>NC_000001.11:30178835-30803835 GCF_000001405.40 Homo sapiens | reverse complement strand
GCTGGGTTTGAGTCCTGCCTCTGCTATCTGTTAGCTGTGTGACCTTGGGCAATGCGTTCACCTCTCAGAATCTTACTCACCTTATCTGTAAAATGGGGATACTATGCCTCATATCAGGTTCTATTGAGGATCACAAAATGTTGCATCCAAAGTGTTAGTACTTGGCACATGGCACTTTGTAAATAGTAGTGTTTATTAGTAGAGTCAGCATTAGGCTAGAATTCGGGTTAGGTTGAGTTGATAGAATTTTGAGGGAAAACCTCGGACCCAGGGCTGCCAGACTGTTTGGGACCTGTCTGCACTTGTCTGTGCCTTAGGATCGCCCAGAGGACTCTGCTAGGGATCAGGACAGGGCTGAGCTCAGAGCTGGGTCTTAGGTCATAGCAGAATGAAGAGTGAAACAGACTGGAGTTAGAATCCTGCTTTTCCCACATTGCTGGGTGACCTTGGACAATGTATTTGCTCTCTCTTTCTCTTTTATTTTTATCGTTTTGAGACAGGGTTTCCCTCTGTCCCCCAGGCTGGAGTGCAGTGGCTTGATCATAGCTCATTGCAGCCTCGACCTCCTGGGTGTAGGTGTTTCTCCCACTTCAGGCTCCCAAGTAGCAGCTGGGACTGCAGGCGCACACCACCATGCCCAACTGGTTTTTTTTTTTTTTTTGAGACAGAGTTTTGCTCTTGTTGCCCAGGCTGGAGTGCAATGGCACGATCTCAGGTCACCGAAACCTCTGTCTCCCGGGATCAAGTGATTCTCCTGCCTCAGCCTCCCAAGTAACTGGGATTACAGGCATGCGGCACTATGCCCAGCTAATTTTGTATTTTTGGTAGAGATGGGGTTTCACCACATTGGTCAGGCTGGTCTCAAACCCCTGACCTCTGGTGATCCTTCCACCTTGGCCTCCTAAAGTGCTGGGATTACAGGTGTGAGCCACTGTGCCCAGCCCCCCAGCTGTTTTATTTATTTATTTATATTTATTATTGTTATTTTTTTGAGATGGAGTTTCTCTCTTGTTGCCCAGGCTGGGGTGCAATGGCACAGTCTCAGCTCACTGCAATCTCTGCCTACTGGGTTCAAGCGATTCTCTTGCCTCAGTCTCCTGAGTAGCTGGGATTACAGGCACCTGCCACCACGCCTGGCTAATTTTTGTATTTTAGTAGAGACGGGGGTTTCACCATGTTGGTTAGGCTGGTCTTGAACTCCTGATCTCAGGTGATCCACCCGTCTCGGCCTCCCAAAGTGCTGGGATTATGGGCGTGAGCCACTGCGCCCAGCCTTATTTTTTGTATTTTTAGTTTGAGGCTGGCCTCGAACTCCTGAGCTCAAGTGATCCTCTCGCCTTGGCCTCCCAAAGTACTGGGATTACAGGCATGAGCCACCGTGCCAGGCCCACTTGCTGTCTTTAAGCTTCAGTTTCCCTCTCTGTAAAATGGGGGTAATACCACCCACCCCAACAAGGCGTTTGGTTAGGATTAAGTAAGATCATGGTGCCAGCCCTTAGACCTCAGTGAGTGTTTTACATTTTAAAAATGATTTTCCTCCCCAGCAGTTTTCCACGTCAAATTATTTGTTTCTAGAGAACGACCACGTAGCTGCTTGTAGCTGGCTTTCTTCGTCCATCCTTCCATCCACCCGCGGTTGGTCCCTGCTGGAGTCAGATCTGCAGCGGGCACTGTGGATCCAGAGGCAGCAGAGGAGAGGGGTCAGGAGAGGCCTCCCTAGGGCTGAGATCCCTGGTTGAGTTTTGCAGGCTGGCAGGGGAGCTGCATGTGCGAAGGCACAGAGGCCTGCCCGTGGAACTATGCGGAGCTTTATGAAAATCGGAATGGGTCAGGGGTACAAGCAAAGCCCCAGCGTTTCCAGCGTTCTTCCCAACCCTGTCGCCTGTCGCTCGACGCGGACCTCCTGCAAACGAAGCGCGGGTGCCCTCTGCTGGCCTTTCCGCGGACTGCAACTTCTACTTTGGGGACTCCCAGCCCCCGTGTCTTTGGGAGGCAAATGTCCATAAAAGCTGGAGTATCTCAACTGGAAAGACCCTCAGAAATCACCCACCCCTGACTTCCCGATGGAGACATGAGGCCCTGTGTGGGGCAGGGAGCTTGCACAGGGCAGGAATTCGGGCCCCTGAATCCAATAGAGGCTGGGCTGGCAGTGCCTGGGGTAGGGAGGTGCCCAGGGAGGGTTCTGGCCACGGAGCTCCAGCCTGCAGGAGGTGGGATGGGGGGTGGAGGGTGACTGCAGAGAGCAGAGGGGGTTTCAGATTCTCAGCCCCTTGCCCCATCTGGCTGGCTTAGTCGTGGGATTTCCTGTTTTGTCTTGGAGCAGCGGCATTGCAACCTGATAGCCATGAAACAGGAGCTCAAGATGAGTGTGTGTGTGTGTGTGTGTGTGTGTGTGTGTGTGTGTGTGTTTGTGTGTGTGTGTCTTGAAGGGTGATGTTGGCATCAATCAGTAGGTGTCCTGGGCTGGTGACATCACCCCCCTACTGCTCTGATCTTCCTTTAAAGCTCTTCCTTTCTCCACTCCTAAGTCCCCAGCGGCTGCCACTATCGCCTGGCCCTTGGTTCTCCAGCAAAGGTGGTGGCAGGTGAGAGGACATGAAAGCAGGAAAGACCCTTACCTTTAGAGCCCCAACAGAAGATAGCCATGGGTGCCAAAGCCCGGATGGGCTCAGAATGGGCAGGCTTCATAGGCGATGAGAAATGGGGAGGGTAAGAGAGAAGCAAGTTGAGGACAGTGCTCAAGCTTCTGGCCTAGATGATGGGTTGTGCCCTCGATGAGATGAGGAGCTTGGGAAGACCACAGTGACCTGATGCCTGGAAGCTCATCCTCTGTGGAGAGCACTGTTTTCTATATCATCCTCCTGGCAGGGTGGCTGTGTATGTGTGTGTGCATGTGTGTGTGTGTACATAGGCACTGTGTGTGTGCTGGGTATGCCATGTCCATCAGCTGGGAGACTGGGTTTACTAGGGATGGGGCCATAAGACCAGGAGGAGGCCTGCCTTGGCTAGGAAGTGACCCTTTGTTTCCAGTATGGATCACATCAAGGCCAGTAAGACTGCGGTCTGTTCCTGGTTGATGGTGGGCAAGGAGGGCCTGGCTTAGCCTGGCTTAGAGTGCAGATGGGAGTTCCAGGCCTGCACCCATCTTTCCCAGTAGGGTGGCCTCAGGCAAGTGCCTGCCTCTCTCTAGGCCTCTGTGCCCTCACCTGACAAATGGGGCCAATGAAGCATAGATGCGTGGAGAGGGCGAATGAGGCACTGCAGGAAGAGTGCCCAGTGCCGCGTCTGGCACACCGTGGGCCCTGGGTGAAGGGCGGAAGGTATTAGTATTTCTTAGCTGGCTGCTCTGGTGCTTGGTAGTCGGGACCCATCTCCCTGTCTGACTTTATTGCTCCTAGGCCTTCCTCCTCACTCTGCTCCAGCTGCACTGGCCCTCCTTCCATGCCTGGAGAACACCAAGTTCATTCCAGTAGGGAGCCTGCACCGCGGCTCTTCCTGCTGCTGGGTTCAGTTGTTGCATTGCCTGTTCCTTCTCAGCTCTCAGGTCCCTGTCTAATGTCACCTCCCTGGGGCAGTCTCTCTGACTACTATAGCAAGGCACCTACTGTGCCTCTCGACAGCCAGCCTGCCTTCCTTCCTTCTCTTTCTTTCTTTCTTCCTTCCTCCTTCCCTCTTTCCCTTTTATTTCTTTCTTTCTTTCTCTTTCTTTCCCTCCCTCTCTCCCTCTCCCTCCCTTTCTTTCTCTCTTTCTCTTTTCTTTTCATTTCTTTTCTTTCTTTCTTTCTTTCTTTCTTTCTCTCTCTTTTTTTCTCTTTCTTTCCCTCCCTCTCTCCCTCTCCCTCCTTCTTTCTTTTTCTCTCTCTTTTCTTTTCATTTCTTTTCTTTCTTTCTTTCTTTCTTTCTTTCTTTCTTTCTTTCTTTCTTTCTTTCTTTCCTTTCCTTTCCTTTCTCTCTTTCTTTCTTTCCTTTCTTTCTTTTTTTCGTCTTTCCCTCCCTCCCTCTCTCTTTCTTTCTTCCCTCCTTCCTTCCCTCCCTCCCTTCCTTCCTTCCTTCTTCCTCCCTTTTTCTTTTTTGAGATAGGGTCTTGTTCTGTTGCCCAGGCTGAGTACAGTGGTACAATCATAGCTCACTGTAACTTTGAACTCCTGGGTTCAAGGGATCCTCCCACCTGGGCCTCCCAAAATGCTGGGATTACAGGCATGAGCCACCATGCCTGACCCCTGTTGTCTGGGGCACTGTTGTTGGAGTAGGTGCTGCTGGAGAGTGCAAGTATGTTCACCTATGTGCTCACATGTGTGCCTGGACATCTGGGGGAAGATTGAGGCACTTTCCAATACATCCTAGCACCTGACACCACCAGAGCCTGAGTGATTTGTTGACTGTTTGTTGCCCCACCCCCATCTCTCAGGCTGTGAGCCTCTTCAGGCTGGGGACCTTGTCTCTTGTGTTCCCAGCCATGTCTCTGGTGCCTGTAATAGTGTCCAGCACATAGTAGGCCCTCAATATTTATGTGATTTATGTGTGGACTGTGCAGAGGCTTCTAGTGCATGATAATTTGGAGCCAGATGACCCTGGCTTGAAATCCCCAATCCTGGCTCCATCCCTCATTGGCTATGTGGGTCTTACTGGGCTTTGGTTTCTTCATCTGTTAGATGGGGCTAAGGAGAGTGACATCACAGCTGGTTGTTAGGAACCAAAAAGGTCATGAGCACACAATGTGTGCGCCAGGAGTTACTGAGAACAAGAATGATGTTGGTATTATCAAGCAATGACTGTGTGCCGGGCACTGCTCTGAGATCTCTACTTCTTTTAACTTATTTCATCCTCACAACTGCCTTATGAGGGAGGATTATGATTATCCTGTATTACAGATGAAGACACTGAGACTCAGAGAAGGAAGTCCCATGCCCAGCAATGACCCTGACTCCCCAGCAAGTGCTGTAGACGCAGGCACTTTTGAGGGCCCGGCCAGTTTCCTCCTTGGCATTTAACCAGTGCTCAGGAAGGACTGGAAATCAGGTGACCCAAGTCTGATTGCCATCTCTGCACTGACTTGCTGTGACCCCGGGGGAGGCTGTGCCCCTAGGATCTCCTCTAGAGCCCCATTTGTCCATGTGCATCATGAAGGCATGGGACCAGGTGCTGGTGGGTTGTGAGGGGTTTGCAAACTCCAGCGCCTGGGGCCAGGCAGGAACTGGGAGGAGGCGGGTGGAACCGGGAGGGCTGGACTGAGCTGGGCAGTGGCCACTCAGCTCTGGCTGATGATGGCCAGGCGGGAATGCAGGCCCAGTATTGCCAAATCTTTGAACTTTTCAAGAGAAGCAGAAAATTTGGATTTTTAAATGTGAAATCTGATTTTTAAATGTTGGCAACAATTTAAAAAGAAAGAAAGAAAGAAAGACACTGTGTAGGCCAAACAAAGCCCATTTGTGGGTTGCATTTGAGCTCGTGGCTGTCACTTTGCAATCCACAAGATACTCAATATCTAGAGGCCTCTTCCTGTCCTTGGGCCTTTGATAAAAATGACTCACACTGTTAAGTACTTACTATGCCCAGGGGCATGAGTCTGATGCCATTTAACTCTCTCCCCACCTCCTTACCCACCATGTAATATTTTCCTACCAGGTAATGTTATCATCTCTATTTGATAGGTGGGCAAACTGAGGCCCAGAGAGGTTAAGTAATGCGTCCAGGGTCACACAGCTAATAAATGGCATTGCTGGGGCAGCCTTGCTGAGCAGGGCTCTCCTGCTCCAAAGCTCACCCATGTAACCACTTTCCCATACTGCCACAATGAACTTGACCTCCTGCCTCCAGGGCTCCCCAGTCCTGGCCTCCTGGGGACTCATGCACTCACTGGCTGACCCCAAGGTTGATCTAGCATAGTCTTGGCCCAGAAGGGGGGATGACCAAGGCAGGGGACCTCCTGATCCTCCCAGGACTCTGGGTTCTCCTCTCCCCAGATCCCCAGGTGCTGCAGGCTGCATGGGACACCTGCTGGCCTGATGAGAAACCTGCTGAAGCGGCATCAAGGCCATGGCCTCCTCCAGCAGCCCAGCCACAGGCTGGAGGAAATGTCTTCTCCTTTTGGAAATCCTGGCGGGGAGGGGCCGGTCCCTGTGTCAGCCAAGTTGCTGTCGAGGTTGCATATTTCTTTCTTTCTTTTTTTTTTTTGAATCGCGTTCTATCGCCCAGGCTGGAGTGCAGTGGCGTAATCTCGGCTCACTGCAAGCTCCGCCTCCTGGGTTCATGCCATTCTCCTGCCTCAGCCTCCTGAGTAGCTGGGACTACAGGTGCCTGCCACCAAGCCCAACTAATTTTTTGTATTTTTAGTAGAGACGGGTTTCACCATGTTAGCCAGGATGGTCTCGATCTCCTGGCCTCATGATCCGCCCGCCTCGGCCTCCCAGAGTGCTGGGATTACAGGCGTGAGCCACTGTGCCTGGCCCAATGTTGCATATTTCTCCAGGAACCCCTGCTACAAACTAGGGCTGAAAATCCCCCAGGTGTCTCCAAGACCACGTGTGCCTGTGCTCAAGTGGGTACCTGGCTCTGCAAAGGTCACAGTGTGTGAGGGTGAGTTTGGAAAGTGCCTGTATCCGCATGGTGGGCTTTGCTGTCCACTGTGGCGGGGGGCTGTCTAGGGGTACTGTTGTTGGAGCAGGTGCAGCTAGAGAGTGCATGAGTGTGCACGTATGTTCACCTATGTGCTCACATGTGTGCCTGGACATTTGGGTAAAGATTGAGGTTTGTTTCTTTTTCTTATTTATTTTTTATTTTTTGAGACGGAGTCTCGCTCTGTCACCCAGGCTGGAGTGCAGTGGTGCGATCTTGGCTCACTGCAAGCTCCGCCTCCTGGGTTCATGCCATTCTCCTGCCTCAGCCTTCCTAGCAGCTGGGACTACAGGCGCTCGCCACCACGCCCGGCTAATTTTTTTTGTATTTTTAATAGAGCCGGGGTTTCACCGTGTTAGCTAAGATGGTCTCGATCTCCTGACCTCGTGATCTGCCCGCCTCGGCCTCCCAAAGTGCTGGGATTACAGGCATGAGCCACCGCGCCCGGCCTTTTTTATTTTTTATTTTTTATTGAAGTCTAATTTTCATACAGTAAAGTGTGGAAAGCTTTTTTTTTTCTTTCTTTGAGACGGAGTCTTGCTTTTTCGCCCAGGCTGGAGTGCAGTGGCACGATCTTGGCTCTCTGCAACCTTCACCTCCCCGGTTCAAGCGATTCTCCTGCCTCAGCCTCCCTAGTAGCTGGGATTAGAGGTATCTGCCACCATGCCCGGCTAATTTTTGTATTTTTTAGTAGAGATGGGGTTTCGCCATGTTAGCCAGGCTGCTCTTGAACTCTTGACCTCAGTTGATCTGCCCGCCTCAGCCTCCCAAAGTGCTGGGATTACAGGCGTGAGCCACTGTGCCTGGCCTAGGTATGCAAATCTTAGATGGATTTTTATATATGTATAAAACTGTGACTATCACCTGTGTCCAGGGTCTCACTTGTGCCACCTCCCTACAAGGAAGGTGACCACTATTCTAGCCTCTGTCACATGTATCAGGACCTGAGTTCCCCTTGAGGTTTTTTTTTTTTTTTTTTTTTTTTTGAGAAGGAGTCTTACTCTTTCACCCAGGTTGGAGTGCAGTGGTGCGATCTCAGCTCACTGCAACCTCTGCCTCCCAAGTTTAAGTGATTCTCCTGCCTCAGCCTCCCGAGTAGCTGGGATTACAGGCATGTGCCACCACGCCCAGCTAATTTTGTATTTTTAGTAGGATGGAGTTTCAGCACGTTGGTCATGCTGGTCTTGAACTCCTGACCTCAGGTGATCCACCTGCTTCAGCCTCCCAAAGTGCTGGGATTACAGGTGTGAGCCACTGTGCTCAGCCTCGTCCTGGTTTTTAAAGTGGCAGAGCCTAGGATCCAGAGAGGAGACTGACCTGGTCTCGGCCGCATCAGCCTGCCCAGGCCTTGGCTTCCTTCAGCTCTAGCTGTAACTGGGTGGGATGTGAGGGCACTTTGATTATGCCTTCACATCTTAGGCCCCTTGAGCACTTTCATAGCCCAAGCAGAAGGCAGTGTGGGGCCACGAAGAGAGAGCTGGCTTTGCCGCCATGCAGGAGACTTGAGGTCGAGTCCTGGCGGGCCACGAAGAGAGAGCTGGCTTTGCAGCCATACAGGAGACTTGAGGTCGAGTCCTGGCTCTGCCACTTATTTATGGTGTAATATTGGGCAGGTCGTTTTGCCTCTCTGAGCCTGGGTTTCTTTCTCTGTAAAATGGGAATGTAATAGGACTCACTTCAAAAGAGTAGTGTGAGGATTAATAGTAGTAATGGGGCTCATGATGGCTGCCAGACTTGGAGGGTTTATCACATGCCTGATGCTGTGACCACACTGAATCATCCCAGCAGCGATATAAGGAGTTTATTGCTGCCATCCCCATTTAATGGAAGAGAAAACTGAGGTGCAAAGGGGTTAAATGGTTTGCTCAAGGTCTTCTACTAGTAAATAGTAGTGCCTGGATTCCAGCCCAGATCTATCTGACTCCAAAACCCAGAATGCTTAACCCAGGAGGGTTATTCAAGATACTTAACAATTGGCCTGGCCTGGGCCTCAAGCCATCAGAGTAGATGCCTGCCATAAATAAACACGTTGCATGTGCTCCCGGCCCCGTCTCATCCATGACACACTCGAGTGTGTTAAATGGGATTAATCCAGGAAATCAGATTACAGATGTCAAGCAGCTTGGAGAACCATGAAGCACTCCACAAGCGCTGGTTTCTATTTCTTCTCACATTGTGGGACTGGATAACTGGCCTGGGAACCAGGAAACCTGGGTTTACGTCCTGGCTCTGCCATTAACTTGCTGGAAAGCATTGGAAGAAAGTTTCCAGAGTCAAACATTAACAAGGCCAAACCTGCTAAAGAGAGGGTGCTCCGTTAGTTCCTGCCGTTCAGGCCCCTCCATGTGCTAATTACAAACAGCTCATAAGCCAGGCCTTCGGCTGGACCAGGTTGTTAGAGCATTCAATTAAGGAACGGCATGTTAGAGCTTCTAAGAAACATGCTAAAATATATCGTATGTATTCTATGTGTACAACTTGCCCTACTTAAAGCACAAAACCTGGTGAGTTTTGACACCTGCGAAAGTGTCCCACAATCAGTGTACTACCATTTCCATATCTCCCCACTTCTTCTCATTCCCTTTAGCGGTCCATCCCTTCCCCTACTCCCATTCCCAGGCCAGCATTGATCTGTTTTCTTGCCCTCTAGATCGCTTTTCCTTTTCTAGGGGTTTCTATAATTGAAAGCACAGAGTATTAGACTTCTGTCTAGCTCTCTTCATTCAGTGAACTCTTTCCTGAGATTTAGCCCTGTTTCTTGAGATGTATCCCTGTTGCTGGGTGTTCCTTTTTATTGCTGAGTAGTACTCTGCTGCATGGATATATCACAATTTGTTTTTCCATTCACCTGTGGATGGACATTTGGGTTGTTTTCAATTTTTGACTATTATAAGCAAGTGGCGACAAACATTAATGTGCGTGTGCCTTTGGGGGCATGTTCTTGTTTCTCTTGGGTAAATACTCAGCAGTGGAAGGGCTGGGTGGGGCAGACTGCTTTCCAGGGTGGCCGTGCATTCCCACTGGTGTGTGTGAAAGTCGCTGTTGCTCCACATCCTCACCAACACTTGGCATGGCCGGCCTTTTTCATTTTGACCATTCTAGGGGGTGTGTAGTGCTATGCAGTGTGGCTCACACTGCAGTGTGGAAGAACAAATGGTTTCTGATGGTCTGTGATGTGCTGGGAGGAGCTGATCTGAACAATGAAGAGGGTAACTATTGGAGGAGTGGGTGCTGGTTTATTTTATGAGGCACCAGAAGGCAGAACTAGGGCCAATTAGTGGTACCCATAGGGATTTCAGAAACAGCTTTCTATCTGTCAGGACTGTCCAATGACGGAATGAATTTTCTTACGGAGTAGTGAGCTCACCATTGCTGGGAGTGGTCAAGCCCTTGAGTAGCTGGTGAGACTTGTGGGGTTGGATTAGATTTCTAACGAGGTTCCTCCAGGCCTGCCTATTTTGGCTTCTGTGGTTCTAGGAATCATCAGGTGATAAAAGCCTCGTTACCAGAGTAAGCATTAATATCCAAGTCTTGCTGGCTCCGCCCCCCACCTACGCCTGTGGGAACTCCAGCTCCTGGGTTCATTCTTCTCTCCTCTCAAGAGTGTGGGTGAATCCCCACCCCCTCCCACCGCTGCTGCTGCCTCCAGCGTCTCCATCGGGGTCCTGCCCCAGCGGGGTCCTGCCTCCCAGGGCCCCCATGCTCTCAGTCCTCTGCCACTTCGGGAGCTCACTGCTTGCCAGGGAGAGAGGGGAAGGGCGCTCCTTGAGGATGGGTCCCCTGGCAGGGCGGCGTGGACCGTCTTCAAAGCAGCTCTCTCTGCCCACACTCAGCCTACCCACCCAGGATTGTTGCTGCTGCTGAGGTGGCCGGGCTGGAGCGGGTCCTGGTACCAGGTGTCAAGATGTGTCCAGAACCAAGACCCCCTCCAACCGGGGGCCCCTGCCACTGAATCTCGCTTGCGACCTGCTCTCCGCTTTCTCTTACGGAGCCTTTCCTCCTCAGCTCCTGGCAGTCTTGCCTGGTTTCCATTGGGCACCTGCCCCAAGTCAGTCAGTCACATCATACATGTGTCTGAACCCCAGCCATGGCGAGGTGCAAGTGCCTGTTGCCCCGTGGCCATCCTGTGACCAGGAGGACGGTTGCACATGGAGGCTGGATGCTGAGTGTCACCCAGCCCTCATACTGCATGCATCCAGATCTCAGATCTGGCAGGTCCTCTATGACCCAGCAGAAGTAATCAAAGGCAATTTCTTTTAAAAGGAAGACTTTCTTTGGGACTATGTTTACCCTACTTGATTCTTTTATTTAAAAATAGGTAGGCTGGGTGCAGTGGCTCACACCTGTAATCCCAGCACTTTGGGAGGCCGAGGTGGGTGGATTACTTGAGGCCAAGAGTTCAAGACCATCCAGGGCAATATGGCAAAACCCAGTCTCTATTAAAAATACAAAAATTAGGTGAGCATGGTGGCGCATGCCTGTAATCCCAGTTACTCAGGAGGCTGAGGCAGGAGAATCACTTGAACCCAGAAGGTGGAGGTTGCAGTGAGCCAAGATAGTGCCACTGTACTCCAGCCTGGGTGACAGAGTAAGACTCTGTCTCAAAAAAAATAAAAAAAAAATAAAAAAGTGTAGAGCATATCCACTTTTGAAACCAGTTTTGTAGAATGAGTGTTTTCCGTGTATGTTAGCTAGCCTCTAACATGGCTCCCAGTGGTCCCTTCTCCTGGGATTCGTGCCCGTGTCATCCCTTCCAACACTGTACCAGGGTGCGTCTGTGTGAAGGATAAAATACGGGAGTACTGATGGGGCGTCACTTCTGAGATCAGGTTGTGAGAGATGCTGCAGCTTCCGTCTTGGTAGTTTTCTCTCTCTTTTAGGTCATTTGCACTGGAGGGCCAGCTGTCCTGTCCTGAGCAGCCTTACAGAGAGGCCTGTGGGGCAAGAAACTTAGGTCTCACCCCAATAACCAACAAGAAACCGAAGCCTGCTGCCCACAGCCCTGTGAGGAGCTTGACGGCAGAGTCCCCAGCCCAGTTGAGCTTTCCAAAGATGGAAGCCCTGGCTGACGTGTTGGTTGCAGCCTCACAAGAGACTCTGAGTCACAGCCACCCAGAAAAACTTCTCAATTCCTCTGTGACATAATGAATGCTGTAATTTTAAACACTGAGCATGGGGCTAATTTGTTATGCAGCAATAGATAACTAATACACCCTGCGATAATGTACTAGGATTTGGGACATCAGTCATTTCCTCCTGCTTTACCCCACCCCAAACTACCGGGAGCCTGCTGTGCTATGGGGAGCCCTCCTGGTCCAGCACAGCTGATAGGACCAGGGGAGTCACTTGACCAAAGCCAAGACAATTCAGTTGTCCCTTCTAGAAATTCTTTCTTTCTCCTTTCTCCCTTCCTCCTTCCTTCCCTCTCTTCCTCCTCCCCTCCCTCTCTTCCTTTTTCCCTCCCTTCCTTCTTCCCTCCCTCCTTCCTTCTTCCCTCTCTTCCTTCTCCCCTCCCTCTGTTCCCCCTCCCCTCTTTCTCTTCCTCCTCTCCTCTTTCTTTTCCTCTTCCCCTCTTTCTCTTCCTCCTTACTTCTCTCTCTTCCTCCTTCCCTGTCTCCCTTCCTCCTTCCTTCTCTCCCTCCCTCCTTCCCTGTCTTCCTCCTTCCCTCTCTTTGTCCTTCCTTCCCTCTCTTCCTCCTTCCCTCCCTGGTTTCTTTCTTCTCTCTCTCTCTTCCTCCTTCCCTCCCTGTTTTCTTTCTTCTCTCTCTCTCTTCCTCCTTCCCTTTTCCCTTCATCCATCCCTCTCTCTCTTCCTCCTTCCCTCCCTCTCTTCCTCCTTCTCTCCTTCTTTTCCTTCTCCTCTCCCTCTCTTCCTCCTCCCCTCCCTCTCTTTCTCTTCCTCCTTCCTTCCCTCTTTTCCTCCTTCCCTCCCTTTCTTTCTGCCTCCCTCTTTTTCTTGCTTTATCCCTCTCTCATTTTCTTTCAGCAGGAAGAGAAGATGGAATCAAATAGCTGTGAGGTTGAGCTAGAGTAGTGGGTAAGCTCTGGAGATAAGGCAGCCAGGCTGGCCTGCAGAGAGAGAGAACATTGCAGCCAGAGAGAAGCAGGAGGGATTTAGTGTGGTTGAGGAGACACACGCTGCTGAGGAGCTGGTGGTTTTGTGTGTCTCGATGGTGCTTCCGGCCGTGGAACTCTGGGGCATTCCTCTGATGCTAAAAATCATTCTTTTGACTGGGGCTCTCATAAGCTTCTGCTTTTTCCCATCAAATGATCGTCAGACAGTAGTTTTTGAAGGCCACATTTTTGAATAGACACAGAATGTCCCATAGAGTGGAGCTGCCTGAGTTTGCATCACCATTTCAGGTTATGCTTGGACATCACCTCATTGAACACTTGGGTAAGCTTCAATTTCTCTCTGTTATAAACAATGCCCCGATGAGCATCTTTGGCACTCACAGCTTTTTTCACATCTCCAGTTACATCTCTAAGAGGCCTTTCCAGAGGTGGGAGGAGTGTGTGCCATTTTAGACAGTAAAAGTACCCTGCTAGATGACTGGCCAGGCGCGGTGGCTCATGCCTTTAATCCCAGCACTTTGGGAGGCTGAAGTGGGCAGATCACCTGAGGTCAGAAGTTCGAGACCAACCTGACCAACATGCTGAAACCCCATCTCTACTAAAAATACAAAAAATTAGCCGGGCGTGACTGCACATGCCTGTAATCCCAGCTACTCAGGAGGCTGAGGCAGGAGAATTTCTTGAACCCGGGAGGTGGAGGTTGTGGTGAGCTGAGATGGCGCCATTGTACTCCAGCCTGGAAAACAAGAGCAAAACTCTGCCTCAAAAAAAAAAAAAAAAAAAAGTACCCTGCTGATGACTTTCCAAAATAATGGCCTGACACGCCCACCAGCAGTAGCAGGCATCACTCACCTCACTGGCCCTCACTGGCGTCAGGTCTCTCTCACTGGGGTTGGGGGGTGTATTCTCCTGCTGTTTGTCAGGCTGCTGTGAACTTGACCCTCTGCTACATGCTTGGGGATCAGGGGTCACCCAGTTTGCGCAGCAGCCATGCAGTGCCAGGTCTCTGGGGTCCGAACAAGTCAGCAAAGATGTATGTCATGATGGTTAGAATGAAGTGGATTCTAAACACCACTTAAGAATACATTAATAATGGTGTTGGTGTGTTATTCATCTTGAAGAAGTGACAGATGTTTCCCTCAGCAAAATGCTGACGTGGGAAAATGAGTTGGGAGTTAGGAGATTGATGAGTTTCTTCCAAGGGGCTCATTGCCTCTCGCCTGGACAACCTCCTTCCCGGTCCCCTGCCTCTGGCTCCAGCCTCCATCCACGCTAGTGTCTAGTTTGTCTTCCTGAGGGAGTCTGGGGACGTGGGATAGGTGCTGGGTTTGGAGTTGGGTGGTGGAGATCTGGTCTGGGTTCTATCCCTAAGCTCCTAGGTGTGGGGACATCAGCTTTTGTTACCCCCATTCTTGGGCCAGCAAATCCAATTTTCCTTTGGGGTCCCACCCTCTTCTCAGTCCTGGGGTGCCATGTGGGGCTGACACTGCCCCCGCCGCCTCACCCCCACTCCAGGAGTAGACACATTATCCCCAGACGTGGCCACTGAGAGTCCTGCAGACCTGTGGCAAGTGTTTGTCAGAGGGGAAGCATGTGTCCCAAGGTAAGCCTGGATCCAACCGCACCTGAAGTTCACTCTTCAACATCCTGGTCATGCTTGCAGAGTCCCTCGTCCTTTCAAAAAAGCCAGTCTGAATCAGGTGCTTGTCACTTGCAAACAAGAGTTGCCTCTGAAGACACAGCAGGACCTTGAATAAGTCCTTTGTCTTTGGTGGGCCTCAGTTGCCCTGTCTGGAAAATGAAGGGTTGGATTCTCTGAGGTTCTTCCAGCTCTGGAGGTTCACAGCCCCCATCTGGGCCATGTGACTTACACATCGAGGGGGGCCACAGGTGGACAGGCTGACTCTAGTGGAGACTCAGTTGCTCTGTGGCCTTGCCAGGAGAAAGCTCGGCGGGCATGCTCTCCCCAGACCTCCAAAATGCTGCCTTGGAAAGGAAGCAGTGGCTTAGCAGGCACCCCCTGGGGGTAGGGGAGGATCCGGGGGCATATTGGGGTTCCATCCTGTGACCAGCAGTGATAGGTGCTGCCCCTTCTCTGCATCTCTCAATGGCTCCCAAGTACCTTCAAGATTAAGTCTTATCCCTTTAGATGGGGAAAGAGCAAGACTTCTCACAGGGCTTAATAAATATTCAATGAATGAATGAATGGAAGAACAAGCACATTCCCTTCATGACCAGGCTCCCTGGCTGACTCCGCAGCCCTAAACTCCCCAGCCCTAGACCCTCCTCCTTCTGCTCTGCACAGCAGCACTCCCTGCCTTCTTGGACACGCTATGTCCTTTTGTGCCTTGGCCTTGTACATGCTGTTCCCTCTGCTTGGAACATCTCCTCCCACCACCTGCCTGGCAGACTCACGTAGCCTTCAACACTCAGCTCAGCGCATTCATCCGCTGACTCAGCCAACATTTCTGGAGCCCCTCCTGTGTGCCAGGCATGATCTATGTGCTGGCATTGAACAAAAAAGGTATAGTCCCCCTTCTCAGGGAGCTGCCTGCTTGTGGGGAGGCCACCAGCTGGGGATGCATGAGCTGAAGGACATTAAGCTGGGGGAAGAGATGGGGAGTATTGTGAGGAGCACTTTTTGGGGTTCTCTGATCCAGTGATATTTTGAGGTGAGGGAGTGGGCCTCGCAGGTCTGGCCCAGGCAGAGGTAACAGCAAACGCGCAGGCCCTGAGCTGGGAGCCAGCTTGGAATGTTTGAGAACCGGCAATGAGATCCCAGCGGTTGGAGTGAGGGGCGAAGGGCAGGGGAAGAGGTTCAAGAGGTCACAGCCGAGGGCTGGGGGGCAGCTGCACACTTGCTGGCCTTTTACCCTGAGTTGGGGGTCACTGGGGAGGGCAGGACGGGAGCGTTTTGAAGCAGGGACAAGGGCAGAAGTTGGGAGGTTGAGGTGGCAGCAACAGGAGCCATGGAAGTGGTCGGATCCTGGGTCTGCAGGCGTGGGGTGTCGGAGAGACAGGGTCGAGGATAAGCAAGGGGGCATCATCACCCACAGAGTTGGGGGTGCCGTGAAAGCAGGTCTGGGGCAGGGGCCGCCAGGGCTGGGTTTGGGCCTGTGGATTTCGAGATGCCGTCACTCAGCTGCGTGAACTCCTGGAAGTGAGCATGGACACAGGAGTCCCGTGCTCTGGGGAAAGGCTGGGGCTGGAGGTGTGGGTCAGGGAGAGAGAAGGTGGTGGAAGCCAGAGACTGCGTGGGTCACGTAAGGAGGGAGTGAGGGTGGGGCACAGGACCAGAGCCTCCCAGGAGGTCAGGGAGGCCAGGAGGCACCGGCAGAGGAGCCAGGAAGCAGGAGGAAAACCAGAGCGAAGCTGCTGAGGACTGGAGAGGAGACCCAGCCTCCCTGTGTTAGGTGCTGCCGCCGCCTACACCCAGAGGCACTTGGCTATTTGGTCCTGCCACAGGCAGGCCATGGGTGATCCTGAGAAGACATATGAGGATGAAAGCCCAGTTGAAGCAGAGAGGGAAGTGGGGGACTGGAGAGTGTGGCAGAGGGGTCAGGAGTCAGGGGGCATCTCTACAGCAAAGCCCTAATGAAAGGGGGGAGTCAGGGATGTGGATGCCTTGGAGGAAAGTTCTACCGGCAGAGTGAACAGCTGGGGCAAAGTCCCCAACCATGAGTGGGGCAGCCTGTGTTTGGAGAACTAGCAGAAGGCTGTTTTGGGGGAGGTGGGCAGCCCAGGGCTTCGTGGGCTGGGAGCAGGCTGGAGTTGAGTCTGCCTGAGGCTAATGGGCAGCTACAGAAGGCTTCGAGTGCTTGATTTATTTATTTTTTTAAAATGCCCTTGGCTGGGCACGGTGGCTCACGCCTGTAATCCCAGCACTTTGGGAGGCCAAGGCGGGTGGATCACTTGAGGTCAGGAGTTTGAGACCAGCCTGGCCAACATGGTGAAACCCCGTCTCTACTAAAAATACAAAAATTAGCTGGGCATGGTGGCAGGTGCCTGTAGTCCCTGCTACTCGGGAGGCTGAGGCAGGAGAATCGCTTGAACCTGGGAGGTTGCAGTGAGCTGAGATCACGCCACTACTCCAGCCTGGGCGGCAGAGCGAGACTCCATCTCAAAAAAAAAAAAAGCCCTCTGGCTCCTGAAAAAGGCCCTCTGGAGTCTTTAATTCCTGTCCCTGCTGACTCCCTTCCTGCCACACCCTTATCCCGGGCCCTCCCCTGACTTCCCAGCAGCCGTGGCTGCTGTCCCCTCTCCCTCTGATCTCAGCCAGGCTGCGGGGGCCCCCCTTGGCCACCCAGGCAGCGGAAGCTGGGGGCCAGTGGGCATCCCCTGGGGCCTCTCTGGCCGGTGTGAGGGTCCTTTGTCTCCATTTGATCAGGCCCTCGTGGAGCCGGAAGTAGCCTCTGATACCCACCAGACAAAGGGCTTCTTTGAGAGGCCAGGAAGTGGCGAGCTGGGATTTATCTGCCCAGGGATTTGTGGGACCATCCGAGGGCCACAGGGCAGGAGCCCTGGTCCTCACAAACCTGTTTCTATGATGTCACTGATCTTCCTCCCTCCACCTCCTTGCTCAGCTCTCCCTGAGTCCCCCAGTCTTTTCCTGCTCTGGCCCTCCAAGGAGCCTGTCACAACAGTGCAGCTCTCATGCGGAGCTGCCACAGCAGGTGCAGCAGCTCTGAGAAGGGAGACAGTTCTTATTCCTGTTTCACAGGCAAGTGAGCGCAGGCACAACAGGGTTAAGTAACCAAATTCCCATGTAAGGGGTGAGCTGGGGGGCACCCCCCGGCAGACCCACTCCAGAGCCCACTCTCTTAAGCTCCCTGCAGTGCGCCCACAGCATCTGACTTGGGTAGGGGGGTCATGCAAGCTTATGTCTTTTTTTTTTTTTTTTTTTTGAGACAGGGTTTCACTCTCTTGCCCAGATTGGAGTGCAGTGGCGTGATCTTGGCTCACTGCAACCTCTGCCTCCCAGGCTCAAGTGATTCTCTTGCCTCAGTTCCACTACTGCACGGGCTAATTTTTGTATTTTTTGTAGAGATGGGGTTTCACCATGTTTGCCAGGCTGGTCTCGAACTCCTGACCTCGAATGGTCCACCAACCTTGGCCTCCCAAAGTGCTGGGATTACAGGCGCGAGCCACTGCACCTGGCCAGCCTCATGTCTTTTAACCACCACATTTTACAGAAGGCCTTGAGAGGGGAGGGAATTGTCATGTCACATAGCTAGTTAGGGAGCAGAGCCCAGGGCTGGGCCTTGGAGTGGAAGAGGCTTGGATTTGAATCCCAGCTCTGTGCTGTTGCTTGTTTGTGACCTGGGCAAGTCCCTTACCTCTCCTAAGGGTTATTTTTCTTGTCTTGAGGCCAGCAACACCCTCCTGCGGGATCGCTGTGCTGACCCAATGCACTGAGACACGCCTCTGTCTGGTGCAGGACATATCCCCGAGGTGCCAGTTCCTTTTCTTCCCCTTCGCTACACCCAGGGCCAAAGCTGACCACAGTTCAGGGGGTGACATGTTCCAAGGTGCTTACACCTCAGCAGTGGCCTCTGAGTACCCCCCGGAGCCATAGCCTTTCATCAGGGTGCCAGCCCTAATCACCCAGGGTGCTCCTGCAAGGCTTCAGGTCAGAAGGAGTGAATCCCCAGTAGCAGAATGCCCGACCCTGTGGTGGGTGGTGGAGAAGAGGCTTGGAAGGCTGGAGTGTGCAGGATCCATTCCCACATCTCCAGGGTGGGCAGCCAGCCCTGCTGGAGGAGCAGCCGCCTTGCTGGGCGGGCAGGTAACTGAGTTGGCTGAGCCCGCACTTCGTTAAAGGGGAGGGGACTCAGGGTCTGGGGGCTCAGGGAGCTACTGATCTGTCAGGAAGCGCTGCTCAATTTTCCCCGATCAGACCTGTTTCCCAAACAGCCTTTCCTGAGGGGGAAGGATCCAGGACAGGGCCTCCCCCTGTCTTCTCCCTATGGCCCGTTTCTCCTTTCCTAACAACACCCAACCTTCGTGTGTGTGTGCCCCGTCCTGGGCTCAGGACACTTGGTGTCTTATTTGACCCTCCAACAGCTCTGTGCAGGGGGCACACTTGGGCCTATTCCAGAAGAGAAAATGGAGGCTCTTCCACACAAAACCCCTTGCTCAAGGCCATGCAGCTACCAATTCGTCAGCCAAGATTCTAAGACTACTTGGCTGGGCGCGGTGGCTCACACCTGCAATCCCAGCACTTTGGGAGGCCGAGGTGGGTGGATCACCTGAGGTCAGGAGTTCGTGATCAGCCTGGCCAACATGGTGAAACCCCATCTCTATTAAAAATACAAAAATTAGCCGGGCATGGTGGCGCACGCCTGTAATCCCAGCTACTTGGAAGGCTGAGGCAGGAAAGTCATTTGAACCTGGGAG
The DNA here is from genome assembly GCF_000001405.40 of Homo sapiens. Classification (NCBI taxonomy): domain Eukaryota; kingdom Metazoa; phylum Chordata; class Mammalia; order Primates; family Hominidae; genus Homo; species Homo sapiens. The sequence continues at coordinate 30,784,749 of NC_000001.11, read as the reverse complement.
CGGAGGTTGCAGTGAGTCGAGATCGCGCCACTGCACTCCAGACTGGGCAACAGAATGAGACTCTGTCAAAAAACAAAACAAAACAAAAAAAACTACATTCTTAACCCCTACTCAGGGCTGCTGGGTCAGATGGGAATGCAAACTTGAGTAGGCAGCAACCAGCAGGGACGGTGGTCCCCCGTGTTAAGAGAAGGAGGGTCTATCTTTCTCACATGATGGGAACTCTAGGGCTGGTGCACAGGTCAGCAGCATTGTCAGAGTGCAGGCTCTCCCAACTCCGTTGTCCCTAACTTGTGGTGTTTGCCCTCGTAGTTCCAAAGTGCCTGCTGTGCCTCCAGCACTCACGTTTCATTCCAGGCAGAGAGGCACTGGGAAAGTCAAAGGTCTTGGGAGGCTTTTTTTAAAATTTGGGAAGTAGCCGGGCGTGGTGGCTCACACCTGTAATCCCAGCACTTTGGGAGGCTGAGCGGGGGAGATCACTGAGGTCAGGAGTTCTAGATCAGCCTGGCCAACACGGTGAAACCCCGTCTCTACTAAAAATACAAAAGTTAGCCAGGCATGGTGGCAGATGCCTGTAGTCCCAGCTGAGGCAGGAAGAATAGCTTGAACCTGGGAGGCGGAGGTTGCAGTGAGCTGAGATGGCACCACTATTCTCCAGCCTGGGTGACAGAGCGAGACTCCTTCTCGAAAAAATAAAATAAAATAAACAAAAATAAAATTTGGGAAGTGAAGCCCTTCCTCATTGACTCCCACCTAGATCTCTTGGGCTAGAACACGCGCCTGGCTACTCATGGGTGGAAGGTAGTCAGGAAAAGAGCTATGAGCCTTCCAGCCTCAAGAGCTGGGTAAGGCAATGGAGGGGCAGCTAGGGGAGGTGTTGGGGGTGGGGGATCCATGTCCCTGCCTGGCTACTGTGGTCCTGCTACTGGTTCCACGCCCCCTGCAGAGGCTCCACCCCCGCCGGAGAGTTGAGGGACTTCCTTAATGTGCCTCTGTCACCCAAGGTCTGGGAGGTCACAGGAAGCCAAGAGAGCTTGAGCAACAGGGCAATTTGTTCTCGTTGCCTCATTTTCCTCATCTTTAACGCTGGGCCTTCACCCTACCTGCCTGACAGAGTGGCTGGGGGGATTAAATGAGACAGCGCGCACAGGGGCTGCGGCGGCTGAGCCGTGGACTCTGCATGGCACATGGTGTTTCTGGAGTGCTGCTGCCAAGCAATTGCCTTCTTCGTCCTGGCTTCAGGTTTCCCAGCTGCAAAATTGGATGAACGAATCATATTCTATGCCATGGGGTCATTCTGAGGATTAAATGACATTACACACCAAAGTGCTTCAGGGGCCATCTCCGTCTGCTTCTGCTGATTTCCGTGGGGTAGAGTCATAGAAGGTCAAGGCCCCTGTGAAGGTTCTTGTACCCAACAGGGGAGGTGCTGTTTCCAGCTGCGATTTGAAGAGGGAGGCGGTGGAGGGGAGGGAGGCCCTGCCAAAGCCCAGGAGCCCCCGGACACCTCCTGCTCAAGTCCCCACTTCCTCCAGGGGAGGCCCTGGGGACCCATCAGATAGTTTGCCGGCACCCTCCCAACAGAAGTCCCGGACTGATCAATGGCTCCCTGCTGGACTTTGAGCCTTCAGCCACAGTGGCCCAGCCTGGTTGGCTAGTCACAGCTGCTGTACCCAAACCTGGCTCCAGGGAGAGCAGAGGGGCTCCCTGGGACCCGCATGGGGCCCTGACCTGCTCAGGAGGGATGCAGACAACCTCTGCCTCTTTGTCGCTCCATGCCTCAGTTTCCCTGTGGCTCAGCATCTTGGGAGAACAGGGGATGGCGGAGATGCTGGAGCCCCTTCCACAGTTCCATTTTGCCTTGCCCCCTGGTTTCCATCTGGGCCCAGCTGTCCGGGGCCTGGAGAGCAGGAGCAGGTGTGTGCAGGGGTATGAGAGTCTCGGGTTCCAGCCCCTGCTTTGCCCTGACCCGTTGTGTGACGCTAGACAGCTGGCTTCTGCTCTCTGGGCCTCATCTCTGTAAAAGGGTCCCCATAAAAGGGTCCCCATCCTAAACCCCTTCCAACTCGGATATCTCCGTGGCTGTGAATCCATGGCTCAGGATGTCCTCTGCCCAAGGACAGCTTTCAACAGGACCTGGAAGCCCCCTGCCCAGGAATGTGTCCCAGGACGACAGTAGCCCTTCCTCCCTGTCCGTCTCCCCTCTCCAGGGCGGGAGACACGCTGAGTTGGCGGGTACAGTGCGCCCTCTGGTGGCTACTCAGGAACACTGCTCCATCCGGGCCCTGGTCGCTAAGTTCTCTGCTGGGCTGGTGGGGGTGGTCGGGGTTGGGGGTGGTCGGGGTTGGGGGCGGGGGGCGGCCCGCAAGGGCTGTAGGGGTAGCAATTTTCTTTCCTTTTCGGGGATGGGTGGAGGTGGGGTTGCTATAGTTCTGGGAAGCTTTATGGCCCCCAAATGTATACCTGCCACCAACATCACCAACATCTGTACCTCAGAGAAACTAAGGCCCTGGCTGGGATTTTTTTCTCCTGTTTCGCAGACCCCCGTCTGATGAGCTGATGGGGTACCTTGTCTCTGTGAGGTGAGTGGCAGCATCCCCACATGGTGGATGAAGAGACTGAGTCTCAGGCGGCCTCGTGATTGGGCCACTCCCAACCTTTCCGGCCTCAGCGCCTGCCCCTTCCTGGGACATCCCAGGGCCTCCGGCCTCCCAGCCGAGACTCACACTGTCCCCTCTGCCCAGAATACCTTCTTCTTGGGAGGAATGTCCATCCTTTAGGTCTTAGCTCAAATGCTCTTTTATTTGTCCTTATTTCAGAAATTGTGGTAACGTATTCGTCCATTTCTGTTGCTTGTAACAGAATACCTGAAACTGGGTAGTTTACAAAGACAAGGAATTTATTTTATACGGTTCTGGAGCCTGTGAAGTCCAAGGTTGAGGGGCCGCATCTGGTGAGGACCTCCTTGCTGGTGGGGACTCTGCAGAGTCCAGAGGCCACACAGGATATCACATGGTGAGGGGGCTGAGGTGCTGGCCCGGGTCTCTCTTCCTCTTCTTATAAAGCCGCCAGTCCCATGATAATCAATTAACCATTAACCCATTAATCCATGAATCCATGAATAGATTAAACCATTCATGAGGGCAGAGCCTTCATGACCCAATCACCTCTTAAAGGACCACCTCTCAGGCCAGGCCTGGTGCCTCACGCCTGTAATCCCAGCACTTTGGGAGGCCAAGGTGGGCAGATCACCTGAGGTCAGGAGTTTGAGACCAGCCTGGCCAACATGGTGAAACCCTGTCTCTGCTAAAAATACAAAAATTAGCCGGGCATGGTGACGGGCACCTCTAATCCCATCTTCTTGGAAAGCTGAGGCAGGAGAATAGCTTGAATCTGGGAGGTGGAGGTTGCAGTGAGCCAAGACTGTGCCACTCCACTCCACTCCACTCCACTCCACTCCACTCCACTGTGGAGGTTGCAGTGAGCCGAGATCGTGCCACTCCACTTCACTCTACTCCACTCCACTGTGGAGGTTGCAGTGGGCCGAGATCATACCACTCCACTCCACTCCACTCCAGCCTGAGCGACAGAGCAAGACTCCATCTCAAAAAAAAAAAAAAAAAAAAAAAAAGAAGAAGACCACCTCTCACCTCTCAATATTGCCACATTGGAGATTAAACTTCAACATGAGTTTTGGAGGGGACAAATGTTGAAACTATAGCACAGATACATAACATAAAATCTATCATTTTAACAATTTTAAGTGTACAGTTCAGTGGCATTCACTACACTCACAGTGCTGTGCAGCCATCACCACCGTCCATCTCCAGAGCTTTGTCATCTTCCCAAACTCAAACTCTGTGCCCATCAAACAATAACCCCCATTTCTTCCCTCCTCTCTGCCTCTGGCAACCTCCATTCTACCTTCTGTCACTATGAACTTGACTACTGTAGGTATCTCATATAGGCAGGATTATATAATAGGCTCCTCCTTTTGAGTCTGGCTGATTTCACTCAGCATAATGTCCTCAAGGTTCACCCACGTTGTAGCATGCGTCAGAATTTCCTTCATTTTTCAGGCTGAATAATATACCATCGTGTGCCTTGGTCACATTTTGTTTATCCATTCATCCATGGATGGCCACTTGGGTTGCTTCCTCCTTTTGACTATGTGAATAATGCTGCTATGAACATTGGGGTTGAACAAATATCTGTTCAAGTTCCCGTTTCAGTTCTCTTGGGTGCATCCACAGAAGTAGAATTCCCAGGTCATGTGATAATTCCATGTTTAATTTTTGAAGGACTGCCATATTGTACTCCCACGGTGGCTCTACCATCTTACAGTCTTGCTAGCAATGTACAAGGGTTCCAATTTCTCCACGTTCTCACTAACACTTGCTATTTTCTGTCTTAAAAAAAAAAATAACAGATGGCCAGGTGCAGTGGCTCATGCCCATAATCTCAGCGATTTGGGAGGCTGAGGCAGGAGGATCACTTAAGCTCAGGAGTTTGAGAACAGCCTGGGTAACATAGTGAGACCCTGTATCTACCAAAAAAAAAAAAAAAAAAGTTAGCTGGGTGTGGTGGTGCACGCCTGTAGTCCCAGCTACTGGGGACACTGAGGTGGGAGGATTGCTTGAGCCTGGGAGGTTGAGGCTGCAGTGCGCTGTGATCACACCACTGCACTCCAGCCTGAGCAACAGAGTGACTGAGATCCTGCCTTAGAAAAAAAAAAAAAAAGCCGTCCTGATGGAGGTGGAGTGGTGTCTGAGCATTGTGCCAGGCACTTTGTGGCATTATTTCATTTATCATATTATTATTATCCCCATTTGGCAGACGAGAAAACCGAGCTTCAGGGAGGTAGAGTCGCTGCCCTAAGTAACAGGGAGTCTGAGCTCTAAGCTCCTGCCCTGCCCGTGTGGTGCCTTCTCTGGGATTTATTAGGTGCCTGGGATGGAGTTCCCCAGATGGCCAGCAGGGGGCGCCCTTGACCCGGAGTCTAGCCTGGGCTTGAGGGTGGGGAGGGCAGAGCGGAGGGCTCAGAGTCCCTCAGTCCAAACCACTTACTCTATCCCCATTTTACCCTCCTCACCGCCAACCCAGTTCCCAGCCTCTGACTGCAGAGAACCCTGCAGCAGGGACTCAGGCAACTTGATAGAAGTGGGAGAGGTCCCATTAACAAGCCTTGTGACCTTGGGTGTGTGGTTGAACCACTCGGAGCCTGTTTCCCGTCTCTGAAATGGGGGCTACCACTGCTGCCTTGAGGATCTATCGATAGCCCTGCAAGTCAGGCATTTTGGCTTCCTGGAAGGTTGAGATGATGCTGCTGTTTTGGGGAATGGAAAAATGAGCATTTACTGGGTGCTAATTATGTACTGGGTGCTAATTATATGCTGGGTGCTTCCAATGGGACATTTTATTTTATGCCAACATAGTGAAATAAGGAATATTATTCCCATGTTACAGACGAGGAAACTGGGCTCGGAGAAGAGAAGTGAGTTGCTCAAAGCTCACATAGCCAGAAAACAACAGAGCTGGAATTCAAACCCAGCTTCTCCTTCTCCTCCAGGTGACCATTCAAACAAAGGCTAATGTGTGGTCTGGGGAGGGACAGGGAGACGAAGAGGCAGAGCTGCTTGCCTCCCCCTTCCTCCTTGGACTCTGCGGCCAGGCCGCCTGCCTTTGGCTCCACCACCTACTAGTTCTGTCCCCAAGGGCTGATCACTCCACCTCCCCGAGCCTCAGTTTTCTCATATGTACAATAGAGATAATCAACTTTGGATGATTCCGGATTTTAACAGTGAAAGGAAACGTCTTGGGTCAAAGGGAAGTCCCAGGCACAGCCGGTTTCAGGGATGGAAATAACGGGGTTATCCTTCTCTATCATTTATTCTTGGTTTCTCAGTCGCCTCTCCACCTCTCTGGGCTCTGCTCATCTCTGGGTTGGTGGCCTCACTTTCTCCTACTGCAGGCTTGCTTCCTTGATGTGGTGGGTGAAGAAAGGAAGGCAGGGCCACAGAGAGCGTTGGGCTTACATCTTTCCAGCTTTTCACCCTCGGGAAAGAGAGAGCTTCTCTACTCACAGCCAAATATTAAATCACAGGGAAAGAGTCTGATTGGCTAGGCTTATCTATTCCTGGGCCAATCACTGTGGCCAGTTGGAGATGAGGCATCCTAACTGGCTGATCTAGGTTACATGTCTGCCCCTGTGGTTGGGAGTGGGGAGTCTGGATAAGCAGCCTCACCAGAAGCACTTGGAGTGGGGCCAGGGCAATCAGTCATAGCTAACGCATCACTTACCATGTGCCAGTGTTGTTCTCAGCACATTGAACGCACAAATTCATTTAATTCTCACAACCAGGGTCCCATTCTACAGGTGAGGCAACTGAGGCAGAGAGGCACACAGCTGGTGAGTGGTGGGATTTGAACCCATTCTGGTTCCAGAGCACAGGCTCTAGTTCACCTGGAGGAAGGCTGTGGCATTATCAGAAGCAGAAGGGAAGGGCTGCCTGGCAGACAAACCCTGTTCCCTCCAGCACCCGTGGTATTCTTGGATGACAAAGAAGTCACCCCTTCCTGGGCTCGGCACACAGTAGGCCTTGTGGAATAGATGTTCTTCCCTTTCCTTGGAAAATCAGGGCAGACCAGCCTTATCCCCAAGGAACCAGGTTGGTGCTGTCCAGTTGAAAGTTCTCTGTGGACGTAGCCCCAGCCTAGGAAGCTCCAATGGCCACTGCTCCCCCTGCCGGGAAAACTGGAGGTGGCCATTGGGCCCTTCCGCCCCACCAGCCTGCACAGAGGGCTCTCTCAGTGTGGAGGGACCTCGGGTGAGAGGTGTGAAGTGGGAGGAGGGCGGGGAGTCTGGCTGGATCCCCCCTCATCCCGCTACCACCCGCACCAGGCTCCTTCCCTCCGTGTTATCCTTGGAGCTGAGGCTGGGGGCCGGGGGCTCACCAGGGGCGGTGGTGGGCCTCTGCTGGGTACACAAACACCAGTCAGCCATCCAGTGGCCAGTGAACAAGGCGAGCCCTCAGCAGAACTCGATAAGGTTTCCAAAAACAAGACGGGGCCGTTGAAAGGCTACATTACTCCCTCTTGCTGACAGCTGCTAATTTATGCTAATCAGATGCAGGAAAACCCCAAGTTCCCAGTGGGCCCCAGGAGACAGGGAGAATCCAGCCCTGCTGAGCAGGAGGGTGAAGTGGACCTGTGTTCCCGTGGCCGCCCGGCCCCTGCCCTGCCCTGGGCCCCAGAGTGGCCTCAGTTCTCCTGGTCCCTCGCTCTGCTGGGCCAAGAGGGGCTGGGACCTTGTCCTGGGTGCCAGGGCCCCTGAGAAAGATTAGGGGGATGGGGTTTTGGGGTCAGTCTGTGGCCTGGCTGAAAACAGGCAAGGTGGCTGCCACGAGCCACGCACTCAGCCATTAATTCACTGACTCCTCCTCAACTCCGCGAGGTGGGAGTCACTGTGGCTGTGAGGAAACAGAGGCCTGGGGTGGTTCAGTGACTTGCTCAAGGTGGCCTGGAAATGGAAGCATTGGGTGACAACTCTGGTGTCAGGCATCCTGGGCTGAGCTCCTGGATCGGCCACGGAATAGCTGCGTGACCTTGGGCAAATTGCTTAACCTCTGCGTGTCAGTCCCCTCATGAGTAAAGCGGGAATGATGGCCATATGTCCTCATGGGATGTTTGGACCATTAAATGAAATGCTGGCATGCGGCGGGCAAGAGCAGAGTTGGTCATGGCCTTTAGCAAACTGAGGCGTGGCCTGGAGTCCGACTCCATGGGTCTGACTCCGAAGCCCAAGTTCCTCCAAAGGCCCCAGGCTCTTTCCTCCCTGAGGAGTCTGGGGACAAGAAAATTCCCAAGGCACAGCCCCTTCCCATCCGAGGCCCCCACCCACATGATATGACCAAATGCAGAGTGCAGGGGGCAGTGAGATCCCTGGGCCTGCTCCGGACTCCTCCAGGCCTCTCAGCAGGCAGCCTCGGCTCATGGAAAGGGCATGGGGTTGAGGACCAGGGACGAGGACTCCAGCCCCAGCTCGGCCTCTTCTTTCCCACCAAGTGGCTCAGGGGTGGCCTTTTTGATGTGAGATGAGACACTGGACATTGCATTCCCCGTGGTCTGCAGGGCTGTGTGTAGGGTGTCATCATTTCTGCCTCTTACCTTGGCCTGTGCTGTTTCTAGGCCCTGACCCCCCTTTCCTAGGTCAGGGCCGGTCTCCTCTGTCCAGCCTTGCTGGCTGCCCCTGGGTCCCCATGACTTTCCTTTCCTTTCCCTTTTCTTTCCCCTTTTCTTTCCCCATTCTTTCCCCTTTCCTTTCCCCTTTCCTTTCCCTTTTCCTTTCCTTTCCTTTCCTTTCCTTTCCTTTCCTTTCCTTTCCTTTCCCCTTTCCTTTCCTTTCCCCTTTCCTTTCCTTTCCGCTTTCCTTTCCTTTCCTTTCCTTTCCTTTCCTTTCCTTTCCTTTCCTTTCCTTTCCTTTCCTTTCCTTTCCTTTCCTTTCCTTTCCTTTCCTTTCCTTTCCTTTCCTTTCCCCTCTTTCCTTTCTTTGGAGTCTCACTCTGTCATGCTGGAGCACGGGTGGCGTGATCTCGGCTCCCTGCAATCTCTGCCTCCCAGGTTCAATTGATTCTCGTGCCTCAGCCTCCCGAGTAGCTGGGAGGGACATGCACCACCACGCCTGGCTAATTTTTTGTATTTTTAGTAGAGATGGGGTGTCACCATGTTGGCCAGGCTGGTCTTGAACTCCTGACCTCAAGTGATCCACCCACCTTGGCCTCCCAAAGTGCTAGGATTACAGGCGTGAGCCACTGTGCCAGGCCGAGAGTGCATTTCTTTAACCCTTTGCTGCTGGCCTCATGCTCCTTGGGGTCCATTCTCACTCCTTCCCTCAGACTCCCTCCCTCCCTCCTCAGTTCAGCTCCCCTCCCCGCTCCCCAGTTGCTCTCCTCACCACACATCTGCAGCCTCACCCAGTCACTGTGGCTCAGGCACTGGCACGGGGATGGGATGGCCTGGTGGTCAGCACTGGCTGCTACCTGTCTGTTTCCTCGCAGGAGGAGCTGACTGAGCCTCAGTGTCCCCAGATAAGGAGGGGAGTATGCTCCCAGAAGCGTCTCCTGGGGGGCTAAGTGAAAGCCGGGCCAACCCTTCGTCCAGAGCCCTATGTCCACGAGGACCAGCCTGGCAGGCACGGGCCCTTCTGGCACCAGCGTCCTGAAGGGCTGAGCAGTTGGTGACTGGATAATCCTTTTCTGAGTGTATCATGACCTCTGGTTGTGTGAGGAAGCCCAGAGACCGACTATGGCTTCCTTGGGCTTCCAGAACATTCTTGGGTTTCTGGAACCATCAGAGCCACGGTAATCTGGTGATTCTGGGTGGGCCGTCTGGGGGCCTGGGCCTTGCAGCTGTGAAGAATTCATTTAAATTTTCCATGGAGGGATTGGCTCCCGGCCAGGCCACGTGAGTTATTTTGAGGCACTCTGGTCGGTGCTCTCTGCCCTGCCCTCGTCCAAGTAAACGAGCCCCACCGAGTGGGCCTGGAAACCCCACCCAGCCTTGTTTATGGCCCTGCTGGGCTCTGTGGCTGGTCAGTGGCCAGAATCTGGCATCTGCCCCCCATTCCCTCACCCCAGGCTGGGTGGAGTAGGCACAGGATGGTAAAATGTCCTGACCCATTCATGGCAGTGTGGTTTCTGGGCCAGGCAGGGGCATCCTGAACTGAAGAAAAATAAAAATAAGATAAACATAGCAATCCCAATGTCACCCTTCTGGGAGGCCTCCCCTCGTGTGTCAGGGCATGCGGTACAGCCGGAGACCAGGAGAAGACCATGTCCCTGCCGGCCTACCACGGGCACACAGCCCAGCACCGGCAAAGCTGCCCTGCCATTTTTCCACTGAGAAGTGCTTCAGCGCATTCAAGGTTGGCTCTGGTTGAGTGTCTGGGGGCCCGGGGGTCCCGCCCCCTCTTTCCCACTGCGTTGCCCCCCAACCAGAGGCTCATGCTCAGCTGCTTGCTCTCTCCAAGATCCTCCCCAGAGGCCGGGGTCCCAGCTCACCTGGGAGGGTCGGAGAAGGTCCCACTGCCCCCTCGGGGCGGGCCTGGGTCTTTTCCAGTCCTCTAGTGAGTGAAGCACCCTCAAGTCCATGCCTGCTCAGGGCATGGGGCAGGGGTGTCCCTCACATGGAACAGCTTTGGTGACCCATGGAGCCAAAAGATCCCCCTGCTCCCAGCAGTCAGAGGGGAAGGGACAAGGCTCCCATCAGGGCAGACTCCCCTGTCCACTGTCTTTCAGTCAGGACGACCGCAGGGGCAGCTGCGGAAACCAGCTTTGCAAAAGTTATACCAGTTATATCGGGGGTCAAACGCCTCACACACCTGCACTTTATGTCCATGGCAACCCTAGCAGGTGGATTCCATTCAGGAGTATGCTGGTAAACAGGCTCTCTAAAAAAACAAAGCAACCAACCAACCTCAAACACAACAACTACTGATTCGTAGTATTTGTCAATTCTCACACTTCCATGGAGGCCCATGAGGCCACTGAACTCAGAGTTAAGCCATAGGACCTCTCCAGCATGCACCGGTCCTGTTCCCATGCCAACCATGAGCTGGGGAGCGGTCTCCATTCACAGATTCAGATGCATGGGGAAAGCACCCTGCCTCTGCTTCCTGAACTGACCTTTGTTTCTATTTTAGATCCTCATTCCATTAAGCGATGGAAGCCCCACATCTAGACATCATGGTTCCCACTGGCCCCTGCCCAGGCTTGTCTAGGGTGTGGGGGTTTATGTGGCGCTGAGACACCGGTGGGGAGGGACACATTAGATTCTTAGCATTGTCCCCTCTCAGCTTCCCCTGTGATGTTTGCCTCTCCTCTCCTCTCCTTTCCTCTCCTCTTCTCTCCTCTCCTCTCCTTTCCTTTCCTTGATGGGGGTCTCACTCTGTCTGTCACCCAGCCTGGAGTGCAGTGGTGCTTACATGGTTCACTGCAGCCTCGACCTCCTGGGCTCAAGTGATCCTCTCACCTCAGCCTCCCGAGTAGCTGGGACTACAGCCATGCACCACCACGCCTGGCTAATTTTTAATTTTTTTTTGTAGAGATGGGCTTTTGCCATGTTGCCCAGGCTGGTCTCAAGCAATCTGTCCACCTCGGCCTTCCAAAGTGCTGGGATTCCAGGCATGGGCTCCTGTGCCTTGCCTTGCATTCTTGTCTAGACTTTGCAGGAAACTGCAGAGTCCTTCCTCGTTCCTGACCAGTGTGCCTTCAGAGCCTCCACATCAACGCCATGTTCATGCCACTGTGAAAGCCACCACGTCAGTGCCGGGTCCGTGCCACTGTGAGAGCCACCACGTCAGTGCCGGGTCCGTGCCACTGTGAGAGCCACCACGTCAGTGCCGGGTCCGTGCCACTGTGAGAGCCACCACGTCAGTGCCGGGTCCGTGCCACTGTGAGAGCCACCACGTCAGTGCCGGGTCCGTGCCACTGTGAGAGCCACCACGTCAGTGCCGGGTCCGTGCCACTGTGAGAGCCACCACGTCAGTGCCGGGTCCGTGCCACTGTGAGAGCCACCACGTCAGTGCCGGGTCTGTGTTACTGTGGGTAGAGGGGCAGCATCCAGCTGCATCTGCCCCTCTGAGAGAGCTCTCTTGCCCTGTTGCCTGCCAGGCAGCTCCTGCACTTCTCCATGGGGTGGCTCTGGCCATGCCCTGGGCTCTGCTCTCACCGTTTGCTGTCTTTCCCTGGGCCTGGGAGAACTGTCACTTCCAGGGGGTTGCAGGGAACCCCCAACCCCAGCTTTCTCCTCTGTTCCTCACCTTCTACCTGGTCTCAAGGGTGGGGAGGACATTTCTGGTTCATCGCGTGAGCTTCTAAATTTTCTATACTATTCAGAGCGTGGGCTCTTGAAACATGGAAAACCAGGTGCTCTGACTGCTGTGCCTATATTCTTCTGTGTCCTGCTCAGCTGCCCAGATGTGGGGACTAAGGGCAGGGGGCAGGGAGGGAGGGGCAACAGGAAATTCTGGAGAGAGAGGCATTGGTGAATACTTCAACAGATTATCCTGATAAAGCAAACACAGAGAGGTTAAGTGACCTGCTCCAGGTCTCCCAGCAGGTCAGAGGCAGAACCAGTCAAACCGAGTCTGAGTCCTTGGCCTCCAGCTCAGCAGAAAGCAACTAGTGAGAACATCATGATGTCCCTTTGAACAGATTGGGACGGAGGCCCAGAGCAGGGAAGAAATTACCCAAGTGGATGCAGCAAGTTGAGGCAGAGTGAGGACTGGAACTCAGCATGCCGCCTTTGTCTGGTGTTGCAGCCCGGAACCCCCGGGAAGCCTCAGAGAGCCTGAGGGAGGAGGAGAGAAACATCAGAGCAGGGAGCTACTAGGGCCTGGCTGCTCTGCTCCCATGTGGCTCAGGAAGGGCTTGTCCCCTGTTAACATCTATTTGTCATCTCTTCGCTGGGGTGCTTTGAAAGGAGAAGGACGGGTCAGGTACAGTGACTCATGCCTGCAATCCTAGCACTTTGGGAGGCTGAGGCAGGAGGATCACTGGAGGCCAGGAGTTTGAGACCAGCCTGGGCAACATAGTGAGACTCCATCTCTACAAAAAATAAAATAATTAGCCAGGCACACTGGCTCACACCTGTAATCCCAGCACTTTGGGAGGCCGAAGTGGGAGGATCATTTGAGCCCAGGAGTTTGAGACCAGCCTGGGCAACATAGTGAGACCCCCATCTCTACAAAAAATAAAATAATTAACTGGGCATGGTGGTTCATGCCTGTAGTTCCAGCTACTCAGGAGGCTGAGGCAGGAGGACTGCTTGAGCCCAAGAAGCCAAGGTTGCAGTGAGCTGTGATCGCACCACTGCACTCCAGTCTGGGTGACAGAGTGAGACCCTGTCTCCAAAGGGGAAAAAAAAAAGTGAGGGAAAAGGTTGCAGTTAGCTGTGATTGCACCACTGCACTCCAGCCTGGGTGACAGAGCGAGACCTTGTCTCCAAAGGAAAAAAAAAAGTGAGGGATATGTTTCAAGGCAGGCTCCTTCTTCCTGCCTCCTGCCTGACCATCTTGGCTCTGACCTGACATTTCTGAAGTCCCCATCTCCTTTCTGATTTTTTAACAATCTCAAACATATAAGGACATCGCAAGTACAGTAGGGAAAGCTATTTTTCTCCCTGGCCATCTGAGACTAAGTTGCTGTCATCATGCTCTATCCCTGCTGAATACTTGTGTCTATTTCCTACTAACAAGGACATTCTCTTACACAAACACAATGCCATATGAAAATCCCAAAGCAAACCTCACACTGTATCCTAGGTCCCCCTGTTGTTCCAGGAATGTCCTAGCCATTGAGTCATCCTGTCTCTTTAGCCTGGAATAACTCCTCATTGAGTCTTGGTTTTGTGCCCTTGACGTTGTTGGATATTCCAGGCCGGTTTTGGAGAACGTTCCTTATGTTGGGTTTGTCTCCTCTTGGTTATATCAGGCTGAGCATCTTCAGGGGGCTGATCACAGAGAGATGCTGCTTCTCTTCCTGCATCCCTGCAGGTGGCTCACGGTTCTCATTTGCCCTGGTACTGATGAAATCCACTTGGCTCCCTTGGTTGGCTTCTCCACTGCAGAGTGACTCTTTTCCCTTCATCATGGAAAAGGATTTTGTTCGGTCGGCACTCTGAGACACCATGAGTAGCCTACTCCACACCAAACTTCTGTTATGCATTAATTAATTCACATCAGCCAGAACTCACGGTTCCCTATTTTTTTCAGTGGGTGATGCTGTGTTACTGTGGGTATTTATTTTGATGCTCAGAAGAAACCGGAGGGACCTTCTTCATGTCCCCAGTGATGTCCCTGTCATTCCTTGAGTTCTTCCTTATTTTCTGGCACAAAAGATGTTTTAGGCTCATCTTATTCTTTCTCTGGCCTGACCCTGGAATCAGCCATTTCTCCAATGTAGGGGCTAATTTTAAGTTTTCTACCAGACTCGCAGATGAGGCTGAACATTTAGTTATCATATCGTGTGTGTGTGTGTGTGTGTGTGTATGCATGCATGTTAGATGTGTGTTAAAAAAGTGTATTTATGAAATATAACATTAAAAAAGATCAGAGATTTTAAAACTGAGGTTGGGCAGTTCTTTTTTTTAAATATATATAAATACACTAGAAGCTTTAAGGGGGGCCCGGGATGGTGTCCTGGGCCTCTTGTGGTTTCTGCCTTGCCCCTTAGCCTATGAGGCACACGCCCCTGACCTGGCCTCTCCCGCCTGGGCCAGCACATCTGAAGCCCAGAGGGGCGCAGGCGAGGCTGGGGTCTTGCCAGAGCAAACATAGCCCCTGTGCAGGGCCAAGGGAAACAGCGTTGGGTCAATATTAGCTCGTGCGAAACAGGCCTGAGGAACGTGTGGTTTGTCCCACTCGGCCTCTGGGAGGGAGAGGTGGACTCAGGCGCTCACAGCAGCACTTACCATTGTTGGGCCAGCCTCCTTCTGTGTGGATGGGGAAACTGAGGCCCAGAGGTGGCAGGGCAGGGACTTGCCTTGGGTCACAGTGCTCAGAACAACACTCTTTTGTAGTCTACATTCTTTTTTTTTTTTTTTTTTCTGGAGATGGCCTTGCTCTGTCGTCCAGGCTGGAGTGCAGTGGCGCAAGTATAGCTCACTGAAAGCTTGATCTCCTGGGCTCAAGGGATCCTCCTGCCTCAGCCTCCGGAGTAGATGGGTCTACAGGTGCATACTTCCATACTGGCTAACTTAAATTTTTTTTTTTTTTTTGTAGAGATGGGGTGTTGCTATGTTGCCCAGGCTGGTTTTGAACTCCTGGTCTCAAGTGATCCTCTCGCCTCAGCCTCCCAAACTGTGAATTCTCCATTCTTTTCCTTCAGTTGTTTCTGTTTTCCTCCCTGAGGCTTCTGGGAAGCAGCAGAAGTCAGGTCAGCAAGCACTGGACTGAGAGTCAGGAGTTCTAGTCCCATTTCTGTCTCGCTCTGCAGTGGGACTCTGGGGATGTTACTGCTTCATTCTGGGCCCTTATATCTCAAAGGTTCCTTCTCCCTGAAAATTACAAACTTTGACCTTCAGTGCATCCGCTCAACTAATTCAGGTCCTCAAAATCGAAATTCTTTAGGGGCCAGGTAGAGAAGGTAAATGTGGGGTGTGACAAGTTGTGGGACAATAGGGAGAGGCGGGGACGGTGGAGAGCTGGAAAGTGTGTGCCTGTCATGAAGACATTCGAAGTGAAACAACAAGATGGTGGGACCGTGTTGGTCCTGGGAAGCCCCGAGTGTCTGCAGGCCTGGCTGACTGCTTTCAGGTGTAGCAGGCCTGAGGCAGAGCAGAAGGACAGAGCCCCGGCTCTCGCATCATGTCACACTGCCCCCTGTATCTGACCCTGGAGAAGAGGGAGGCCTGGCTGGGGCTGCCGTTTCCAGGCCCAGGAAAGTACCGTGACGGCTGCTGCGAGGCTCAGGGGTGAGACGTGGCCTGGAGAAGCAGGGAGTGGTCAGGCCTGGGAGTGACGTGGTCCCTGGTCCAGCCCTTCTGCCGGGCTCTCTGAGATTTCATCTACACTCCAGCTGCCGGGATGTGCACACCCGCCCCTGCTCACCTCCTGCCTTATCTGTGGGTCCTGCTGCCTCAGCCTCCTATCTCCCAACTCCAGCTGCTTCCCCTACCTCTCCTTCCTGCCACAAGGGAAAGTCACTGACCACCAACTGCTGCCCACACCCTGACACAACCTCCCCAGCCCCCTCCAACCCTTGAAGAAGCTGAGAACCTGCTTCTGCTCATCCCAGGCCAGCATTTGAGTTCCAGTTTGCCACTTAGGATCTGGGCTCTAGGATCTTGGGCAAATGGCTCAACGTCTCAGAGCCTTGGTTTTCTCATCTCTAAAACGGAAGGTCATCTGGCCATGCTGGATCACTGGGTTGTGTTGTTGTGAGGATTGAACCAGGTAAGGTAAGAGAGTGAGGTCCAGAGCTGCTGCTCAACACACATTCCTCCTCACAGCTTTGGCTCCCAGACTGGATCAGAAACTCAGGTCTCAGCATATCAGGGCCCGCCTCCTCCTGGAAGCCTTCCCTGTTTGCCAAAGCCCAGGCTGAACTCCCAAAGAATAAATAGCTCCAAAGTGGGAGAGACAGGGAGGAGTAGGAAGGGGCTTCAGTGTGCAGCTAGTACATACTTCTCATTTTGAAGTTCATGACGGAAGGCTCTCTTATTTTACAAAGGAGTAAACTGAGGCACAGAGAGTAAGTCTGTATACGAAGCAAGTAAAACAGCTGACTTCCGGCTTGGTGCTCGTCCCAGCACAACACAGCCCTTCCCTTCCAGCAACCCCGGACAGTGGCCTGTGCCACTCGGTGGACAAACACTATGGATGCTCACTTCTGTGCCCAGGCTCACCTCTGCCTGCTTGAACCTCCGCTGCAGACTAACACAAACAGGATGAGGACACAGCATGTCAGGGCCCAAAACGTGGTGCAAGCTGGGGCACACAAGTGACTCAGAAGAGGGACTGATGTAAAAGCAGCAGCATGAAAGTGCTAGCAAAAACCATGGAGGAGTTTTCATAACCAGACACTTTAACAGATATTATAAATTAAATTATCAACACATTCAAGTTCCCTTTAAAAATGGTGAAAAGGCCGGGTGTGGTGGCTCGCGCCTGTAATCCCAGCACTTTGGGAGGCCGAGGCAGGTGGATCACCTGAGATCAGGAGTTTGAGACCAGCCTGGCTAACATGGTGAAACCCCATCTTTACTAAAAATACAAAAATTAGCCGGGCCTGGTGGCGCGTGCCTGTAGTCCCAGCTACTTGGGAGGCTGAGGCAGGAGAATCGCTTGAACCTGGGAGGCGGAGGTTGTAGTGAGCCGAGATTGTGTCACTGCACTCCAGCCTGGCGACAGAGCAAGACTCTGTTTCAAAAAAGGAGAAAAAAAAAAAAAGGTGAAAAATCCCATAAGCAAATCCAGGGATTATTGCGACTTACTTTACAGGCAAAAGAAGAATTTCCTTAACATCTAAAAAACACCTGCAAATCAATAAGAACTAGGCCAACAACCGGAAAAAAAATAGTGGGCAAAGGATCCAGGCAGTTTCTAAAAAAGGAAATACAAATTGTTCCTAAATATGTGAACATATCCTTAACCTTCTAAAAAGAATTGAACTGCAATGCAAACCATTTTTTATCGATCATATTAGTGAAGATTAAGAAGTTTGATACCTCACTGTGTTGGTGAGGCTATGGGAAGTGGCCACTCTTTCACCTTGCTGGTGGGAGTATGAATTGGTACAACCTCTGTGAAGGGCAACTCGCTGATACTGAAAAACACTGGAATGATCGTACCCTTTAACCTAGTAATTCTGTTTTTAGGAAGCTGACTTCCACATGTATTGTATTCACACATGTGAAAATGATACATGTACAATAGTGCTTATTGCTGTAGCGTGTGTAATTGCAAAAGGCTGGAAACAATCTAATGTCTGTGGGTTAAAATTTATTTAATGATGAGATAGTCACCCAAAGGAACAGTATGCAGCCAGAATAAAGACTGGGCACACTCTTTATGTAATTAAATGGAGAAGGCTAGGCCCGGTGGCTCATGCCTGTAATCCCAGTACTTTGGGAGGCCGAGGCTGGTGGATCACCTGAGGTTAGGAGTTCGAGACCAGCCTGACCAACATGGTGAAACTGTCTCTACTAAAAATGCAAAAATTAGCTGGGCGTGGTGGCGGGTGCCTGTAACCCTAGCTACTTGGGAGGCTGAGGCAGGAGAATCACTTGAACTCGGGAGGCGGGGGTTGCAGTGAGCCGAGACTGTGCCATTGTACTCCAGCATGGCAACAAGAGTAAAACTCTCTCCTTCCTAAAATAAATAAATAAATAAATAGAACAATCTCCGAACACATTCAGTAAAGAACAGCTGGTTCAGAACATGGTTAAGTTATACTACTATTTGTGATGCTGGTATGTATTTGAATGTGTTTGCATATGCATAGAAATCTCTGAAAAGCAACACCACAAAATAGGTAATCGTGTTTGTCCCAGGTAAGAATAACAGGGTAGCTGGGAGGGGCTAGATGAGTACTTATTTTTCACTGTATATCCTTTTGTATATATTCAACTTTGTACCATGTGCATTTGATATCTATTAAAACATAAATTTTCAAAAGTGGACAGCGGGGGTATTATATGACCCCTAAGCAGAAGGGCTAATGCGAGCATCTCACACATCACTGAGGGGTTGATGGAGAGGGAGGGGAGACGGAGAAGATCTATACCTTGTACATATCTCCGAATTCTTTTCAGTCCTAAGCAGCATCAGGAGGTCGTGTGGGGTGGTGGTAAGTATACAGGATTTCATGCCTGAGCCCAGAGTCTAAATGTACTTCCAGTAAACCGCTTCAGTCCGCAATCCTCAGTTTCTTAGTCTGTAAAACGGGGGCAACACAGCGCCTCATTCACAGGGTGACACTTGTGCTCTGCGATGCTGCCCCTTCGGCGTTCCCAGACATTACCATGACCCTCGGCCACTCCTGGGAACTCCCTCTGGGGCAGGCTCCCTCTCCGCTCCCCTCCTCAGGCAGGAGACAGAGCCACATTGCTTAGCAAAGCAGCTGAGGGTGGAGTGGAAAATGTCAGCATCAGATAGCACCATGGGAAATGGCGTGCTTCTCCAACCACAAACACCCCCACATTTCCCTCCAGTATTTAGGGGAGTGGGGTGGGGCTGAGGCTGGTGAGGCCTTGTACACCTTCAGGCCTTGTACCCCTAAGCTTTCTTGGCCAAGGCATCCTTGGGTGGTGGAGAGTGCACTAGCAGGGGCCTTGGCCCTCTTGGCTGCCGTGCTCTGTGGGACCCGGGAGAGGTGCTGCATGTGGGCTCTGCTTCAAAGAAGGCCTTGGCTGCTCTGGAAAGCTTCAGACAGACAGGCAGCATCTGATTAGTGGGAACATTCCAAGGCTCAGTTGTCTGGCTATGACTCTTCAGGCAATAGGGAGCCATTGAAAGTTCTTGAGCCAGGCAGGGCTGGTTCTGAACGAGCCTTTAGGAAGTATAGTTGGCAAAGTGAAAGGTGACAGGTTGAGGACCACCTGTTCAGTCCAGCTTCCTCATTGTTAGCTTAATCTTTGAAGTAATTCTGCAAGAGGGGCCGACATATTGTTACCTCCATTTTACAGTTGAGAAAACTGGAGCTGCCGAGAGGTGGTGAGATTGGCTCTTGGTCACATAGCGTGCCGGAGGCAAAGCCGGGATGTGGGCCAGGTTTGTCCCCTCAGGGTCTGCGGACTTCCCCTACACCCGATACCTCTCTAAAGAGGGGCTTGCTATTTTTAGCCCACTGGTGTCATCTTGATTGTGCCTTTGACTAAGAGATGGCATTGTTAACCGGCTTGTCTCGTGATGCTGTCACTCACGTTGTGACTATTACTGACCTCTGCTTTCCCCACCTGGAGTCCTTGGGGCTACCCCAAGGCAGCCTGGACTCGGGAGGAAGTGTGGTGGGAGGGCTTCTGTGAGTGGGGCTGGGATCTGGCGGGCACCCTGAGCAGATGGCAGCCCCTGCAGCCAGGGCTGTCTTGGTCACTGCTCTAGGGCCTAATACAGTGCCTGGCACATAGCAGGCATTCAAGACATACCTGACGCTGCTTGGAGAAATGAATGATGCAGTCGCCTGCCAGATTAGTATATTCACACTGTTCCCCTGGAGGATGCCAGAACAGACCCAAGTTCCCTTGATGACAAGGCCGGTGTGTGCGGGGCCACACGGTCTCCACACACGCGTCCTAATGGGGGCATCCTCACAAGCAAGCACAGGTAGTGGGCTCCAGGAGCCGAGGCAGAGCTGTTCTGTGGGGAGTGTGACCTTTCAGTCAGATGCATGCCCTAGTTGATCTCCTCGTTTGTCAAAAGGTTTTAATTGTTCAGGTACATATATAGCCAGGTGCGGTGGCTCACACCTGTAATCCCAGAACCTCGGGAGGCTGAGGTGGGAGAACCTTTTATCCCAGGAGTTCGAGACCAGCCTGGTCAACAAAGTGAGCCCCCATTTCTACAAAAGATAAAAAAGTTGGCCGGGCATGGTGGTGCATGCCTGTGGTTCCAGCTACTTGGGAGGCTGAGGTGGGAGGATTGCTTAAGCCTGGGAGCCCGAGGCTACAGTGAGCTGTGTGCAGCATTGCACTTCAGCCTGGGTGACACAGCAGGACCCTGACTCAGAAAAAAGAAAAAAAATTATATATGTATATATATTCTGAATTTGTTGGTGGTCTAGACCTCCTGCTCTTTAGCCACTTGTTGGACAGTGGCCCGGAGCCCCAGGCCTGATAGATCCCAGCCCTCCAAGCCCCTTGGCCAAAGAAACCCTTCCCTGCTGGGTGAAGCAGTGTGGCTGGCCCAGGCAGCAGCCCCTGGAGCCTGGTTGGTTCAGGTCAGGCCTCTCTTTCTGCTCCCTGCCTTTTGCCACAGCAAAGTCTCAGGTGTGGGGTGGCGTAGGGGGTTGGATCTGGGCAGTAGGGGTGGAGGAAGGCAGACAGATTTGGGAGGTGGGAGGGAAGCAGAATCCACAGGGCTTGGCGATTGGGAGGAGGTGGAAGTGAGGGTGAGGAGAGAGAGGAGGCTGTGCTGTGGTCTCTGGCTGGGCAGTGGGGAGGCTGGAGGGGCCAACACCCAGAGGGGTCAGTTTGAGATGTATGGAGTGCACGATGGGTGCGGTGTGTGCGTGTGTGTGTGTGTGTGTGTGTGTGTGTGCACGCCATACAGGGGTACTAAGACTCAGTGGCTGATCTGGGCAGGGACTAGCCACAGCTGGGGTCCCCAGAGTAGGGATGGTGGCCCTAGAACAGCAGGGGTGGCCCCCTCATGGCCTGGCCCTTCGGGCTGCTCTGTGCCGGGCACTGGCAGGAAGAGCCTGAGTCACAGTTGGGCTCTTCAGCCTGCAGCTGGCTGAAAATTTATGGATGTCCCTGAGAGGGGTGGTCAGGAGGCCTGGCTGGCTGACGGGAGCTGCCTAGCTGTTTACCCAGTGCCGAGGAATTTGAGGGCAGCAACAGCCCAGTCGCTTTGGAGGGGGTCCAGCCTCTGGGTGCAGCTGCTTGGAGTAACCTGCCTGGTGCCGGGGCCTGGCTGAGAGGGGCCAGGCCTCAGAGAGCATGGATTTGGACACCTCTTTGATGTTATAGACAGGAAAACAGAAGTTGGAGTGGGGAAGTGGCCATTCCAAAGCCCCACAGCAATTCTGTGCTCCAGTCAAGACCAGAAACCAGGCTAGGAAGGCAGCAGGAGGAAGTGATGGAGAGCTGTCACTTGCTGAGATGCTCTTGTTCATGTGTGTCCTTGTTCACCGCCTCCTCTACTAGAATGTTTGCTCCATGAGACCAGGGACCTTGTCTGCCTTGTTCACTGCTATGTCCTGAGCACACAAAACAAGGCTCTTGTTGAAGGGATGAAGTCAGAAGGCCTGGGGAGGTTTTTTTCCCTCACATTACAAGATGTACAGAGAAAGGAGGTTCAGGGCTGGTGCAGAGGCTTCATGATGGCATCAGGGATCCCGGCTCTTCCTCTCTTTCCGCTCTGCATTAGGGTATCGTTTTTGTTCTCATGGTCCCCAAATGGCTTCTGTGCCTCCAGGCATTGCACCTGCATTTACAGAAGGTCGAAGGGAGTTAGGACAATGGGTAGAAGACATGTGCTTATGAAGTCTGTCCCTTTCAAATCAAGAAAGTTGCAGCTTTCCTAGAAGTGACTAAATCGCACACCATGTGTAGTAGTTCTCTACCTTGCTTCTTCTTCTTCTTCTTCTTTTTTAGGTATCTAAAGCCTGGCCCCAGATTTGGTCCTCAGTGGGGCCTATCACTTTTGTTGTTTGCTAGTGGTTGTTGTTTCATTTTTTAAAATAAAAATCCCCTAGCTGGGGGAATGACCTAATGAGGTAACTCCTACTGTGGTGTTGATGGCAGTTGTGCTATTTTGCCACCAACTTCTTAAGGTGCCTGGATCTCTGAGGTTTTTCCTGAGGATGAGGTCAGCAGCAGGGAGGAGGGGGCTCTGGCAGAGGCTGGTGCTTAGGAGGGAATTACCTAGTCCTTGCAGCAGCACACTGGATGCGCTATGACAATCCCCACTCTACAGCTCAGAGTGAGGCAGAGGCTGGTTGGAGACCAGGGCCAGGAGGGAGCCGGGTTTTCCAGCTCCCCATGGATAGTACGGCTGCACCCATGATCTAAAATGCTCCGTCCTGGGGTGTGCCCAGAGCTGTTATTCAGCAGGAGGCTGCTGGCTCGGCTATGCAGACTTTGCAGCCAGTGCTCCTTCTGCCTGCTGGTCCCATCTCCCTGGAGCCTTCAGCCTGCAGTGCCTGTGGCAGCAGCAGACTAGGATATGGTGTCATTGTGCCCCTGGGTGCAGCCAGGGACCCCTGGACTGCCTGGCTGAGGGGAGGCCTCCTTGGAGTGTCTGGCAGACCGTTGGGGTCCCCTGCCTGCCCACTGGACTCAGCAGCTGGTCATTGGAAGGTCTGGTTGTCCCCAGGCCACAGGCCTGTGGGCTGTCCTTGCCAGGCTGACCCTCCAGGCTGACTTCAAGGCCTGGGCCCCTTCCACAGGCAGGGGAGTAGGGGAGGGACCCTGTGGGTTGCACGTGTAGGCCCTGACCCCTGGTGACCGTGCTGGGTTCGGGGCAGGAGACAGGAGAGAATGCTCTGCCGTTTCTCACATTTTTCAGGCCTTTGGCTTTGGCCCTACACATTCCAGCCCCAAACCTCAAAGGCAGAAGTGAGGTGGGGCTTGCAGCCAGAAGGGAATCACAGGCCAGTGGTCTGGCAGGAAGCTGACCTTCAGCCTGGGTGAGCTGCAGGGGGCACCCAGGAGCCCCTCGGGAGAAGACAGCCCTGGAGCTACCTTGGCTGCCACCACTCACATGCCGCCCACGAAGCTGTCCCCAAGGAGGACCTGTGTCCTGGCTCTGCTCCTGACCAGCTGTGTGTCTTGCAGCAGATCACTGGCCCCTTGGGTCTACGGGAGCTGATCAGTGCCTCTCTGCTGCCTTCCTCTGCTGGCTAGGGCTGGGGGAGGCTCAGCTGAGAAAGGGTTTAAAGGACAGGAAGAATCATAGTGACAATCGTGATCAAAATGCTTCCCACTGTGCAGTCCTTACCGTGACCCAGCCCCTTCTAAGTGCTTCATCTAGGTTAATGGAAAGGACACAAGACTCCCAAACTCTTTGTTTAAATACAAAAGCTGGCAGAGTCGTGGGTTTTATTTTTACCTCCAGGCCTATGGGTGAAGAGGGAAGTTCCAGTGATGTTCTTCTGACTTAACAAAGAAAGCTTACAACTAATTCTGCCTTTGAGGAAACAGAGCTGTCTGTTTAAATATTCATATACCATGGCAGCAAATTATTAAGCCAGATAACCAGCCAGAATTACAGACCTTTTCAGGATTAAAGATGACTCTCTAGGATCTGGGAACCATGTCTGAAGTCAGGGGGTCTTAGAAGATTCCTTTGTCAGAAATAACATTGACAAGGGCAGTTTGACAAGCAGATTTGTATCTGCTCTGCCGTGGCTGCGGTGGCATGGAACATTTCCTTGTCCTTATCTTGATGAATTCAGAGGGTCTGAAGTTTTCAAGGGTTCTACCACTCCACAAAGAAGGTATGAAAAGCAACTTGAAGAAGCTCAAAACTTATCATTCGTAACGGAAAACAGCAGAATATAAATAGTGAGCTTATGTGGTGTTGCCACCTGCATGTACAGACAACGAGATGGGCATTATCATTATCCCCGCTTGGCGCAGGAGGAAGCGGAGGCTCAGGGAAGTTCACGACTTGGCTGGGGTCACACAGCAAGGAAGTAAGGGCTGCACTTGTGCAGATGGGGACTGTGGTCTCGGTGGAGTGTGTTGGGCTCCAGCGACGGGGCCCCAGGCTCAGCTGTTGCTTCCACTGAGCAGCTGTATTTGTTCCCTGCGGCCGCTATAATAAAAGACCAGAAACACAGTGACTACAACAGACATTTATTGTCTTACAGTTCTGGAGGCCAGAAGTCAGGAATGCGCCTCGCTGAGCTAAAATGAAAGTGATTCCCTTTCGAGCCTCTAGAGGAGAAGCCATTTCCTTGCCTTTTCCAGTTTCTGGATGCCGCCTGCACTCCTTGGCTCATGGTTCTTCCTCCAACTGCAGAGCCAGGAGTGTGGCATCTTCCACTCCCTCTCTGACTCTGATCTTCCTTCACTTATGGGGACCCATTTGATGACCTCAGGGCCATCCAGATAATGCAGGATAATCTCCCCACCCACCTCAAGATCCTGAATTTCATGGCGCCTGTGAAGTTTCTTTGCCATGTAAGGCCATGTACGCACAGGTTCCAGAGATTAGGGTGGATTTTTTTTGGGGGGTGAGAGGCACTATTCTGCCTATCACAGTGGCTTTGGCCAAAGGGTCTGACCTTTGGGATAATAGCCGTCCTCTCCACAGGGGGTTTGTTGGGAATGACAATAAAGTGATTCAGGCTTGTACTCCACAGGGAGTGACTGAGGTGCCTGCCAAGGGGCCAGTGTGTGCTGGAGCCTGGTGACCCGGTGAGAGACAAATGACTGCATCAGAACTCCTGCTTCTGCGAGGGAGGTAGTGCCCGAGGGGACTCAGAATCAGACAGATCAGGGGTTCAATCCCAGCTCTGCCTCCTCCTAGCAGCCTGAGTACGGGTGAGATCGGGGAGCAGGGACGGGCTGGAAGGGAGAAAACAAACAGATGCATTCACGTGACCTCATTTCACCTTCACCGCAGCCCTGCCAGGCAAATTTCTGTTCCCCCCAACCGCCCCGCCGTTTTGCAGAGGTGAAAACAACAGCTCAGAGAGATCAAGTGCCTTGTCTGACACCACACAGCTACTAAGTGGGGAGCTGGGATTCCCCATGCCCCAGGATTCCCAAACGGATGCCACCTACTCCACCTCCAGGGCTGTCTGCCACATCTGCGTCCTCCTAGGCTGTGGCTTCCTTAATATGTTCTTTAAATTGACTTACTGCCTTTTTTATTTAAATGCATTTCTTTTAAAATGAGACTTTATATTACTCCTATAAATGGAAAATCACAGGATTCATGGACTAGTTATGTATATTTTTATAATGCACATTAAAATGAATTTATCACCATAAAAAATGAGAAATGTTTACCCATAGACCATGTACAATTATTCCACATGCTGTCAGTGTGTTTCATCCCTCTCTTTGGGAGTTGGCTTTGCACCTGTCCTGGTTTCACCAAATCACAATGTTATGAATGGCTATCATTTATTATGGTAGGAAATCGTCAAATGGCTTCTGTGCACAATCAAATGCAGACTCCCCAGCATGGCCTCAGGGCCCTCCTGGCCCCTGGTTTCCTGATCTCCAGTTCCTCTGGTCTTGCTACTCTTAGACAAAGGAGGACTTCTCTTGGTTTTCTGCCTACCCAGCCAGAAGATCCCAGGCCATGGGCCTGTGGAGCCAAAGTTCTTAACCACTGCACTGTGTCACCTTTCTATGATGTCAGGCCTCAGCAAGGCTTATGAAGGAACAGGAACAGCCTTGAAAATGAAGTTGGGAAGGGATAGGCCAGGCCTCCCAGGAGCCCAAAGCTTGCAGAGTCCCCTTGGTCTCATTGGCACATGGAGAATGGATTGATCAAGTCCACCAATCAAGTTTTGTGGGTCTAACAGAGCAACTCCTGCCAAGTGGGAGGAGCTTAGGGACTTTCTATAACCTCTCCTGGGGCAGAAATGATGGGCTGCAGCAGTGTCCAATCCTAACTCCATGATCTCCTGGGAGGGCAGGGCTTCATGGCAGTTCCTGTCTGCTCTGCACTAGAAGCTTGGCATTGCAAAGGGGCTCAGCTGTGGAATGAAGCAGGGCTTCTTCCAGAAATGTTGCATGTACTTCCTATTCCCTTTCTTTATTGCAATATGGATAATTTATCATCTGAGGAGGGAGTAGAGATTCCAGGGTAGCTTGCCTAAGAGTTGTGGCTTATTAATTCCAACTTTTTGCAAGATCAAGGGGGAAAAGCAATCCCTGATTTTGTGTGAGTATGGGGATTGGGTCTTGAGGCCCTGAAAGTGAGGTTCGGGTCTCACAGATTGCTGTGAAGAGTTATTGACCCACCTAGAAGAGAAGCCTAGCCCAGGGCCTGGCGCACAGTTGATGGGTTTGCTTCCTGGTTATTCTTCCGTCCTTGTCTGGAGCCCTGCACGCCTCTTCGTAGCTTAGGAAGAACAAGCTTCTCCCTGCGGCTCAGGGTGAGGAAGTGGGAGAGAACACCAGCTCCAGGGAGGCTTCTAGCACCAGTCAGCCTCAGTTAAAATCCTTGCACCTTCATTGACTAGCTGTGTGACCTTGCACGAATCATTCCCCCTCTCTGTGCCTCAGTTTCTTCATCTGTAAAATGGGGATCATAATAGTACCTCTCTCAAAGGATTGAGGTGAGGATGAAAGGAGTGAATCCAGGAGCATGCCTGGAAGAGGCAGGAAATGCCTCCTAGACAATAGCTATTTTTGCAGCCAGACAGATCTGGGTTTGAATTCTGCCACCAGTGCTAACTACTGTGTGATTTGGGGCAAGTGCCTTGACCTCTCTGGACAGCTGTTTCCTCATCTGGAAATGGGCTTGGTAACAGTCCTGGCTTCCAAAGTTGGTAGTGTTCTTCTAGTAAGCAAGCTGTGTGAAACGGTGGAACCCTGGCCCTGGTGCAGAGAAGGGCATGATGACCGTGTTAGGGTCTGTCCTCTCTGGAACCCCCTCCTGGGAATGGCAGAGGGCAGTGGGGTGCTCTGAGGCAGGCTGCTGCCCTGTCCCCACTCCCCCTCCCCAGCTGCCCCGCCCCAGCTGTGACGACCTTGTCCCTGCCTGTCTAAGGGGCAGGAAGGAAGTGAGGAGGGCAGCCAGCAGCTTCCCCTTCTCTGCCCTGCTCCAGGCACCAGGCTCTTTCCCCTTCAGTGTCTCAGAGGAGGGGACGGCAGCACCATGGACCCCCGCTTGTCCACTGTCCGCCAGACCTGCTGCTGCTTCAATGTCCGCATCGCAACCACCGCCCTGGCCATCTACCATGTGGTGAGTGTGCGGGCCCCGGGTGTGTGTGCGTGCGTGCTTGTGTGAGTGTGAATGTCTGCGGTGACCCGTCATCTACGGAGCCCCACAAATGAAAGAACTCCTGCTCTCCACCTCTCTGGGGGACCCTGGGCAAATCCCTGTCCTGCTCTGGGCCTCAGTTTCCTTCTCTGTCAAATGGCTGGGGGTACCCTGGGGAGATGCCGCAAGAGTGAGGAGTAAGGGAGCTGGAATCCACTTTCCAGGCAAATGTAACTGACGTTCACTCCGAGGCTGGCTCCGTTTCTGCCTCTGTGAGATGGGGCACAGCAGCAGCCGGAAGGTTATTTGTGTGCAAAGCCAACAGCAGATGTGAAAGTGCTTTGGAAGGCAGGGATCTTGGGAGGAACGTGGGCTGGGATTGTTTGACCGGGATGTGAGGTCGGCCGCAGACACAGCCCCGATTCTTCCCCTGGGGCCTGGAGGGAGCCTGGGCCACTCGAGGGGATGAGAAGTGGGGATCTCCCCTTTGTGCCTCCAGTGGGGAGGCAGGGGCCGTGTCCTCTCAGCTTCCAGCTCAGTCAAACCACGGCCTTCTGCCCACCAAAGAGAACTTGAGACCTGTGCTAATCATTAGGGTAACTTGTCCGGCCCAAGCTCTTGTTGGGCAACTTGTGAAGTCACGGCTGTCACTGGTTCCTCCTTTCCTGGTGACTCACAGTGTGGTCTTGGGCAAGTCACAGTGCCCGGGGGCCAAGGCTGCCCCTCTGCCTGGGGTGGCTGAGGGTCAGTGTCCTTGTACTGTCCTGCCTAGACCCACCCTACTCCCAAACTCCTGGCCACACTCATCTCCCCTAGACCCAAGCGACTTCCTCCTGGGGTGACTCAGGGCCTGTGGTTAACAGTTTTCTCATGAGTCTGGAAGGGCTTCCTCAAAATTAGCCTAGATCCACATGCTGCGGTGGGTTGCTGCAAACTCAGACCTGCCTGCGTCTGCTTCCTGTCACAGGCAGGGCAGGCAGAGCTGTGGCAAGAGCCCAGCCTTCAGGGGGGCGATGCTGTTCAGTGGTTAGCCCACGGCCTCTGGATGCAGACTCCTGCATGCAAATCCTGGCTTCCCTGCTTCCCAGCTCTGCAGCCTTGGGCAATTTACTTAACCTCTCTGAGCCTCAGTTTTCTCATTTAAAAAAATGGGGATGTGAATTATCATACCCATCTGATAGGGTTTGTTGTGAGGCTCAGGGAGTTGATACATACAAAGCATGCAGAACCACGCCTGACGCACAGGTGAGTGCTTTATTATTCGTTGTGCATCAGACATGGCACCTGCTGTCAGCATCCTTGGAGTCAAGTTGTCAGATTCAAGGACTCTAGTTTTGGGAGGAGGAACTCAGAGGTTGTCCTTCCGAGCTCCTGCCAATGCAAGAGCTGAGAGAAGCAAATCACTCTTTGAGTGTCCCTGTACCCTGTATTTTAGGCCTTCAAGCTCTGAGACTATGCACATTCTTAGAAGGACAGTGTGGCATGCAGGGGCGCCTCACAGGTAGCAAGTCCCTGGGTCCTCACCCCAGCCCTGCCACTAACTGGCTGTATGGGCTCAGACAAGCCTCTCTCTGGGCCTCAGTTTCCCTTTTATAAAGTCAGGGGTAAGGTGATGTTGACTGGCTCAGAGGTCTCCAACTCTGATGCCTCTAGGGTCTGGGCAGGCCATGTGAGTGACAGCAGGGGGCAGATGGGGCCTGCGGTGACCCCGGGAGCCCTTGCTTGGCCCACCCTGCAGCTGTTCTCTGTTTTTGCTTGTTGTTGCCACGAAGGATTGTGGGCCCTGGTGGCCGCTCTTCTGATGTTTAGAGAATAGGGAGCAGGCTTTTGTGTCACATCTTCTGATGTTTCAATGCTAGTGATTGATGCATGGTAGAAAAAAATCTCAGTGCAGGCCAAGTCAAATCCATTTGCAGGTTGTGTGGGCCCAGAGGCTGCCCTGCAAACCCGGGACTGTGGGGCTGTTAAGGTTTCTTGTTGATCGTGCCATCCGATGTCCTCACCTGTAAATGGTGGTGTGATATACGGTCCCTGCTCACAGAGCTGAAGAATGTGTGGGCCCTAGCAATCATGGAAGACTTCTTGGAGGTGGTGCCATTGGCAGGAGGGAGAGTTTGGTTGTGGGCAGTATGGAAGGTGAGGAGAAACAGGTGAGCAATGGCGTATGTGTTCGGCTTCTACAGGGACACAATAGAGACAAACCTGGAGTTTGGGGAGGAGGTGATAAAGGTTTTGAGTGACAAGCTAAGAAGTTGGATCTTCTCTGCAGTGCACCATTGATATTTTGGGCTGGATAATTCTTCATCTTGGGGGAGTGAATTGTGCGTTAGAGGAAGTTCAGCAGCATCCATGGTCTCTACCTACTAGATACTAGCAGCACTGCCCATCTCCCTACCCTGCCACTTGTGATAACCAAAAATGTCTCTAGTTATGGGGCCCAATCTCTCCCAGTTGAGAACCAATGCCTATGAGTGATGAGACGTTCTAGAGCAGGAGCAAGCAAAAGAGCAGAGGGGTGTCCTGGAAGCTGTGCGCTCGGCCCAGGTTGTCTCCAGGCTGTGGTCCTCAGTTGACTCCAGTGGGGGGTTATCTTCCTGCACCCCGAAAGAGTCCTCTCTCCTTCCCAGAAAGGGCAGGGCCTGGGGGCTTTCCCATAGGCTAGCTGGCAACAGGTGTGCTGATAGGACCTTGAGCATCTGGATGGAAAAAGAGAAGCTGTGGTCCAGATGTGTCAATAGCCCATGCTGGCTGTCATCTGGACCCAGCCATGGGTGACGACTCTGCACATCATGAGCTATTTGTGGACTTGGCCCCTCTAGGGAGGGTTAAATTGAGACCTTGCCATCCTGAGACAGTGCCACGCTCTATTGAGTCATGAGGGCGTTATTACATGAGGGAAGCCTGGTCCGTAGCTTTGGGCTCGGGCATCTTCCTCAGGATGTCAGTGGGTTTGTGTAGAGGATTCTCTGGGTCACCCAAACTTGCACACTTTGGGAACCCAGCAAACTTTCTTTCTTTTTTTAAAAAATCTATTCTTTTTTTCAAAGTTCAGTAACTTGCCCATCTTTTGTGGTTTGATTTGTTTTGTTTTGTTTTTGTTTTTAAGAGATGGGGTCTTGCTCTGTCACCCAGGCTGGAATGCAGTGGTGCCATCACAGCTCACTGCAGCCTTGAACTCCTGGGTTCAAGAGATCCTCCCACCTCAGCTTCCTGAGTAGCTAGGATCACAGGCGCATGCCACCATGGCCAGCTAATTTTAAATATTTTTTTTTGTAGAGACAGGGTCCCACTATGTTGCCCAGGCTGGTCTCAAACCCTTGGCCTCAAGTGATTCTCCTGCCTTGGCCTCCCAACGCGCTGGGATTACAGGCATGAGCCACCGAGCCCAGTCTAGAGAAATTTCTTAAATTGGGTCTCTTGGGTCCTGGCTTTTTGTCAACCTGAAGCACGTTCTAAGTCGATGGTAGAAAGTGGACACCCCCAGAAGACACTTTTGCCCAGAAATCTCTTTCTTCCTGACCCCTCTTCCCCAGAGTGCCCGGAATTCCACTGTCAGAAATGCATTGTCTGGGTTAAAAAACTTAACACCTGCTATGATTTCAACAGTGTCAAAACAGGATACGTCAAAACTGGGCGAGGAGGAAATGTATTTGGGTTCTAGGATAGTGAAAGCTCTATTTTTTCTACTTTTCTGTATTTTCCATATTTGGTACAATGAGCACGTACTTAGAACGGTTTTAGATTTACGAAAATATTGCAAACACAGTACAGATAGTTCTTGCGTCCCCCATGCCTAGTTCCTCTATTGCTAACGTCTCAACGTTAGTGTGGTGCGTTTGTTGCAATGGGTGAATGAATATTCGTGGGCTGTTATTAAAGTCAGTGCTTCACCCCTATTTCCCCAGCTTTCCTCTTACATCCTTTTTCTGTTCCAAGATTGCATCCAGGATGCCGCGTTACATTTAGTCTTCACACTTCCTTAGGTTCCTCTTGGTATGATGGTTTCTCAGATTTTTCTTGTTTTTGATAATCTTGACAGTTCGAGGAGTATTTGTCAGGCATTTTGTCAAATGTTCTTCAACTGGGGTCTCTGGTGGTTTTCTCATGATTAGTCTGGGAATGTGCTTTTGGGAGGAAGACCACAGAGATGATGTGCCAGTCTCAGAACATCGTACTAAGAAAAGGTTCTGCCAACTTGACTTACCACTGTTGCTGGTGACTTTGAGCCCCCGGCTGAGGTTACTCCTTTGTAAAGTTACTCTTTTTTTCTCCTTTCCATGCTGTATGTTTTAGAAGGAAGTCACTATGCTGCTCCAAGCAACTCAAGTTTGATGAATGGGGAGTTCCGCCCCACCTCCTTGAGGGCAGAGTAGCTACATAAATTACTTGGAATTTCTCAAGGAGATTTGTCTGTACTCCCAGTTTATTATATAAATAAATGATTTATTTATATTACAGGGACCCAGGGATCTTTACTGTATGCTTTGGGTTATAATCCAATGGTACTTTACTTTGTGGCTCAAGTATACTACTTTTAAATTGGAAAAAAAAAAAAGTACGGCCAGGTGCGGTGGCTCATGCCTGTAATCCCAGCATTTTGGGAGGTTGAGGCGGGTGGATCACTTGAGGTCAGGACAAAACCCTGTCTTTACTAAAAATACAAAAAATTAGCTGGGCATGATGGCGGGAGCCTGTAGTCCAAGCTACGCGGGAGGCTGAGGCAGGAGAATTGCTTGAACCTGGGAGGTGGAGGTTGCAGTGAGCCGAGATCGCGCCACTGCGCTCTAGCCTGACAGAGTGAGACTCTTTAAAAAAAAAAAAGGTAAAGCATTCAAATCATAGTATTTGAAGAAGGAGTCTCTATTGCCCTGACCTCGTGCAGGTAAGTTCACCCATGTGCCCAGCCCCAGGCCGGGATACAGCCCTGACTCATTCACGGCCTCTGCCCTTGAGGGGCCAGTCTGCCAAGGAAAAACCGACGAGGACAATGGATGACATTGCTGGCTATGATGGGGGCACAGATGTAGGGCTGGAGGTTGGGATTCTGGAATAGCTTCTTGGAGGAGGTCTGAGTCTTAAGGATGAGTAGGGCTTTGCTTGGGCACCTTGGAAAAGAGGTCACGCTGGGCGGGGGGAGTAGCATGACACAGGCTTGGAGGGGAAGGACCCTGCAGTGCTTCAGAGACCTAGCAGGTTTGTCAAGCTGGGTTAGGAGGGGTGGCCACGAGGTGTGTCGGGGAGGAGGGTGGAGAGGTCCCCAGGGGTGGGACCTGCCCGAGTCCTTTGCTTTTACAAGCTTCAGAGCTAAGAAGATGGATCTCTCTTCGGCCTATCAGCTCATTTTGCAGATGGGAAAACAGGTCCAGCAGGGCCCCTTACTTGCTCCAGGACACATGGAGAGATGGGGCAGGAGCTTGCTTCAGGTCCCCCTGCTGGCACACAGGTGTGTGGAATGATCCAGAAAGTGGGCAAATGAGTTCCTTCCCTGCCCCATGGCTGGGGTGGTGTGTCTGTCTGGGAGGCCCTGCCCTCATCCAGCCTCCCACCATTCATTTCTTCTTTATGGTCCAGTTTACGGGAAGCTTCCTCCTCCAGGAAGCTCTCCTGATTTGTCCTCCTTAGAACTCCTGGGGCTCTTTTCTCTGCTCCACTTTGGGGGCAGTGATTTGTGATTGAAAGGAACACAGGCCCATCTCCATTACTTACCAGCAGTGTGACTTGAGCAGGCGGGCACCTTTGTTATCTGAGCCTTGCCTTCCTCATCTGTAAATGGGGCCAGTGGTCCCTGCCTCAAAAGTGATCATTTGGAGGAGACCCTAGCGAAGCCGGGTGGAGGGCTAGCAGGTGAGTGCCTGAAGTGGGCTGTGGAAGAAGAACACAAGGCCCCCCGCCCCTTTTTTTTGAGACTGAGTCTTGCTCTATCACCCAGGCTGGAGTGCAGTGGCGTGATCCTGGCTCACTGCAACCTCTGCCTCCCGGGTTCAAGTGATTCTTGTGCCTCAGCCTCCCAAGTAGCTGGAATCACAGGTGTGTGCCATCATGCCCGGCTAAGTTTTGTATCGTTAGGAGAGATGGGGTTTCACCATGTTGGCCAGGCTGGTCTTGAACTCCTGACCTCAAGTGATCCACCAGCCTCAGCCTCCCAAAGTGCTGGGATTATAGGCGTGGGCCATAGTGCCTGGCCCCACTCCTCTGTTGAAAGTTCATCTGTTTGGGGTTGAAAAATGGGTCCAAACTGCCAGGTGGGGAAAACCCTGGGTGAGAATCTGTTAGAACTTGCCACCTTTATGTCCAGTGCCCCTGGGCTGGACAGAGAGGCCACGTTCTCTGCCACTGCAGCTCTGTGCGCTTCACGGAGGGGTGAGGAGGCCGGTGGGGGCAGGGTGGGAGTTGTAGCCCCTCCTCAGTGTCAGAACTGAGTTGTTCTCCTCACCTCAGGGGTGTGAACCCCAGCTTCTAAAAGCAGGAGGCCCCCATGGCCCATCCCACCCAGAGAGTGGCTGAAGGGCCTAGCCTGGCCTGGCCGAGACTTCTCTGTTGCCAACCTGGCCCCGAGGCCTCCAGGAAGTGAGGCTTTTATTTTGAGCCTAGAGCATCAGCCTGGAACCAGGACTTCGCTCTGAGCTCACTGTGAGGCGAGCGTTGGTTTCCCAGGGGACCCCACCCTGCCAAGGGAAGTGGCACAAAGCACCCCCTAATGAGGCAGGAAGCAAAGCCATGAGCTGCACTGCCTCAGCCCTGCACAGGGGCTGCTTGGGACAAGGCACCCGTCCCCCAGCCTCAATTTCCTCCCTGGTCAAGTGGGATTCAGTAACTACCATTTGTGGCACCGGAAAAATGGCAGCTGCCACGGGGGCCTCCATTTTACAGATGAGGAAACAGGCTCAGGAGGGCAAGTGACTCTGCAGCCTGTGTTAGATAAAGAACCCGAGCCCAGGTGTCTGCTCCAGGTGGAGGCAGGGAAGGCAGCCTTCCTGGCAGCCATGGGATGGGGGAGGGGGTCAGCTCTGCCATCCCCAGAGCCTTGTTCTGAGAAGCACAGAGCCCATGTGTAAAGAGCTGATTTCAATTTTACCTGCAAAATCAGAAAAATATGGGACTCATGTTAGAACCTGTCTCTCAAGACTGGCGCGAGGTTGACACGAGAGAGTGTATGGTCAGTCGGCCCTCCCTATCCGCAGGTTCCACATCGTGGATTGCAGATTGAAAATACTCAGATGCAGAGCCCGTGATACAGAGGGCCGACTGTATAAGTTCAGAAGAGGACCTGGCGTCTAATAAATGCACAACAATAATAGTATCAATACTTATTATCACTATTGTGGGTCTTTGCTCTGAAGATAAAGGGAGAAGTGATGGTTTTAGGGAATCGTTTGGGGAGTGGAGGGTGCTTCCCCAGATATCTAGGAAGTGGAGAATGACAGGGCCTTGTGTCATACCTGGAGGCCAACTCTGAGCCCCCCACTGGCTGCTCCTAAAGGGAGATTTGATAAGCTACCACCAGCCAGAATATCTCTGCTGCTGGGATTCACTGGTACTGTTTGCCTTTGGGGCAAAGTTAGCTGCTAGCGCCCAGTCACAGCACTTCCTGTGCTGCAGGTGACAACCTCCTCCAGCGCCATCTGAGCCGTCCGAGTCTAGGTTCTCTAGGTTTTGCATGAGCCGTCACATCTCCTGCATGCTCTTTCCCCTTTCTCTCTAACCCCAGAGGCCCCACCCCTGCCAAACCGGTGGATCCGTGTGTTCCCCCAGCCAACTGCTGCCATTTACTGAGGCCTGCTGCGTATTCAGCACATGGATGACGCCAAATCACAGTTTACTAAGAGGAACGTCTTGCCGTTTCCTGAATGCGTCTCATGCACACTGGCCTCTGCTCATGCCCTTTCCTCTGCCTGGAACACTTTTTCCATTGCTCTTTCGGGGAATCTTCTTCAAGATCCACCTCCTCTGAGAAGCCCGCCCTGACCCCTACGGTTGGACCCTGAGCTCTGGGTGTTGACCCAGAGCCCTGTGTGCTGGGTCCCTGGGAGTCGTGCCCTCTGGCCTGGATGCTCGTTTGGGTCTTGACCCAGCCTGATTCATCTTCATGATCCCGTGGAACCTGGCACAGGAGGTGCCAGCCAATCTCTATTTGATTTTTGCAAACCTTTTCTTGATGTATAATTTACCTATAGAAAAGCACAGCTATCTTAAGTGCACACCTTGGTGGGCTTCTACAAGGTGAACACACCCATGTGACCTCCACCCAAACTAAGAAATCAGACCAGCACCCAGAGGCCCCTAGAGCCCCCGCCTCGCCACTGCCCCGCCCCCACTGACTTCTGCCTGTCTATGTAGTTCTATAATACATACATCTGTAGAATTACGTAGAAATGAAATTCTGCAGCGCGTGTTCTTTTGTGAGCAC
The DNA here is from genome assembly GCF_000001405.40 of Homo sapiens. NCBI lineage: Eukaryota > Metazoa > Chordata > Mammalia > Primates > Hominidae > Homo > Homo sapiens. Next base: position 30,749,233 of record NC_000001.11, on the reverse strand, counting down.
TTCTTTCTCCCAACGTTATGTTTGGGAGCTTCGTCTGTGTGGTTGCGGGTAGCTAACTCATTTTTTCCATTGCTGTGTATACTCCATTGTATGAATCTACCACAATGCATTTGCCTGTTTTCCTGCAAAATAACATTTGGATTGATTCCAGCTTGGGGCTGTTACAAATAAGGCAGCCATGGCCACCAGGCTCCGTGCTGGGTGTCCACACACAGGCACCTGTGCTGCTCAGTTGATCTTTCTGAATCACTGTCTTCAATGATTTACTTCTCACACCCACTCCAGGAGGTGGATGGATTCTTCTCTCCCTTCTACAGATGAGGAAATGTTACAGATGAAGTAACATGGCCAGGCCAGGATCCCACAGGGGATCAGCGGCTGCACTGGGGTTCTCACTGAGGTCTGTGAGCCCCAGAGCCCAGTGGAGGGAGGAGGGGATGAGGTGGAGGCGGCGGGTGAGGACGAGAACTGCGGAAGAGTGAAGAGGAGAGAGAAGCCAGGCTCTGGGGAGCTGCAGGCAGCCAGGCCGGGCTGCTGCGGAGTGCGTGGCCCCAGGAATGGGGGCGTCTGGTGGTATCTGGGCTGGCTGGAGAGGTGGTTGGGGAGATAGTGCTCTTGGGGGGCTGGCCCCCACTGAGCCCTCATAAGCTCTGACCAGAAGCACAGGGTGGGGAAGGGGAGCTTCCTCTTGATGGTGACACATCTGACTCCCTTCTCACATCCTCCTCCCAGGCAACCCAGGGAAATCAGGGTGGGCAGGTGAGGTTGAGGGGACTGAGCTTCAGGGAGGGGCCATAATAATAATGATGATGGCAGAAGTGTGAGGCTGTAGGACACAGGGTCAGGGTGGAGCAGCCCTGAGGGGGAGGGGCAAGGGAGGGCTCTGGCACTTGGGACCCATATGGCAAACTGCATTGTCTGTTGGGAAGGGTTGAAGACAAGCCCGGGCCTGTCTTCTTGTGCAGCCTCTGTCCTGGGCTCGCACATTTGGTAGGAGGAGCCAATGAAGTAAACGGATAGGAAAGTGTCCACACTCTGGCTGGCACGGGTGTGTGCTCACTGACGGCTGGGTCCTTTCTCTATAACCTTTACCTCCCTGAAAATCTCAGATGGTGGGTCTCCGCCTGCCTGCTTCTGAGACGGTGGGTCCTGGGCCTCAGGGAGTGAGAGAGAGTGGGCCTGCTCTCCTGCAGAAGGGACTGGTCTTTGAACCCCAGAATCGGGGGTTCTTGTGTCATCACCACCATCCACATGATATTCCTTATCACCATCCTATCCTGATGTCCCCATTGCCGTCACCCCCATCACTGTCACCAACATCACCAACAGCATCTCTGATCATCACTGTCATCACCACGCCAACTCCAACAACATCCCAACAGCCACTCCCCGCCTCACATGGTCACCATGGCCAGTGCCTCCCAGGTGACACCTGGTGCACTGTTTTCACCGCATCCCCTCTGGTACCGCCATCCTTATTGCCCAGCCATGTTCAATACTGACCCCATTGTCCCCATCTTCCCTGATTTCCATCCTCCAGCCCCTGCCCCCATTCTTTTAGCTCAACCTGTTGCTTGCTCCTCAGAGCCACCAGGAAAAGAAACAAATCCCCCTGCCCCTGGCCACTTCCCCAACTGGCCAGCTTGGGGAAGCTGTGTTTGTCATTAAGAAAGAAAGGCTGCGTGCAGACGGGAATAAGAACTGAAACCAAAGATGGGCAGAAGAAGAGGTGAAAAGCGGGAAAGGAGAGTGGGGGTGGGAAGGGTGGCTGAGCATGGCTGGGACCGCAGCCTGAGCCTGGCTTGGAGGCAGGAGGACAGAGCTGATTTTGACCCTGCGACAGTTTTGGTGTGTGACCTTGGGCTGGTCGCTGTCTCTCTCTGGGCCATATTTCCCCGCTGGTAACATCCTCCTCTCAGGGAAGAGACACTCCCGTGCCTTCTGAGTTTCCCTGAAGGGACTGAAACACACCTGCACCACCAGGCCTGTGGCTTTTGCACATGATGTCTGCTCTTTTGGAATGCTTTCTTCTCTTCTGTGTTGGAAAACTCCTACTTGCCCCTCAAAGCCACGCTCATGGGTTTCCTGTTGGTGAAATTCTCCCTAAGTTTTTTAGACAGCAATGCGCTCTCCCTCATCAAGGACCCCAAGCCCCATGCGTGTCCTCTGTCATGGCTCTGAGCACACCATTCATGTATCGAGTTCCCTGGAGACTGTGACACCGGCACGCCAGGGTCAGTGGCTTTTCTAGACAGAGTTTGGAGGCGGTAGGTGCTCAGAGAGTGTTTACTGAGAGTCAGTGAATGCCCAGAGGTAGCAAAAACCACCACCCAATTGTGCTTGTTTATGGTGCACCTGCTGTGTGCCCGGCTCCGCGCACCACACGATTCCATTTGACCTCAGCAATCCTGTGAGGCAGGTCAGTGATTATCCCCATTCCTCAGATGAGGAGCCGAGGCCCAGAGAGGTTAGTGGCTGGCTCAAGGGTGCAGAGCTCGGCTGGGGCCTGGGGCCATCTGACCCCAGCACCCGAGCTCTTATCTTCATGATCTCACCAGCATAGAATGAAGGGACAGTGGGTGAAAAGATGCTGTAATTGGGGAGCAAGTGGGTGAGGGCATGCTGTCTGCCTGCGCATTGTTGGGGGAGAGAAGCCTTGTACCTGTCATGGGATGGCTCGGGTCCCAAGGTCACAGCCCAGCTGGGCTCTCAGAGCTTGGGGAGAAGGCAGCGCTGTGTCCAGGTGGAAACCGGGGACATGAGGGGAAGGCAAGGGCTTGGAGGCTTGGAAATGTTGACTGTCTGCATACTCTGTAGGTCGGCCAGGTACTTTCCAGGAACTACCAACAGCTGTTGGTTAGGGACATGGGTGGGGCAGTGAGGGCCTTCTGAGGGGCAGGGTGCTGGCCCTGGGGTGGCTGGGGGTGGAGGACTGTGGGCAGCCTGGGTGAGATGTCCTACAGTGTGTAGGAGCTCCACCCCACTGACCCTCCTGCGTTCTGTCATCCCAATGGCCCCAGGGGAAAATGAGGGTCTCTTCTCATTGACCAGAATCGAAAGCTGAGGCCAGGGAGAAGCCAGAACCTGGCCAGGGCCACACAGCAGTGAGGCAGTGGAGGAGGCCTCCTGCTCCCCAGCTCTTGTCTCCTGAGCTCTGAGTGGCTGGGGCTGGGGCTTGGTTGCCAGGGAAGGGTGGGCAGATGGCTAGAGAGATCCTGGAGCCTCAGGGGAGCAAGTTCAACCTTGTGGGGAGCCCTGACCCCAGGAGAGAGGCAACAGGGTTCACACCCCAGCCGGGCCACGTGACACAGGACATGTGAGTTCTCTCTCAGCCTCCATTTCCTCATCTGTAAAACGGGAAAATGTTGCCTGTCTTGTAAAGTTTTGGGAGATTGCAGTGCAAGCCTGTGCGTGCAGGTCTGAGCACACAGTAGGTGCTGAATAAATGTGAGTTCCTCTCCATCCTATGTCCTAGAGAGCCACATGGGTGCCTGGAGAGCCGAGCTTCCTCCCTTTCTCCTGGGTCAGGGCCTGGCATCTTCGTGGAAGGTCGGGGCCCCTCAGAGTCTAAGTCAGGCTCTGAGGTTGCCTCGCTCTGTGACTGTGGGCTGGTCCCCTGCCCTCTATGAGTCTCGTGAGCCATCCGGCAATGGGGACAAAGTCCTCCCTCGTCCCCTGCCGCAGGGTTGTTGAGAAAAGGTGAAATGGGGGAGGGTGAGCCTGGGTTTTAAATGCAGGTGGTTTTCACAAAAGTAGAAATACCTCTGGTGCCTGGTGCTGGGGCTGAGGGGAGGGAGGGGGGACTGCAGAGGGAGAGGGGATGGGGGCGCCTCTCTGCCTCCACTGAGGCACTGAGGGGAAGGGTTAGGCCTTAGGCAGAGCCCGGGTGGCTGGAAGATGCCGGGCAGCGGAGGGAATTGGCCAAGATTTGAACCCTAGCCCTGCATATGACCAGCTGGGAGGCCTTGGGCAAGGCCCTGGACCTCTCTGAGCTGCACTTTCTTCGTCTGTGAAATGGGAAGGAAAGTATTAAGAATAGTCCCTTTTCTGGGTAGTGGGGAAGATCATGTGGCATGGAGTTAGGCTGTACAAATGTCCCCTTCTTCCCCTGGGGTGATTGGAGGGGTTACAGGGCAGTAAGGGATGCTTGGAGGAGAACAGAGGAGTTGTAGGGGGAGTTGAGGATTAGTAGAGGTCTCTAAAGTCGGGTAATGTCCAAGGTGACCTCATGGCCTCAGGAGGACAATATTAAAATTTCTAAATTTTTCCATCATATAATTTTTTAATTTCTGGAAATTTTTTAGTAGCTGTTTTATGATGTTCATGATAAACTAGGACAGCAACACATGCGTGTAATTTAGAAAGAAAGAAAAATAGAGGCGTGTGTGCAAAAGGTTTTACTGACATAGATGCATGATCAAAATATCTAAGTCCTCTCCGGGGTTCAGGCTAGCAGGGCTCTGAGGCATTTTGGGGGTCAGGGGAATGGGAAGGCATCAGAACAGCACTGGGAGACTTGGGCTCCTCCCTCAACTTGCTGTGTGTCCTTGGGCAAGCCACCTAATCTCTCTGAGTTTATAAAACAAGCAGAGGAAGCTTATAAAACAAGTACATGCAGGCTCCTTCTAGCAAGGGGAGGTTGAGATGATCTGATTCTAGGCTTTGTTCCAGATCTCAGATAATCCTGGAATCTTGAGACTTTGAAAGTCTTCTCATTTCACAGCTGGCAGATGCTCATGGTCCTTCTCTAAGCCCAGCTGTGACTCATCTGTGATCTGCTTACATACTCCCAGGAACAGGGAGCTCACCACTTCACAGGACACCCCGTTCTGTGCTGGACGGAGCTGTCATCTGCCTCCCTTTCTCTTTCTCTCGTTCAAGGTGAAACTGAGAGGAGAGGGGCTGCGGCCTGGCCTTTAGGGGCTGAGGAAGGAGTTTTTTTCTCTCAGGGCTGTTTCCTGTGAGTGTCAGCCACAGCCCTCACCACACCTGCCTTCTTTTTGGGGTGTTCTCAACTTTCCTGATGAGACAAAGCCTTTCCAGCTCACTCTTTAGCAGGTAGAGGGGGCAGTTAGAGCATGCACCGTGCTCCTGGTACTACTGCCGAACCACGTAAGCTTGCCCCAGCCAAAAGCAGATTCTGTTTGCTGGGCACCCCCTGCCAGTCCCTGAGCTCAGTGCTTTGCAAATATAATGCAATTTAATCTTCACTAAATCCAGTGATTGCAATTTTCCAGATGAGGAAACTCAGAGAGGTTAAGAGACTTGCCCAAGGTCACACAGTGACCTGGATTCAAAATCCTCTTGATCTGATTCTGGAGCCCAGCTCTTCATCACTCTTCCGTTCAGTCCCTTTCCACGCCCCTAAACAGGATGTAATGTGGCAGGAAGACAAGTTGAGACCTGTGTCTGAGCTAAAAAAAAAAAAAAAAAAAAAACCCACACAGTCAGCAAGGGGGAAACAGATGGTGGGTGGCTGGTTGCCTGTCAGCTGAGCATGAGTTACCAGTGCAGGGCTGCCTAGAAAGCCGATGTAAACTTAGGGCCATATTAATAGAGATAGGGCACCGACTAGAGGGGAGGGGACAGTTTTCTTGTTCTTTATATGGGCAGAGGTTACCTGGAGAACTGTATGTATGTCATAGGGGAAGGGTGGAGGGCTTGCTGTGAGGACATGGACACACATAAGGTTGTGAGTTCCCCATGGCTGGAAGCACTTAAGTAGAGGCTGCATGGCACAGGTTTATGGGAGGCATGGATAAGGTGACCTCCAAGGTTCTTTAAAACTGCAGTTTTGTGGCTGAACTTCAGTTGTTTCTAGGGCCACCCCAACACTCAGGCCTATCAGATTCGCCCCTTCCACATCATTCTTAGCAAGGGTCATCTGAGAGTGTGGGGTTCATTTGTTCATTCATTCATTCATTCATTCATTCAACAAATACAACAGCTAGGGGAATGAACAAAGAGACATACAGGCTTTCCCTGCCTGGAACCTACAGTCGAATGGGGATAATGGATAACAGCACAGATTGAGTGCTTACTATCTGCCAGGTACTTTAAGTGAATTATCCCATCTGGCCCCACCACAATCCTATGAGGAAGATGTTATTGTTCCCTGAGGGGCCATGGGAGACAGAGATTCAGGGTTAGATGCTCTCCAGGGCCCTCCTGGGCCTGTGTTGATGATTCCGGGAACCTGAAGCTCTATGGTGCTCTCTGATCCCCAGAGCTTGTTGTTACAGAAGGGGATGCAGTGGAGGGGCCTTCAGCTTCTACCCCCCACCCCACCTCTTTAAGCCTGACCTTCAGTAGTAACAGTTACCACTCTTCCTGAGAACTGGGCCTAAGGGCTCTCCTGGGATAGTCTCATTTACTCCTCACAGTAGCCTCCTAAGGAAGTTACTAGTATTATCCCCATCTTGCAGATGGGAAAACCGAGGCACATAGAAGTCAAGTAGCTTGCCCAGGGTCACATAGCTGGAGAGAGGAAGACCCAGGATTCTGAACATGGGCTCTCTGTGTGTAAAGGCCACTCTTTTGTCTGAGATGCCCTACTGACCTGGCATGCCATCTGCTCCAGGATCCCCACTACTGGCTTCCCTGCTGTACACCACTAAGGTGGGAGGGGCTGGTCGGGGGGCCGTGATGCAGGCTCAGCTGACTGATGCTTTGCTTTGCCTCCAGATCATGAGCGTCTTGTTGTTCATCGAGCACTCAGTAGAGGTGGCCCATGGCAAGGCGTCCTGCAAGCTCTCCCAGATGGGCTACCTCAGGATCGGTAGGTCCAGGGGACGCCGGTGGAGTGGCGGGGGGAGGAGGACAGGGAGGGCCCTGGCCAGGGATAGCCAGGCTAGTGTTGGAGGCACTGCCACCTCTCCATGGACGATGGATGACCTCTGGCAAGTGTCTTCCTTTCTTGGGGCCTCAGCTGTTTCATCCGCAAATGGGGATGTTCCACCTGACCCCACCCACATCTGCAGGTGGTGAGAGCAGATGGAATGGCACTTTGCAAATCCCCACCAGCTGGTAAAGGTGATAGCCTCACTCTTCTGCTTAAAGCCGTCAGTGGCTGCTCATCACACTAGAATAAAATGGAAACTCCTCACCATAGGATCCAGCCTCTGCCCACCTCTCTGACAGCATCTCCCTGCGATTCTCCACCCCACACCTTGCTCCAGCCACACTGACCTCACCAACCCTGTCCCTGTCTCAGGCCGATTCCTCATTGCTCTCAGGCCACTCCCCAGGGATGCCTTCCTCAGCCTCACCCTGGCTGAAGTGGACCCCAGCCTGCACCTCCAGCCCAGCACCCTCTGTCGCATCCTCCTGTGCTATGTGTGATGTTCTGCTTTTGTCTTTGTACTCACTCCAGACTCAGGACTGCAAGAGGGCAGGGCCTGGGCTTTCCTGTGCATCCTCATGTCCCCAAACCAGTGGTTCCCCAAGTGTGGTCCTGGGAGCCTGGCTGGGGTCCCAGGGGCACCCCTGAGCACCTCCCTGCTCTCCTTGCCTTTCAGCTGACCTGATCTCCAGCTTCCTGCTCATCACCATGCTCTTCATCATCAGCCTGAGCCTACTGATCGGCGTAGTCAAGGTGAGGGCTCAGGAGCCCCGCTGCCCCCTGCCCCTTCCTGTTATTCACACCCACTGGTGGTGGGCAGTGCTGGGTGCTGAGAGGGTGGGAGGCGGGTATGTTAGGCGGTCCCACCTGCGTTCTGGAGATCTTCACACATACCTTTTGGAGAACCATGTTTCTCCCTGAGATTCCCTGGGCAGGTGACCTCAGTTCCCTGGTAACATGAGCCTCCACGGGGCCGGGCATGGTGGGCTATGCTGGTCACCGACACTTTGGTGAGAACTAGCTGATGACTCACATCCTTTTAAACGGCAGGTGGAAGCAGGGAATTTTGAGAGTGAAAAGAGGAAGTGTTGTTTCTGGGGGTGAGAGACGGGAGAAAGCACTGGATTTTGTAATGGATGAGAGGAGCCGAAGAAGGGGGAAAGTAGGATGCATGCAGCTCTATCCATGCAGTGACAGGAGCCAGCACCCTGAGGGGGACCTACGCCCTGGAAGGCCCCCAGAGAGCTCATGATCTGATTGGGGAAGATGGGCCTTCAGAGAGACAGGGACAGTCTAGTGTGACAACGAGGGGCTCCTGGGCCCGAGGCAAATCTGGTGGGAGAGTTGAGATGGGCTGTAGCTCAATCCCCTGCAGAAGAGGAACCCGCGGTCCCTGGGTCCCCAGAAAGGCAGGAAGCCAGGGCCTCACCACATAGCCATGGGAGTAGGATCCAGAAAGAGGGTCCTTCCTGTGCAGACAGGGGCCTGGCCCTTGCAGGGCCGGAGGAGTGGGGCGATGATTTGGTGCTGGTTTGGAATGCGTCCACCCTGCCTCAAATGCCAGCACCCACTCCCCTTGCTAACACTCACTCTGTCTTGGAACCCATGCTGCCTGGGGAGGCCGTTTGCCTTGTGCAGGGTGGCTGTGGGTGCTTGTGCAGAAACTCAAAGGGTTCAGCTAGAGAAATGGAGAAATGGAGCAGGTGGTCCCTGAAGACTCTGAGATCAGTCAAGATTGTTCTGGTTGCCTCCTGAGTGATTTTAGACGACCACATGAGACACCAGGAAACCACTGTTGCAGTGATTTTGTCCCCAGCTGTGAGAGCATATGAATGAATACTGGTCATGGTGGTCACTTGCTTTCAATTGAAGAAGAGGGACTTCAGCCTCTTCCTGGCAGGGCCTCTTACTGTGACTTTGGACCCCTGGGAGTGGCTGGTGGAGGAAGGTCCAATTGTATGCGGGGCGTGGTGGGGAGTGGGGGGTGGGGGGGAGGGGCTCTCTGCTGCCTCCGGGCCTTCACTCATGTTGGTCTTTCTGCCTCCAGTGCCCCGCCCCTCCCTCCTGTTCACTCCTAGTCTCCTTCCCCGATCTAGCCCTGGTGTCCCCACCTCCAGCAAGTCCTCTCTGGTCCCCTCTCCTCTGTAAAAAGTGCACAAAGCCCTTCCTTGCTGGGTTCTTGTGAGCAAATTGAGTCAAATCCTGCTCTTTGAGCCCTGATAGATGGGGATGGTTCCCTTACGTCTCCTGGGACACCAAGACTCCTCTCATTCAGGGCCTGGGTCTTATCCACTCCCTGTCCCCAGAGTGTCACTCAGAGGGAGGTGACCTCAACTGAGGAGGGCAGGGAAGGTTTGGGAGAGGGTGGGAAGGGGATGCATGAGGATATCAGGCTGGGTGGCGGAGTGTTGGCTGCATGCAGGGGACACTTGACGGTGCTGGGCCTACCTTTCAGAACCGGGAGAAGTACCTGCTGCCCTTCCTGTCCCTGCAAATCATGGACTATCTCCTGTGCCTGCTCACCCTGCTGGGCTCCTACATTGAGCTGCCCGCCTACCTCAAGTTGGCCTCCCGGAGCCGTGCTGTGAGTACCCAGCCCCCACCTCTCACCGGACAGCAGAGCCCAGGTCTGGCATGGGAGATGGGAGGGGACCAGACACGGGCCCTGTGCTCAGGCTGGGGAGGGTAGGAGCCCTCTTCCTGGCTGGTGTCTTGACCCAGTCTCTGAGTCCCTCCACATTGCCCCAAGTTTCTTCCTCTGTGGAATGTACCTGCAATCACATCTCATCAGCCTGCCTTATGAGGGTTACATGAGGAACACACACATTGGGGGTGCAGCCCATGGTCAGCACTCAGTCAGTGCTGCTGGGAGTGAATTGACACCTGAGGAAAGGACATGTGCGCTTTTTAGCCCCCAGCCCCCAGTATTATTTCTTCTTTGGAACCAAGTTGAAGAAAGGAAGAGAAGGATGATTCATGCCAGTGAGCGCCCACTGTGGGGTGGCTTGAGGGCTGCTGCCAGTCAAGGACACAGTCTCCCAAACCTGCTTTTCTCACTCTCCCCAACTGTTGTCCTTGAAGAGACCGGGGGGCTACATCATGGAAGGGCCCTGGCCCGGGAGTCTGGAGACCTTGGTTCTAGTCTTGGGTCTGCCACCAGCTCTTGGTATGAACATCTGTGTGTTCATGTCTCTCTGTGCACAGGGGACGAGAGTCACTGATGTCTGTAGCTGAGACGGTCTCTCAAGTGAGGGCCTACTATGTGCCGCTCAGTAACTGGGACTTTAATTGCTGCTCCTCATTCCTCCTCCTTGTATTTGTCCTCCCCAGAGCTCCTCCAAGTTCCCCCTGATGACGCTGCAGCTGCTGGACTTCTGCCTGAGCATCCTGACCCTCTGCAGCTCCTACATGGAAGTGCCCACCTATCTCAACTTCAAGTCCATGAACCACATGGTGAGTCTGGGGCAGGGAACCATGCCCATTTGCTGGCTGTGTGGCCTTGAACAGGTTACTTCACGTCTCTGTGTGTCTGTGGTTTAGGCCAGGTTCCCTGGAGTTGGAGCTTGGGAGGAAGATTCTTGTGCTGGTGATTTATTGAGGGAGCCCTCTCAGGAAGAAACTTGTCAGGAGTGAGGAAGGCAGGTTCGAGAAAAGGAGGAAGCCAAGCAAAGAAGCAAAGATGTGGCTGTAGGAGCAGCCCTGCATGATCCCAGAGAGGGCTTTGGCATGTGAATTGCAACACAGACATAATATCAGTTTTTATTGTTGTCTAATGAATTATCTCTAAGCATCATGGCTTAAAGCAATAAACATTTATTATTTCACACAGCTTCTGAGGATCAGGAGCTTGGGAGTGGCTTAGCTGGGTTCTTCTGACTCAGGGACTCTGGTGGGGCTGCACCAGAGATGGTACCTGGGGCTGTGGACAACTGAGGGCTTGATTAGATCTGAAGGATGAACTCCTGGTGGCTCACTCACAGGGCGTGGGCTCTTTGCCTAATTCCTCATCCTGTGGACTTGTAGTAGTGCTGCTTGAGTGCTCTCCTGACATGGCTGCTGGCTTCCCCTGCGGGAGTGATGTAAGAGATAAGCAAGGAGGAAAGGCAGTGTCTTTTAAGACTTCTATCACTTCTGCCACATTCTGTTAGTTAGAAGTGCGTTGCTAAGTCCAGCCCACACTCAAGGGGAGAGGAAATAAACACCACCTTTAGAAGGGAGGCGTCTCAAAGAATGTGTGGTAATATTTGCAAATGACCACAGAGGCAGTCTCACCTAGGGCGAGTTCCCCTGCATCAGTCATTGGTTTCAAGCTGCCCCTAGGGGAGGGAATGTAACCTCCCAGGTATTAGTGGATTAGGTGGTCCCTGTCAGCCAAAATGATCTTGTAGAGAAGAGCATAGGTGTGGCCCATGGGCAGCTGACACCTGCCAGCTGGGGATGGGCCGGTGCGCCAGCCTGGGAAGCAGATCTGGAGATAGTAGCCACTTGGCTTTTCTTGGTTTGCCCGTCAGTGGGATGGGGCTGAAGGTAGCACCTGCTTCCTAAGGCTGCTGTGGCGGTCGACCAAGGTGACGGCTGTGCCACGCTGTGCTCGTGTGTGTGTGGAGGGTGGGATCATTATTCCCGGATGTGTGGGTGCTGTTGGAATTCCTTATGTCCAGAGACATTGATGTGGCCCCCAAATCTGTTGCAGAATTACCTCCCCAGCCAGGAGGATATGCCTCATAACCAGTTCATCAAGATGATGATCATCTTTTCCATCGCCTTCATCACTGTCCTTATCTTCAAGGTGAGTGGATCCCTGCCCTGCGGCTCTGGGAGGGGTGGTGAGGCTGTGCTGGGCCCAGGCCTGCCCATGCCAAGCTGTTAGAAGGCAGGGACATGTGTCCTCCATGCCTCCTCTCCTGCTTTTAGCTCCTTTCTCTTGCTTTCCCATGCCAGCTCCTCTGACTTTACTTGGGATCCTCCGAGACAGCCCATTTAGGGCATGTGAATCCGTAAAGGCCACCTGCGTTCAGATGTCTAATTCCAGCTGTCTGGAATTAGATTTGGACTGGCCTGCGTTTGAATCCAAGCCCCACTGTCACTAGCTGCGTGGTTGGTCTTCAGCAAGTCACTTCTCTCTGGGCCTCAGGGGCAGGAGTCTTGTTTTGCCTGTGTTACAGTTTTATGTAATTCAGGCATCAAAATGTACCTGAGATTATGTTAATAGAGGTTTGGTGATGAGAAGGCAGGAGGGGAATGGTCTCATTCTTCTCTGGGGTGGTCAGGCCCAGAGGATAGGGTCCAGCTTCAGGTCCCAGGTCTGAGTGATGGTGAAGCACTGGAGTGTGTTCACAGCAGTACAACCAGCAACGTGAAGAGACAAGAAAACGCTGCCATCTTAGGAAGTCAAAAAACCCCCACAAAACCCAACAAAGACCTGAGCGTTTATTCAGCATGGAAAATAGAGGACTCAAGGGGGACCTGACTGCTGTTTCTTAATACCTGAAGAACTCTTGTGGGGAATTTTGTGGGATCCTAGAGGCCACAATGGGGGCCTGTGGCCTGAAGCCACAGGGATGCTGATGACCACAGAAGGAAGGGCTTTTAAAAAGTGTTCTTTTCTGATTATAAAAGTAACATAGGTCATAGTAGAAATTTAAAAACTACAGATGAGCTGGATGTGGTGGCTCACATCTGTAATCCCAGTGCTTTGGGAGGCTGAATTGGGAGGATTGCTTGAGGCCAGGAGTTCAAAACCAACCTGGGCAACATAGCAAGATTCTGTCTCTACAAAACATAAAAAAAAAAAAGTTGGATGTGGTGGCGTGTGCCTGTAGTCCCAGCTACTAGGGAGGCTGAAGCGGGAGGATCGCTTGAGCCTGGGAGGTTGAGGCTGCAGTGGGCCATAATCATGCCACTGCACTCCAGCCTAGGCGACAGAGTGAGAATCTCTCTCTAAAACAAAAAACAAAAACCAAAAAACTACAGATAAGTAGAAAGAAGACAAGCACTCCACCATCCACACCCCACACAGAGAGCATCACTGCTGACAACTGGGTGCATTTCCCCCCAGCCTTTCTGTGGTGGTGGGTGGGCATCTGCAGACCCCAGCTCCTGCTTCCATCTGAGGCCCTGGGCAGTCTCTGCTGTCACCTAATGCCAACCTAGAAACAGAACCTTGCCCCTTTTAGCATCTTCTCCAAGGACTGACCTAGCACAAACGCACTAGTGAGTGTACAGTGAGAACACCCCTGAAGGCCTCATGGGGGAAGCCAGTGTGGGCTTTCCATGGCACTCTCTACTGCAGGACCCCTCCGCAGACCCCAGCACACAGCTCCGTCCCCCAGCTCCCCTTCTGTTTTTTATCCTCCAGAATGAGGGGCTTCCCTCTTTGACCCTCATTCTGCCTCTCTGGCCCCCTCCACCGACTTGATTTTCCCTGGGCCTTCATGCTTCATTCTTTGTCACTCCGTACCTCCATATGTCTCCTTGCCCCACCTATGTGCCCATCAGGGAATCCATCAAACAAGACCTTCCAGTACAGGACCCTCTCCTCTTACTCAGGGGGCATCCTGGGGGTTTTCTGTTGTTTCTTGAGCTTGCCCCTTGGGATTGTATGCCCCACTCTGGAAAGCTTCTGCCCAATTCTTACATTAACTTGCATCAGCTGATGGACATGTACTAACTGTTCCTCCTTTATAAACATGGACCAATACTGCACATGCTGTTTTGTAATCTGCTTCAGAAAACAACATATCGGAAGCAATTTTGAAGAAAACATGTCCCACCATCAGCTCTGTTTCGAGATGGGCAGGGCTGTCTCAGGAGGTAGTGAGCTTCCAGGCAGTGTGGGCAGTCAAGCAGGAGCTGTGGGACTATTGCCAGGGAAATTGGAGGGTGGGCTAGAAGCCCCCCAAATCCCCTTGCTATGTGGTATCTGTGGGGCAATGAAAAGGGCAATACCTGGAATATTCTGGACTGGCTGGTGAGGAACCCCCAACCAGAATGAGAGGTCCGAGCAGGAGCAGCTGGATGCTGGCTTCTGGAGAGAGTGGTGGCTCCTGCCTGGCATATGTCCTAGGCCTGCTGGAGCGTGAGAAGGACGCTCAGCAAAGCACAGCCTGACCTGGGCCTTTTTCCAGGTCTACATGTTCAAGTGCGTGTGGCGGTGCTACAGATTGATCAAGTGCATGAACTCGGTGGAGGAGAAGAGAAACTCCAAGATGCTCCAGAAGGTGAGTGTGGCTGCAGGTGGGTGCCAGCCCTGTCACTAACTCCCTGTGCCATTTGGGTCAAGTTTCCTTCCCTCTCTGGACCTTGGTTTCTCTATTTGTAAGATGAGGGTTGGAACAGAAGAAATGTGTTCTCTTTCAGTTCTGGTAGTCTAAGATTCATTCACTCACTCATTCATTTATTCAGTATTTACTGCCTCTCACTCTTTGCTAGTCTCATATCGATTCCAGGAGGCGCAGAGAAAACTAAGATGCCACCTCTGCCTTAGAGGAGTGTACAGTTCAGACACATAGATACAATTACAACTTGGTGTGAAGCACAGGGACAATAAGCACAGAGGAAGGACCTGGCCTCTTCTCAGGTATCAGGGAAGCCTTCCTGGAGGAGGTGACAGTTAACTGGTCTTGGAGGGTCAATGGATATGAGATAGCTGGGAAAGCAGAAGGAGGCTTTCCGGGAAGAGAGGATGAGGTGTGCTTAGAAGCAGCTTATTGGAAAGTGACGGTTTAAATTCCTGGTAACTTACTTTCCTCACCTGTAAGGTGGAGATTGTATTAGCTAAGACACTTTTGGTTGCAAGTGGCAGAAACCCAACTCAATCTGACTTCAGGAATTTACTAGCTCACAGAACTTAGCAGCCAAATGTAGGTCTGGCTTGGGCCTGGCTGAGTCCTGACATCAGGATATGATCTCGTCCTCTCCAACTCTTGACTCTACTTTCCTTGATGTTGGCTTCATTTTCCGGAAGCCCATCCCTTGTGGTGGCAAAAAGGCTGCCAAAACCCCTAGGCAGATATCCCACCCTCTCAGAAATCCCAACAGAAAAAGAAGGTCCCAGGAGTATGTCTGATTGGACCAACTTGGGCCACGTGCCTATCCCCAAACCAAGGACTATAGCCAGGGGGATGGAATTCTACTTTGAGTGGCCAAGTCCAGCCACCTCGCTGGATCTGAGGGATGGGACCAGTTCTTCTGAAGGTATATGGACTGAGAATGTTTTCCCAAGGAAAATGGTGCACTGTTTTCAAAATAAGGGGGACTTGATGCTGAATAGGCAAAGGCAAATATGTCCACTACAGGGCTGGGAACTGCACCTATCTCATGCAGGCAATGTCTAGCACATAGCAAATATCCAAGACCTGCCAGTCATTATCATCATCATTTTGCCAGAGGTGGGGGTTTGGGTCCCATGACCCCAGGTTGGAATTGCAGGTCATTCTTGACCATACTCAGCCCTCATCTCTCTGTCTCTCCCAGGTGGTCCTGCCGTCCTACGAGGAAGCCCTGTCTTTGCCATCGAAGACCCCAGAGGGGGGCCCAGCACCACCCCCATACTCAGAGGTGTGACCCTCGCCAGGCCCCAGCCCCAGTGCTGGGAGGGGTGGAGCTGCCTCATAATCTGCTTTTTTGCTTTGGTGGCCCCTGTGGCCTGGGTGGGCCCTCCCGCCCCTCCCTGGCAGGACAATCTGCTTGTGTCTCCCTCGCTGGCCTGCTCCTCCTGCAGGGCCTGTGAGCTGCTCACAACTGGGTCAACGCTTTAGGCTGAGTCACTCCTCGGGTCTCTCCATAATTCAGCCCAACAATGCTTGGTTTATTTCAATCAGCTCTGACACTTGTTTAGACGATTGGCCATTCTAAAGTTGGTGAGTTTGTCAAGCAACTATCGACTTGATCAGTTCAGCCAAGCAACTGACAAATCAAAAACCCACTTGTCAGTTCAGTAAAATAATTTGGTCAAACAACAGTCTATTGCATTGATTTATAAATAGTTGTCAGTTCACATAGCAATTTAATCAAGTAATCATTAATTAGTTACCCCCTATATATAAATATATGTAATCAATTTCTTCAAATAGCTTGCTTACATGATAATCAATTAGCCAACCATGAGTCATTTAGAATAGTGATAAATAGAATACACAGAATAGTGATGAAATTCAATTTAAAAAATCACGTTAGCCTCCAAACCATTTAATTCAAATGAACCCATCAACTGGATGCCAACTCTGGCGAATGTAGGACCTCTGAGTGGCTGTATAATTGTTAATTCAAATGAAATTCATTTAAACAGTTGACAAACTGTCATTCAACAATTAGCTCCAGGAAATAACAGTTATTTCATCATAAAACAGTCCCTTCAAACACACAATTGTTCTGCTGAAGAGTTGTCATCAACAATCCAATGCTCACCTATTCAGTTGCTCTGTGGTCAGTGTGGCTGCATAACAGTGGATTCCATGAAAGGAGTCATTTTAGTGATGAGCTGCCAGTCCATTCCCAGGCCAGGCTGTCGCTGGCCATCCATTCAGTCGATTCAGTCATAGGCGAATCTGTTCTGCCCGAGGCTTGTGGTCAAGCAAAAATTCAGCCCTGAAATCAGGCACATCTGTTCGTTGGACTAAACCCACAGGTTAGTTCAGTCAAAGCAGGCAACCCCCTTGTGGGCACTGACCCTGCCACTGGGGTCATGGCGGTTGTGGCAGCTGGGGAGGTTTGGCCCCAACAGCCCTCCTGTGCCTGCTTCCCTGTGTGTCGGGGTCCTCCAGGGAGCTGACCCAGAGGTGGAGGCCACGGAGGCAGGGTCTCTGGGGACTGTCGGGGGGTACAGAGGGAGAAGGCTCTGCAAGAGCTCCCTGGCAATACCCCCTTGTGTAATTGCTTTGTGTGCGACAGGGAGGAAGTTTCAATAAAGCAGCAACAAGCTTCTGTCTGGCTGATGTGTTTCTGGAAATACAGTGTAGGGAGGGTGGAGACCAGCCTTCTACCTCCATCACCCCAGGACTCACCCACACCCCCTACACCCACACCCCTCCACACACTCACACCCACCCCCACACACCCACAAATACACCCAAACACCCACACTCCCCCCACATACCCACACACTCACACCCTCCCCACACCCCTCCACACACTCACTCCCACCGCCTACACACCCACACACCCCCCATATACCCACACACTCACACCCCCCACACCCCTCCACACACGCCCACCCCCACACACCCATGTAAACACTCACACATACCTAGTTGCTCCATCCAGAAACTCCTCCCATGGGCCATGCTGAGCGAGGGGTGGTCCTGACCCAATGCTGTCTGATCATGAACCACAGCCCAAGATGATGCACCCTGATGTCTCCCTAATCAGGCGTGCACTCCACTCCCCTGGGGCTGGGTCCTGCTCTGGACACTGGGGAAGACCTCAACAGATGAGACTCGCCTCCAGTTCCCCCCAGTCTGCGGTAGGAGGGACAGATCTGCAAAAGGGCTGCCACGATAGGGAAAGCCTAGGGGACCTCAGACGTGGCCTGAGGGCCAGAGAAAGCCTCTTGGAGGCTGTCACCAAGTGGAGTCTGAAGGATGAGAAGGCAGCAGTAAGCAGAATGGGAAGGGTGCTCTAGGTCTAGGTAGCAGGACACGCAAAGACTCTATGGCATTGGGGAGAGGAGCTGGGGCGAGCTGCTCAGCGTGGCTGCAAGTGGGGAGGGGAGGGAGAAGAGGTCGGCCCGCTGTGGGGCTGGGTCAGGAAGAGTGTTTGCACACAGTGGGGCTCTTTAGGTGCAAGCTCACCCTGGCTAAGTTCAGCCAAGAAGGGAATTTACAGGAAGGACATGGTTGCAAGTAACAGAAGCCTTATGAGCCAAGTTTATTATGAGAAACCAGAAGGTGGTTCACGATGTTTCTTGGCTCTCATACAAATAAAAAATCCAGGGATTTTTGGCTTCAGGTATGGCAGGATCCAGGACTACAACTCTTTAATAATGTCTCTCTGTTTCTCCATCTCTTATCTTTTCTCCCCGGTGTGGCTGAGCTGTTGAGGACTTACCTGAAAGTAAAGTTAATAAAGAGACCAGGGCTGTTTGAATTGGGATCTGTCACCAATACCAAAAGAGCCCTCAGAGCCTTGAATGTCACACCGAGGAACATGGACTAATCCTGAGACAGGTGTCTTTGAAGGATTTTGGGCCAAGGAGTTACAAGGTTTGGGTTTTAGGAAGGAAGAGCCCAAATGCAGGGACCCCTACAAAGGCTGGGGAAGTCATCCTATGGGGCGGCAGGGACGGGGATGAGTTTGAGAGGCATTGTCAACCTTCTGGTGGTGTCAGTTTTTTTGTGGAATGGCAGATTTCTTCATGGATGTTATTTGCTCCTTATCAGACCCCCAAGCAGTTGGTGCAGTGTAATTCACAGAAATGGAAAGCGAGCTCCTGTTCACACTTGAGGGCAGAGGCCCAGAGACATCAAGTGACTTTCCTGAGGCCACACAGTGGTCAGAGATGAGACCAAGCACCTTTTTTTTCTACTCCGAGTGGAGGCTTTTAGACGGGCTGGGGCCCAGTCTGTGTCAGTTGTTGCTTCTTGCAAAGACCCATGGGAAGAGGGCCCGCTGAGAAGCCCCGGCAAGTGTGGATTGGGAGCAGAGGTCACGGGAGGAGAGACATTGGCCCAGCCTTGCATCCTATCACAAGGAGATTGAAGGGCCATGGCTGCGTGTGTCACAAGGACCAGGAGGCCCTGAACTTCCCGGCGCGACTCTCCCGTCCTTCCCGCCTTCCCCGACTCCCACCTCTGGCCTGGAGCCGAAGAACAGGCTGAGCTGTGTAGTGGGATTGTGCCCTGTGGCCAGGCAGCTGGGAGGGGGCCACCCGAGGGACAGGAAATAGCTGGGTTTGGGGAAGTCCGCATGGCTAGCCAAGCCAAGCGAGCCCACGATCGCCTGGGCAGCCCTCACTGAGGCCCTATCAATGCCCCGTTTGAGGCTCACACAGGGGTCCTTTGACGGGGCTGCGATGGTTTGGACCCACTGACAGCGCCTGTTTGAGCTTCATGCCTGGAAAGGAGCCGGCCCCAGGACAGAGGGGGCTGCTTCCAGGCCTGGGCAGGTGAGGGCAGCCTGGAGTGGTTGTCTCTTGGAGGGAAAAAAGAGCTGGTAAAATTAAACCTGGGGTGCTAAGCGGGGCAACTTCAGGTTTCTCGGGAGCTGTGATGGTAGCAGGAAGGGTCCCCGTAATTGAGTGGGCCCTTCAGTGTGCTGGCTCCACAAAGCTCCCAGTGGCCTCACGCAGCAGGTGCTGGGTGGTGATCATTCCTGAGGTTCAGGGAGGGGCTGCCTCTGCCCACAGTCACGCATTGGCCAAGGGGCAGACCTGGGCTTGGACTTCAGTCCACCCAAATGGACCTGAGCTTGTCTCTCTAGACCTTTCTGGGTAACCTCGCCCTTCCTCTGGGAATTTCTACCTCACAAGGCCCTCATTTAATTCCTATTCCAGGCTCTGAGCCCTCTTGGGAGGGCCCTGGCAGAAGCAGGAGGCCTCAGAGGCAGCAGGGAGCTTTTGGATGTTGCGGACCCTCGGATGGTGGTGCCCAGCTCTGAGCAGAGGATGCGAAACGGGGGATGGCAAAGGATGCATCGCGTTTTGGTGGGGCTAGATTTGCGCTTCCTTGGGGGACATATAATGGGAGGTGCTCAGGAAGCAGCTGGGTCTCTAGGTCTGGAGTTTAGGAGAGCGAGGAGGGAGGCAGGTTGAGATGTGAGTGCTATCTTTGGACATGTGGGTGGGATATCAGGTTGGGCTGGTATCACCCAGGTGTTAACCCATCAGAAGGATGTGCTGCTGCTCCGTGGCCTCCCCAGACAGGCCGGCAGATGAAAGCACACGCCTCCTCACCCTGGATTCCAGTTTGGCTGACCATGCGTGGGGCCTGAGACCAAGATAGCACATGGGAGGTGTCATGAACCACATGTGACACCTCAGATCATGGGGTCTGTGGCCCGAATGGGGCCTGGGCAGGAGGAGCAGCCCAGCTGCACTGCAGGCTCCTGGATGGGGCGATGAGCATGGCCACTTTGCAGGTGAGGAATCTGCCCTGTGACTGTGGGCCCCTCCACATCTCTGCCTGACTTTTGGGAAGACCAGAGATTCATGTCCAATCCGGTACTCTGGCAGTGTCTCCAATTTGCAATGAAACCGTTTAAGTGTCAAGAAAAGCAGTCAGGTTAAAGGAAGTCAGGGGCAGGACCCACCCTCGGGTTCTCCTTGGGTCTTTGGGTGGCAGCAGGGCCTCTGCGGAGGGTATAAGCAGCAGCCACTGTGTGTCTCTGCAGCCACAGGCCTTGCCCGCTGCCCTCCCGGATGGGCTCTCTGGGAACCAGTGCTCACATTCCAGTCTGTCTCCCGGGTCCCAGGAAGAAGTCTCCCTAATTAGCCACCAAGAGCACGCCGATGGTCAGTGGGCATAGCAGAGAGCTGCTGGCACGAGGGAGCCACAGTTCTAAATAAATAAACAACATCCACCTGGGAAACAATTTTGCTGCCATCTCAGTGGCCCAGATAGTCGAACAGAACACTCGCCTGCTGCTTCCTCTGCTCTATGTGCTGGGAGGACATGCGAGGCTGGAAAACAGCTGGGCCAAGGCCTGGAGATGTGACCGGGTATCCTGAGAAAAGGACTTGGGTGCAGGTAGCTTATTTGGGAGGTGATCCCAGGAAATACAGTGAGGGGAAGTGAGGTGGGGACAGGATAAAAGCCAATACAATGTGCATGAATAAGCTGGTCACCTCTGTGGGCAACCGCGGCTCACTCCTGCTGGGGACCTTCTGAGGAACGGCGAGGAGCGTGTCTCAGAACTGTTCAATGGGGGATGGGGACGTTGGGGTCTTCTGATCCCTGCAGGTTGCGGGTTATACCTGGGGATGTTAAATCCCCAGGCTGCCTGGCCCACTGCTTGCGTCCCTGGGAACTGCCTGCAGCTGTAGGTGAGCTGAACCCACAGTGGGCTGAAGGGCCATGGGTTGGGGCATTAACTGGGCCAGCTAGAGTTCCCAGTGCTAAACCTGAGCCCGCTCCTCCAGATGCTCATTTCTTCTTCCAGTGTGATTGATTACAGGGGCCATTCCCCGTGGGAAGCTCTCGCAGTCGCTCCTGGGGTGAGGGCTGACCCTCTGGCCCCGAGAAGGCACGTAGCAGGGGTGGACCTTGTATTTTTAACAACCAGGTGAGTAGCATGGGTGGCCAGGTGTAGATGACCTTTGAGTTTCCTTCAGAGTCTGAGCTTCAGGGTTTCACATTTCCCTACAAATAAAATGGGTCACCATGCATTGAGTGCAAACTCTGATAGGGAGCTAGTGAGAGGGCTGGAGTCTATCTGGGAGGCTCTGAAAACAGGAGAGTGACTCATTCAGTGCTAGAGAAGAGAGGGAGATGGTGGGAGGGGAGGAGAGGGGGAGAAAGGGAAAGACTAGAGAAGAGAGGGAGAGGGAGGGAGGGAAGGAGAGGGAGAGAAAGAGAAAGACTGACAATGGCCTGGAAGGTGGAAGGAAGCTGACAGTGAAGAGCTTTAAATGCCAGCCAAGTCTGAATTTCCATCTAGAGGTGATCCAGTGCTAACAAAGGCTTTCCCCCCGGCAATGGTGACAGAGACTGTCACTGCTAACTAAATGCCATATCCTGGCCCTGGGCATCCAGGTAGAGTCAGGTAATGTGTACTCCTTCTCTGAGGCAGTTAAGAGAGATGCTTGCTGTCTCTCTCTTGTCCACATGGCCTGAGACAAGGACTTGGAAATGGTGGAGGCAGCTTTGGAGAGGGCCTATGTGGGGGGCACCCACCTGGCACTGGACGGTGCTAGGAGAGAGAAGCAAACCCTGTATTAAGCCATTGTGATTTGGGGGGCATGTCTGCTATTGCAACATAGCCTATCCTAGCCTGACTGATAAAAGAAGGCGTTGTAAAAATAATAAGCATTGGCCTGTCACGGTAGCTCACGCCTGTAATCTCAGCGATTTGGGAGGCCAATGTGGGCAGATCACTTGAGCTCAAGAGTTCGAGACTAACCTGGGCAACACGGTGAAACCCTGTCTCTACAAAAAAAAAAAATTCACTGGGCATGGTGGTGAACACCTATGGCCCCAGCTACTCAGGAGGCTGAGGTGGGAAGATCACCTGAAACCGGGAGGTCGAGGCTGCAGTGAGCTGTGATTGTGCCACCGCGCTCCAGCCTGGGTAACAGAGTGAGACCCCATCCTAAAAAAAAAAAAAAAAAAAAAAAAAGGAAAAAACTAAAACAAAAAGCCCAATACGCTTGATGTAGCATTCACTGCATTTCTTCCTTACAACCTTCCTGTGGCATTAGCATTAGGATTCCAATGCTACTGACATGAAACAGGCAGAAAAAGGAGGGATTTACCGGAAGTCACCATGGCTGGCCTGTGACAGAGGGGGACTCAAGCCCAGCTCTCTTTGATTCTAAAGCCGTTTCACTTCACAGGATTCCTCAAAGTCTGTCGTGCATGCCACTGGCAGAAAACAAGAAAATTTTCAGTGATATGTGGATGAAAAAGCTAAATTTAATTAGTTTTGAATTTATTTGAATTTTATATTGAATGAGTGTTTATTGGAATAAATAAATAAACCGTACATCAAACCAGTGATTTCATGGCTATTATTTCTTATAAGGCAGAGAAATTTTTAAGAAGTGAGTTGGTTTAGAGTGAATTAAACAAAAAGATTAAATAAATACTGGTAAAGGCGTATATGGATACTGCCAAACAGCTGATGGTGGGCAAAGAGTGAAGGGGGCAGGCTGCCCCGGCTGATGTTGCATTTGTGTTAGCTAGGTCATTGCGAGATAACCAGGTTTGCTCTTTAGGGAAAGAGCTGATCCTGGGAGCACTGGGGAGGGAGTCCTGTGTGCTTCCCACTGAACCACACTGCCCAGGGGCCTCTCCGTGGATCACAGATGCTCTCTCTTGCATGAAACACTAACGGCTTTAAGTTTCTGGAAGCCCGAGGGATGTGAAAACAGGAGGAGGGAACAGCAGAGCCCTTCACAGCTGCCTGTTTGACTTGTGAGCAACCTTGCAGAAGGCCCCTTCGTGCATTTTTTTTTCCTTCTGGCTCATACCGGACACACTGTTCTCAATTTTGAGTCCTGGGGAAAAATGTTTCACATTTAAAAAACACAAATATTGATTTTCTTTCCTTAATGTATATGCTGAACTTTTAGATCTCCTCTCCACCACCGCCCCCAGGCCTTGCCCCTGTTATAGAATGCCAAAGCTGCCTTTTTTTTTTTTCTGGTGGTGTTCGGGGGGGGACCCATCTCTGTTCCTGAAAAGTTACCTGTAGTGTATTTCTGCAGCTCTGCTAATGAGCGGAGAAGTGACACAGAGAAGGCGCCTGTGTTCTTCCGAGGAGCCCATAGAACTGCCATTCAGAGGTGGAGCTGAAAGGGCTGTTTCATGGGCCAGCTGCTGCCCAGCTAACGGAGCCTTGTGCCCTGAGCCCTGGACACAGCCCTGGCCGTCAGGGGGGTTGGGGTGGGGGGAGCAGTTGGTGAGGAGACCCCAGCTCACGTTCTCCTCGTTCACCTCCAGCATGGCACGAGGACAGCATTGCGTTTCTCACCGCTGGTCACCGTGGATGGCCCTTGTGTGACCCTGGGTGGTTTATAGGGAAATGGAACAGGTTCGTAGTTAGTTTTCATTCATTCCTTCATTTGCTTACCAGAGATCCTGTGCCAGGCACCATGCTGGGTCCCAGGGATTCAGTGGTGACTGAGACGGGCAAGCCCCCTGCTCGGAGGGAGCTCACGTCCTTGGGGAGACAGGTAACACCTTAATTACACCATTTTGGGAAGGGAGAGGCACCACCATCATCACACCTTGCAGCATCTCTGGAGAAGAATTCGACTTCAAAGTTGTAGCAGAAAAAGGAATCAGCAGCTTCAAGTGGTTTTTGGAATTGGGGAGGGCAGTGAATTAGGCACACATGAAATATAAGGGGAAAAAGTCAGAAGGCAATGCTCTTAACCTCCTCCTTCTCTAACACTGGTGCAAAGGGGAGTGAGGCCTGAGCTTTAGGCTTGGCTCTGCCCCTAAACTGGCTGGTGGCTTCGGGTAAGTCAGTGAACCTCTCTGGGCCTCAGTTTCTCCATCTGACAAATGGGCCAAGAGACTCAAATCTGCTGACTTCACAGGTTTGTTGGGTGAGCAAATGAGATAGAGTGATAGAATGAGTAACTGCCATGTCAAGGGTGGAAGGGATTGTTATAATTATTGCTAAAGAGTGTGGTAGCGGTGAGTTGGGTCTGCTGCACCCAGCAGTCGCTTTTTGTCTGTACATTTCCTTTTATTGAGGTATAATTTACACAGAGTGAAGTGCATAGGTCCCAAGTCTTAGGATTCTGCCTCCTGGAGCAATGACAATCCTTTAACTCCATTTCCACTTCTGTCCCCCTCTTGCCCCTCACATGGGGCAGGCAGATCAAGAACGACCATTCCCACTGCACCATGGCAAGCTGAGGCTCAGAGAGGTTAAGTCACCAGCTCCAGGTCACACAGCCAGTTAGGAGCAGAAGTGGCTTTGAACCTGGATCTCTCAGGTAGCCAAGCCCATGCTCTTTCTGCTCTATCTCATGAACTACTTGACCCAAATGCAAAGAAGGGGATCGTTCCTGCTGATGTTACTTTGTTTAGAAGGCTTTATCTTTGCCTTCTCTGTGCTGGGCCTGATGCAGAGTTGAATCCACTGGCTGACAGGTGAGGTGGGCCAAGCAGGGACCCACAGGGGGAAGAGATGGGCAGGGAGAAGCCACCTACATCAAGCTACACTGAGACAGCAGCATGGCTGAGAGCCGGGCCTGGGGCTCTATCCTGGCAATAACACTTCTTAGCTGTGTAACTTCAGACAAGTTATTTTACCTCTCTGTTCTTTAACAGTAGCTGCTTTAAAAAGTTGTCAAGAGGATTAACTGAGAAACCTCATCTAACTCCTTTGCTCCTTGAATCAACCCTAGGAGGCGCTATTACCATCCCTAGTTTCCAGATGAGCAATCTGAGACATGAGAGGTGAAGTCACTTGCCCATGGTCACACAGGTGGTTTGCTGGTATAGCAAACCCAGGTAACCTGGCTCCCAAGTCTGTGCTCTTAACCATGGTCTCCACTGCCCTGCCCATACTAACAGTGAAGGTACATGTTAGCCCTAATTATGACCTTGAAAGATTCTACAAGGCAGAGAGTTAGTGAGAGGAAAGGATTCTGGGCAGATGGCCCTGCATGTGTGATGGCCTGGAGGCCTTCGAGGAGAATCCAGGGGTAGCTGGAGAGCAGGGCGTGTGCGGAGAGCAGGGCACAGTGAGGCTGGGGAAGGGGAAGTGAATTTAATGAGAAACTTGGGGTTGTGAGTGGGGGAAGGATTTGGGTGTGGGATGAAGGTGCAGGACAGGGCTGGGCCGGGCCATTGGACTCAGGTATGCCTAGGCTTGGGGTGGAGCTTCAAGGCAGCGCGGGCTCCAGCCCCTGGAAGAGCCACCCCCCACCCACCTGAGATTTCCCAAATTCCAGCTGCCGCTCTAGTTGCTTCTGCAAGCAAAGGAGCCCTTGTGGTCAGAGGGGCCTCTGAAGCCTGGGCCAGGCTCTCCCGCCCTCTCAGGGCACACACACCTCCATTCAGCCCAAGCCCCGCCCTTTGGGGGGGCTGGGGGCCAGGGCGGGCTGCCCCCACGTCAGTCGTCAGTTGGGGGCCACCTGACCCAAAGGCTGGGCGGGCAGTGGGGTTGATAAGACCTGGACCCCACTGGTCCCACAACCGTGCCGGCTGCTGCCCGTGCTGCCAGAACTATGAGGGTCCTCTCTGGCACTAGCCTCATGCTCTGCAGCCTGCTGCTGCTGCTCCAGGCCCTGTGCAGCCCTGGCCTCGCCCCCCAGTCCAGAGGTGAGGGGGCTTGCGTGAGATGGGGGCTACTGAGCTAGTGGGCCCTGACCCTCAGCACTGGGGGCTGGGTACCGATATGGCAGGGAGCACACGGGATCCAGGATGGGGAAGGGAGCAGGGCGGCAGTGGTGGGCAGTGGGCTGGTGCAGGAGCAGACAGGGACCATGGTGCTTATAAGGGTCAGGGCAGGGGTGCTCCTCAGCCCTCAGGGACCATGCATGAGGCAGGGACCTTGGTCTTCCAGGTCTCTGGGGAGCAGAAGCTACTCAGAGAGCTGGCTGACGTCTGGAGCTGCACCAAGCCCAGGGCTGAGCCCATGGCTCTTTGATGACAGCAGACCTGGGATGCCAAGAGCTCATGCCCCCTTTGCAGGTCCTTCCAGCCTTGGGCTCCCTGGGGGCAATAACACCCCCCAGAGTTTCAGGTTTGGGCACTGAGTCCTGGAATGCCCATTCTTCCTGTACAGATGGGGAAACTGAGGTCAGTGAGGGCCTAAGACCACACAGTGAGATAGCGCCAGAGCCTCTAGGTTATTGATCTACTGCTGTACGGTGTGGCCAATTCCCTTTCCCTCTTTGGGTCTCAGTTTACCCATTTGTAGCCTTAGCGAGTAGACAGCAGGGAGCCTGCTGCATGGTGATTTCTAAGGTCTCCTGAGGAACTCTGATGTCCAGAGCCCCAGTCTAGGGCACTGTGAGTTACTGTGACTTGGGGGTTGGGACGGCCCTGCACGTTTCCCCTTTCCTCTTTGGGATTGGCTCTGCTCAGTTCAGACTCCGCATGGGATGGGGAGGGAAGGGCCTTTGTAGTGAGACCTTCCTGACTGCAGGCCCAGGCCAGTGACAGTAGCCTTATTCTCTCCACTGGACATGTGAGATCACGGAGGCTCAGAAAGGTGCAATGATCTGCCCAGGGCCCCACAGAGTGGCTGAGCCAGGATTTGAACCCAGGCCTGAACTCACTCTGACCCTGCATACTTCCCAGCACAGGGTGCTGCCTTCTTGGGTCTCTGGAGGACATTGCTCCTCGGGGGTGTGTCTTGGTGTGCACCTGATCAGGCTGCCGAGGTGGCCACCAGGAATTCCTGCTCCTTTTCCCTGTCTTTGGCAACCCGCCAGCAGGCGCTGCCAGGCTGAGGGAAACTGGTTCCACTTTGGTGATTTGCTTTGATGCTCAGATGAAAGAGGCCATGTTGACGGGCACTGCTTTGGCTCTCAAGCCTGTGCCCATGCCTGGAGGGCCCATCCTTGGTGCCCTCCTGCCCAGCTAGAAGAAATAGCTGCCCTTGTTTCTGGCAGCAAGTCTGGGCTGAAACCTAAATGTGTTTTCAAGGCCGCAGGGTCCTTTGCCACCCCTGGAATACTCATTGCTTGCCTGGCCCCCTGCTGGCTCCTCAAAACATCCTGTAAGGAGGGATTGCTAGCTCACTGCTCAGATGAGGAAACTGAGGCTCAGAGAAGTGAAGCAAATGGCCCAAGGCCAGGCTTGGCCCTCTGTGTTCCCCATGGGCTGAGCAGGGGGCCTTTGGCAAGTTGCTTGCTGGTGTCTGCATGTTGATAAAAGGGCTCAGCTGCCCAGCTGAAGTTTGCAGCCTACTGGGCCCGAGGCCTCGCACCTGGATCTAAGAAGCCGCACTCTGTGTGTTCAGGCCCAGTCCCTGACCTGTGTCTCTGCTCTCTGCCTTACCCCTCCTGCCCCACTCCCAGGCCATCTCTGCCGGACGCGGCCCACAGACCTGGTGTTTGTTGTCGACAGCTCTCGCAGCGTTCGGCCTGTTGAATTTGAGAAAGTGAAGGTATTCCTGTCCCAGGTCATCGAGTCGCTGGACGTGGGGCCCAATGCCACCCGGGTGGGCATGGTCAACTATGCCAGCACCGTGAAGCAGGAGTTCTCGCTGCGGGCTCATGTCTCCAAGGCCGCACTGCTGCAGGCTGTGCGCCGTATCCAGCCGCTGTCCACAGGCACCATGACCGGCCTGGCCATCCAGTTCGCTATCACCAAAGCCTTCGGCGATGCAGAGGGTGGTCGTTCCAGGTCCCCTGACATCAGCAAGGTACGTGCACGCCACCCTGCTAGGATGCTGCTGTTTGGAGGCTCCCGCTCGGAGTTATGAGCTTTGCCTGCAGACACTTTGATTCCCATGATGCCCCGTGAGGTGGCCATTTCATAGCTGGGGAAACAGGGTCAGAGAGGGGCGGTCATTAGACAGAGGTCACCAGTTGCAAGTGACAGAGCTGGGATTTGAAGCCACCTTTACCCAACCTTTCCATCCTAGGAGCTTACAATCATTTCAGTTTAGTTGACCTTGGTTCCCGACCAGTCTGAGCCCCTTGAAGACATTGCAGACAGGCCAGATGCTTATGGGAGGAGTGAAGGTGTGGCCTCCGCCACCAGCCTGCCTGGGTTCACGCCCTGCTCCACCATACTAGCTGTGCCACCCCGAGCAAGTGACGTCATGTCACTGGTGCTCGGTTTCCTCACCTGTAAAATGGGAGTAATGATAACACCTTCTCCAAGTGCTGCTGAGGACTGAGTTCAAAAGCATAAGGCTTCCCATCATGGCATTTGATAATTTTTAATTTCATAATTCTCCGAGGGCAGGGGCTCAGAAATGGAAGGGCTGTGCTGCCACCTGTGCTGTCAGTGAGGGCTCCAGGCAGAGGGCTGAGCGTTTCCCAGGACTTGTATCCTCACTGTCATGTTCAGGGCTCAGCACAGAACCTGAGGCTAAGCCAGGTGTCCTCTGTTCCTGTGGCACCCCCACAGGCTCCAGCACTTCCCCACTGCAGCCTTCGTTAGCCCGAGTCGCCACTTCCCTGCTCAGGGCCCCAGCTCAGGGGAGGTTCTTTCTTATCCCTCCTCCATACCCCACTCTCTAGCACACAGTGGATAAATGAACATGATTCTGCTCGGAGGTGGTATCCCCATTTTACAGATGGTGAAACTGAGGCATAAGAAGCTTAAGCAACTTGCTCAGCCAATAAGTGGGAAAAGCATTCACAGAGACAACAGCATATAATCCCAGCCATTACCACCCCTTAGAGAAATGACGTATCAGGCAGCCTGTCGGTCTTGGGGCCAACTACAAGTTTCAGCACGGGGTGCTGTAGATGAAGCTGATGGTTGAGGTGGTGGAGAGGGTGAAGGAGATGGGGGTGGTGGCGTGGGGTGGGCAAGTGAGGAGAGAGCTCCTCCAGCAGGTGACACAGCGGCGCTGGGGGAGCTGGCACCAGACTCCAGGTGTTCAGCCTGGAGTTCACCTGTGGGAGGACCCAGCAAGGTGGACAATCTGAAAGCTGGGTTGCAGGGAGGGGAGTAGGGACTCGAGGAGGCAGTGGGCCTCGGGATGGCAGCGAATAGTCACAGCTAGATTTTCAGAGCCAGGAGCCCAGGCCCCTGGAGAGGAAGAGATTGTACAAAGTCACTCCCCAGGTAGCCCAGGGTAATGATGGTAAAAATAATAGTTGCCCCTTCTGGCTTCTAACCAGGAGTCATCTCACTCAACCTCACCACAACCCTTTTTACAGTTGAAGACACTGAGGCTCAGGAAGGTGACCTGTAGCTTGTGGAGCTGCATTTCTAAACACGGCCTGTCTCAACTGCCTGTCATCAGGACAGGGTGTCAGGACCTGGGGCTAAGGATGGGACCCAGGAATCAGAAACAGACCCAAGTCAGAAGCAGAGAAGCAGCAAAGCGGGACTGGATGCCTAACCCAGACTGGGCAGAGCTGGGAGCGCCCTAGCCTCAGGGCGGGTGCAGACAGGGGGTCACGAAGCCGGATCTCAGTGACAGAGTCCGCCACCTCTTTCTTTCCAGGGTACAGACCAGAGGAGCCTAGTGGGAGGGGAGCAGGCAGATTCTTTCCCTCTCTGGCAGGGGCATGTATCATACCGGGGAGTGGAGGAGGATAAGGGCGGCATCTTTCTTGGGTTGGTCCCTTGGGCATCCACATGGGAGTGGCCCTCCGTCGGTTCCCTGGTCCAGGGTCCCCGGTCTTACCGGGACAAGGACAGCAAGACGGGAGACGGCAGCCCCATCCCTTAGCTTCGGCTGCCATCTGGTGGCCAAAGCGCAGAACTGCACCATGTGGAACCACCGGATCCCCCCACCCAGCCCCGGCCGGGCCTCCCGGGGGCACGAGGGGCGTGGCACGACTCCCACAGCCATCAGCCTGAGGACCCTGCCCTCAGCCGCCTCAGTCTGAGGGGAAGGCATGGCCCTGACCTTAGAGACCCCAATTTGGCGATGGGGCATCACATCCCTCCGGGCATCTCAGAGCTGCCTGCCCGAGGGAGGCGAAGCAGATGGAAAGCCCCCCAGCCACGTCTCTCAGTCAGAGGAAACGGGTCTCCTCTTCGGCCAGCCGGGTCCTCTTCCCCCGGGTGCCGCCTGGCTGTGCGACCCGGCAGTCCTCCCGCCTCTCCGGGCCTCAGCCTCCTCTCCTGGACAGTCCCGTGGGCTTCCGGGAGCCCGGTGTCACACCGCCCCGCGTGTCGCAGGTGGTCATCGTGGTGACAGACGGGAGGCCCCAGGACAGCGTGCAGGACGTGTCTGCGCGGGCCCGGGCCAGCGGCGTCGAGCTGTTCGCCATCGGAGTGGGCAGCGTGGACAAGGCCACGCTGCGGCAGATCGCCAGCGAGCCGCAGGACGAACACGTCGATTACGTGGAGAGCTACAGCGTCATCGAGAAGCTGTCCAGGAAGTTCCAGGAGGCCTTCTGCGGTGCGCGGGCAGGCGGGGGCGGAGCCAGGGCAGGGGCGGAGAAGGGGAGAGCGGCGGGGCGGGGCCAGGGCTGGAGGCGGGACCGAGGCTGAGGCGCAGACGGAGCCAGCGCCGGCGCAGGGCAGGGGCGGGGCCGGGGGGGGGGCAGAGGCGGAGACGGGAGAGAGATAGAATGTCAGTGCCGGGGCGGGGCCGGGGAGGAGCCGGGGGCGGAGGCGGAGACGGAGAGAGTCAGCGCCGGGGCGGGGCAAGGGTGGGGCCAGGGCAGGGGCGGAGACGGAGAGAGCGGCGGGGCGGGGCCAGAGCAGGCAGGGGGCGGGGCCAGGGCAGGGGCGAAGACGGAGACAGTCAGTGCCAGGGCGGGACCGGGGCGGAGGCGGAGAGAGTCGGCTCCAGGGGCAGGGCCAGGGCTGAGCGGGACGAGGCCGTGGCAGGCGCAGAGACTGAGAGTCCGCGCTGAGGCGGGCCAAGGCTAGGGGCGGAGCCAGCGCTAAAGTGAAGACAGAAAAAGTCAGCGTCGGGGGGCGGGGCCACATCAGAGGGCGGGGCCTGGCTGGGGCGGTAGCCTATAAAACGGCGGGAACTGAGTTACACGGCAACATCAGGGCGGGGCCAGGGCTAGGGACACGGCTTAGGTGGATTGGGGGTGGAACCTGGATTAGACTGAGGTGGTGCCAGCACCAGGGGTGGGGCCGTAGCTGGGGCGGAGCCTGATAACGGAGGAGGGTCTCCAGCCCCAGGTTAAGGGAGTTGGGGAGAGGCGATGTTAAGAGTCCTTTTATGGCCGGGCGCGGTGGCTCACGCCTGTAATCCCAGCACTTTGAGAGGCCGAGGCGGGCGGATCACGAAGTCAGGAGATCGAGACCATCCTGGCCAACATGGTGAAACCGGTCTCTACTAAAAATACAAAAAATTAGCCGGGCGTTGTTGCGGGCGCCTGTAGTCCCAGCTACTCGGGAGGCTGCGCCAGGAAAACGGCGTGAACCCGGGAAGCGGAGCTTGCAGTGAGCCGAGATCGTGCCACTGCACTCCAGCCTGGGCGACAGAGCGAGACGACTCCGTCTCAAAAAAAAAACAAAACAAAAAAAAAAACCGCACACACAAAAAACAACAGAGCCCTTTTATGTGGCAGAATCCTGGCAGGGACCAAGGAGGGCCCAGAGCTCAGGAAGGAGAGCTCCCAGAAAACCTACACATGTTTCTGTGTCGTGAGTTTTGGGTGCCAGAGTTTTCTGTGATGCGGGAGAGTCTGAGAGGCCTGGGCACTGGCAGGAGAAGGTTCAGAGCCCTTCTCGGAGGGGAGGTGTGTGTGTGGGTCTTTGGGATGTGACCCGCAGGGGCAGGGTGTCCAGTAGGACAGGATCAGGGTTAGGGCAGGGACTTTACCCATTTGTAAAATGGGTCTAAGAAGAGCATGCACGTTATTGAGAGGATCCAGTGAGATAATGCAAAATGTAACCCTCATTATATGGTATTTGACAGATAGGTGCTGTGTTCATTGTATGCTGTTCTAGACACTTGGGTGTCTTGATACAGCAGTGAACTAAACAGACTAAAGGCCCTAACCCTTGGCCTTTACCTTTTTAGTGAGACTTTTCATTCTTATCATCAGCATTATAACCTTCTTCAGGGATCTAGGCACTGGTGCAATGATTCCAGACGTGGGCTGAGAGTCGGGGGCCTGGGCCCCAGTATGTTGGAGATCTTAGTTTCCCTGAGTCTGGATGGGGCCTGGTATCCACAGTCAGGGAGGGACAACCTGTCTGTAGTGCCCAAGGCACTATGACTGTGAGATCTGAGCTACTTATTGTCCCCGCAGTGGTGTCAGACCTGTGCGCCACAGGGGACCATGACTGTGAGCAGGTGTGCATCAGCTCCCCCGGTTCCTACACCTGCGCCTGCCACGAGGGCTTCACTCTGAACAGCGACGGCAAGACCTGCAATGGTCAGTGGGGTGGACACAGGCTCGCCCTGGAGAGGGTGTGGAGGGGAGGTGATGGGGCCTCCCCAGGAAACCCATTCAAGCCTCCCTGCACCATACCTCTGAACCAATCTTCAAAGCAGACAGATGCCTTTTAGAGTTTGGTATCTGCAGAAGTTCTCACCTGACTTCTGTCCCTGTTTTCAACACAATGGGCGGTGGGTTTAGTGTGGTAGAAGGACTCACATAGTCTCAAAATCAAATCCTGGTGCTACCACTTCTGAGCTGTGTGATCTCACAGCTATTGGAGTTTCAGTTTCCAATACTGTACAGTGGGACCAGTCACCTTGGCTTTATAGAGGCAGTTCTGAGGGCACAATGTAATGATCCTCAGCACAGAGCTTGGTGTGTGGTGGGTGTCCAGCCGGGGAGCAGGATGGTTGACTATGTCCTTCAGCTTCAGCCCGTTGCCTTCCTGTCCTCCACAGTCTGCAGTGGTGGTGGTGGCAGCTCGGCCACTGACCTGGTCTTCCTCATTGACGGATCCAAGAGTGTGAGGCCAGAGAACTTTGAGCTGGTGAAGAAGTTCATCAGTCAGATCGTGGATACGCTGGACGTGTCAGACAAGCTGGCCCAGGTGGGGCTGGTGCAGTACTCAAGCTCTGTGCGCCAGGAGTTCCCCCTGGGTCGCTTCCACACCAAGAAGGACATCAAGGCGGCTGTGCGGAATATGTCCTACATGGAGAAGGGCACAATGACTGGGGCTGCTCTCAAGTACCTCATTGACAATTCCTTCACTGTGTCCAGTGGGGCTAGGCCCGGGGCCCAGAAGGTGGGCATTGTCTTCACTGATGGCCGGAGCCAGGACTACATTAATGATGCTGCCAAGAAGGCCAAAGACCTCGGTAGGTGTTGCCTGCCTGGACCCTGGACACCACTGATGGCCAGGGGTACACACGGGTATAGCCCAACTGTAGTTTATCTTGGTGTCGTCTGATTAGTGCCCTAAACCCAGGTGAGTTTGAATGAGGAGGATTGGTTAGTCCAATTCTCTCTTATACCAATGACAAAATTGAGGCCCCAGAAAAGTAAGTGGCTTGTTTTGATGGTCCTTTTGTAAGTGAGGCTTGGAACTTTTCCAGCTGGATATTCCCAAGAACACATCAACTATTGGAAGGCAACTCTACTTTGGAACAAGCCCGAGTCTGTTTTGTAACCTATTAAATGAGGAAAAAATAACCACCAGATGGATGATTATTAGGGTTAAATGAAGCTTGCTGTACAAAGCTTCCAGTACAGGAAGTCACTATAGGGTCTGACACAGAGCAGAACCTCAGTAAATATTGATTTTCTCATTGTCCTTGTTCCAGGCATTGTGCTTGCAATTCCAGCAGCTGCCAGCAGGAGGTGTCTGGTGTTGGCTGCCTAAGCCTTCCCCAGGAGGCTCAGCCATATGGTTGCCCATCCCCATGTCCAGCCTTACTTCTCCTGTTCCTCCTGGCAGGCTTTAAGATGTTTGCTGTGGGTGTGGGCAATGCCGTGGAGGATGAGCTGAGGGAAATAGCCTCAGAGCCTGTGGCAGAGCACTACTTCTACACGGCTGACTTCAAGACCATCAACCAGATAGGCAAGAAGTTGCAGAAGAAGATCTGTGTGGGTGAGTGAGGCCAGGGCTGGCATTGATGGGATTTGCAGGTGGGGCACTGTGGAGGTGGAGCCATCCTGGAACTGGGTGTGGGTGGGGAAAAGCAGGGGCCGAGGTGGCACCAAGAGTTGGCAGAACCAGAAGGTGGGCTGGCGCTTACAGCTCTTACTACCAGCAAACATGTTGAATGCTCGTTACGTGGCTGGCAGTGTTCTCAGTGCTCTCCGGATATTACATCATCCGATCCTATTTGGTAAGAATGTCATTAACCCCATTTTATAGATGGGATAAACAAGGCCAAAGGGGTGGAACAACTGTTAATAGCTGGGAGAGCCAAGATTTGAACCCTACTGCCTCTCTGGTCCTCTCTGGTGACCTCACCAGCTGGTTCTTAGTGGTAAGGAGTGTGGGTTTCAGAGCCAGACGTGCCTGGGCCTGTGTCTTTGCTCTGACGCTGTTGGCCATGGGCAAGTTTTTTCACTTCTTGGATTCTTCACCTGTAAGATGGGATTAATGACTTCAAACCCAAAGGGCTGAGGTGAACTCACTGAGGTGACATAGGGGCCCCTACTAGTGTTCTTCATGCAGCAGGTACAGGGATGCTCTCCTAGTTCATTCTCAGGGCTCCAAGGGACCAGGAAGACGTTCAGGGGTCACCCCTCTATCACTCCTAAGGGTGCTGTCTCAAGGACTATCTATATCTTTCTGCCTCCTCAGGTCCCTTAAGCCCCTCACCTCCCCGGGAATCCTGAGTCCTGGCCCTGGGCAGTGACTGTCCTCCCTCCTCCTGGGCAGCCACTCAACAGTTCCTTTCTCTTTCCCTCCTCCTTGTCCCCTGCAGAGGAAGACCCGTGTGCCTGCGAGTCCCTGGTGAAATTCCAAGCCAAAGTGGAGGGGCTGCTGCAGGCCCTGACCAGGAAACATATCCCTTCCCAGAGGGGGCTGGGGCTGGGGAGGGGCGCAGGCCAGTGTTGGGGGAGGCGGGGGCATGGCCCAAGTGTGGTCAGTTGGGCAGGCTTCTCTTGGCCTGCTTACTGCTGATGGGCTGCATTCTGGCAGAATAAGCTGAAGCCAGCTTGGGTGCACACCCTGTCAAAAGCAGAGACTCCTAGAAGGTAAACAAGAAAATGAGGCAGAAGCCAGGATCTAGGGACTGGACACACACCAGAGTCCTGGACATGCTCTGAAGAACATGGAGCCCATGGATGCCCCATTTCTCAGGCTCATGGTGACGTGCCTGACCCCAGTACCCACTCAGAGGTGGGGCTGGGCCCCAGACAGTTCCCCTGGCTCAGCCAGGACTAGGTGGGGAACCCAGCAGGTCTAAATCTGCAACTGAGCAGGGCTGGGCACTCGTGGCTCACAGTAACTGGCTGTGTTTTTTGGAAAGCACCATTCTGAGGACAGTGGATGGATAAGTTCTGACAGAGGGGAGAATGCACGCTGTAGTGGGGTGTTGCAGGGGCCTGAGTGCAGGGCCACAGCCATCCCTGCCCTGCTCTGGCCAACCTGCACCTCTCCTTAACTCTGAGTCCACTGGAAGCTGTGAGTAAGCGGCTGGCCATCCTGGAGAACACAGTTGTCTAAGGCTGCCTGTCACCACTGTGGCCTCTCCAAGCGTCCTGCACGTGTCCGCCGTAGCTTTACCATTTTAGTGAGGGAAGCCAGCCCGGGGGTGGGAGGGGGTGTGTCTGGGTGTGCCTATTGAGAGCGTGTAATGGCGTTTGGGAGCTCGTGTGTGTATGTGTGCGTGTGTGTATGTGTGCATGTGTGTGTGTGTGTGTGTGTGTGCACGTGCGCCTGAGGGTGGGCATGAGTCTTGCCAGAATGTGAGTGTGAGAGTGATAATGCAGGGGTGAGTGTGAGAGGGACTGCGTTTGCATTTTTATAATCAAAAGCTTAATATATTCCCATCTTTTTTAGTTAACCCTTTCTTGACTCTGAGTGCTGTGAATTTCTTTACTGATTTCTCTATTCTCCGGTGAGAAACAATTAAATGTGATTTAACGTAAGCAGTGAATGGGGCTAGAGGCAGTGTGGTTATTTGGGGACCAGGGAAAAGGATGGATGAAGATGTGGTGGGAGGGGATGGTTGGAAGGATGGTAACAGTGGTGGTGACAGTGATGACAGTGACCACACCAAAACCAGCTGGTGTTTGTCCTGCCTTTTCAGTTACATATTCATTTAGTTGACCTCATTTCACTTCCAGTAACCTTACCCAGAAAAGACTCAAATTATCCCCATTACAAATGGGAAAGCTGAGAGTCTAAATGATGAAATGACTTGCTCAGCAGTGGGTCGCTGAGAGACAGGACTTGAATCTAGGACTGAAGAACATCAAAAGAAAAAGGCTTCAGAGAAAAAGGGCAATGACACCAGATAGGACTCATTTGTTCATTCATTCATTCGTTCACTCATTCGTTCAGGTATCATGTACTTACAGGGCAATGGCGGTGGGGGGGGATGGTGCTGTATGAGACAGACGTAGTTCCTGCCCTAAGAGACATACAGTTGAGCAGGGTGCTCATGTCACCCCCACCAGCCAGAGGGACCAGCCAGAGGAAAAGAGAGTGGGTTTAGGTCGTACCAGGGGTTTGTGCCTCCTCTTGATACCTGGGAGCCCACGGGGTGAGTGTGTGTGTGAGATGATGGGAAGGGCTCCAGCCTGGGCCTGGGCTGCCCTAGGTGCCTCTCCCCTCCCGCCCCCAACATGCCCTGTTGGAGTTCTGTTTGTTTCCTGTGCACAGGCGGCATCACCCCCAACCCAAAGTCCCCAACGCAGATGGCAGCAGCCCCACCTCAGAGACTGCACAAGAGAAAGACTCCTGGCCCCATGTTCCCTTCCTCCAGCCCTATGTGGGGTCTGCAGGTCACACCCTGAGATCTCGGCCACCTCCCCCAGGCCCCTGTTGGACCAGTGCTGCTCCGGAATCTCCATCTCTGTCCTCTCAGAGGGGGAGCTTTGGTGATTTTCTGAACCTATTCTTGTTTAATGGAGCATTTTTAGTGTTACTACTAGATTCACACTTGAGAGCATGTCTAAAAGGCTTTTACAAGAAGCTCAGACCACACCGAAAGATCTTCCTCGGAGGCAGTTCAAAGAGGCAGAATAACAACACGAACGGTACCCAAGAGCTACATCAGTACAACAGCACAAATACACAAGCGCGACTTAACTGGGGCACAGCCACCCTCGCCCCCATGACCTGACTCCACCTCCTACACAGTTCACCAAACCCTTTCTCTCTGTCCGTCCCTGGGGCAGGAGTTTTTCTGCTGTCCAAGGAGGCTCCTTGACACAGCCACCTGAGAAGTTATGACTCTGCTCATTCTTCCTTTCTTCTGAGATTATCCACTCCCCTCTCCTCCCCACACAGGTGGGGAGGGGGAGAGGCAGCCATGTTGATATGGACTGAGAAGGCTCAGCAGTGTGTCCCCAAGGAGGAGGAGAGGGTCATTAGCGGACGCCATGGCCTGGGAGCTGGCGGGCAGAAGCAACAGATGTCCCTGATGAGTGGAGTCAGAGATGGGGTGGAAGCCCTGCCTGGGAATAGGACCTCGTTCTTCCCTGCCCGGTGGGTGGAGTAGTGGCAGGACCTTGTCACCAGGCTCTGATGAAGGCAGGGACCAGCTTCTTGGGATCTTTCAATCCCAAACTCTTGCCCTTCACTCATCGCAGTTCTCCCCACGGCTACTCCAGGTCCTCTTGAAATCCGTCCTCTCCATGGACTTCCCACATCCCTCTCTGCTCTAGGTTTGATTAACAGAAGGTTGTAAATGAAAACCAGCATCTCCCGAGGGCAGCCATGGTCTACTGACAGATGGCAAGTTACTTTGTAACCTGTAATTTTGTTTTTTTGAATTTTGTATAAATAAACAGGACTAAACTAATTAGGATTGTTCTTTTCTTTCTTTCCTCAGGCCTTGGGCTATAATGGGAGTCTCTTGGCCCCGTAGTGCATTGGTTACCAGGTTTCAATAAAGGGTTTGTCTTTGCAATTACAGTTCATTAATGGATTTACAAGGGAGAGAAGATGGCACAGTCCGCTAAGGGGATTGTTTTGCATTTCTCCTCTTTTAATTACATGGTTTTCTCCTGGACCAGTGCTCTTTGAAAAAAGGGGGCGGGGGTGGAGAGTCCCAATGCCCCATCTGTTCCAGATGTGAATGCAATTAATCCAGGAGAAGACAGGAGCTGCTCAGGGACTTCCTGATACCTGAGGCTGGGCCTGCATCCTCTTCAGAGCCGCCTGTGAGGCTGGGGGTTGGGGGGCCCTGCTACTCAACCCTGGTTGGCATCAAGGTATGTTGACAAGGGGAGGGGACCACTCTGCTTATGGGGGCGTCGCAGCCTTGGAGTATTTGGGGTCAGAATCAAGTTTGGGTCACCTATTGAGTTACCATTTTTGGGTGATCCCTATGTGCCGGGTGATATATACACAATTTCCAATTCACACTTCTCAGTGATCCTTTTAATAAACTTATTTCACAGACAGGGACACCAAGGCTGCCAGATGTAAAGTGTCACGTGGACAGGAAGTGGCTGGGCTGAGATTTAAATCCTGAAATCTCTGCCTCCCAAATCAGGGCTCTTTCCAGAACATGGCCTCTCTGAAGTTCAGGCTCACTATGGTGAAAGGGGTTCCTATTCCTTTCTTCAAAGGTTGGGACCATCACTGGTTAACTGGCCTTCCTGCCTTTGGGCTGTTGTTCTTTAGCCCATTCTGCACACTGATACCAGAGTGATGATCCTACTGTGCCCATCTGATCAGTTCACACCTCTGCTCAAGAACTTTCTTTGGCTCCCTACTGCCTCCTGAATAAAATTCAAACGTAGCCTGACACCTTAGGTGCTGTATGGTCTGGCTGCTGCTTACTTCCGTCTCACTTCGCCTCACTGTGATCTCACAGAGGTTGCATTCTAGAAATGTAGAACTATATGAGGTTGCCATCAATACTTCCATTGTGGAGATGGAGAGACAGGCACAGAGAACTAAAGTCACTTGTGCAAGATAGAACTTCCAGGGCTGGAGGTCCTGAAAGGGTGGCACTTTCTAGGCTGCGAAACAGGGTGAGGACGAGGGTAAGGGGTGTAGATATCTCTCCATTTGGGTCTTGCTCACCCATTGGTGCTCCAGGAGTCCCAGGCATTGCCATGGAAGTCAGATTGAGAAGTCTTGGGTGGTTTTTTAATTCTCCAAATGCTTCCTGAGAACCTGCTGTGTGCACAGCACAAGCCAGGTGCTGACGACAGGGAGACAGTGATCAACTAGATACTGTCCTCGATCTCAAGAGGCTTCTGGTCTATTTAACACAACAGATGGGACTGGAACACCTGAACAATGATAGTAATAAAACGACAGCCTTCCTTTATTGATGGCAAATATTGCACAAGGTGCACATTGCTGTTCTTGCTCACTGAGGAGTAACAAGTTCGAAGAGGTCAGACAGATTGTCCAAAACTGCGCAGCAAGAAGCTGCTCAAACAGGATTTGAACCGAGGATTGTTGGGCTTCAGAGGCTGAACCCCGTCTTCTGCAGTGAGCTCCCCTGCTCTGTAATTACGATGGGGGAAGGGCTAGAGGGCAAGGGACAGGGCAAGACACAAACAGGGTAAGATGCTGCAAAGAGTTGGAGATGTCAAGGCCAAATGCAGCTACCAGTAATAAGGGCCAGTGTTTATTGAGCACCTACTATGTGCCCGGCACCACTCTGGGCACTTTTCATAGACTAGACCTTGATTTGATGACTTCTCACTGTGATCCTATGAAGGATTTACTATTTATCATTCCATTTTACAGATGAGGAAACTGAAGCATGGAGGGTTTCAGTAGCATGTCAGTGTGCCCCATCTAGTGAGCGATGGAGCTGGGACTAAATGGATCTCACAGACTCCTGAGTCAGGTGCTGTCAGCCACAGTGCTAACTGAGCTGACCTAGTACAGCCATGCATTGACAAGTGAATATGATGTTAAAAAGGAATAATGGCGTAATTGCATGTGAGAGGGGGGACCAAAAGTAAATCATTCATTGATTTACTCACCCAACAGTGATTTACTGAGCACCTGCTCTGTGTCAGGCACTGGCTCAGGCCCCAGGGCCCCAGCAATGAGCAGACTGTCTGTTTCTGCAATCATGGCCCTACTTTCTCACAGGAGCCTGACTATGAAGGAAGGGGCAAAGGAAGTGTGGGAGCATCGCAGACACAGAAGTGCTGAGGAACATACCGGGAAGCTGTATTTGGCAGGGGGTGGGGGTGGGGGGTGCCCTGGCCTTTGCCCTGGAGGAGCGCAGTGTGAACATGGTCCAGGCCTGTGGTTTCAGACTTGATTCTGAACTTGTGCACGGTGCCAGGTGGGGCCTGGAGTCAGACAGGTGGACATTCCTACACAATCATGATGGCAAAGACCTGCATGCTACTTAACAGTTCACAAGCACGAGGTGAAGCCAGTATGGTTATCAGCCCCATTTTACAGATGACACACAGGCTTGGAGACGGGAAGAGACTCATCTGAGTCATGGCGTAGTGGAGCTGCAATTTGAAGCTGAGCCTGTTGGACTCTGAAGTTCCTGCTGTCCCTGTTCACCCTTTACTGTGCCTCGGCTGATGCTTTCTGAGCCTGTTTGCCCATCTGTGAAATGGACTGCTGACGCGGGGCAAAATCATCTCAGGGACTGCCTTGGACCTTGGAATTATGGATTGAAATTTTTTTAAAAATTTATTTATTCTGTCTTTATTTTGTCTTGTCTATAGTGAAGGTGTACAGCGGGATGTTTTGATACACGTAGTGAAATGATGACCACGGTGGAATTATGTGGTTTGAATGGGGCCGGAATGGCTGGCTTTGAGGCTGCTAGGGAGGAAGCTGGCCACAGGATGGCACCATTGGCCCAGGAATGGGGTGAGCAGGCCTTGCTGGGGGATGGGGCTCGGGCTTCATGGCTGTGAGCTGGGCTGGTCCCTGTCACTGTGGCACCTGTCGCACTTAATCTAATCTCTTTAATCCCCTCCTTCCCAACCTCCTTCCCAAAGGCTCCTGAGTGGGTGGTGACTTCTCTCATGGGAACGGTTGTATCCTCCCCAACTGCAGCTGGCCTTGCTATCCCATGCCTCACTCTGAGATGCCCTGGAGGGGCATGTCCAGAGGATTTGCTGGAGCAGGGGGTGGCAGCTCAGATCTGAGCGTTGGGGTGCAGTGGGGGCCAGGAAGGAGCACCCCAAGGAGGTATCTTCCTGTGCCCTACCCTCCCTCGTTCCTATGGACAAATTGTCCTTTGTCCCCAAATCAGAATATAAGTGCCTTCAAGCCAAAAATAGCTGCAGCCTGGTGGGGGAGGGGGATACTAGAGACACCAAACAGAGGTGTCGAAGGGAGCCCAACACAGGCACCTTGGAGGGACCACGGACTCTGCCATCCAAAGCCCTGGCGTGAATAGGCTCTGTCCCTGGTGTGCCCTATGGCCGTGGTCATGTGACTACAGCTCTGGGGCTCAGTTTGCTCCCCTGGGAGATGGGGAGAATGATTCCCCTTTCACTGGGGGAGACTGTGAACTGAGGGGATGTGTGCAAAGCACAGAGCATGGGCCGGGCGCCCTAGCTGTTGAGACGAAGGTGCACCCTTGTGGCGACAGCAGCGAAGGGTCTGGGCCCAGGCTGGAGGCTCAGATCACAAGTTCACACCAGGGCTTCAAGGAGGAGGCAGCCTCTCCTCCAAATTCCGAGCTGTCTTTCCTCCCTCATGGAAAACCTACACCAGGTCAAAGCGTCTCCCTTCCCTTTGCCCCTCCAGGGTGTGCGGTATCTCACGTGGCTTCTCTCTGTCCTTCCCCTTCCACGTGAGGTGCAAGCACCTGCCCTGTCCCATAAGGGTGATGGAGAGTCTGCTGTAAGGCGGAGTCAGGGGGATGGTCCAGGGAGTGTCTAGAGAGTGATGTGAAGGTGGGTGGTGGGGGGCATGTGCCAGCGCCCAGACCAGGGATGGGAGAGCAGCTGGGGTGGGGTGGGGGCACTAAGGGAGCAGAGGGGCTTATTCAGCACAGGGCATGGGGCCTGATTATCACTGTGTGGCCAGCAAGCCAGGCCATCCATGGGGCTGGGCCGAGCTCCTAGCTCCATGCTGGGTGCCTGATTTTCAGAGACTCTGGGGAGGTTGAAGTTCCCCTCACCGATTCTTCTCGGAAACTGGAGTTCTCTCTGTGTTTCCCCAGTGCAGACTGCTGTCCTGAGGAGGCTTTCAAATGCAGAGTCCCAGGCACCCTGATTTAAGGAGTCTCCAGGGAACTGTGCCCAGACCGGGGTGTGACATGTGGCTCCAAACTCAGGCCCTGAGTGACCTCGGGAAGTCCCTGACCCTCTCTGAGCTCTGTTCCACTGATGACACCGCTGGCTGTGTCAGGCACTCAGAAGGCGTTTTGTCCACGTGGACTGAGCTGACACTCCAGCACCCGCTGTGGGAACTCTGCCAGCCAGTGTTCGCTGAGTCGCACTCAGCCTCTCCTCAGATTGAGGCAGCTTTGCTCCCTGGAGGCTTGATAAAGATACATAGTGAGTGAATGAGGGAAAGCATGAACTTGCTCTCCTTGCTTCCCACAGCCCTTCCGTGGTAGTAATAGTAAATAATTTATAAGTGGTGACTTACAGTGTAGTATCTACACAGTAGATACTACTCAAGTATATATACTTATGTATAATACTTGTATATTATAGAATAAATAAATTGGCAGGAGAATCACTTGAACCTGGGAGGTAGAGTTTGCAGTGAGCCAAGATCACGCCAGTGCACTCCAGCCTGGGTGACAGAGAGAGACTCCATCTCAAAAAAAAAAAAAAAAGATGTGTTATTTTATAATAGTGTACTTGTGGCATGTATTATATTTCCTAACTAGTAATTAGTAAATATAAATTTATAAACAGCCAACATATATTGGTGCTTATGATGAGCCAAGCATTGTTCCAAGAAAAGGCTAACTTCCTTTATTCCTCACACTTCTTTTGGGAGGTAAGACTGTAACTGAAACACCTGCAGGCTAGGTCCTGCCGCTCACTGCACAGAAAGTCAATCACTGAGACAACAAGTACTGTTGGGGAAGAAGGCTTTAATTGGGTTCTGTAGCCAAGGAGATGGGAGATGGGAGATTAGTCTCAAATCTGTCTCCGACCAACTAAAATCGGGGGTTTCAATAGCAGGGAAGAAATGTACCTACATCCAGGAGAATAAGAATTAGGGAGGCGTAAGGAAGAAAAACTGGTCAACAGGAAGCAGGTGGTCAGTGAGGCCATCATGATGGGTGAGGAGTCTGGCATCTCATTGTC
This sequence comes from Homo sapiens, assembly GCF_000001405.40. Lineage (NCBI taxonomy): Eukaryota > Metazoa > Chordata > Mammalia > Primates > Hominidae > Homo > Homo sapiens. The sequence goes on along the minus strand of NC_000001.11, from coordinate 30,705,854 downwards.
CTGATGCAGTGATCCATGCATTTCAGCTCCTTGATACTATCTGGGGCTCTGATGGTTGGTTTGCTGAGAATGGAACTTAGATAAGACAATTGTAACATTCTCAAGTTTTAAGACTGGGAGGGTCAATTCTATGTCTATTCAAAAGAAACCAAAAACGTCAGTTCTAACAGACAATTGGTCTGGTTTCAGGACTACCCCAGGTTCACAGTGGGGGAAAGCAAGGCTAAGAAGACAGAGGAACCTGCAGCAGCAGGTCGGCCTTGGCACTGGGACCCAGGCTTGTCCACCCCACATGGCCCCTGGGTCTTCCTTCCTCCATGGGGAAATCCCTTTGTTGCCCCAGGTGCTCTTTGGGGCACCTCTGGTTCATGGGTTGGGGTCTTGCTCCTGCGGGCTTCATCTGTGAACCTGCTGCAGTGTGGCCAAGTCCCAGCTGCAGAACAGGCTGGAACAGACCCCTTGCCCAGCCCGGCAGCCTCCACTCCCGCCTGGAGGCCTGTCTGCCTGCCATCTTCCTCCTCCCACGGCTGGTGCAGCTTCTGCTTGGGCAGGTCGCCACAGTTCGAGAAGGATTTTCCCCTCTTCTTGGCATCAGATTTTCCCTTGCAGTCTCCTGACTTCGTTCCTGGCAGAATTCCTTCTCCTGAGTACTGCAAGTGTCTTTCAGCCACTCTCCTGTGAGTGGTGCAAAGCAAGAATTCTGTCCCATGCCTGGGGCTTTTTCCAGGAGTTAGGAGTATTGGGGAGTGCATGTGATGAGCACCCCAACGTGCATCCCATTCTCAGGGGCCCTTGGGTCCATCACAGCCCTCCGTCCCCCCGCAATGGGCCTTCCCTCACAGGGCTCATGGTCAACGGAGCCCCCTCCAGCTGCCACAGAGTTTCCTTTGCCCAGGCCCAGCCTGGGAGCAGCAGGCTTGGGTGGGGCCTTTCCAGGCATCGGTGGATGCCCCATGGTGTCCAGGGGGCAGGAGAAGCAGGTCCTGAGCTGCAGGTGAAGGTTTGGGGTCATTGGCAAATATGTAGATGACTGAAGCTGCAGTGAGCGATGAGCCCCCGGGGGGAGGAGTTGAGAGGAAGGTCAGGGGAGAGGGCCTGGAACAGAGCCCCAGGACCCCTACACTTCAGGGACAGCCAGAGGGACCAGCAAGGGAGCCCGAGGAGTGGCCAGGGGAATAAGAAGAAAATGAGGATGGGGTCCCAGGGACCAAGAGGAGAGAGGAGGAGGAGATGCCCTCCATCCCCCCAGCAATGGATCTTCCCTCACAGGGCCTATGGTCAGCTGAGCCACCTCCAGCTGCCAGAGTTTCCTTTGCCCAGGCCCAGCCTGGGAGCAGCAGGCGTGGGTGGGGCCTTTCCAGGAGGGAGAAGAACCGGCCCTGTCCTGGGCTGGCCTGGGTTGGGCTGGGCTGGGCTGGGAGAGGACAGGCCACGTCCACTTGGGATGCTGCCTCCTCCCCGGTCCTGCTGCCTCTCCAACAGCAGTCAGAGCCACCCAGGGAGTGGGGTGTACTCACTGGGATATGAGGTGACCATGGGTTGTGGGTGCACAAACATTTGATATTTCATAGTTTCCCAGTCATGTATGTATTTTAATAGTATCAGGAAAAAACCCATAAGAAATTAGCGCATTGAAGCCTTGATTTCATGGATTTTGTTGCTCAGGGTGAGACAAATGGAAAACGGCCTATTTCAAGTCAGATTAAAGGGATGATTGAGTCAACATTGTGCAGGGGGAGGGGACAGCAAAAAGCATGAACGTGTCAGAGAAGCTGCTCAAGTGTGAGGGACGTGGAGGAGGCCTCTGAGGCCCAGAGTCAGACACCCAGGGCCAGCCTGGCTCTGCCTGGGGCTGAGGGGCCTTGGGCAGGTCGCTGCATCTCTGTGAGCCTCAGTTTCCTCATCTGTGATATGGGGTGAGCAGTAACAGCTCACAGGGTTGTGGCGACGGTTGATGAGATGAGGAGGGTGGCGTGCTGGCAGGAGCTTGGCACAGGGTCAGCCCAGCCAGGGAAGCAGAGGTTGGTGTTATCATTATGATTATTATCGGCTTTGGCACCACTGTTATTCAGGGACTTTATTCTGGGTGAGGTGACTGATGGCTTTTAGAGGGGAAGGGGCCAAGTTCTTGCCACCCCAATCCTCAACAGAGCTCCATGAGGGCCATCCCCACTAGGGAACTCCTCCTCGAACTTCATAGCCCCGGGCCAGGCAGGCTTTGGTGTGTCACCCAGTGGTGACACAGCTTCTTGGAGCCACCATGTCCTTGATTGTAGGTTGACACCACAAGGCTGACTTCATGGGGGTGACTGTGAGGAACACCAAAGAGAGGCAGGTCAAGTCCCTGGAATGTAGTAGGGCTTTATCCTCTGAGATTTTGTCCTCCATGGGGGAAATTTCTGTTGGTCCGGTGGGGACAGGTTTGGTGTAATCTCGGGGGGTCTGACCCCGCTCTGATTGTCAGATATGTAGTCTGAAATTAAGCCAAAATTTCATCTTACCTATGCTAATCATCATTACTTATGAGGTTCTTAGATACCCTGAAGCTGTCCAACATGTCCACTCACAACATGGGAGCTTAGTAGCACTGAAATGTGAATTTAAATCAACAAATATTAACAGAACATTTGGTAAGTCACATTCATCCACCCACCCATCCATATCCATTTATCATCCATTATCCTTCCATCAATTCATCCATCCATCATCCATCATCTATCCATCTATCCATCATTCATCATCCACCCATCTATCCACCATCCATCATCCACCATCAGTTCATCCATCCATCTATTCATCATCCATCCATCCATTTATTAATCATCTATCCATCCATCCACTATCCATCTATCTATCTTCCATCCATCTATACATCATCCATCATCCATCCATCCATCCATCCATCCATCCATCTATCCATCCATCCATCCACCCATTTATCCATCCATCCATCCATCCATCCATCCATCCATCCATCCATCCATCCATCCATGCATCCACTAAATGGCAGCTGAACATCTACTATGTGCTGCTATGATGGAGCTGGACAAGAGACCCAGTTTTTGCCAGCATGGTGCTTTAGCTGAGCAGAGAAACTGGTGTTTAGCACATGTCATCGTGAGGTGTAAGGATGGCTGTGGAGGGGAGCACAGGCTGCTGTGGGAGCCTCTGGCAAAAATCAGGGAAACCTACCTGGAGGAAGGGGCATCTGAGCCAGAACCTGCAAGACCAGGAGGACTTCATGGGTGAAGGGAACTCTTCCTGGTCTTGCCGGTACTGGCTAAGATGCCCCAAGTGAAGGGGGTGTCAGGGGGCTGTCTAAGTGGAGGCTTAGTCTTATCTGGGAAGTGCCAATGGGTGGTGAGATGGGCCTGAAGATAATACGGCTGCTTGGATTAGGGTAGAGTCGGGGTGGAGTGGGGAGTTGACATCCTAAGTGTGACAGTTGCATGTAGGGTATGAGTGGGGAGGCATATGAGCAGATTTGGGTCTGAAAGTCCCTCTGACCACCATGTAGGTGAGGATAGGACTGAGACAGGGGAAGGAGTCAGTCAGGACATAGAGGCTGCAATGCAGGCTGGAGGACATGGGGCTCTGACTAGGATAGTGACTGCGGGGCTGGGAGAAATGGGCAGTTTGGAGATATTTGGGGGTTTCAGTCTTAGCCTCAGTGATGAGTGATGGGAAAGTGGAGGGGGGCTCCCAGGTTTCTGACTTGGGCTGCCTGGGGGACCCTCACTTCCTCATATAGAGAAGCAGGTTTGGGGTTGGGTGAGATGCTAGATGTGGCTGCATCAGTGCATGCCCCGTGGGTGTCCAGGGGGCAGGAGAAGCAGGTCCTGAGCTGCAGGTGAAGGTTTGGGGTCATTGGCAAATATGTAGATGACTGAAGTTGCAGGGAGTGATGAGCCCCCAGGAGAAGAAGTTGAGAGGAGGGTCAGGGGAGAGGGCCTGGAACAGAGCCCCAGGACCCCTACACTTCAGGAACAGCAAGAGGGACCAGCAAGGGAGCCCGAGGAGTGGCCGGGGGATAAGAGGAAAATGAGGACGGGGTCCCAGGGACCAAGAGGAGAGAGGAGGAGGAGAAGCAGGCACAGGCTGAGTGTTGCCCAGGGGCTAAGCATGGGCCGAGGGTGCCCACTGCCTGGTCCTTCCAGCAGGTAAATGTGGCCTTACAAGGGCAGCATCTTGGGGACAGCATGGGGACTGAGGTGGGCAGAGTGTGTGTGGAGATCAACCAGGAAGGATGGCTGGTTCAGGAAGTTGGGCAGTGAAGGGAAAGTGAGAGAGTGAGAGGGTGACAGCTCAGGGGAGACATCAGGTTCAGGTTTGTTGTGGGATGACAGACTTGAATATGATTCAGTGCTGAAGAGATGGGGCATAGAGACAGGGATGAGTATAGACAGGTAAAGAGATTAAACATGTCCCCACCACCCTGGAGAGATCCAGGCAGTGGGTAGGCGGGGCCGGTCAGAGCAGGCTGGGATCCCAGACAGCAGGAGGGGACAGTCTCCATCTTCAGGAGGAGGAAGGGGAGGGCCTTGTGAGTGCCAGGAGTTTGGATATTTGTTGTCAGGAAATCTAGTAAGTTCTTATTTTGAGGCTTGGATTTTCTCTGGGCACCAGGAAGCCATGTCACCAGCTAAGAGAGACAGGAGATGGGGAGGGAAACCTAGGGAGGAGGAGAGAGGCTGAATCATCTCCTTGGGGACCGGCCAAGTGGGAGGCAGAGCACGTGTCCTGGTGATGAGGCTGATGGCAGCCCAGGAGTGACTCCAGGAATCCCTTGGGCCATTGTGGGGGATGTGCAGTGTGCACTTTTGTGTTGGGTCATGGGCTGAGCTCCAGCTGGACTGACCCTAGGCCATCGCCCAGCCAGGCTCCCACCTGATGCTTGAGTCTGAGCTATTGAACTCTGTGAGTGTCCCTGTAGGTGCAAGTGGAGGGGTGCCAGGAAACCTGCCCTGAGAAGACCGCCCTAAAGTGCTGGGCCTAGGAGGTACACCGGCTTCCCAGCTGGCCCCCTCGCTCCTGTTTCCCCTGAAACTCTTCCTGCTCACTGCTGCCAGAGAGTGCTTTCAAATATGTGAATTCTATCCTGTCATGCCCCAGCTCAAGAACTGTCTGTGGCTCCTAATTTTCTGTTGGATCAAGTTTAACCTCTTTGGCCTGGAACTCAAGGCTTCCCAGCCTGACCCTGCTTCCTTTCAGGCTGTGTCCTCTCCCTGCTGTCTCCACCCCCTGCCTGCTACCTACATGCTGCGCCTGGGTCCAGCTGTGCTGAGCTGCCTGCCCTTCCTCAGATCAGCCAGGTTCTTCTGCACCTCTGTTCCTTTATACATGCTGTGCCTGGAATGCCCTTCCTGCTCTGTTGAGGCTGGAGATGAACTTAGCCACTCTCTCTTGCAGCCCTTCCTGACTTCCTCTTCAGGTTGGTGCCCTCCCTGTGTTTCCCCTAGGACTCCACCAGAAGGGCAGAAGAGTGGGTGACGGATGGAGGGACCACCAAGTTCCTCAGATCTCTGTTCAGGCCTGAACCCCTGTTGATGCACTCACTAGGCTGAAAGGGCCTTTGGATGTCAGCGGCAGTGTCTTGTTGGTCCTGGTGTCCCCCTCCAGGGCTGAGTAGTTCTAGGTTAGCGCTGAAGAAATCAACAAGAGGATGGATGCATGGATAAATAAAGGAATGGATGGATGGATGGATAGATATGTGCATGGAGGGATGGATGGATAGGTGGATGGAGGGATGGATGGATAGGTGGTGGAGGGATGGATGGATAGGAGGATGGATGGATGGATAGATGGATGGATGTATATGTGGATGAAGGGATGGATGGATAGATGGATGGATGGATGGATGGATGGATGGATGAAGGGATGGATAGAGGAATGGATGGATAGATGGAGGGATGGATGGATAGATAGAAGGATGGATGGATATGTGGATGGAGGGACGGATGGATAGGTGGATGGAGGGATGGATGGATAGATGGATGGATGGATCAATGAAGGGATGGATAGAGGGATGGATGGAAGGATAAATGGATAGATGGATGGATGGATGAAGGGATAGATGGAGGGATGGATAGAGGGATGGAAGGATGGATGGCTGGATGCACAAAACAGCCAGGAGTCAGGAGTCAGGAAATCCCCAGGTGAGGAAAGGGTCACAGCAGAGAGCTCAGAGCCCAGCACAGCCTCGATTCTACCTCAGCTCACGTTTGTTGCTGGCCCACTGTATGCCATCACACAGGTCTCATTTTAACCCTCACACCACCCCACAGATGGGGTCATCCCTCCCATTGTACAGATAAGAAATTGAGGCTGAGAGATGCCCAAGGCCATGCATCTAGGAAGTGCAACACCATGTTTTAAGCCTCAGTTTCTCCACTTTCAGTCCAGAGTTCTTCCTGCAATGTATGCCCATGGCCCTGAGCCCTGTACTCTGTGCCGGATGGAGCCTGTAATGGTTGGTTATTTCATGTCTTTGTTGATTGAGGCACAAGGAAAGTCATGTGCTTTGGAGTTGGATAGGCCTGGGTGGGAATCCTGGCTTTACCACTGAACAGCTAGAGACGTGGGCATGCCATGTCACCTCAGGCACTCAGTTTTCTCATCTGAAAAATGGGGACATTAACAGAAGTTCCTAGGACTGTTGTGAGGATTACATAAGACAGAGTGTGTGGAGTGCCCATTATAAGATCTGGTGGGGAGTGGGGGCTCAAAACCCAACCTCCCTTCCTCTCTCCCTCCTCTCCTCCTTCTCTTCCAGGACACCCCTCCCTCAGGCCCTCAAGGCCCTAGTTTCTTTCTCTGAGTCCCCCTGGGGCCCTGCAGGCTCTGGGGTCTGAGATGCCCCCTCGGCTGTGTCGAGAGCTGCCTGTGTCACTGCATCTGTGCGGTTACTATAGCATCTACCTTGGCTCAGGGCAGGGAAGTGGAAAACAGGCCAGAGCGTGATGAGGCTGCATGTTCTCATCTGTCCCCTGAGACCCTGGCCGCACAAGGCATCTCTCCACACTGAGGCCATGGGCTGCTCTCTGGGCCTTGAGCCGAAGTCCTGTCCCGCCTTGGGCCAGGGTGGGTGAGGGGCTTCCCTCCTTTCAAGTCTGGCCAGCGACAGCCGGGGAAGCGACTTGGAGAGACGTCTGGCTGGCCAGGCCCCGGGGCCGTAGGTAGCGGATTGATAGGTGCCCTCTGCCTGGTCCCGAGAGACTCCCCCTCTCCTCCCACACCTAGGCCTCTGCACCTAGGGCTGTGGAGGAGTTAATCTGCCAGTCACCCCCGTTCCTGTCCTCCAGGCTGGGAAGCGCAGCCCAGGAGTTGCCTCCACTCTCCTGGCAGGCTTGCTGGGCTGGGTGGGTGAGTGGGGCTGAGTGTGTTATGGTGGGGGGCGCTGCTGGGTATAGGAGGAGGGTGTGCTTGTACTCGAGGGGTAGGCCCCTGGGACCCCTGGCTGCCTCTTTCCCCGGGCCAAGTGAGCCCCTGGTGGCTGTGAACCAGCTGTCTCTGGGCTCAGTTGTGGCCTGGAAGGTCTGTTTGTGGCTCAGGCCTCAGGAGGTCCCTTCTTCAATCCTCCCATAGTGAGTCATACTGTTGCTGGCTCAGTCCCACCTGGTTTCCTGAAGGTGTCACTCAATGCCTGGATCTGGCAGTGAAACCCAGCTCTCTGAGAAGAGCCCCTGTCCCGAACAGCTCCCACCAGACTGCCAGAGACTCCAGCTTGGGGCTGGTTGTGGCTTCTTCTTAAGTAGCACTACACTGGAGATAGTAGGAGCTCTGGGCTAGTCCTGGCTATTTAGCAATGAACAAGATAGCTGAGGTCCCTGAGGCACGACAGACATTAAACAGGCAGTGGGTGGGAGCAGAGGCCCTTTGAGTCCAGGGAGAGCCAGTGCACAGACCTGTCAGACCCATAAGCCCACAGACTGGAAAGTCTGGAACTATCCGAGCTGAGAGCTGGATCTGTACAGCCTGTTGAAGCCTCTGCCCCACCTTCCCCGGTCAGAGCCTCCCTTGACAGCTCACAGGGGCTCAGGCCAGGCTAGATGGGGACTGTTTCAGGGGAGGTCCCTGAGTCACCGAGATGGGAGTCCCCACGGCCAAATTTGCCTGGCTCTGGGCTCTGGTTTCCTCTCGGTGGCAGGTGGCCCTGGGACCCCAGCCTGCTTGCTCAGGAGCTGCTGAGGTTAGGGTGGGGGTTGGGGAGGAGGCTGTCTTGAGATGACCTGGGGAACTCGGTGCAGATCCGGCCTCCTCCAGAATTCCAGCCCCTCCCTGCCTATTCTCCCATTTCTCTCCTGTCCGAAATCAAATCCCTTTTTAGAGAAACCTGAGATGACTCTGGCAGGACAGCTGCTGCTCAGAGCCCACTGAGAATACAACCAATTAAATGGGGAAATACGGGAGAAGACCTCCACAGCAGGGAAGCATGAGTCCATCAGAAGAATAAACAGACACGAAATGACAGGGGGCTACTGCTTCTCGCTCCCTAAGCTGTTTATCCTGAATGAAAAACACTAGAAAAATTCCACTTTGCAAAGGCTGCGCCCCTACCATGCTCATAATGAATACCAGAGGAAAAACCCTGAAGTGTGTTCAGCTGAGACCACATCTACCTAGAGTTTTTTCTAACAAGCTTTGTTACCTGGGGCTTCAAGACCCATTTAACCCACTCGACATGTGGAGTCGGATGCAGGAGTCTCTGGAATGACGTTACCATCACAGGTGACAACCCCATTGAGAAGATCCCAGTGGCAGCAGCGATGCGGCCCTTACTCACCACCCTGGGTTTGGGGCCCCGGGAGGATGGAGGAGAGAAGCCAAGAGGTATCCTAGCCCTCTTTCTCCAGGATGGGGGAGGGCTTTGGGGAGGGTGTGTGGGAGAATCCAAAAAGCAGTTTGTAGAGTAGTGTCAAGGACCAAGGCCTTCCCAGAGGGCCCATCTTTGCTGGCAGGTGGACCAGGCTCAGGTGGAGGTGAGGACTTCTTGGATGTTTCCTTGAACCCTGAGGGCTCTGAGTCCTTGCTGGGAGAGACCAGAGTGTGTGGAGTGCCCATTATAAGATCTGGTGGGGAGTGGGGGCTCAAAACCCAACCTCCCTTCCTCTCTCCCTCCTCTCCTCCTTCTCTTCCAGGACACCCCTCCCTCAGGCCCTCAAGGCCCTAGTTTCTTTCTCTGATCCAGGTGAGGAAGAGAGGGGAGAATAGAATCAAGAACTTCCAGGGATCCCACTCTTAATGCTGAAGTTCCTGGAGATAAACAGTCAAATAATCACCTTCTAAAGATACTGGATCTTCCAACCTTCACTTCTGTCAGAGTTGGGGCATTTTCAGATACGTCAGTACCATTCATAGCATCTGAGCTGCACAGAATCTTGGAATTAGAACATCTTTCGTACACTCAGAGATGCTTTTTTGTATAATGTTTGAATTGCCAGGTCTAAGCATCTTGTCTTTATACAGAATCCTGGAATTACAGGATCACAGATGCCTTCATGGACTCACAGGCCCACGGAATCTTAGAATTTAGGAATCTCTACAAGAGTCTTTGAACATGGAATCATTCAGAGAAACTTAGAGTTGAAATAGAAATCTCGGAATCACAAGATAACCTTAGTCCAACTCCCTCCTGTAATGTGGGAAGCTCTCTCTTCACTGTTTTGTAATAACTTAAACACTTCTAGGGACGGGGTGCTCATTACCTGTCAGGGCAACTTGTCTCACTTTTGAGCAGATGTAGCTGTGAATGCTGAGCCTAAATCTGTCCTCCTGTGAATTCCCACCCTCTCTTGCTGGCCTCACCCCTTGCCATCCCCCATTCACCTTAAAGAGCCAAGTGTATAACAAGTAATGTTGATACCAAGGCAAGATTAAACTCTTGCTCTGGCCAAAACAATAACTTTTGAGGGCTAAGGGGCTATGGAAGGTGTGTGCCATGACATCCTCTGACAATGACATTTATTCCCTCCTTTTGGTGCCCTGCCTAGAGCAAGCCATCTGCAGCCCGCCCAGCCTGCATGGTACCCCTCCAGCCCCTACAGATGCAGAAGGTTGAGCAAGCTAGAAACCACTGGAAAAATCATCGGAAAAAGCAAGATCTGCTTCCAGCAAAATCCCAGCCAACAACAAGATGGAATGATTTGATGATGAAACTGAGCACCATTCGGACTGTACGAGCTGGATTTTATTAGTTTGTTTTGAATGTCCTCTGGGGGTGGGTGGGGGTGGGGTGGGTAGGCTCAGTCTTGTGTGAGCCTTGGCCCTGGCACCAGCCCACGGCAGAGCTGGAAGTGTGGGACCTGGGGCCAGACTGCCTGGTTGGAATCTCAGCTAGATCTCATACTAGCCATGTGACCTCGGGCAAGTTCCTAATTTCTCTGTGCCCGTTTCCTCTCTGATAAAGCAATGTGATGGGCATATATCTGGTATGATCTAGCCTTGTTCACTTAGGCAGACTTGTTTCCTTCCATCCAGTAGTTCGCACTGTCATTTGTTCAGTGCATTTGTTCATTCTTGCTCTTACCCATTCACACCATTCGTTACTACATTCATTCAGGCATCAGTTCATTTGTTCCTGCATTTGTCAATGCATTAATTCACACACACATCTGGGCATGATCAACCCCACTGTTCAGCCTTTTTCCAGCCTGTGGGCAGACAGACCAGGCCCCAGAAAGGGCTCTGAACATGGCTGGTAGAAAACATGTGATTCCTCCCATGTCACTTAAAGGTACTGGAATTGTAGGATCTAGGGCATTATAGCATTTGGGTCTCATGGTCCAGGAGCCCCAGATCTCTGCCCCACCACCCCCTCCTCCCAGGTCTCTCAGGGACTGGGCACTAATGGGTGGACCCCGGAGGTGACCGGAGCTGCTCATCAGAGGGAAGCCTGCCACCACTCAGTCGTGTCTGTGTGACCTGGGCTATATCACCTTCCCTCACTCTGCCTGGGGTGTCCTTTCACCCCGGGCTTGGGGTAGGACTTATCTGAGCATCCAGGTGGCTCTGGGTAGGAGAAGGCTCTGCCTTGGCTGCATTTGCAGAGAGCAGAGGCCCTGGTTTTATAGAGGGGTATTATGGTGTAAGAACACAAAATAGCAGAGACTCTTTATTCCAGAAAATTAAGTCATCCTTTTTCCTTGAGCATCTCACTTCTGACCAAGAAAGGCTGGTGGTAGAGACTGGGCCCGGTTCAGGGCTGGCTCTGTTGACCCAAGAGGCAATGACACAGATCTTGTCCAAAATCCATTCTGTGTGTTACAGTGATCTGAGGGCATCCTGCAGCTAAGTGCCCACTGGTCGGCTGCAATAATTAATTGATTTTATTGCCTATACTTGAGGCCTCTGGAGCCTTGGCATGTAAATACATGCAAATGAGCAGAGGAGCGGGTTGAATCCAAAGCCTGGGGGAGTATCTGCCTGGATTGGGCTAATTTCTCTGCTCACCTTTCCTGCTGTAATCCTACTGTGTTCTCAGGGAGCAGGAGAGTGGGGGACAAGGAGAAGGGGCCTTAGAGCCAGAGACACCTGGGTTCAAAGCCCAGCCCACCCCTTCCTGCTGTGTGTGGTCGTGGGCGAGTCCCTGCACCTCTCACTCTACCTGTCTCCATCATTGCGGGGCGGGGGTGGGTGGGGGGTGGGTAATGATCCTCCTGCCCTGCAGGGCTCTCATGGGCCTGAGGAAGCAGCACTCAGGAAACATGCCTCACACCCTTGCTGTAAGAAGCAGTGCAGCTTAGAGCTCCTAAATTATGTATTTCTGAGGTGGCGGGGAGGAGAGTGCAGTCATCTGGGCTTCGCAGCCCTGGCAGAGCAAGTGCTCCTTGAAAGGAGGTGTTGTGATTTCCCCTAATGAATGATGGCAATTGCTCCTTAATCCAGCCCTCGCCTCCTTTCCCATCCAGTACGGTACGTTTTATGTGTGACCTTTGCTGAAACACAACAATCTCTCTTCACATATTGGGGGAATTACAAGAAAGCTTGGAATTTAAACATCCTGAAAGATTTATTCTATGTAGTGGGTGGAATAACCCTCACAAAAAACATACAAATTATGTTAGGAGAAGTAGGTCTGAGGTGGGCTCCAGGCCTGGCTGGAGCCTCTGATGAGTGGGGCTGGGGACTGGAGGCTGCTCTGATCAAGGGTTCATGCAGAAGCTTCTTTGATTCTTGGTTCTGTCTGCATTGTATGCAAGTTATAGCATTTGATGGGCTTTGTCAGGACTGGTGGGTGCTGAGGTTTACTGAGCACCTACTGTGCGCCAGGGCTGCCCCATCAACCCATGTGCTGTCCCCTGACATGGACATGGCCACTCCCACTGTCCCGGAGGGGAGTCTGAGTTCCTGAGGATGACTGACTTGTCCCAGGCCACTCAGCTCGTTAAGTGGCAGGAGGGGAATTTGAACCCAGGTCTGGTTGACCCCAAAGTCCCTGCTTTTCCCCTGACCCCATACAGGAGGGACAAGGGGACTTGTACATCAGGGGGAGCTGAGACTGCAGACATTGGTGGTAGGACTTGCCACTGATCCAAGCCTGGGCTAGGTCCACAGTTAGTTCAGCTCAACGTTGGGTCTTTTCCTGTGAAGCACAGGCTGCTCACTTGGAGGTGGGTCCCATGAGGGCTGTTCCTGGGCCCCGGGAATGCACATCTCACTGGAGGAGCCAACATTCCAAGCAGACAGTGGGGAGAGAGATATGATGGCATTCTGGGGAAGCCCAAGTCACCCCTGAAGAGGCAGGCTGTGGAGACGACACTGAACTCACAAACGGGCTAGGAAGGGCACCTGGGCAGGGGGCTGGGAGGAGCGGAGGCCGGGGTGGGAGTCGACTGGCAGATGCATTCATTGAGCAAACCTCCATTGATACCACCAAGGAAACTTGTTGTTCTCTCCACTGCATCCTGTTCTCCCCCACCTTTTTTCTCTTTCTCCCCACTTCCTCCTCCTTGTCTCCTCCTCTTCCTCTTCCTTACTCTTCTCTTCTTCCTCCTTCTTTTCTCCTCCTCTTCTTTCTCTTTCTCCTTCCTCTCTTCTCTTCCTCTTTTTCTTCCTCCTCTCTTCTTCCTCCTCCCCTCTTCCTCCTTGCTTCCTCTTCCTCCTCTCCCTCCTCCTCCCTCTCTTCTTCTCTTCTTCCTCTTCCTCCTCTCCCTTCCACATCCTCCTCCCATTCTCCTCCTCCAGGTAGAATTAACCCCTGCTATCTTCCAGGTCCCAGTGTAGGCAGCACCTCCTTGGGGAGCTCCCTGATCCCCCAGGATGGGCTAGGGGACCCTGTAGCTCCCACACCCTCTGTGTCTCCCTCATCAGATCCCACGGTGCTGCCATCATCTGTTCCTCACTGGACTGGGGGCCTGGAGGGCAGTGATGGCTTCTCTGTCCCCGTGGTGACTGAATAGCTCTGCCCTCCCTGGCTGCGGGGGCTGGACCAGTTTCCTCACCACTCAGACCTCAGTGTCCTCCTGTCAGAGGGGTGGTAGTCCACATCCCCCAGGCTTGTGCGAGGGCTCAGGCACAATGATGGCGCTGGCAAGGTGTGAGCTCCGCTAGTCTCAGCCTCCCCTCCTCCCTCTGGGCTTCCTTCCTCCTATCCGTCCTCATCTCCACCTCTGAGGGGCCTGGGCTCCATTCTCCTGCAGGACACCCCACCTCCCAACCTTCAGAGGAGAGATAATGAAAACCTCCTCCAGCACCATGTCCTAAAGTTCCCGCTTAATTACTGGTGCGGTGCGCTGAGCAGCTACGGCTGCGCCTTTCCAGCTCTGGCGCCACATGGAGTGCGAGACACCTGGCTCCTCCCTGACGCACTTCTTTCTGTTTCTGCCCTTCAGGCTTTGTGTCTGTCTGAATCTGCGTCTGTTTCTCTGTGTTTTATATTTGGAACTCAGGAGCGAATGACGATACTTTATAGAGATGAATGGAGGTGGGAACAGAGATGTCCTGGGGGCAGGACCCCAGTTGGGGGTCACACAGCTAATGACAGAGACAGAATTCAAACCCATTAATTAACACACTAATTCATGTAATGAATGTTTATCAAAGTGCAGTTCTGTGCCACAGCTTGGAAGGCCTGAATTTAATAAAATCCAACATTATCTAAGGGTGTCGTGTGAACTGACTTGGCACCTGTGCATGGGGGCATTGCCTGGCCTGTTGCCCAGGCTGGAGAGCAGTGGCACAATCCTAGCTCCCTGCAGCCTCGACCTCCTGGGCTCGAGTGACCCTCCTGCGTCAGCCTGTGTTGACTTGGTAAGTGTGGGTTTCCTTTCATTCTCATAGCAGTGTGGGGAAGAAGATACTGTTATCCTCACATTACTCAGGAGGACACTGTAGCTCCCAGAGGTGAAGGAATGTGAATTGAAGGCGTCCAGCTAGGAAAGCATGGAGGTGGGGTCCAGCCTGAGCCCCTGGACTCCGTGTCCAGTGCTCTTCCCACAGATGGGTTCAGCTGTTAGGAATGAGGTGAATCATATGTGTGGGGGTGGGGTCTTCGGATAAAAAGGCCCCAAGGCTGGGATTAGAGGAGGGGGAGGGGAGGGGCCACGTCTCTCTTCTTCCCTCTCTCACCTCACTCCTATCATCTGTCACTGAGGCCTGAGACTGTCTCAGAAACATTCCCTGAATCATTTCAGGTTGAACATGGGCCCTACTGCTTTGTAGGGGGACTTTGGACATATCCTCAACCTCACTAAGCCCCTGATTCATCACTGGAGATGCCCAAACTTAGCATTTTCAGTGGCTGGCACACTCTGATGAGGAGCAGAGGTGAGATGCTCAGCATAGGGCTGGGCGCATAGTGGGTGTCCAGTGACCACTAATGAATGAACCGATTTTCTTGCCTCCTCCTTGTGTCTGGGTCACCAAGTCCCATTCATTCCACCTCCTGCCTCCTAATGGAATCTGTCTCTTTTGCTCCAACCCAGGTGTTCATTGGGACCAGGCCACCATCCTCTCCATTAATGACTGAGGCAGTTTCTCACTTGGCCTGCCTGCCTGTAAAGGCAAATCCACTCATGGCTTCTGGTTCAAGGAACATGACATAACAGAAGACAACAGAACAAAATGCAAAAAAAAAAAAAAAAAAAAAAAAAAAACACAAAAAAACCCCAACACCCAAACAGCCTTCAATGGCTCCCAGCTGTCTTCAGCATAATACCCAGCTCTTAGGCACAGCATTTGATAACCCCCTGAGTTCACCTGAATCACAGCTTCAGCCTGATTTCCTGCTGTTCCCCCAAAATGCCCTCTACTCTGGCCACACGGGAATCTTCCCTCATTTCTATCTGGGTCAGACAGGGCCATCTTAATGAAAGAGGTGTAATTGGGGGTGGGCAGGGTGGAAAGTTCAAGTGAACGAGGATAAACCTAGGAAGGGCCTCAGGTCCCCCTCCCCTGAGACCCAGAGCTTCCTGTTGTCCTGGTAGGGGGTCCAGCTTGGCTCTGGCCCTTGTTGTGGGGCCCCTTCAATTCTGCCTCAAGGTTTGCCCTCTCACCTCTCAGCTTGGCACTTCTCCTTTCCTCTGAATTCTTGCTCTGCCTGCTGGGGTATCTACTCATCCATGGCTGCCTCCCAGTGACTCATTCTAATACTCCTGAAAAAGAAATCCACACCTTGGAATAATTCCTGTTTTCTGCAAAGCAGACAAATGTTAATTATGGTCAGTATCTTCCTTTCTGCCTCCTTTGGAAATCTCCATCTCTGAGCTCTGTGATAAAGGAATTAGGCTCTGATTAGCGGAAGGCAACGCCAGTCTGAGATCGTGTTTCTCTGTTCTCAGAGATTACAGGCAGCAAGGGATAAAGGAGAGAAAGAAGAGGAAAAAACAAAGAAAAGAAGAGAGAAAGGAAAAATAGAGAAAACAGCTGTTCATTATGCTGGAAATCGAAGCCCAGGGCTTTGCACACATCCCTAGGGGTGGGGGGCAGCGGGTGACTGTGGATGAGACCAATAAAACCTGCAGAACCAGAGGTTGGTTTTTATGCCTGTGACACCTGCATACATTGTACTTTCCACACCGTTTGGCTTTAGCAAAACCACAGTGATTTGTCAGAAGAAAAAGATCAAGCATGCTGCTGAGCTGTCTGGATCCCGGGTACAGATCTGGGTAGGTGGGGTGCAGTGGGTTTCCATGCAAATAGCCCTAGGCCCAGCCATTGTGTGCCCATAGCAGGCTCTGATAGTTCCAGGGCTGGAGATGTGATAGGGATCAAAATGGGCCAGGCTTTCTTCCTGAGTTAGAGCCCGCCTCTGGGCTGCAGAGGTCTCTTGGGAGAGGCACACAGGGAAACATGTGCACCCAGCTGGGGGTCTGCTGTAGCTAGCGATCTCAATAGCCTGTGCACGGAAATGCAGCAGGTCACAGGAAAGCTAGTCTGCACAAAGCTATGGTCCTCCTGCACCCGAGGTGCACCCGAGGGAGCAGCCATTTCTTGCAAAGTCCCCAGCTGGGAGTCCCTGGGGTATCTCGCGTGGGTTCACAAACCAACCCACCAGGTATGGTCACCAGGTGGAGGCTGTGCTGTTCTCCCCCTGGCTGTCACTGATCTCTACTCGGGAAGCCTCTAGAGGTGCCTGGAGGTGCCCTACTGGTGGTGCCCCAGCAGGGATGAGGATGACAGTGTCCATGCCAAGGGGGCTGGGTCCTCAAGACCCCAGAGCCACTCGAATGCTGCAAACCTCAGAAGTAGAAGAGAGGAGAAGATTTACTATACAGGGATAGGGAGAAGGCAGGGAGGCTTTCTGGAAGAGGCCTCTAATCTGGGTTTTGCTGGATCAGTAGGGGTTTTCCAAGTGGATAAGGTAGAAAAAGGATCTTGAGAAGAATGCAATGCACAGTGGAAACAAGATCTGCGTATGGTTCAGGGGAGGAGGCCACACAGGGCTGGGGAAGGCTAGGTTAAGAAGGGCCTTGACTCATCAGATCATTTGAGGTCAGGAGTTCGAGACCAGCTAGGCCGACATGGCGTAACCTCATCTCTCCTAAAAATACAAAAATTAGCCGGGCATGGTGGCGCATGCCTGTAATCCCAGCTACTCAGGAGGCTGAGCCAGGAGAATGGCTTGAACCTGGGATGCAGAGGTTGCAGTGAGCTGAGATCTCACCATTGCACTCCAGCCTGGGCCGCTGTCTCAAAAAAACCACCCAAAACCAAACGAAGGGCCTTGTCCCGTCAGGCAAGGGGTCTCTAGTTACCCTGCTACTCAGGCCTGTTTCTGTCCCTTCCTGGCCACTGCTGACTGACGCCAGTGAAGGGCTGTCAGCCTGCCTGGATCTAACCACTCTGCCCTTTGTGCTCCTTTCCAGATCTCTCCTGGCCACAGAGTTGTCTGCAGGTACATGGTGTGGGGGTTGGAGTCTGAGCACTGGAAAAGGCCAGATTTAGACACATAGGATTTTAAAAAATAATAGTGAAGCAACTGGAGGCTGATGCCGAGCTGGCAGGCAGTGTCAACAGCCCAGGTTCTGGAATCGGAAAGACTGGACTGACTGCTTTGAGTCTCTTCAGTGACTTGAGGAATATGATGTTGGCCCCAGGAGGCTGTTATTAAGATAGTAACAATAGCCACCTTTCACCGAGCGCTTACCAGATACCAACAGCCCTCTACACACTCCTTCAATCCTCTTCACACCCCATTAAGCTATGCTTGGCAGGAAGCATATAGTAGCTGCTCAACTCACAGTGTTTCCCCCTGCCCCTAAATCTCTGGGAGCACCAAGGAGAGTTTCCCGCGGCTGTGATTTAGTGGCTCTGAGATCCCTCCCCTGCTGCCTCATTTGGCCCTCCATGGCGTGTATATCCCACCACTGTCCCCGGCTCATTGGAGATGCATATTCACTTTGAATTTGCAAAGGGCACTGTCCTCAGGAAACTGGGGTGTTGACTTCATGATGTGCAAGGCCCTGAGGACCAGGGTCAGGCCATGCACCCATGGGGGGTGTTGAGTGGCTCCTTATCTCTCTCTCTCTCTCTTTCTCTTTCTCTCTCGCTCTCATCTACTCAGTCAGGCTGGTCTATCAGACTCTTGCTCTATTTCTTCCCTCTTGTTCTCTCTCCCTTGTATTCACTTGATTCTTCCCCTAGAAACCCAGATGGAGGAAAGGGGGTGACAGGAGGATGGGCACTGTGGAGCCTTGTGGTCTGCGATTAGAACCCTTGGGTTGACCCTGAGTGTGATGAGGATGCGAACCTTGGTGGTTTGGGAGCAGAGGAGTGACATGCTCTGATTGATGGGTTACTGTGACTGGCTGCTGGGTCGAGGAGAGTCTGCAGAGGGTGGGCGTGGATAAAGCAAGGCATCCCTGTGGGCAGGTGAGAGAGGCAGGTGGCTGGACCAGGGAAGTCATGGTCATGGGAAGTGGTCAGTTTCTGGCCATGTTTTGAAGTTAAAGCCATCAGGATTTGCTGGCGGATTGAATGTGGGTGTGGCAAGTGAGGTGTCAAGGAGGACTCCAAGGTTTAGACTGAGCCACTAGACGGATGGAGTGTCATTCATGGAGATGGGGCAGCTGTGGGAGGAGCAGTCTTGGGGACTGCTGGGGACAGCAGCGAGTCTGGAGTTAAGTTTTGGATGCTGAATTTGAGAAGCCCATTAGACCTCAGAGAGGTGACATGGAAAAGGCAGTTGGATATAAGTACCTGGAGCTCCAAGCTGGAGAAACACACTTGGGGGTTTTCAATGCTCAGTCCCTATTTAAGCCTTGAAACTGGCTTGGGCCATCTAGGCAATAAGGCTAGACAGAGAGAAGAAGAGATCTGAAGACCCAGCCCTGGGGCATTCCCATATTTGGAGGACATGGTGATGACAGAAACAGGCAAAGGAGGCTGAGGAGGGGTCCCAGTGCTTCCTCCCCTTCCCTGGAAGCCCCCAGACCCAGCCTGTGGACCTGCCCAAGAAAGAAAGATGCAGAAAAAAAATAAACCCTTCCAACTTGTATTGGGAGTCAGAGGGGAGGTAGTACATGATGTGGGGGTTGAAATCGGAGCACTGGAAAAGGCCAGATTTGGACACACAGGATTTACAAAAATAGCAGTTAAACAGCCTCTTCTCAAGTTGATGAGCTGCTAGAAAAAGCCGCACTAAATTAAAGGGTTGTGCTGTCTCTGCACTTAGATTCCCCGCTCCTCTCTCCCTACTATCTGCTTCAGCCCCCCCAAGGAAGTCCCACAGCCTCCCCCCTCTCTCATTCCTTTTTTTTTTCCTCCTCCCTCCTCCCCCAGAGCTGTACCCTGAGAGGTTCCAGTGCAAGCAGAGAGCTGCGAAAGGGAGGAGGGCAGGAGGCGGACAGCTCTTCTCCCTCAGCACCCACCCCAGCCCCTGCGTTCCATCCCTGTCTAGGAGCCATGGAGGATCCCAGAGGGTCCCTCCTGCTGACAGGTGCCCCTGCCTCTACCTCCACCTCCTCTTAACAGTGGGGGTGGGGGAAGTGCAGGACCTAGGGGCTCTTGACTTCAGCTCCTCTCCCCTGAGGAACGAGGCCCACATTCATGGCTAACCAAGACTGGCCTTAGTGGCTTCGCACCTGCTGGGCCTCCACTCCCTCCGCAGCCTGAGCTGGGAAGGACCCTGTCTCCTGGCTGCCCCCACCACCTATAGCTCCTGGCGGGGGTGCATTTCAAGATATTCAGGGAGGAGGAAGCTGAGCCTAGGTCTGCAATCTCTTACCGAAAAGAAATTTATAAAATGCGTAAGGCATAGCACTCACGCAGCTGGCACTAACTGGGTGGCCACCCCGCTCGGCTGCAGGTGAGGAGGTGGGGGCTCAGGGAGGTCGAGAGGAGCAGAGGAGGACCTAAGTCCAGCTCTGCCTGCCACTCGGCCCTGGGTCTTTCCATTGTTGGGGGCGGCTCCGAGGCTTTGTTATTCATTCACTCATTCCTCCAGAACACCAGAAGCCCGGCCCCTGGGAAGCTTGGGTCCAGTAGTGGCCCCAGAGAAGACAGGGCAGGGGCCCAGAGGGGTGCAGAGGAGCTGGGGAGGGGAGGACACTGGTTTGCTTGCGAGGAGCAGGGGAAGCGAATGGGGCGCTCTGCTGGGAGGCACTGAAACCCACTGGTACTGGCTTAAGTCACAGCTGGGACCTGACTCCCAGGAGAGGTGAGGTGGGGAGGGCAGCAGGACCTGAGGGAGGGGACTGCCCTTTCTCCCTCTCGGGTCCCAGCTCAGGGCCAGCCTTCCGCCTCCCGCCCTCCGCCTCCAGCCCTCCGTCTCCCGCCTTCCCTCGCTCAGGTCCAGCCTGTGGACAGGGCCCGGTCCGGGTCTCGGGGCAACCCAGGAGTTGATTGGTCCGACTGGGTTCAGGTGTCCACCCCGGTCCAATTAGCTGTGGCGGGGGCGTGGCCACACATCATATGCAGGTGCCCGGGGCCGTCCTAGGGTCCAGAGAGGGCGGGCGTTGTGGGGCGGCGTCCCAGGGACTGTCAGGGACTGGAAGCCCAGGGCCGGGGGAGGGGGCGGTGTCGGGGGCTGTGGGTGACGTAGGGCGGGTGGCGGGCGGGGCGTCGCTGTGCTAGGACGCAGAGGGGACGCGGCCCTGCCGGTCGCCGCGCGGTGGCATCTCTCTCCGCTGTCACCTGGAGCAGAAGGAGCTTTCCCGGAGGAGCCTCGCTCTCCTCACAGCGCCCTCTTTCCTTCTCCGCTTTGCTCATCACGCTGGTGCTGGTTTAATTCATTTGTCGGGTTCCTCGACGGTCGTCCTTGTTCCCACTGGAAAGTCAGTTCCCGGGGAAGGGGGCCCCCGTCTGTCTCTTTCCCAGCCAAGAGGCTGCTGGGCCCGGGAGGCGCCCACCGTGGGGGAAGTCGGAAGTTATTTAATATTATTAACAGCTGTTAACATTAATTGAGCACCCAGTGTGTGTGGGCCCCGTGCTGAGAGCCTCTCACCCGCTGTCGCATTTGATCCCCACAACAGCCCCTGGCAGAGGTGACAGTGCTGTCACCTTGTTACAGATGAGGGATCTGAGACCCTTAGAAGCAAAGCGCCAGACCACATGGGTAGCAAAGCCAGGACTTGAGCCCAGCCTGTCTGACTCCAGGTTCATCCTCAGAACCATGCACCATGCTGCCCTGCTGTGTGCCAGGCCTTGTGCTGGGAACACAGATGGAGGATGCACTGTCCAAGTGGGGCCCATGGTGAGTCAAGGAGTTGAGCTCTTCACAGTGGGTAATGAAAGGTGTTGGTGTTTGGCTGACTCCCCTGTCTGGACCTCACTCAACGGATGGGAAAACTGAGGCCCAGATTGAGGCAGGGGCTTGCCTGATGTGACAGAGCCCAAGTCCTCCAGGTGGGACGTGAGAGATGAAGGGGGGTGGTCAGAAGCTGTAGGTCCCTCTGGTGGTGTTTGTTCTCCAAGGATGCAGAGCTGAGGGGCTCAGACCCTTGGCCGTCCAGGGCCCAGCACAGTCTTGGGTGGGGTGCGAGGCTTACTGTGTGGGCTCCAGGGGAATTAAGTGAGCAGCCAGCCATGTGTGGGTGGATGGAGCAGAGATGGGAGGGAAAGGGCTACTCCCTTGAATTCAGGTCATGTGGACATGATGTCAGGGCAGGTGGTTGGAAAAAACAAAACAAAAAACAAAACAAAACAAGACCAAACAAACAAACAAACAAACAAACAAACAAACTAACTATAGGAAACTACAGAAACAACAACCCAACCTTACAGAGTATTATTCAACATATTTGGTGGGTACTGAAGACCGAGAACTTTCTAAAGTTGAAATGTTGTGAAGTTGTCACTTTGTAAAGAAAGAAAGAGTCAGTAGGGCCTGTACCAGTAGGGATGGAGGTGGCCTTTGTCCCTGATCCCCCCTGGGAATCCTCCTGCACTCCCAGGAAGGGTGGTGACGAAGGTCTCTGTGACTGGCCACTGTAGTGGAGCTGGGGGCTGCACGATAGCATTGACCCCCTTGGATTTGTCTTGGCTGCCTGGAGATAATGGTTTTTCCCCCAAAGCCCTTGCATTCTCCAGAAGGGACCTTGTCTAGTTGTCCCCTGCTGGTCCCCAGGCTCAGCATGGTGCCAAGTAGTGTGCAGTGGACGAATGAATAAGTGCAAAATCCTTTACCTTTTCCCTGACACTCACTCAAGTACGCACGCAGGGCAGGGGCTATATAGCAAATTGTACAAGGTTTACACAGCACCCACTTAGGACTGGAACTCCTGTTCCTGGGCCCACAGAGCAGTTCCAGAGAAGGAGAGGTGCCAGACCTTGCAGCGCAGTGGATGGAGGCTCTGGAAATGGAGAGCATCTGGGTTTCAACCAGCCTGGGCAAAAAAGTGAGACTCAGTCTCTACAAAAAGAAAGAAACATTGGCAGGGTGTGGTAGTGTGCACCTGTAGCCCCATCTACTTGGATGCTGAGGTGGGAGGATCCCTTGAGCTCAGGAGTTTGAGGCTGCAGTGAGCTATGATCGAGCCACTGCACTCTAGCCTGAGTGACAAAGGGAGGCCCTGTCTCAAAAAAAAAAAAAAAAAAAAAAAAGAAACAAAGAAAAGAAAGAAAGAAAAGAAAGTATTTCATTGTGGGCAGCATGCTAAACTTCTGAGTCTGTTTCCTTTTCTATAAAATGCTACTTCAGAAGCTATTTTCAAGAATTAGGAAAAAGAAAAGCATGTGGACCACTTAGCACAGAGCTGGAGGGCTAGGCATGTAGTAGACAAGGAAGGAATGATATTATTTAGGATGATAATGACGATTGGCCATGAGGGCAGGGGTCTCATCTGTCTTGTTCACTGCAGCATCCCTACGGCCTGCCCTGGCCTGGCACATAGTAGGTGCTCAGTGCATGTAGCCCCTAGACTCCACTGCCAGCAGCCTGAGGTCTTCTCTGTGCAGTTGGATGGATCCTTCCTGATCCCCCTCCCACCAGAGACAGCAGCAGACTCTCAAGGAAGGAGCAATTTCACGGGATTCTCAATCTCTCTTTTTCCCTTCAGTGCCGATCCATTTCCTTATTGGCTTCAGTGGCTTTGTGTGCCAGCTTGTCTCTGGCAGAGCTGGTGGCAAAATGACAGGGAGTCAAGGTCTTCATGCCCTTTGCTTCAGCTTTTATCCACTTGATTTCATGGGGCTGGAGCTGTAGCTGCCACTCAGCTGGAGAAATGTCAAAATGAAGTTAAATCACAGGATGCAGGCAGGTGACAGGAGAACACTTGTCACCCACCTCTTGGCTATCCCCCTGGTCCCAAGCCCTCAGCAGGGAGGGATCATTGTTCCCTGAGGGCCCAGCTTATTTTGTCTGCGCTTCTCCATAATCACAGTCTTGCAAGCAATTTTCTCGAGGTGAGAGCTGGCGGTGGCCAGGCACATGCACTCATAGGTTGTAGTTGGGGATGGCTGGCATGGCAGGCCTGGGAACTTTGTGTGAGGACAGCAATGGGGGTGGAGAACCCAGGGGAATGGACTAATCGCAGGCAACTGCTGGGCTGGATTCTCTTTTTAGTTTTTATTAGTTTTTTAAAATATGAAAGTGATGCAAGCTCCCTGTTAAAATTCAAGCAGTGTAGAAGAGTGTAAGGATTTTAAGTGTTTTGTCCCCCAAGCCCGAAACCCACCTCCTAGATGAGATACTGCAGATATTAATTAGAGTGAGCTCGCTGAATCATGCCCATGGGTAGACCCCTTCAGATTCACTAGATCCTTCAGTCCTGTCATCAACACTGCAAGGTAGATTCTGCCATTGTCCTGTTTTAAAGGACAGGTAATGGAGGCTCAGAATATTAGAGTGACCCCCAAGGCCACCCAGCTGGTTCCAGAGCAGGGACTGAACCTGGCTCTGTGAGTCTTCAAGGGTTCATCCATCCCGCCTCTGCCGCCACAGTGGTTTGGCATCTGTTGTTTTTTCCTAAGCATATAATAACTTGTCTTTCCTTCACAAACATGAGATCATACCCTAAGCATCATTTGCAGCTTGCTTTTTCATTTGAGAGTATTTTCCTATTTGGATCTGTCCTATTTATTCAGTGGCTGCCTCGTAATCTTTTGTCAGAGGCACCAGTATTTATTTAGCTGGTTCCTTCCCAGTGGATGTTTAGGTTGTTTTTCAGCTTTCTGCTATTACTGGCAATGCTGCAATACACATAATCCCCTGACTTTTTTTCAAATCCTAATTTTGATTATTCAAGTGCTAGATGCATATATTCTTTTTGTCATATAGTCAAACAATTTAGATAAAAACTTGCCTGAGCTACCCTCCTCCATATTTGAATCCCTTCCCCATAATAGCCATTGTTATCAGGGTGGCATATAATCCTTATAGACCCAATTCCTATGCATTTATATGTGTACATACGTATACATTTTTATTATGGGTATTTTAAAAAACATAATATCATGCAATATGTATTTTTGTGCATCTGCCTTTTGTTTTTACATTAGTAACATCCTAATCCTAGAAATATTTCCATGTCAGTACATATAGAGCTACTCCACTCCTCTTCTTCTTCTTCTTCTTTTTTTTTTTCTTTTTTTTTTTTGAGTTGGAGTCTTGCTCTTGTCTCCCAGGCTGGAGTGCAGTGGTGCAATCTCGGCTCACTGCAATCTCTGCCTCCTGGGGTTCAAGTGATTCTCTTGCCTCAGCCTCCTGAGTAGCTGGGATTACAGGCACTAGCAACCATACCTGGCTAATTTTTACACTTTTAGTAGAGACAGGGTTTCGCCATGTTGGCCAGGCTGGTCTCGACCTCCTGACCTCAAGTGATCTGCCTGGTTCAGCCTCTCAAAGTGTTGAGATTACAGGCGTGAGCCACCGTGCCTGGCCAATAACTACGTCATTCTTTTTAATGAGGCCATGTATCATTTCCATGGCATCGACGTGTCATCTTTTAAAAAATGATTTCCCCATTGTTAAATATTTAGGTTCCTTTCATTTTTTCCTCTCTATAAAAAGTACTGCAATAAGTACCTCTATGCATGTTTCACTGTGTGCACACTGGAGTTTTTCTCTAGTGTTGATACCCAAAAGTGGAATGGCTGAGTTGAAGGGTTTTCCAGGCCAGGTTTTGTCTGACCTGTCCACACAGTTGCAGAATCCTTGGGGTGTCTCTTTTCTGGTTGGAAACCTCTGTGGCTGGTGGCTCCTTTGCCCAAGTTTTGCTCGGGCCCTCTGGGCTTGTTCTGCCCACTTGGCCTGGCAGGCTCGGCTTGGCTCACGCTTCCAGCCTGGATCCCATGCCTGCCAAGGGTGAGCAAGGCATGGAGCAGTGAGGGGTGTGTGAGTGAGTGAGTGTGGGGTCTGGCCACTGTGCACAGTCAGGCACGCTGGCTGCTGCAACGGGGCAGGGAGCTCCAGGTACCTCTCTGCAAGGCTGCAGCTGGACCAAGTACACCGCAAGCAGCTTCCATGGCGGCCACTGGAGAACACAGTGGCACCCAGAAGCTTGGAGACTCCAGGAACTGCAGGGCCCCAAAGAGGGAGTCACAGCCCAGGCTTGGGGAGCTCCCAGGTCTGCGCTCCCTGAAGGGTCACAGCTCTTCTCTCCTTCTCTTCACCTGCAACATGATGAGCAAGGGGCATGTTTCAGCCCTGTTTGTGTTATAGCTCTTTCAGCCCTGTCATTTGGCAGGTCCTGAGTTCTTGTCCTGCGTCCAAGATGAATGAGATGCATGGACAAGTGGAGGGTGAGCAAGGTGAAGAGGAGCTTTATTGATTGACAGAATAGCTCAGAGGATGCCCTGGAGTGGGTAGCTCCTCTCTGCAGGCAGGTCGTCCTGTCATTCTCTGCAGCTCTCAGGAGAGAGGAGGCCCTGGAGTGGGTAGCTCCTCTCTGCAGCTGGTTGTCTCAATGTCTGCTCAGCTCTGGCTGAGCCCAGGGCTTTTATGGGCCTCAGAGGTGGGGAAGTCCATGCCAGTTGTTCCATGGGTGGCCATGGGCATACCTGGAAAAGGCACAAGTTCTCACTCCAGTACATGGGACTGGCAGCCTGGCCCCCAGCATTCAGGCTTTCCCTGAATTGAAGGTGGGGCCTCATCAGGGACCTGCCACCTTCTGTCCAGGAGCCTGTCTGCCTCCTGCTGCTGCTCATGGCACCCAGGCTGTAGGTGCCAAGGGGGCATCTGCAGGCCAGCCCTGAGCTGCCCTCAGCACCCCTGGCCCCATTGGCTTTCCTCCTATGCTCATTGGTGCCCAAAGTCCAGAGGGGGCCAAAGTGTCAGGGGGCTGGCATGTCAGCACTGCCCTAAGCATGTGCACACCCAGCCGGGCTGTGACTGTGCCCAGGCTTAGTGCCGACTTTGCTCTAAGATTGGAATGGGTGCTGACAGCAGGGGGAAGCCAGGCAGTGGGAGCAGGCATTTCCAACCCTGCAAGGACAGGGGCTGCCTTCCTGGGCCCCCAAGAGTGCAGGGATGCCAGGGTCCATAGCTGTGGTTTGGGTGGCTACAGCTGTGCCCAGTTTGGGTTGGGGTGCAGGGCTCCTGCTTGCTCCATGGAGCAGGAGACAATGGGTCTGCAGCCACAACTTGGGCTGCTGTGGCTGCATCTGGGGAGCTCCTGCCCCACCAACTTGGAAGGGGTGAGGCTCCCACTTGTCCCCATTTCCTGCTGGCACCATGGAGTGTGCAGTCCCAGTTGTGCCTCACTGCTGCAGCCAGTGTAATAGCAGTGGCTGCTCTAGATGGACTGTTGCTGCCATCAACAGGAGGAGTCTGGGGAAGATCTGGGTTGTGAGTTCCAGGTTGCTGTTTGCTGCAGGCAGCATGAGGCGAGATGGCTGAGGATCTGGCCTTTCCCTAATGGTCAACTCTCCGTGTCCATGTTCTTGGACAGCTCTTGGTGACACTGCCAACTCTGGGTAAGATTTCTTGGCTGTGTGGCTCTTTGGAAAGAATTGTCAGAACAACCCTGTGGGCCACCTATTGGGCCAGCCCCACACACCATTTGATACCCTGCCTCTTCCGTCTTGTACTTACTGGTGGTTGGATTGACTGATCCAGGTTGACTGGTAGTTTTGGTAGTTTCTCAGCCCATTTCTACTAGTTAGCCCTGGGAAAAGTTGGGGGAAGATGTGCATTAAGTTGTTCAACTACCAGCCATTGCTAGCACCTCCCTTATGCTAGGCTGGTGGCTCAGAAAGACCTCTGCCCTCAGGAGTTGCAGTTCAGTGTGGGAGATACGCTTGTACCAGCTGACAAGGGCTGTGACAAAGGTAAGTGCAGAATTCTAGGGGGATGCACAAGGGGAGTTCTGACAGTGTCTTGCAGGAGTGGTCCAAGAAAGTTCCTGTTATAGGTGATAACAGTGGTGTCCTAAAGAACAAATGAGTGCTTATACCTAGAACATCTGTTTGGTTTTTCTTTATGTGTTTGCTGGCTATTTGTTGCTGATTTTCACCCTGTTTACCGAGCCTCCTCCTTCATCTGGTAATGGTCTTTCCATGTTTATTCGGTCAATTACAGCTCTTCCGCCCCACTCTAGCCCACTTACATCACAGGGGTGGGCATGTGACCTAGGCCTGGCCAATCAGAGTCCTGCATCCCTAAGCCACAGTAACTGGTTCAGGATGGGCCAATCCAGGCTTCCCTGGGATTTTCTGCTGGAGTTGATGGGAGACACTTCCTTTTGCCTTTGGAGTCATGGAGCTCAAAGTAGATGCTTGGGATCACCTGCCCTGGCCTCATGGGGCATGCCCAGGTGCAGTGGGAGAAACTGAGGCCACTTTGCAAAAAGAACCAGACACAAAGAGGAAAGATGGGTAGAGAGAAAATCCCGGGGCACTAAGATCTGATTCTGGCAGACTTTTCTTTTACATCAGAGCCTCTTGTTCAGCACTGGGGCCAATCATCCCACTTCTAAAGGCCTCAGCTGCTGGACTGGGGTCTGTTGCTGTGGCCTGGAGTCCTGACAGATACTGGGAGTGGGCTCATGAGGTCACGAGGGCTCTAGATTGGCAAAAAGCAGGACAACTGGGTATGAGGGTCTCCTCTGACCCAGTGCTGACTTCAGTATCTTTCTATACTTGGTTCACTCTATCCTCTAAAACCCAAATTAAACACGACACTCTCTTTTAAAAGCTCTTCAATGCCTCCCCATTTTCCTTAGGATCAAGCCCAAACTCCTTAGCCTGCCATGCTGGGCCCTGCGTGGATTGTCCCTGGCCTGTCATCCCTCACTGACCAGAGCCTAGGCTCCAGCCACACCAGACTTCCTTCTACTCCACACCCAGGCCACTCCCTCCTCCCAGCCTTTGCACATGCTGTTCTTTCAGCTTGAAAAACATTTCCTGCACTTTTCTACCTTACCCTCACCTCCATTCTTCTTTACCAGGATGACTCATACTCCCTTTCCAGTTTAGAAGTAAATACCCCTTCCTCCAGGAAATTTTCCTGCTCTCCTTCTCTGAGCCCCCACAGCACAGCATCATCTAGCTCTATGGCAATTATTTAACAACTTGTTTCCTTCAATGGATTCTAGGCTCTAGGAAAGTGAGTTCACGTCCGCCTTGTTCATTATTGCACTCCAGCTTCTATCACAGTGTTAATGAATATGTGGGAAATTAATCAACAAATGAGCCCCAGTTCAAGGGGCAGGAGGTGTGGTGGAAACAACTCAGTTTTAGAACAAGACAGAACTGGGTTCAGATCCTGCCTGCATAGTTTATCTCTTGGCAAATCACTTCATCTTTCTGAGCCTCAGTGTCCTCAAATGCCCACCTGTTAGCAATTTAAAAAATATATTTTTTAAGATTTGGAGGTCTCACTATATTGCCCAGGCTGGTCTCAAACTCCTGGGCTCAAGCAATCCTCTAGCCTTGGCCTCCCAAAGTGTTGGGATTACAGGTGTGAGCCACAGCCCCTGGCCCATGTTGGCTATTATGAAAGACAGTGAGGGTGATAGTGTTTGGAAAACTCAAAAGTATGAAGCAAATGTTAAGCTTTCTTTTTAAAGTAAAGATGTCAATGACATCTGATAAACAGAAATTATTGTGACATATTGGTAGTGTTTTTCCACTTCAGATTGACAATAATAAATGCCTGAACTGTAAGGGAGTGGAAAAAGAAGGACGCACAAACCAAGAGCTACAACATGCCAAGGTCTGTGCTAAACAGGTTGTGTACGTAGTATTCATTTTCTCTGGAAACAGCTTCTGTAACTTTTACTGGAGTCATTGCTAGATATTTTATACTTGCTTTTTTTTTTCTGTTGTATATGGTGTTTTTTAAATTTACTGATGCATGGAAATTTAATTCAATATATATATTGATTTTGTATCCAGTAAACATGTTAAACTTCTTTATTGTTTACTTATCTGTAGATTATTTCACATTTTCCACATAGACAACCAAATAGTGACAGGTTTGTTTCTTTTTGCTCCTTATACCTTTAATTTTTTTCTTTCTAACTTTCCTAGCAGTGATACTAGCAGGTACCCTTGTGTTGTTCCTGATTTCAAATGGAAAGCTATGAGCTTTGTGTCATAATGTACAATGTAGGTAGGTTTTCATAGATGCTTTTCATCTAGCTAAGCAAGTCCTATTTAATTCTTAGTTAGGAGTTTACTCATGAAAAGATATTGAATTTTATTTGCAGCTATTAAAATGTTCATATGTTTTTTCTCTTTTAATCTGTTAATATGATCCACATTGATTTTCTGGTATTAAACCAACCTTACATTCCTGGGATAACTCCAGCTTGGTCATGATACACTTACATTGCTGCATTTCTTATGCTAATATTAGGTTTAGGACTTTTATACTTATGTTCTTGAGTGAACTTGGCCTGTAATTTTCCAGTCTCATATTGTTCTTGCCTGACTTTGGTGTCACGGTTTTCTTAACCTCATAAACTACAAGTGTGTTTGAGATATTAGATTTATTTCTATCTGGTGTGTTTAGAAAGCATATTATAAAACCATCTGGGCCCAGTGTCTTTGTGGGATGGTTTCTATTCCTAATCCAGCTTTTTAAATGGTTATATGATTGCACAACTTTTAAAATGTCTTTTTGAGTCAGTTTGCATAAGTCGTATTTTTATAGGAATGAGTCAGTGTCATGTGCTTTCAAATGTACTGTTATAAAGTTGTTCTGGATATGTTTCTATTTATTTATTTAATCTCTGTAGCTTCTATGACATGATCTGTTTCCTATTATTAATGCTGTCTCTTTGTGCCTTCTCTTGCTGTTTATGTTTTTCTTTTCTCATTTCAGTCATGTGTGGGCCTTCTCTTTATTTAGTCTTTTCCAAGAACCAGCTTTTGGCATTGTTGATCTTGTCTATTGTATGTTTGCTTTACCTTCTCTATGCCTTAGTTTCCCCATCTATAAAAATAGGGACAGTAACAATATGCATTCCTTATACTTGTGAAGATGAACTGAGCTAATACATATCAGAATGGTGCTTGGCACATAATTGTTTTATGTGTTTACTTTCACTTCTATTTTTGTTAATAATTGATTTCTCTCAAATTTCTCTTCCTAAAGATCTTTTTTTAAAGAGACAGGGTGTCACTCTGTTACCCAGGCTGGAGTGCAGTGATGTGATCATAGCTCACTGCATCCTCGAACTCCTTGGGACAAGTAATCCTTCTGCCTCCGCTTCTTGAGTAGCTGGGACTACAGGTGCATGCCACCACACCTGGCTAATTTGTAAATTTTCTGTCAAGATGGAGTCTTGTTATGTTGCCCAGGCTGGTCTCGAACTCCTAGTCCCAAATGATCCTCCCACCTTGGCCTCCCAAAGTGCTTGGATTACAGGCATGAGCCACCACACCAGGACATCTTTTCTTAAATTTCTTTAGGTTTGTTCTGTTCTTCCCTTTCTAACTTCTTAATCTAGACACTTAGCTCATTGATTTTGAGTGCTTTTCTTTTCTAGTGTGAGCATTTAGGGCTATAATCTTCTAAATATCGCTTTTACTGCATCCAACAAATTTTAATGTTTTGTAGCAACATTATTGTTTTTCTGTGTATTTAAACGTTTCCATTATTATTTCTACTTTTATTTTGAAGTGTTGAGGAATATGTTGTAATTTCTAACCACATAAGCATTTTTTGCTTTCTAAATTCATTTGTAACCTAATCGTTTTGTGATCTGAGACTGTGTACAAATCCTTTGATACTTGTGGAACGTACTTTATGCTGGTCAGGACTTCGGTCTATAGGATAATAGGAGAATAGACCTATCTATTCTCCAAGTGGTTATCCTAGCTGCTTTAAGATGCCTACTTAATTTAACAAGGTTTAACGTTCACCAGTATTTGTATGCTTTTCCCAAACAACACAAGAGTCCTCTAGAATGCTCTGATCACCTTCTCTCAACTTACCTGGGATTTTTATCTCATATTTTAATTCTTTCTTGTTTATTTTTAACTTCCCAAACTAGACATTATTGTCATTATATCTTACATTTAATGGTAGCTTAATTCCCATGTGATTATCACATATTTCCTCATCAATCCATTTTGTCTGTCAGTCCTTATATTGGAATTTATTTTCCTTCTGCTTAACCCACTTCCTTTAGAGTTTACCTCTCCTGAGGGTAAGTTTCGTTTTGTCTGGAAAAGGAATGTTTTAGAATTTTCTTCCTGCTGGTGACAGTCTCTGCTTGTCTGAAAATGTCTTTATTTTTCTCTCCTTCTTAAAAGATAGGTTTGCTAGCCTTCTATGTTGACAGTTAATTTTTCTCAGCACAATGAAAATAGTATTTCACTGTCTTTTTCTAGCTACCATCATTGCTGTTGAGAAGTCAGCCATCCTTGTTTTATAGACATCTGTATCTTTTTCCTCTGGCTGTTTTGAATATTTTCTTTCTCTCTTTCTTTTGGTACTCTGCAGTTTTACTATATGTGTTTCAGCATGGCTCTCTTTTTTTATTTATCTCATTTAATGTTTTTGGGATGAAAATTGTTGTCTTTCAAGAAGTCTGGATAATTTTCTTCAAGTATTTCTTCATTTCCTTTGCTCCTGTTATCCCCTTCAGAACCCTGATGGGATTATTGATTCAGTTTTCTCACTCATTCCCCATGTCTCTTAGCCTTTCTTTCGTATTTTTATCTCATCACTTTTCTGTGCCACATTCTTCAGCAATATCTTTCAGTTCACTAATATTCTCTTCAACTGTTTCTGGACTACCATTTTCCTTCTTTCTAAAATTTGCTTAGTCATTTTTCTATAGTCTCTTATTCCTTGCTTATATTTTCAATCTTCTCTTTTATTGCATTATATATATTAGATATAGCTCTTTTATAGCTCATGGCTAATAAGTCTAACATCTGGAGCCGTCATGGGTCTGATTTTGTTGTCTGCAGTTTCTGTGGGCTCTCACTCATGGTGCTTTGTTTTCTTGTGTGTTCTGTGAGCTCATGTTCCTTAGAGGTTGCATTCTTTCAACTTGTATTGGTTGCTTCTCATCACTTGGGACCACTAGCAACTCAGAATCACTCTTTTTTTTTAAGACGGAGTCTCACTCTGTCTCCAGGCTGAAGTGCAGTGATGTGAGCTCGGCTCACTGCCTCCTGGGTTCAAGCCATTCTCCTGCCTCAGCCTCCTGAGTAGCTGGGATTACAGGCAAGTACCACCACACCCAGCTAATTTTTGTATTTTTAGTAGAGGTGGGGTTTCACCATGTTGGCCAAGATGGTCTCGATCTCCTGACTTTGTGATCCTCCTGTCTTGGCCTCCCAAAGTGCCGGGATTACAGGCATGAGCCACCACACCCAGTCCAGAATCACTTTTTATTAAATGTTCTATTTGAAGTTTTGGTCATGTATATCATAAATTTGACTCCAAATCCATAAGAAATAGTTACAATTTGTTTTCACAGTATTTCCTCTGTTCACCTGGCGCTGAGTTTGGGACAGACATGTTTTCTTGTTGCTCCTCTCTTTACAGCATGTTTATTTATTATTCAGCCATTCACAAAGGGTATAGTCCTTTGGGGTTCTCATTTTATGCTGGACTCTTCTATTAGGCCTATCACCGTGGTTGGCTCTGGGCTTTATCTCCTATGAATGTCTCCAGGGTTTTGTGAAACTTTGGGGAAAAATGCTAGTTTGGGTGCTTCTCACTGCCTAGGAATCCTTCTGTCTCTTTGTTTTTGGCCTCTTTGGATTTCATAATTTTGTGCCAGTTCATTGATGCCTTTAAAAGGATTAAAAAGAACTTTATCCAGCATTGAGGTTGTTTGCATGGGGAGAGTTGTTTAGGGTATCTGGTTGACCACACTGCCAAGAACAGAAGTTCAGGTGGGACATCTGAGCTGGGCTTTGAAGGATGGATGGGAGTTTTCCAAGTAAAGAAAGGAGTGGGGAGAAAGCGAAGCCTGGAAAGGGAATAGCAGGGTGAAAATGAGGCATGGGGGCAGGAAACTACACAGCATCTTCTGGAAAGGGCAAATGGGTCGAGACTTGTCTTATAGCAGGTGCTCAGAAAGGGTTTGTGGTTATCTGACTGTGAGTGCATTTGGCTAAGGACACGTGCTCAGGGGATTGCTTAGAAGCGAGGCTGGAGAAGTACATCAGGGCCGAATCATGATGGGCCTTAATGCCTGACAAATGGACTAAATGCAGAGGGATAAAATATTGAGAAACCTAAATCCTAAGGAATAGGCAGAGAAAGAAAGTCCTGCTGAGAAGACTGAGGAAGAGTGGACTGAGACACAGGAGGAGACTGCGAGAGACCTTGGTGAGGGCAGGCTTAGCGGGGCCAGGTGGGGTAATCGCCAAGAGCATCTCCTACCAAACAGCCTTGTACTCAATTGGGGAACTGGTGAGGGACATGCTGAGTAACTTAACTGACAGGATACTGAGCATATTTCTATATTAAGACAAATATGAATATCTTATGAAATGAAACATCAATGGTTCATAGTATTAGAGATAAAATATAACTCAGTGCTTGTTTTCATCAGGGCTCTCCAGAGAAATAGAACCAATATATACATATATGTGTATGCATGTGTATATACACATACACACATATGTAGATACTATGTATATGTATCTATATACATGTCTACATAGTATTATAGATGCTGTAGTATCCATAGTACATAAATACCGTGTGTGTGTGTGTGTGTGTGTGTGTGTGTGTGTGTGTGTATAGAGAGACAGAGAGAGATTTATTTTATTTTATTTCTTTTTGAGACAGCGTCTTGCTCTGTTGCCGAGGCTGGAGTGCAGTGGTGCAATCTCGGCTCACTGCAAGCTCCGCCTCCCGGGTTCACGCCATTCTCCTGCCTCAGCTGGGACTATAGGCGCCTGCCACCACGCCCGGCTATTTTTTGTTATCTTTAGTAGAGATAGGGTTTCACCGTGTTAGTCAGGATGGTCTCGATCTCCTGATCTCGTGATCTGCCTGCCTCGGCCTCCCAAAGTGCTGGGATTACAGGCGTGAGCCACTGCGCCCGGCCCAAGAGAGATTTATTTTAAGGACTGGATCACACAACTGTGGAGGCTTGGCAAGTCCAAACTCTAATGGGTGGGCCGCCAGGCTGGAAACTCAGGGAAGAGTTGCTATCTGGGTCCGCTAGCAGAATTCTTTCTTGCTCAGGGGAGCAAGTCATTCTTTATTCTACTCGGGCTTCCGACTGATGGGATGAGGCCCACCCACATTATGGAGGGCAATCTGCTTTACCAGAAGTCCACCAATGTAAATGTTAGTCTCATCTAAAAAGTGCCCTCAGAAACACCCAGAACAATGTTTGACCAAATATCTGGGCACCATGGCCCAGCCAAGGTGATACATAAACTTAACTACCGTGGTGCTTGAGGGCATCAGCTTTGGTTAAAACCCCTGAGCCCGGTGTGGTCTACTCTCTTCCACTTTTTGGAGAAAGCATGTGGAAAGCATGTGAAAAGCATTGTTCCTTCCCCCCCGTGCTGGGGCTGAGTCCTGGAGGGGATGGAAGAGCCCCCCATGTAGCAGCTACAAATTTCAGTTCAGAAGTCCATGAGATGTGGCTTGTTGTCTTTTCTCATGATCCTGACACATCTGGATCCTATCCCAGGGTGTGTCTCACTCCAGGGCCCATTCACCATCTTGGCATCTGTAGAAGCATCCCCTGCCCTCCCCTCGGCCACGGAGTCATGCAGGGAGCTGGGCTTGATCTGCCTGCAGGCCTGCTTCGAGTCAGCCTCATTGGGCTTCTTCTATGCCATACCAGTTGCAGGAAACACTGTGTGGCCACCTGCAGCCACAGCCCCTGGATACCTCAGCATCCCTTTCTTCCTGGGACTCCAGGAGGGAAAGCTGCTCCACGCCCCTCTGCTCTCAGATCCTTTCCTTCCCAGGCATAACTCCAGGAGGCAGGCGGGAAGGAAGCCCCCAGGATAGGAGTCCATTCTGTATTTAACAGGTATTGATTGAGTGCCTCCCTTGGGGAAAATAAAACCAAAAGGTCCCTGCCCTTACATAGCATAGAGTCTAGTGATGGGCAGGCCGATTGTAAATACCATAGAAAGTAAAACTGCAGAGTATCTTGGCAGAGGATGACTGTGATGAAACATTGTGATACAGGATGAGGGGCCAGGAATTGTTACCAGGGCAGTCCTGGAGAAACATAGCAGAGGGAACAAAACACGTGAAAGTGCTCATTATTTTCTTAAGCAGTAGATGGCTGAAAAAGCTCGATATTTTCTCTTTAACAGTTTCTTTTAGTCTCTTTAGCTCTAGCTAGCTTACAAGGACTGCATATGCCCGGGAACTTCAGGACCCTTTGCTAATTATCAGAGGATGAGAAGGCCTGCTGGAAACTGGAACAAACCAGAACTAGTGACTCCTTTAGATCATCAACATATCATTATAATACTAAATCCCCACCCATAGAAGTGCCACCATTTTCTGAACATGTGTGTTATGAAGAGACATGTTTATGACTTGTGCCTGCAAATCTAAAGTTATTCCTTGCACTTACTTGCAACTGCCCCTCTCCCAATATCTAACTCCTTAAAGTTCCCCAGCTTCCCACAGCTTGGCTGGGAGGAGGTGTCTTGGGAGCAAGAGTTCACTCCTCCTCTGGCCAGTGAATAAATCCTGCTTGCCTTTTTTTTTTTTTTTCAACATGGAGTTTCGCTCTTGTCGCCCAGGCTGGAGTGCAGTGGTGCCATCTTGGTCCACTGCAATCTTGGTCTCCCAGGTTCAAGCGATTCTCCTGCTTCAGCCTCCTAAGTAGCTGGGATTACAGATGTGTGCCACCACGACTGGCTAATTTTGTATTTTTAATAGAGACGGGGTTTCACCATGTTGGTCAGGCTGGTCTCGAACGCCTGACCTCAAGTGATCTACCTGCCTCAGCATCCCAAAGTGTTGGGGTTACAGGCGTGAGCCACCACGCCTGGCCAATCCTGCTTGCCTTTTAAACCATTGGGTGTTCTTTCTCTGTAACTGACACAAAGTAGGGAAATAACTCAGTTTACCAGTGACAGAACTGCTGGCTCAAGGGGGACAGAAGTGTAATTGTAAAGACGGCGGCAGGGAAGGCATCCTTGAATAGGTGATGTTTGACCAAAGGCTGGAAGTGGGTAAAGGAGAAAGCTGTGCAGAAGTCTAGGAAAAGGCTACTTCCTGCAGAGGGAACAGCTGGTGCCGAGGGCCTGCAGCAGGAGTGCATCTGGTGTGTTCAAGGCCCATGAAGGGTGGTGAGACTGTAGGGCAATGAGAGGGTGGAGAGTTCCTGCTGGAATGAGAGGCTAAGAGGCAAAGGAGGCCAGAGCGTGGGGAGACCTCCTACGCTCCTGTAAGCACTTAGCTTTGACTGAGTGAGGACAATCACCTGAGGCTCTGAGGAGGGCTGACACGATCTGACTTAGGTCATCAGGGGATGCTCTGGCTGCTGTGAGGGCAGATTATAGGGGCACAAAGGTGGAGGCAGGGAGACCAGAGAGGAGGCCACAGCAGTAACCTGGGGGAGGATGATGGGGGCTTGGTAGGCCGTGTGGCAGCGGTGGGGACAGCATTTGAACTCTTGGCGAGCACCTCCCCAGCCCTCCATGTCCTCAATCCCCCAACCAGGGGCATCTTTCTCCTGGCCCATGGACAGCCCTGCTCAGAATCCTTGTGTGTCCTTTCACATCTATTGCCAACACCCTGGGGGCCTAGATTTTTGCTACTTAAAAGGCAGAGGAGGTTCACTTTATACTCAGTTTCCTGCTAAAAGTCCTGGCTTGGAGTCAGCAGGGCCTGAGTGACCTAACTGTGGCCTGAAACATGGTTGAGGGATGACTGGAAATCATAGGAGAAAACATTGGTTGCTATTTCAAAGGCATTTTCCTTGCAGAAATGAAGGGATTCATGGTAAAGACCTCAGTGGCCAGAGAAAGAAGCATCTGAGACAGGTTCTTTTTTTTTTTTTTTTTTGAGACAGGTTCTCATCCTGTCGCCCAGTGCAGTGGCTGGAGTGCAGTGGTGCAATCTTGGCTCATTGCAGTCTCCACCTCCCAGGTTCAAGGGAGTCTCATGCCTCAGTCTCCTGAGTAGCCGGGATTACAGGTGTGTGCCACCATGCCCAGCTAATTTTTGTATTTTTGGTAGAGATGGGGTTTCACCATGTTGGCCAGGCTGGTCTCAAACTCCTGGCTGCAAGTGATCTGCCCGCCTTGGCCTCCCAAAGTGCTGGATTACAGGCCTGATCCACCGTGAGACAGGTTTTTAGACCTCACCAGAGGAACTTCCTTCCTCACCAGAGCGTCTGAGTCTGCAGCCAAGCACGCAGAGTGGGTGGAGCCTGCTCATAAAGGCAGAGGGCTTGTTAGGTGTGTCCAAGGAAAGACTGTCATTCTCTCCAGCAGTGGCTGGAGACCAAGGGTTCCTTCATCTTCCGCTCCCCTACTCCCTTCTATCCTTCCATTCGATGAAGCGCAGTGGCTATAAACACAGACCCTGGAACTTGGCAGCTTGGATTCACATCCTGTCCTACAGGATCCTGGAGGGGCTAAAAGCAGAGAGGGCAGAAGGGAGAGAGAAGATGCAGACCTTGGGCTCCAGCTCCTGCGGGGGTCCCTACCTCCAGTCAGGCCCGAGCTGGAGCAGAGACATTGTGGCTTAACCAGACTGGACCGGTCAATGCTGACAGGTGGACAGGATTAACACAGGGTTGCTGGTGTGTCTGCAGGGTCCACAGAGCCCAAAGACCCATCTGCGATGTCCTCGAGGGACGAGGTGGGCATTAGGCAGAGCACACTGGCAGGCGGAGGTTGTAGTGGGGGGTTTATATCCTTTCTGTTTGTCTCTTGGCCAAGTTCAACCCATTCAGTAGATTGGTTACATATATATTTTATGTTTTTAATAAGGCATGAACTCATTAAAAGATCCCGTATGCTTCTCCTGCCAAAATTTAGGCATAAATATGTTTACCACAGGGCTATTTAAAATAGCAAAAAAAAAAAATAAGAAAAGAAAAAAAGAACAACCTAAAACTGTGGACCACCCAGAATACTCCACAGGCAATGAAAACATTGTTTACATTCATGCTAGCTGGGAAATGCTTAATGCTATAATACGAGTTTTTTTTTTTTTTTAAAAACCCTAGGGTGTTAAATTATACATACAGATCAATAATAACTATGCCTGAAAAACTGATTTTAAAATACTGAAAGAAATGCAACCAAATGTTAAAAATACACCTTTGGGTGTTGAGAATTCACATTAAAAAACAAAACAATACAAAACACTTTTTTTTGTTACCAGAGTGTGCTAATTTAATTTGAAAATGAATACTGTTATTGTTACTGTTTTTCTGACTAATAGAAGCTTTCAAACATTTCAGAAATGCCCGGTGTAGAAAATAAACATCGCCCATCTCCTCTGACCTCCCGACACCCACCATTCAAGAGTTGGCAGTTTGGTTTTCAGGCCCCTGGAGTCTTTTCTTTTTATAAGAATGTGATCACATTTTATGCACAGTTACTCAATTTTCTTTTTTTCCCTTCTAATTGGTCTTGGAAATGTCTCTCTGACAGCATGTATAGATCTGCCTCATTAAAAAAACCAACTGCATTTCTTTCCTTTGTGTGGATGCCCCATGTTTCACCAGCAAGTCCCCTATTGGTTTGCAGTTTCTCCCTGTTTTTACAAACAGTGCTCCTAGGAACATTCTTGTATGTACATTTCCTGGCATTTAGTGTATATTTCTGTAAGGTAAATTCCTAGATATGGGCTTGCTGGGTCAAAAGATATATATATTTTAACTTGAATCACTATTACTCGATTGTTTTCCAAAATATTGTACCAATTTATACTCCCACCAGCTCTGTCTGCGGGTGCCTGGGCATTGTTTTTATGATGGAGATAAAAATAATAAAATAAAGTTTGTATCAGTTTTTAAATTTTTCAAAGGTTGTCCCTAAGCCTCCCTACTCCCATTCTCCTGGGCTCTGTTCCCCCCACCTTCTCCGAGCTGGGGGACTGGCTGCTTAGCTTCCCCATCCCTGGGGCTTGTATCCAGGGTCTGAAGTTCTGGGCAGTTCAGGCCCTGGGTGCATTCCTCTTCATCCTCCACAGGTGGGCCCTGGCTGCTGTTTTTAGACTATCAGTTCTGGAGTGCAGGTGTTTCCCTGTCTCTCGCCCTGAGGGATTGGCTAGGGAGGCAGCCTGAGTGTCCCTGGCATCTTGAGGGGCTTGGGAGTGGAGCTGGAGTTTCTGTTCAAGCTCTGACACTGAATGGGAATCAAGGTGGGCAGGGGAAGGTGCCCCGTTTCCAATTGCAGGGCTTCTGGGTGAGCAGGTTAGCCCAGCCCAGAGACTTTAAGTGACTCCTCCAAAGTCACACAGGAGGTGTGTTGAATTGACAATTCAAGCCCACTTGCAGAAAAGAAATGTCAGATCTCCAAGATGAGCACTCAATACACAGATGGGGAAACTGAGACATGTGGCTTTGGGTCACACAATGAGAAAGTGGCAGAGGCTGGCATAGATCTGGGCCTCCTGATCCATGGCCAATTGCTTATTCTAAGCAGAGAGATGGGATTTACTGGGGACAGAAGGGAAAGAGGGTCTGGGGTACTGCAGGCAGAGAGGATGGTCCAGGCTCAAGGGGTTTTCAGACAGTTGAATGACAGGATTTACAGGAAGTGCTCCTCACACTGTCTGGCCTGGTTGATGTGCAACACACAGTACCTGCTGTGCCTCCCAGCTTTAATCTTGCGAACTGTCTGCTGCTCAAAGCTCTGATTATGGACGGTCAGCGCTTAAAGACTTTCATTTCTAACCTCTTTGCAGATGAGAAACCCGAGGCTCAGTGAGATCAGTAACTTGCCTAGTGTAGCACAGCAAGTGAGCGGCAGGGCTGGGATTGAATGCAGGTCCATGAGATTCCAGGGGTCCACTACCTGTCTGCAAATCTTCCTGTTCCCCCATTAGGGGCTGCTGCCCTGCCTCAGGCCCATCTGCAGTGGTTCACTATGCTCCATCTGTGGGTTGTGGCTCTCTGTGGCCCTGCTCTTGTGGCTGGAACTGCAGGTGTGGGTGGCTGCCAGGCCCAGCTCTGTGCCTGCACTTCTCACAGCTGCTGTGTGTCCACTAGCCTGATCTGGGAAGGCCCAGAGGCAGGTTCTGAGCCAGACAGGGCCAGATGGCTCCTCTGGAATCTCGATCCCTTTCCCAGGCCATGTGGAAGCGGGAGAGGGTGCTCATGTATGCATTTTCCCCTGAACTCCACCTCCTTGCTGTCTCTGCACCTCCCTTTGCCTAGGCCCCTGTGAGCCTCCTGAGTTCCCGACTTGCCTTTGGGTTCTGTGTTTCTGGAGTGTCAGCTCTCTGAGGACAGGGACTTTTGCTTGCCTTGTTCCCCAGAGCCTAGAACAGAACCCAGAATATAGTAGGAACTTAATAAATACTCATTAAACGAATGAATGAATGTGTGCCCAAAGTTTCACTCATCATCGCTGTTACCTGTGCCCCCATTAACTGCCAGAGCTGTGACCCTTCTCCCCAAGATGACCTTGAACGGTGCGTAACCAAGTGTGCCAGGAACTGGCTTGACCTGCTTCCCATGAGACCGAGGCTCCAGACCTACCTCTCCCTCTAATCTGCTGGGTGTCCCTGGGCAGGTCTGTTCTCCCTCCCTGGGCCTCAGTTTCTCCGTCTGTATACGGAGGGGATTATATGCAGTAGTTTCCAAGGTTACCCTGTCTCCCCCCAGCAATGTCTTGCCGTCTCTTTGATTCTCTGGCTCTCAGCTGCTTAACTTGACAATCGCAACCCAGTGGTCTCATCTCGCCCTGCAGAGGGAGGCTACTATGGAAGTTGCTTCCCGGCGTTGAGAAGCCTGGCACGTCCGCCATTCGTGTCTAATTACTCTGGCAACTGTTTACTGCCTCTTTAATTCCCTGGGCAAACACCCCGTTACTGGGAGTAATTTACTGGCAATGGCTTGGGCCGCGAAGCGTGAGCGTGCTCACTCAGCTGGGCCCTCTGAGTGGGGCGATGGGACCCGAGGGCAGAGCGCCATCTTCCCTGGCGTCCTGAGCCAGGGGGCTCTCAGGTTTGTCCCTGTCTCCTGGAACCACCCTCTTACCTCTGTGGGGTTTCAGACTGCAGAATGGGCAGGGCCTCCTGGTTGTTAGAGCACAGACTCTCTGGAGCCTGATGGATCTGGGCTTGGGTCCCAGTTCTGCTGCTTACTCATTGTGTGACCTCCAGCAAGTTCCTTCTGCTCTGGGAGCCTCAGTTTCCTCATCTGTGAAATGGGGGTGTCTGTCTGCCCAGTTGCCCTCCCTCTTCCTGCACCCTCCCCCACTCCCTTTCCACATGGCAGTGGTGGAGACTCCCATGGTCTTACCTCGTCCTGCTGCCTCCCCTGACCACAATTTCTTGGTGCATAAGGATGGGCACCTCACCAGAGCAGGACCAGGCAGGGCCCCTGTGCCTTTGGGCACAGTGACGGACATCTGACTTGTCACTGATGCCGCAGTGAGAAAGTCGATCCCTCTGTGGCGGCTGAGGATGTGACTTGCAACAATTTGTTTTCAGCCTGTGGTAGGAACCGATGCAGAGGCGAGGAGCCCAGCCCTGGGGGTCTCTGATTCTGCCTCCTGCTTCCTGGAGGCCCTGCTGCTTCCCACTGGGAATGCCCCCTTTGGTATCAGCCACGGGAGCTGGGTTTCGGCATCTTCAACCAAACTAATCCTGAAAATCCAGCCCTGACAGCTGTGCTTCCCCACAGGCTGTGTGAGACAGCGCAGCTGGATGGGACCTACCCCGGGCTTGGGGACGGCAGAGGAGGTGTGGCAGGGGAGGGCTCCCATTACCCCACAATCGATCCTTGGTACAAAGTCCCATTAGTCCGGGTGCCACTTAAGTCCAGAGCAAACACCATCCTCTGGATCTGATCAAGACTTTCACTTCCCTCAATCCAGACACTAAATCTTTACTAATAAAGCCCAGCAGAGACTAAGGCTCAGAGGGAAAGGCCTCAGTTTGGGGAAGAGGGAGGGGCTAATCCCAAGATGTTGACAGGACAATGTACTACCCTGCCAAGGGGCCTGGCAGTGGGGTCAGGAGCCTTGGACGGCACAGAGGTGGGCCCATAGATCTGGGTTAAGATCTGATCTTAACATGCCATATTGAGCAAGTTACTCAGTCCCCCTCTGCCTTCGTGTTCCTACCTCCCAGATGGAATAATAGCGGCACCTACCTTGTGTGGATCAAAGGAGGAAAGGAGGGGAAATTGACTTGTTAAGGCTAGTGATGGCCATGTGTGAGGGGCTGTTGTTGGCTTTATGAAGACAGTGTTTTGGGGCCAAGTTTATTCCCAGGAGAGGCTAGGGGTGCACCAGGGGCAAGTGGCTTTTGCATCCATTTGATTACTCACTTGCTCACTCATTCATTCACTTATTCATTTGTTCACAATATGCATGGAGCTGCTGCCCAGGAGTCAAGGTGCCAGTTTGGGCAAACCTGGCCACAGGCTCCTATTGTCCCTGAGCTCAGGGACAGGCAGGAAGGGAACTCTGACAGAGGGAACAGAGGGCTGTGCCGTGCATGGAGGTTGGAGCTGATTGCACTGGGAAGCTCTGTAGGGGGTGGAGTGGAACTGGGGAGGGATGGGGAATCTGGTGGATCAGGGAAGAATTCCACTGCTGGTATAGAGACCCAGTTGACAGAAGTGTGAGTGGGTTCCACGCAGAGTGAGTGCCCGTGATCTCCACCTCCCTTGCCTGGCACCCGTGCCACCCTCCGGAAGCTTCAGGGAGAGAACCCTGGGAATGAGCTCCACTTCATGCTTCCTCCTCACCTGCAGGAGCCTCTGCCTAAGCTCTCTAGCTTTGCAAAACAATGAACTTGGAGGTAAATTCCTGGGCAACTTCAGAACCGTGGTGTTCTCTGGAGCATGTGCTTGACAAATGCTTCTGGCTGAGTGAGACCTGCTTGAGCTCAGTTCTGGGCCCAGGGTGGCTTCTCTGTGCTCCTGAGGCCCTCCTCTCCTTGCAGGCATGCCTGGAGTTCTCCTGGGCCCAGTTGGCAGGAGTGTCCACTACAGCTCACTGGTGAGGGCGAGGTGGGCTGGAACAGCAACCACTCGTCTGGTTTGGAGTTTATCCTTCAGTTCCTGCTGGGCCTGTCCCTGGCAGGTCCATGCTGCTCCCCTGACCCCGGTTGAAATCTGAGTCTGGGGAGATGGAGACTCAAGGACGGCGTCCCCAGGGCGCCTTGCCCAGCCCAGCACGAGCCCAGAAGCAGCCTTTGATTTGTGAACTGCTGGATTTAGGGTGGATTTGGCAACTGGGTTTCCAGTTGGTTTCCAGGGGGAGATGGATTTACAGCTGACACAGGTTTGCAGCCTTGCTGGGATCTGCAGCAGGCAGTGGGCAGGAAGTTATTGACTTGACCCCCGACCCTGGGGAGGGAAAGATAGTGAGGTTAAGAAAAATCCATCTTTGTGGGGTTTATCCTGGGGCCCTTGAAGTGGTAACTTCTACTTTTGATGCAGTTACATCTCTCTGCAAAGACCATGGGAAGAGGACCCAGAGAATGAGATTCTTCTCATGTCTTCCCTCCTGGCCTCTTGGAGGATTGAAGTCTGTGAAAGTTCCTGGAGACTCCAGGAATCAGAACTGCCCTGCTTGCCCTCCTGCAGGCCCCAGCTGGCCCCTCTGTCCCTGCAGTGCCCTCCCCACAGTGCGGTCATCGAGCTCCCTGCAGGCTTCGAGAACAAGGCAGGGAGGAGGGAACTACCTTCACTGTGGGTTTGGGAACAGACGGCCCTGAGTTTGAATTCTGTGGGATTCTTCCACTCACTAGCTGTGGGGCCTTGGGGGAGTTCCATGCCCAGCATGGCCTCAGTTTCCTTGCCTGTGCAATGGGGGGTGAGATTTCCCTCCAAGGATGCTGTGGGATTCAATGAGATGTGTCCGGAACTGCATAGCACTTGGCACGGGCAGGTGGGACGTGGGGCCTGGGCAAAGACAGATCCGAGTTAGAGCCGACTCTGATGGCCATTATCTGTGTGATCCTGGACACGCGTCTCAGCCTCCGGAGCCTCAGTTTGCCCCTCTGTGAAGTGGGAATAGAGTTGTTGTCATGACAAAAGGGAAAACGCAGTTCAGGTGCTCAGTGCCATGATGGGCGTGTGGTCAGTCATCTTTGGACACTTTTGCTACCCCCTTCTCCTGTGCACTGCCTGGGCAGCAGATGCTGGCCTGGCCCTGAGCCCATGCAGACAAGAGTGAGGGACTCCAGGTTCCTGTCCCCATCTGTCCCCTTCCAAAGCGAAGGAGATACAGCAACTCCTGGGACTGCACCATGGAAAGTGGGTCAAAGCACTGGCTTCTGAATCCTGGCCCAGCAATGTCAACAGCTGCAAGGACTCAAGGAGGCTACTTTTCCTCTCTGAGCCTTGGTTTCCTCATCCTTGGTAAAATGGAAAGAATGATAAAGATAAAAACATTACTACTCTACGTACTATAGTAAAAACATTACTACTATACCTATATCGTAGGTGCTTTACATAAACCAAATCATTTAACCCTTGCAACAAGCCCACAATGCCAGTATTATTATCATCTCCCCATTTTATAGCTGAGGAAATGAGGCTCAAAGAGGGAAATACC
The DNA here is from genome assembly GCF_000001405.40 of Homo sapiens. Lineage (NCBI taxonomy): Eukaryota > Metazoa > Chordata > Mammalia > Primates > Hominidae > Homo > Homo sapiens. Next base: position 30,660,875 of record NC_000001.11, on the reverse strand, counting down.
TTGCTAAAGTTGATATATCTCAGCAATGGCAGAGACAGGATTTGAGCCCAGGGAGTCTGGCTCCAGAGCTTATGTTCTCACCTGCCTCTTTGGGTCACTCTGAGGGTCCCCTAGGAAGAAGGGCATGAGAGGGCTCTGCAAGGTTCCAAGCTCCGTGCCAATGTCAGAGATGGTCATTTCCACGGGAGAGAGAATGTGAACCTGCCAGTGATGCCCGTTGTTCCCATAAACTGTTTAGTGTTACAACAACAGTGAGCTACGCTTCCTGAGCATTTCCTGGGTGCCAGACACCCTGCACAGCAATTTCTGCACATCATCTCACTTCCCTGTTGTCCCATCAGGCAGGAATCATGACCGCCGCTTTACAGATGAGGGAACTGAGCCTCAGACAGGCAAAGGAGCTTGGCCGGGGTCACACAGAAGCCGGGATGTGAACCCAGGTCTCTGACTCCAGAATCCTGGCTGCGACTCCGTCAATGCGCTGCCCCCACTGTTATTAAACATTAGCACAAGGACAAGCTGCCCTGAATGTCTGGTTCAGGAAAAATAGGCTGAGATCAGAGCCAGGGTTGATGGCTGGGTGGTCTGGGGGACTCCTTAAGGTATGCAGTGTGTTTGGGGCTAAGCAGACTGTATATTAGGGGTGCAGGTTGTGGATGAAGAGGGAATGACAACATCAGGTCCAGAGACAGTGTTAGGCGTGCTGAGTTCTGTATTTCTCATTAGAGGCCGAGCAGGGCCAGACCATGAGTCCAGGCATGGGGTTCTCTCCTGGGGACACTGATGGGGCTCTCAGGAGTCACATATATGGCTAGAAAATATGGCCAGACAGGCCACAGGTTCTGATGTTTCCCAGGTAGCATTCATTATCACTTGAGCTGGCTTCTGTCTCTCTTGTTAGGAGGCTGCGTGTTTCCTCATATTTCAATGTCACAGTTTCGTCAACTGGATGGCTGAGAGGCTGTGCGTAGGTCATGTGACTTAAACGTTTGCGTCCTTTCGCCCTCCACATTCAGATGTGGAAGCCCTAACCCCTCACACGATGATATTTGGAGGGGGGGCTTTGGGAGGTGATTAGGGTTAGATGAAGTCAGGAGAGTGGAGCCTCTTTGACGGGATTCATGCTCCTGTAAGGTGAGACACTGGAGTGCTCTCTCTCTCTCTCTCCCCTGTGAGGACACAGTGAGAAGCCTCCATGGGCACCCTAAGGAGAGCTTTCACCAGCACCCCACCAGGCTGGCACCGTGATATTGGACTTTGAGTTTCCAGAACTTTGAGAATAAATTTCTGTTGCTTAAGCCTCCCAGTCTGTGGGGTGTTGTTATGGCAGCCCGAGCAGGCTCAGGCAGGGAAGGCATTGAGACGTTCCTCCTCTGCCGTTTACTCAGTACTATCGACTTGTCCTTCTTCATTATTCAGCAAGTAATTCTTTCCATGAGCTCCCATCGATTTCCAGATTGAAATATTTCTTGATGAGCTTTGTAATGAGAATCTGTTTCAAACGAACTGGTGTCTGGTTAGAGCATTTCACCTTGGGCCAGTTTCATTGTGGAAACAGCATCAATTCCTCTCTAGGGACTTCTGGGTTCCCTCCTCCTGCCTCTTACTGGGGACATCTGTGCACCCTCTTCCTGGGGTCCTCCTGGGGACATCTGTGCCCCCTCTTCCTCCTCCTCACTGGAGATGGACATCTTTGCCTCCTCCTCCTTGTCCTCCCTGGGGACATCTGTGCCTCTTCTCCTGGGGTCCTCATTTCTTCTGATCCTCCCTGGGGACGGCTGTGCCCCCTCCCCCTAGTCCTCACTGGGGACATCTTTGCTTTTCCTCCTGGTCCTCACTAGGGACCTCTGTGCCCCCTCCTCCTGGGGTCATCATTGAGGACATTTCAGCTGTCGCGTAAGAAGCTTGCACTCAGAGCCAGGCAAGTGGCAGCTGTTCCACAAACACCAGCTCCTCACTGTCCTCGAGGGGACAGCCCTGCCGGCTGGGTGTTAGTTCAGGTGCATCATACAGGGCCGGTCAGTGTCGCCCTACATGGAGTGTCCCCATTTCCCTCCTGCAGTGTCATTGTCAGCAAGCATTCATTGAGCACCAACCGTATGCCAGGCCCTGTGCTTAGCCCTGGGCTCCCAGAAGGTTCTTCCGAAATGAGGATTGGTCACATCCTTTTCCTCCTGACCCTTCAGTGGCTTCTCCTTCCCTCCAGGATCAAGTGCAGACCCCCCACTGCTGCTCCCAGGCCTGTGTGGCCCAGCCCTTGCCCTCCCTCCCCTCCCTGCTGTCTCTCCAGAGGACACCCAAGCGCTTTCCTGCCACAGGGCCTTTGCCCATGCAGTTCCCTCCGCCTGCAATGCCTTTTCCTGCTCTCCTCCACTTGGCCAGTCCTTTTGATCTTCATCAGCTTAAATGCGACCTCTCCCCCCACTGCCCCACAGACTTGGCTCCCCTCACCCCAGCTTCTTGGCATTCCTCTGGTTTCTCTCAGCACCTTCTGTAATTCTTTCCTTGGGGGTTTACTGGAATCACTGTTGCTCTCACTAGTCCATGAGCTCCAGGCGGGCAGGGGCCTCATGGGTCCTGTTCCTGGGTATTTCCAGGGCCCAGCACACGCCTGGCACAGGGTTGGTGTGCGGCTATGTTCCTTGTTGAGTGGCTGAGTAAATACAGAGGGATGGGGCACCCAGTGGCTCTCTGGGGCAAGCTGCATGTTGTCATGGAACACGCCTGTCTGGCCCCAGGTCTGGGTCAGTCAGAGGCTGGAGGTGGGGCCTGGGAGCCACCCTGATGCTGGCAGGACCACCACACCTGTGACTGGTGGCGTCGAGGGACCCGTCCCACAGGGACCAGCCTCCGTGGGGGCCTGGGGGCTGGGGAGTCGGCCTCCCCACCCCCTCGCTCCTCACAGTGGTGCTCACCTTCTCGGGAGACCTGGCTCCGTGCAGGGCATGGGCTGGGCCTGGGCTGTGCTGCAGTGACTAACGGCTCTGCGCCCTTAGCAGGAGCAGGCTCCCTGCCTCTGCCTGGCAGGCTCAGGGCGGGGCTCGGGGCTCTGCTCACTGCAGTCTCTCACCTTTCACCTGGGTGGGGCTTCTGTTGTCACACAGCAAAAGGAAGAAGGCATCAACCCTGCCCTGGTCCTTTATGCCCCTCCTGGAGGTGACACATGCCACCGCCTCTCACAGCACAGCGGCCAGAGCCAGTCACGTGACCACATCTGCCTTCAGAGGGGGTGGGAGGAGTGACCCCACCACATGCCAGGAATGAGGGAGCTGGTGATGTCGGGTGCAGCACTCAGGATGCCCACCTTTGTCCCCGGCTGGGTCAAGAGCTAGAGGGCAATGGCCCCCATGTCTGCAGCCGCATCGTGCCTGTTCGGGGCTGAGTGCAGAGCAGGAGAAAGCAATGCCCCATGCAGTCCAAATGGACAAGGGCTGCCCCTGCCCCATGCCAGGGGCTGTGGGCCCAGAAGTGACAAAGACAGCCCGGGAGTGGGGAAGTGACACCTGCAGGAGTCACCGCCTAGTGACCTGAGGGCAAAGCTTCATCCCTGTCCTCCTGCCCGGGGCAGTGAGTGTGGGTGGTCATACCCTGACTGCGGGTCAGGGTCCCCGGGGCCAGCCCCTCCCCCAGCCTTACTCGCCCTCAGCTGCCCACACTGTCACTCCAGGTGAGACTGAGCTACATCCCTTGCCTGAGTCTTCCCTGCCCCCACTCTTGCCTCTGAGCCTATGCCACTGCTGTTCCCTCTGCCCGTGCACAGCAGGGACCTGGGAGGACTCGGGAACCAGGCCCCCTCGGTCTGAAACCTGGCCTGGTGGGTGACCGGATGATGAGCAGTTCCTAACCTCTCTGTGCCTCAGTCTCCTCATCTGTAAACTGGGGGTGGTGATAGTGTCTGCCTCACTCTCACGGGGGCTACTGTGAGGATTTAATACAAGTAAACGCTTAGAACACAGCCCCAGCACGTGGCAGGTGACAGCAGTGTGTGACGGTCAGTCCCCACCCTCCACGTCTGCCTAACATCTCACCCTCGGGGCTCAGCATAGACGCCCCTCCCCGGAAGGCATCTGGCATCTCTGCAACCCCAGTGCCCAGCACAGGGCCTGGCACATGGAGGCTCCAGCTGCCCCCAAAGGCCACTGAGCCTGATGCCCCCTTCCAGGGACATTTGCCTCACGGCCAGCACCACAGGAAACCAAATGCCCGAGGTGAGTGGACGCCAAGCCTCGGTCCCTGCATGGCCCTTTGGGGACGTCTGGAGAAGGCCAGGACTCTCCTGCACTCGGAGTTGCCCCTCTCGTGTGTTGGGGGGTGCAGCTCATCACACCTGCTTATGTCACATGTTTGGGCCATTTCTCCTCCTGTGGTTGGCACAGCACGAGTGTCTGGAGCAGCTATTTTGGGCAACACCAGAAACATTTTGACATGGCCTACGAAATAGACCCTTAGGTTTCCTGCAGTGCCAGGGAACTCGGTGGCGTTTGAGACAGACGCCCTCGCTGCATCTCCTCAAAGTCTCAGCCGGTGCTAAGCCGGGAGGGGCGGGGACATGGGGGTCGTCAGGCATGTGACTTGGCAATGAGACGTGGGGCTTGTGTATTTTGACACGAGGCTGCATCTAACTGGCCACTTCAGATCTCTGGCTTTGCAAATGTCAGTAGGGTACGTTTAACTACTTCAGTCACTTAAGATCTTTGGACCTCAGTTAAGAGCTTTGGAGACTAAACATAGATGTAAATATCTGCTCAGCTGCCCATGAGCTGAAGGAATGGTTGCTGATGTCTGCCCTGTTGTGGGCCAGGTACTGAGCTGGGCTTGGGGACACAGGGGTGGGCAGGACAAAGCCCCTACCCTCAAGGAACTCACAGTCTGGTGTGGACCAGGGGTGACAGAGGAGAGAGGGGCCCCTGACCAAACCTGGCCAGTGAGGAAGGCTTTCTAGAATTCAGGGCCTCAGCATGCTGCTGCACAGGCTGTGTACTGCACAACTCACACATGGACATGCTGTGAAGGGCGCCCCCTAGAATGTGCAGGCAGCAGCCATCCCAGAGCACATGCTAGAGCTGTGTTTTGAAGGATAAAGAACTGGTGCAGAATTGTAACACCACCACCACCACCGCCACCACCACCATCACTACCACTGTCACCACCACCATCACCACCATCACCACCACCATCACCACCACCACCACCACCGTCACCACCACCATCACCACCACCACCACCACCATCACCACCACCGTCACCACCACCACCGTCACCACCACCACCACCACCACCGTCACCACCACCACCACCACTGTCACCACCACCGTCACCACCACCACCACCACCACCGTCACCACCACCACCACCACCACCACCACCACCACCATCACCACCGTCACCACCACCACCACCACCACCGTCACCACCGTCACCACCACCACAGTCACCACTGTCACCACCACCACCACCACCACCATCACCACCACCACCACCACCACCATCACCACCACCACCACCACAGTCACCACTGTCACCACCACCACCACCACCACCACCATCACCACCACCACCACCACCACCACCACCACCACCACCACCATCACCACCACCACCACCACCACCATCACCACCACCATCACCACCACCACTACCACAAGCATCACTACCACCACCACCACCATCACCACCACCACTTACTGAGGGCTTCTGCTGTGCCAGGCACTGCCTGTGCCATCTCACTTCATCCTGAGGCAGATTTCCCATTTCACCAATGAGGACTCTGGAGTCAGAGAGGTTGAACACAGTAGGGAGCTGCAGAATTTGAACCTGGCTCTGTGTAACTCCAGAGTCAAGCTCTGAAGCCCTTGGTGGGAGAACACCCTGGATAAACACCTAGTGCAAAGGTTAGGAGAGGTGCGCCTTTGGGAAACCGCTGAGTTTGCCTGCTAGCTCGTGACCAGCTGGGCTTGACCCAGGCACCCCATCTCCCAGTCTAGTGCCCCTTTGATGCACTGGGTGAATGGTGCTGTGGGAGAGTCTGGGTTCAAGTTGAGGACTGAGTCCAAATCCCATGTCTGTGACTCATTGTCTCTTCAGTTGTAAGTCAATTGTTTCCCCTTGCTGAGCCTTGGTTTCCCCAGCTAGAAAGCAGGCAGATGTTTACCGTGCCCATTTCTCCCGAGTGGCAGGAGCCACTAAGATAGTAGACGTGGAGATTCCGACTAAAATAGAACAAATTGCGCTGTGCTAATTCTTGCAGGTGCTGCACTTCCACCCTCTCTGGGCGACAATGCCACTCTCCTCTGCCCCAGCCTCCGTGACTATGTTCCCCTTCCTTGCTGACGACGAGGGTTCTAGCTCCTTCCATGTGGTGGTGGGTGGGGAGGAGGCCTTGTCCCCTTCTCTGAAAGCGCTGATGATCAGAGTCTGGGATGAAGGTGTAGGAGGAGCCCTGGCTTCACTCTGAACCTACCTGTGACCTCGGGTGAGTCATCTCCTGTCTCCACATGCCTTGCCTTCCTGGAAACCCCACATGTCCAGGGAGGTGAGATGAGGGTCCATGGTCTCCAGCCTCTAGTGATATCTGAGAGGAAACACTTGCTGGGTGTGTGGGGCATGGCACTGAGCTCCTTGCCTACCTGTTTGTTCTCAACCACCTCATCAGGCAGGATCTGACATTGTCCCCATTTCTACAGAAAAGAACACTGAGACTCTGAGTCAGAAAGTGACCTGCCCAGGTAAGCGCAGCTGGAAGTGGAGAAGCTGGATTTGGGCCTGGGGCTTTGGAATTCAGTTGGATGCCATCTCTGGGGGGCCTTTCCCTCTTGGGTGGTCTGGACGAGGAGACTGGGGCTACCACCTGGGCTACGTGACCTCAGGACCCCACAACCCTCAGAGGCTGCTCCTCTTTGCCTACAGGCCTGAGCATACAGGCTGGGGAGGGGAGGCTGTCTCTCATGCATGATGAGTTTTCATGAAAAGTCCATCCATGCCCAAGGCTCAGTCATCTTCTTCCTTCACCTCCTCCCCCACACCCATCAGATGCAGGGCTCGGGGCTCTGGCAGGCCTATAGTTTGAGCCACTGTGGTTAGAGCTCTGAGGTCAGATGGGGGCAGGGGTGGGGTAAAGTTCCCATTTACACCCCCATCCGGATGGGGCCAGGGAGTGACTTGGGGTGAGGTAGAGGGGGGCGGGGAACCCATGGGGCACCTCGAGTGCAGATGGGACTCCTCCAGGAGTGTGGGGCTTAGTCCCTGCCCTATTCTGTTTCAGTGGATGTCTGGCTTAGGTGAGACCAGAAAGGCTGCACTGAGCTCTCAAGAATGTGGGTCTCATACCTACGAGCTGCAGACCGTCGGTCAGGTCACTTAGCCTCACTGGGCCTCAGCTTTCTCAACTGTGCTGTGGGGGTAATCATGTGCCTCCCTTCTGGTCTCTGTGAAGATTTACTGGCTTGATGCATGTAAAATGCGGGGCCCATTGAGGGCCACTTGGGCAACCCAGCTCAGTGAGCATCAGTGATGATTGCCACAGCCTTGGAAGTTCTGACCTGTCCTGACACTCAACTGGTGTCTTGGCTGCTGTAGGATCTGATGATGGGGTGGTTTAAAAGTAATACTCAGAAAAATAATGGTGCTATTGTCACTACTGATAGTGTTGGGTTCAGAAAACAGACCTGGTCAGAACTGCCTGGATTCGAATTTTGACCCCAGAACTTACTGGGTGGGACATGGGGCAAGTTACTAACCTCCCAAAGCCTCAGTTTCTCCCATCTAACACGAGGGCATAATCTCTAACTCAGAGATGAGCCAGGAAAAGTGTTCAGCTCCCACCTGGCACACAGCGAGTGCTCAATCAGTGTGGGTTACTGTTGGCCATTTGTGGAGGACTTTCAATATAAGCTCTGCAGGAGGCTTTTGTGTTTTGTCCAGTGCTGTTGCGAGTGCCTAGAAGGGAGCCTAGCACATAGTAGATGCTCAGTATATATTTGCTGAATGAATGCATGGAAGGATGTCAATGTGTTTCACTGAGGCCTGGCACAGTGAGTGCTCAGCCAGGCTTGGGCCCAGATTCTGCCCAGGGCTGTGCCTGGCTCACTCTATTTCTTCAGACCCTGCTTGGAGCATCTTTTTCTGCTCTTGACAGATGAGAAAGCTTCACCACTGGACTGGCGCCAGCCTTAAAGAGTGTCTGAGCTGCTACCTGCTGTGCACTATCACTGAGCCACGGGTCTTTCTCTCTCTTACACACACACACACACACACACTCTCTCTCTCTCTCTCTCACACACACGCACACACACTCACACACGGTAGCTGGGTGTTAAGCAGTGGTCCCTTCCCAGCTTCTCTGCCTGGTGTACCTTGCATGGTTTCCCTGCCTGGAGGGCAGGTGTAATCAGTGGCCAGGAACCTGGAGGGTCCCTAAACACCCTCCCACCAAGATCCACAAACCTCTGTCTGCAAATGGACAATGCTGCCCTGAGGGACCAGGTGCCTGCCCCTCCCCCACATCAGCCAATTAGGCTGCAGTGAGAGGGGATTTCCAGGGCCTTTCCTGAGAGGGCTTTTGGTGGAGATGGGCAGAGAGCCCAGGGGCTGGACTTCAAGGGCAAAGGGAATGTACTGGAAGGGAGGGAGGAGTGGCTAAGATCCACCTATGCCCACCCTCTGCTGCCTCAACACAACTGCTGTGATCTGTTAGGTGCCCTTTGGTCTCCATTCATCAATGGGCTCTTCGCCCCCAGCGGATGTCTCTGGGGTCTCCCTTTATCCTGGGCTGGGGATCACTGTGACCCTCTTCTTGTTCTTCCCTCTCCCACATGAACTCAGAGGGTATCTGGCTCAGGTTTGTCAACTCAGGGAGATTTTGCTGCCCAGGGGACAGCTGGCAAAGCCTGGAGACATTTTCAGTTGTCACAGCTGGAGATGAGCAGGCAGAGGAGGTGGGCAGGCAGTGAGGAGGTGATCAGGCAGGGAGGAGGTGATCAGGCAGGGAGGAGGTGGGCAGGCAGGGAGGAGGTGATCAGGCAGGGAGGAGGTGATCAGGCAGGGAGGAGGTGGGCAGGCAGGGAGGAGGTGATCAGGCAGGGAGGAGGTGGGCAGGTAAGGAGGAGGTAGGAGGGAGTGGGCAGGCAGGGAGGAGGTGGGCAGGCAGGGAGGAGGTGGGCAGGCAGGGAGGAGGTGATCAGGCAGGGAGGAGGTGAGCAGGCAGGGAGGAGGTGGGCGGGTAAGGAGGAGGTAGGAGGAGGTGGGCAGGCAGGGAGAAGGTGGGCGGGTAAGGAGGAGGTAGGAGGGAGTGGGCAGGCAGGGAGGAGGTGATCAGGCAGGGAGGAGGTGAGCAGGCAGGGAGAAGGTGGGCGGGTAAGGAGGAGGTAGGAGGGAGTGGGCAGGCAGGGAGGAGGTGGGCGGGTAAGGAGGAGGTAGGAGGGAGTGGGCAGGCAGGGAGGAGGTGGGCGGGTAAGGAGGAGGTAGGAGGAAGTGGGCAGGCAGGGAGGAGGTGGGCAGGCAGGGAGGAGAAAAGCCGGCAGGGAGGAGGTGGTGGGTCCTTCTCTAAGGGTAGAAGCCAGAGCTGCTGCTGAGCATCCCATAGCACACAGGGTGGTCCTCCATGAGAAAGAATTATCCAGCCCCCAGAAGTCCATAATGCTGCTGTGGAGAAGTCCCACAGGACATATGGAAAATGAGAGTCAGAGGGGGCAGTGATCCGCTCCAAGTCGCACAGCTTGTTGGCGGCAGGTCCAAGACTATAACCTGGGTTTCCTGACTCTGCTGATCTGTCTGTGGGGCCGGCGTCAGTGCTGTGGGTCTGGGTGCCAAGTGGCCTCTTTGTCTCCAGCCTGGTTTTTGTTTCTTTCTAAATCATTTCGATTTCGGGAACATTTTTATCTGTGTTTTCATTCTCCCTTGTTTTTCATTGTGCTTCTCTCTGGGTAATCCTAGGCTTGCAGGCGGCTAAGTACGACGTGTACATTTCAATGAAATGCAATAAAATATAATTGAACATATTTCTTTCATGTCTGAGCGACAGATTAATCTCCCAGACACATCTCTGTTTCCTCTTTGCTCCCTCCACGTTTTGTTGGCGTGTTTCCTCCCCTTCCCAACATTGCTGGGATTTGAATGGTTCCCTGGCACCTGGTCACTGGAGATAGACACACAGTCCTGACTCTATAGCCCCACATCTGTGATTGATAAATGATCCTCCTGGGGCAGAGGAGAAGGAACTGCCCGCGGGAATGCCAGCCCCAGGTGGGGAGAGAAGAGGGGTCTCTGCTGCTGATGGGGAGCAGTGGGGGCCCATCAGTAGGACTGGGAAGGTCTCCTGTGATGCAAGGACCCTCCCGGGAAGACACACTCTTGGTGCAGCCATTGTGGGTGCCCAGTGAGGGCAAGATCAGCAGGGACGCCCTGGACTGACTTCACATGACTGTGAAGTGCAGGCTCAGCTCAGGGGAAGAGCGAGAGGCATCAGATGGAGCCAGGGCCACAGCCTCAGGGGCGACGTGAGAAACATGGAGGAGGCCCATCAGGTGGAGAAGGTTCATGGCAAGGTTCATGGAGAAGGTTCATAGCAAGGACCTGTGGGTTCTTGTCAGCTGTGGGGAGCAGTTTCACTTCCATCCTGGGAGCAATGGGGAGCTCATAAAGGGTCTAAGCAAGGGAGGCATGAGCAGATAACTGCTCTCTCTGGCTGCTGATCAGGAAGGGACTGTGGGGCAGGAGCTGGAGCAGGAGGCTGAAAAGAAGCTGCAAAAGGGTCCAGATGGAGGTGATGGGGAAGGAAAAGGCTGGGAGTTGGAGAGAAAGGATGGATTGCAGCAATCCTGCTGCCTCCCTGAACATTTATTTTATTTATTTTCTATGTCCCATAATTGCTAAAAGTGAAAGAAGGCACAATCATTCTGTAGACTAGTCAGAGGTGAGCAGGCTGGCAGAACGTGATCAGGCAAGTAGGAGGAAGGCAGGCAGGGAGAAGGTGGGAGCAGGTGAACGGGCAGGGAGGAGGAAGGTAGACAGGGAGGAGGTGAGCAGGCAGGGAGGAGGTGAGCAGGCAGGGAGGAGCTGGGCAGGCAGAGAGGAGGTGGGCAGGTAAGGAGGAGGTAGGAGGAAGTGGGCAGACAGGGAGGAGGTGAGCAGGCAGGGAGGAGAAAAGCAGGCAGGGAGGAGGTGGGCCTGCTAATAGGAAATGAGCAAGCTCTAGGAGATACACAGGCTCTTGTAGGCTGTGAGCCAGGTGTAGGAATGTGGGTAGGCTGATAGGAGGTGAGCCAGCTGGTAGAAGGTGTGTAGCATGATTGTAAGTGAGCTGTCTGGCAGGAAATGGGCAGGGTGGCCGGGGAGTCCTGGACCTCACGGCCGTCCAATGAAAGGATCCTGTGGAGTGGTTGTGCTGGTCATGCCAGTGGGGTGGAAACCTTCCCATGTCGCTTGGGGGCCTTGTGAGTGTCTGTGTGTTCCAGGATCAGCTGTGTCTGCTGGGCCCCATCACGGCTCCTGTGGGAGCAGTTGTTTGAACTGGGATATGCTGCGGGGCTCAGGCAGGGGCTTTGTCAGCTCCAGGTGCCATGCGATGGACCCAGGCAACTATCCTCATGATGGGCTCCAGAGAGGGTAAGGGAGGCGGCTTGGCGTGGTCAGACACTTGGAACTTCCCTGTACCAGGAATGGGGTGGTCCCAGGCTTCATGGTGCTCACATTCCCATGGTTGCCTTATCTTTGCGGTGCCCTGATGCCCAGCCTGGAGCTGAACACATAAAAGTCACCCAGAAGTCCTCCATATGGTGCAGTGGAATCTAGAATTTAGAGTCAGGCAGACTGAGGTCAAATCCTTACTCAGTTGCTTACTCTTCGTGCCACCTTGTGTGTTAGGCTGGTCTTGTGTTGCTATAAAGAAATGCCTGAGAGTGGGTAATTTATAAAGAAAAGAGGTTTAATTGGCTCATGGTTCTGGAGGCTGTACAGGAAGCGTGGTGCTGGCATCTGCTTGGCTTCTGCGGAGGCCTCAGGGAGTGGCCTCAGGGAACTTACTAAAGGCGGAAGGGGAAGCGGGAGCAGACATGTCACATGGCAGGAGTGGGAGCAAGAGAGAGAGGGGTGCCATACACTTTTAAAACAACCAGATCTCATGAGAAATCATTTACTATTGTGGGGGCAGCACCAAGGGGATTATGCTAAACCATTCATGAGAAATCCACCCCCGTGATCCGATTGAGGTAAGAGGCAGGGCTTGCCTCAAGAGGCGGGACTCAACTCTGGTCGTGTGGCTTGGACACCGGACCAAATTGAGGACTATCTAAGACAAGTGTGGGGAGGAAGCAGCTTTCCATAAGACACACTCACCAGTGTGCCATGTCAGTTTACCATTTCCATGGCAACACCTGGAAGTTACCCTTTCCCTAGAATTTTTTGCATAACCTGCCACCTAATTTGCATATAATTAAAATTGGGTATAATTTAAAAGTGAGTTCTGACAACAGAACAGCCTTTGATCTGCTACTCTGGGCACACTGCCTATAGGGTAACCCTGCTCTGTGAGGAGCAGTACCTTTGCTGCTGCTGCATGCTGCTGCTGCACACTGCTGCTTCAATAAAAGTTGCTGTCTAACACCACTGGCTGGCCCTTGAATTCTCTCCAGGGTGAAGCCAAAAGCCCTCCCACCAGGCCCTCCAACACTAGGGATTGCAATTCAACATGCAACTTAGAGGGGACAACATCCAAGTAATATCACCCTCGTAGGCGTTTTACTTCCTGGAGCCTCCGTTCTCCATCTGGGAAATGGGCATCATTGCTGCACTTCCCAGAGTTGCTCTGATCAATCACTTGGTGCCCTGTGGGTACTTGGTAACTGCCTCATCCTTACTCCAAAAGCACCATAATGAGAAGGCTTCTCAGCATGGGAGCTGTGGGGTCATCTATCCCTAAAGGCCATGATGATGAAGTTGCTCCCTCTGAGGACACAGCCTTGTGGGCCTCAAAGGCTGTTCAGGTTTCTGGGGCCCCTGAGAAATACAACCATCCCTGGGGTCTCCTCCCAAAGCCTCCATGAGCTTGCACATCGAGACAGGGGGCCAGGCATCCAGGAGTGAGGTGTGGGCAGAGATGGGGTGATGATGAGGGTGAGGGTAGCTGGGGTGGAGGAAGGGGGAAGAAGGCATTGGTGACAATAGCAGTAGCCAACACATCTCCACTTGCAGATGAGGGGACTGGGCACAGAGGGGTTGAATGCTTTGTCCACGGTCACACATCACTGGGGTTTGAACCCAGGAGATCCAGCTGCACAGTCGGGCTCTCAACCATGAACCTGAGGAGTGAGAATGTGGGCAAGGAGCTCTGGGGAGCCCACAGCCAGTCTGGCACAGTGCACCATCCTGGCCCCATGTCCCTGGTGTGAGGTGACAAGCTGGGGCAGGGCTGTCATGTGTGGTACCAGTAATTGACAAGGACAGAGCACTCAGGTCTCTCTAAGGGGAAGGAGTTGCTCAAGAGCATAATCTCAGGCTGGGGAGGCATTGATTCAGGAACTGGCTGCACCCAGAATTCAAACCCAGACCTGCCCGATGTCAATGTCCTAGGGCTTTTGATGGTCCTGTTTCCCCCTGTAACTGCTGGGCCTCCTCAGCACTCCTGAGACTGTTTATCAGATACACCATTACCCAGTGTGAGCATTTACGCAATGTTAATTAGTCCCAATGAGGATCAGTAAGTGATTAGGAGCAGAGTTTGTCAACTGCAGCCCGAGTTTCCTCCTCTTGGCTTCCTCCTGGGATCCTGGGCAGTGGCTCAGCAGAAGGGGGAGCCAGGCCCCCCAGCCCATTAGAGAACTGCTCTGGTGTCTGGGAAATGTGGCCCATACCTTCCCCACCCCTACCTGCTCCCCAAGGCCTGTTCCATCCTCAGCTCTGCTCTGTTGAGCTTTCCTGGCCCTTGAGGCTGATGAGCACCTTCACTCCCCACCCTTTCCCCACCTCCCCTCCCACAGCCCTGCAGTGTCTGGGGCTTGGTCATGCCTCCTTGGATATCTAGTGCTATGATTGGAATGCCCTCTCCAAAATTCATGTCCACATTCAAGTGCCAATATACCACTACTGAGAGGTGGGGCCTTAGGTCATGAGGGGCTCTACCCTCATGAGTGGATTAATGCCAATATGTAGGGAGTGGGCTCCTGATAGAAGGATCAATTTGGTCCCATTTCTCTGTCTCATGCACACTTTCTTGCCACCCAATGTCTTCTACCATGGAGGAACCCTTGCCAGATGCAGCACCGTGCCCTTGGACTTCCCAGCTCCAGAACCGACAGCCAAATACACTTCTGTTTTTTATAAATTACCCCATCTGTGGTATTCTGTTACAGCAGGAGAAAATGAGCTGTCTTCTAGCACCCCCCTACCCCCAGGGGTTCCTTACTCCACCTCCAACCCCCTCCCCTCATGTGGTCATCATTTTGGAGTGAGGGCCTTGGAGTCAGACAGACCCAGGTACCTCACCTCTCATTGGTGTGTGACTTTGAATGAGTTGCATAACTGCTCTCAGCCTTAGTTTCCCTATCTGTAAATTGGGCTTTATAAAAATGAGTGGCAAATATCTGTTAAATGCCCGGCTGATGTCTGGTCATAATATGTGCTCAGTAAACAGGGCTTACTATTTTATCCCTTCTTTTCTCCAAAAACGCTAGTGATACCCCATTGGTAGTCTTAAGATTTTAGCCTGGCATTTAGGGTCCTGACAGTTTGCCTCCAGCATCTTTCCAGCCTCATCACTTTTGTCCCCACCTTCTCTCACAGTCTGGAGTGGTGTTGTCTCCTGACCACTTGCTGTGACTCAAACATGCCTCATACTCACTCATGCTGTGTGCTCTGTATGAAGTCATCGCCCTCACTGACTCCTTGTATCTTCCCCACAAGGCCTAATCCCACTCCCGCCCAGAAATCCACCAAACTTTGAATCACACCTCCTCCAGGAAGCCTTCCAGGATGCCTCAGTTGAGCAGACCTTCTCCCTCCTCTGAAGTCCTATGCTCCAGCTCCAGGAGGTCTCTACCTCCTGCCTCCAGGTGGTGAGCTTTTTCTCGCCTCTGAGCCTGCACATTAGCTGTTGCCTCTGCCTGGAATGCTCTCCCTCTGTGCTTCACAGAGGGGTGGGCACACACCTACCCTTCAGATCTCTGCTCCAATATTACCCTCTCGGAAAGGCCTTTTGTGACCAGCTTTGTTAATCCCACCCCAGTCCCCAGGTGGACTCTGTCTTGTCACCTTGCTATATTCTTCAGTGTACTTGTCAAAATACTGATTTTTTTTCTCAGATAAGTCTTATAGGATGTAAGCTTCGTGAACTCACTTGTTCACAGTCATTCCCCAGCACCGGGCAGTTCCCTAAGAGGCCCCTAATAAACATGTGGAAAGGGAGAGAGAGGAAGGAGGAAGAGAAGGAAAGAGAGAGGGAGGGAGAAGAAAAGAAGGGAGGAGGCTGAGGCGGGAGGATTGCTTCAACCTAGGAGATGGAGACCAGCTTGGGCAACATAGGAAGACCCCGACGCTACAAAAAATAAAATAGAAAAATTAGCCAGGTGTGGTGGTGTGTGCCTGTAGTCCCAGCTATTGGGGAGGCTGAGGTGGGAGGATGGCTTGAGCCTGGGAGGTCAAGGTAGCTGTTAACTGTGATTGCACCATTGCACTCCAGCATGGGTGACAGAGTAAGACTCTGTCTTAAAAAAAAAAAAAGAGGCCGGGTGCAGTGGCTCACACCTGTAATCCCAGCAGTTTGAGAGGCCGAGGCGGGCGGATCACGAGGTCAGGAGATCGAGACCATCCTGGCTAATATGGTGACACCCCATCTCTACTAAAAATACAAAAAATTAGCCAGGTGTGGCGGTGGGCGCCTGTAGTCCCAGCTACTCGGGAGGCTGAGGCAGGAGAATGGCGTGAACTTGGGAGATGGAGCTTGCAGTCAGCCGACATCGCGCCACTGGACTCCAGCCTGGGCAACAGAGCAAGACTCTGTCTCAAAAAAAAAAAAAAAAAAAAAAGAAAGAAAAGAAAAGGAAAAGGAGGGAGGAAGAAGGAAGGAGAGGAGAAAGGAAGGAAGGTAAGAAAAGAAAGGGAAGCGATAAGGCCAAAACACTCTGGATGAAACACAATTATGTCAAATGGCTAACAGAGTTCTCACGGTGGAATGTATTTTGTTTAATACTTTGATCTTCTTGTCTGCTGGAAAAATGAATTCTGTCAAGCCTCTTGAAGCCAACTGTCAAAGTAAAGCATTTTGGTGAGACATATCTCTCACTCTGATGGCAAAATTCATTTGAAATGATTCTTTAATCCAGTCTCCCTGTGAAACCTGGAGTTGAAATTTTAAAGCCTATTCACCCTGAAATGTTTCTTCCCACTTCTCCCAACTGCACCCTCTCCCGGTGCCCTGTCCTCCATCTCTTAGAAAATAACACAGCAAAGAATTGCAGCTGGCATAATGATGACCATTTGGTTTCTCACGACGAGTTTTTAGAAGGAAAATGACAGAGCACAAAGCCTTGTTTTTCAGTGTTTGGGAAAGGGAGGGAGGTGCTTTGCTGTCAAAGCCGGCAAGAACAGAGGAGGCTCAAGGGAGCAGGTGGGTCCTTACAGACTTGAGGTGTGTGAAAGCAGGAGGGAGCTCTGGGAGGATGATGGCACCCTCATCCCTGCTGAAGCCAGGGTGAGGGGTGTGGGCCGGGAGCTGCCTCTATATTTTCTCTGATCCCTGCACCTCTGTGTCCACCTGCCAGAGCCTAACCCTGTGTGTGGACTTGGCACTTTTCAGTTCCCAAAGTGCTTCATTTATTTGTTCATTCATTAATTAATTCACAGATTCATTCGTATTATTCACGTGTTGATTAGGGCTCACCATGGATCATTATCTGTATAGGGCTCTGGGGTTATAAAGACCCTATAGACAGATCCCAGGGACATGGCATGTAGTCAGATGGCCATGAATCTTAGGAGAGATGGGTGCTTGGCACACAGTAGGCACTTCCATTAGAATGTGTGGGCAGTGTACAACAGAAAACCCGACAACAGGGGCTCAAGCAATTGAGACATGAAATGTTCTCATAGAACCTGATGTTTTAGAGCAAGGATTGTCCGGCTGCAGACTGTGGGCCAATTAGCGCCACTGAGTGCTTTCGTTCAGCTCACAAGCTAAGGATGGCTTTCATACACAAACATTCTTAATTGATTGGACAACAGGAAAAGCGAAACGAAATTTGAATCCCAAGTAAGAAAAATGTTATTCCCCCCTGCAAAAGAGAATGTCATTGTTTTCATTACATCTGGGTTATAAAAAATTGTCCTTGATTGTTATATTTTGAATTTGATCAATACATTTTGATGAAATTTGTGGAAATTTGTTTTTTCTCTTATTAAATTAATACTTACATTATATCCTTGATTTTGTCTCTTGGCTCACAAAGTCTAAAGTGTTTACTATCTTTCCCTTCACAGAGTATGTTTGCTGGCCCCTGTTCTAGAGGAAGGTGGTTCCCGCTTGGTCAGATGCTCCGGGATGTCAACAAATACTTCTTCCCTCTTTACCATCTTTGGCTATGCAGGCTTTTTAATCCATAGCTTGTTGCCTCATGGTTGCAAGATGGCTGCCACAACCAGACATCAAGTGCCCTCATGACCGCATTCAAAGGAGGAGGCAGGGGCAGAAAGGGATGCTTCCTAAAAGCAGTTGTTACCCAAGAGCAAATTTCCTCTCTCAACCCAATGGCCAGGTCTAGGTTGTGTGCTCACGCCTAAAACAATCTCTGGAGAAGGGGAATGGAGTGCCTGGCTCAGCTTCACCCCAGGGCTGGAGGGTCCCTCAGGTCTGAGCCTATAGGGCTACAGAATAAACCCCAGGGTTTTGTGAGTGGAGGAGGGGCATGGTTGCTGGGGGGCAGCCCCACGGTGATGGGTGTTAACACCCCCATGAGCCGGGCACCTGCACACACGACCCACATCACCTGCAC
Source organism: Homo sapiens (assembly GCF_000001405.40). Classification (NCBI taxonomy): domain Eukaryota; kingdom Metazoa; phylum Chordata; class Mammalia; order Primates; family Hominidae; genus Homo; species Homo sapiens. The sequence continues at coordinate 30,642,900 of NC_000001.11, read as the reverse complement.
GACCTCCCTATGCAGCAGGTGCTGTCATGGTCCCCGCTCCACATGGGAGGAAGTTGAATGCTTCCCAGATCACACAGCCCGCAGGGGTGGAGGCTCAGAGCCGTGCTTTCTGTCCTCAGAAAGCCAAACTCTTGTCAGAGTTTGCTGACAAGTGCAATGGGGGGTCTGGGGTAGAGACAGAAAGCCTGTCTCTGAGCCTCCACCCCTGTGGGCTGTGTGATCTGGGAAGCACTCGACCTCCTCCCCTGTGGAGTGGGGACCACGACAGCACCTGCTGCATAGGGAGGTCGTGCAAGGTCGTGCAGGTGACGTGGGTCGTGTGTGCAGGTGTCCGGCTCGTGGGGGTGTTAACACCTGTCAGCTATTGTGGGGATGAGGCTCATCTGTAAAGTGGCCCGTGGTGCCCTCTCTGTAGCAGTCCTGGGGGTGACAACAGCAGGAATATCAGTTCATAGGTGCGAGCACTTCCTACGCGTGCTGGGGACCGTGTACTTGCACTCGCTCACTTAATCCTCACAGCTGCCCAAGGAAAGAGCCCTTTTCATCCTCATTTTACATCAGAGGAAACCGAGGCTCAGGAAGGGGAACCCAGGTGGAGTGAGGGCAGGTGGGGCTCCAGGGTGCTCAGATTCCAGCTGCTATGCTCTGACCTACTGCAGGACCCTGGCACAGGCAGTTGCCCAGGTGACCCCTTTCCACCCTGGATCCAGGCCAGTGGCTGGGCCGATTGCTCTCCCAACCCTGTTGTCTGTCCCTCCCTGGGCTCCAGAGCCCTAGACCTGCCTGTGACATGGGGAGATTTGCCACTGTCTCGGTGGCCCTCCTGCCCAGGATGATGAATGGATACATTCTGTGTCAGCAGTGGTGGGGACGCACGACGGTCAAGCTGGTGACACCGTGTCTTGGTTGTGAACTGGCAACTCGCACTTTTTTGTGAAACAGGATACAATTATGTAGAACATAAGCATATGCTAATGAGGGATAATTACATTCCATATTTATAAATTTATCAAAATATGCAAAACCCACTTCCACAATTATACACCCACGGGCACACCACAGTTTAACAGCTGCTTGAGGTCTCTCCCCAGCACCATAATGTGAGCTTGGGCACCAAGTGGGACCCGAAGCCTGCAGCCCAGCTCTGCTGGGGAAGCCTCCGCTGTCACTGCTATTGGCCCCATGCAGAACTGCCGAATTGCTGTCCTTGTCAGCCTTCCTGGCGCTCTTGGATTCCTAGTTTGTGAAGGTTGGGGGGGCAGTGGATTCAGGCAGAGGAAACAGCATGTGTGAGGGCTCTGAAGCAGGAGAGGTGCAGTGACTTGGAGGATCTGAACCAAGCCTGCGTGGAGCAGAGCGCGGGCTCAGGGAAGGAGAGGCTGGCGGGGGCGGGGGGTGGGAGCAGACTGCCAGGCCTCATGGGTGGAGACGAGGACAGATGAGCTGCATTAGGGAGCAGTGGGGAGCAGCTCCCTTCCCCCTGGGGACGGGAGGAATGAAACCCCCACTCCCAGGTTCTGGGCAGAGGCTGAGAACCCAGTACTGGGGACAGGGGAAGAGGGGTGGGGATGACACAGACTCAGTCCTCTTAGGGTGATGGTCTGTCATCAGATGGGGACCCTATCAGAAAAGATTCATTTCCCAGGGGCTCAGCTATTTCTGACTCCCTCAGTATAAACAAATTTAGCAACAGCAGAAATGGACCTATTTGGTATAACCATCACATAAAATAGCTGACAGATAACCATTTTGACATGTAAAGACAGCAATTTCAGTGGATCCAAAGCAATGTTTTTGTCACCAGCAGGGACCAGGTTGCTTCTCCTTTATCAAAATGATACTTTCGGTGAGAAACCTGCCTCATCCTTCCCTCCACTTCCCTTCCTGTCCCTCCCTGGCTGAAATGATCCCTAGCAGAATTTAGAAGAATCAGCCATAGTGACAGTTGCCAAATGTTGACCTGAGATTTGGCTTCATTAGCATCATCTGGGGAGGTTTAAAAAGATGGACTGCCATGTGCCGGCCCCTGAGGCTCAGATCAGCCGGTCTAGGCTAAGCTGCCAGCTGCATCCCCAACAAGCACCCTCCCAGGGGTTCCTCAGATTCTCAACCCTGCCCTGCTCAGAGACACCAACAGCTCCTTATTGCTTGGTGGAAAAATCCAAACTCCCTTATCCCAGCCTGTGGAATCTCCCGGATCAGACCTCACCTCACTCTGCCCCACCATTGCTCCACTTCCCTTTGGGAACCCCTGGCAGGACCGACTGAATGGGATTTGATTAAACAACAGATTTCCCTGCAAAGCCACACTGTAGGTCATTCTCTGTGACACAGGCTGGTGCCGAGACCCCATTTCACAACTGGGAAATGGAGGTGCAGGGCTCACAGCGTGAGGATTTTAACTTCCTCCAAGGCTACAGCTGCCACTGCTCCTGCCTCTTAAGCTTCAGTGCTTTGTTTATCTACTCAGTAAATATTTGTTGAGCATCTACTACACGCTCGGTTCTGTTCTAAACGCTAGGGATGCAAAAGACAGCAAAACAGACATGGCTTCCTAAGGAAGGGGATAGATTTGGTCGGTAAAGAAACAACAAACAAAAACTGAGCTCTCTTTAGATTCAGGCAGCTTATGACTTGAATAGCCAGTAAAAGCAAGGTCAGCAAAGTGACAGCCCCCCATGTCCCATGGCCCACGGGATGACCTGAACACAGAGGGGGCCCGATGACACCGCGACGTGGGCAGTGGGGTGATCTGTTGCTGAGAAGCTGATCCGTGCTGTGGCTAAGCAGTCAACAGCCTGCATCTGCACCCTAAGGCAGCCACTCTCATGTTCCCAGGGTTCACGGGCATTCTGCCAAGACTTGGATCAGTGGCAGTTCAGTCTTGCCTACAGGGTCAATATGGAGAGAATAAGGGAGCTGGGGCCCCATGGCAGGGCCGCTCCTGTACACAGCCTTGTCTCAGGGGCCCTTTTGAATCCATGATTTAAAACTCCCAGGTAATTCCAACGGGAAGCATGCAGTGAGTGCCCTAGTCTACAGTTTGTGTGATTTCCGAGGATTACTTCCAGCCCTGCCACCCTGACCCCCAACACACCCCAATCGTATACTCTTTGTAAAATACAACAGAACATCTATGCCTATTTCATACCCAGTGCTTAGCTGCTAAGCACCACCCACCCATCTTGCCATTTCAGGTTCACCTACTCCATGAGGGGGGCTTAATTTCCCCAGTTTTTAGATGGAGCAAGGCAGTGGTCCCAGAGCTAATCATTGGCAGAACCAAGACTTAGATCCAGGCCTCTCTGGAAGCCTCTCCTATTGGCTCCTCACACCACTCTGGCCTCCTAAGCCCAAGATGCTGACAAGCTGTGTCCAAGGTTCTGCCATGTTCTAAGCATCTCAATAGTGTACCATGCTCACACCTGGCATTCTGCTGTTTTGTGACCCTTACTTTGTGATCTTGACAATTCTACTCTCTTAGTGTCATGCATCTCTCTGTCCGACAACCAAAACTTCTTCTTTCACTGTGTTCAATAGTCTCTAACTCCCACCTTTGGTGAGTGTAATCTCTGTGACTCTGTGACTGCCCCCAGCCTGAGTCTGCCCAGGGCTTCAAGTTACTGCACTGCTCCCCTTTTAAGCTCCCTCCAAACCATTCAAGGCCTCTCCCTTCTCCGGGGCCCACTTCAGACTTTCTGAGTTTATGGCTGTGGCTGTCACCTAATGTTATCAGCCATGACAATGGCAATTAGAACAATTAGGTTGGGTGATAAACTCCTGCTGGATTTGGGACTCATGGTGAGTCAGGGCCTTGCCCGCTGAAGAGCTGCCAGTCACCCCAGCTATGCCTGATAGGCCCTGGTCAGCCCAGATAATGGCATTGGCCTCAATGACAAGGTGACACAGTGACTTCCTCCAGGCTTACGTGGGCAGACAGTGCTATCCCTCTCTGCCCATGGCAGGCCTGGCTTCCAGGCCCCCGGCATGGTGGCCGTTTGTGGTCCAGGCTCCCTCCTCCCTTTTCCAAACCTGGAGCCCTTGCGCTCACCTCTGTGGGGCTTCTGCATTCTCATTCCAGATCCTGACCAGATAAGGGAAAGCTTGATCCCATCAGTGGTCTCCAAGCCCAGGCACAGGTGGAGGGAGGCAGTGTGGCTGCTGGTTAGACCATAGGCCTCGGGTTCCAGCCTGGGTTCTGCCACTATTTTGCTATAAGACCTTGGGTAAGTTAACCTCACTCTCTGAGCTCGGTTCCCTCACGTGTGAGTTGGTAATCACAGCATCTGCCTTATGGGGTGGGGCCAGAATCAGAGAGATCATGCATGTCACGGGCTTAGCAACCACCAGCACATGCTGCAGGGACAAGGGCTGTTCTCCTTCTTATTGCTATTGTGTTGGGGCTGGTGATTTCTCCAGCCCCAAGTGCACCTGGGTGGTCAACTCCTGCACCTTGAGGGTGCTGGCCACACCTGGACCGCTCACCATTTGAGCAGTGAGAACAGAACAGACCCTGGACCCCACATACAGATTCAGCCTCCAGCACTCACTCAATGTGTGACTTAGGCAAGTGGCTGAACCTCTGTGAGCCTCATCAGTTTTTCCACCTGTAAAATGGGCACATAATACTGACCACATAAGGATATTGTGAGGATATGATGAGGGTACCTCGGCTGAAGCCAGATTCCAGAGCTCAAATTGCACTTTCAGGACTCACTTGGGGGTGAAACTTTGGGCAAATTTCCCCACTTCTCCGCCTTGGATTCTCATCTGTAAAGCAGCATAGCTTGCTAGGGCGCTTTCATCCCTCCCAGCCCTGAAGGAGCAGCGGCACTCAGGAGCATCTCAGGATCTCCCTTTCTGCCACCACTGCACTTAGAGATGAAGAAACTGAGGCCAAGGGACACGAAATTAGATATCTGAGAACAAGACGGAATATGATTATGCTACATTATGCAGGGCAGACAATTAGAGAACAAAATGGTCTATAATAAAGGGATAATTGCAGGGGACAAAAGCTAAGTGGACCAGGAGCCCGAGATGAAGGAAAGAAAAATGCAGCCCGGGGTGAGGACGGCCTTGGCCGGGGCCCAGGTGTTCTTGTTAATAACATTGATCTTTCCCCTTGACACAGCCATGCATTCTTACTGTGAAGCATTTGGCAAGTGCAGACATTTATGTAAGAGAGTATATAACTCATCTGGTATCTTGCCTCCCAAAGTACTCGTAGTACTCCCCTATTAATACCTTGTTTTTCATTCCCTTTTCTCTTCTTATACTAGCATCTATTTTCATAATTGCTTTCACATTGGTGTGGCTGTCAGGATAGTCTAGGATATGGCACAAAAACAACCCCCCGAAACAACAAAGGTAATTTCTTGCTCTTACTACATGTCCCCTCTGACTGGCAGGGAGGCATCACAGACAGCAGGGACTGTCACTGATGGAGGCTCCACTGTCTGAGGATGTCAACATCTCCACATGTGCTTCTTCAGTCACTGTGACAGGGAAGGAGGACAGGGGAGCTGAGCGCTGACTCATAGATGCTCCCACCTGGAAGGTACACTCGCTGCCTCTATTCACACTTGATTGGCCAATGCAAGTCTCATGGCCACCCTGACGTGAAGGCCACGGGAGATGCTGTTTCCCTGTGGGCCCAGAAAAAGAAGTGGACACTGGTAGACCCAGCTGTGCCCTCCCATGTGCAGATACGGATCTGAGGCTTTCCTGCCTGACACTCCAGGCTGATGAGTTTCCTATTGCGTTGTATGTTTGTGGAAATTGTCCACGTGATTAATGGTCCTCCTAAACTCCTGCTTTTGAAATTTGAAGTTTCTGTTTTTTTTTTTTTTTTTTTTTTTTTACTGCCATAAATTACACTGCTGTGGCTAGCTTCATTCTTAAATCTTCCTCTAAATTTCTATTTTGTTAGAAAAGATTTCTATAGGGAGATGCTGAGTGAAATAGTACGAAAATTTAAAAACTAATAATACCAAGTATTTATGGAGTGAATAATTCTCAGGTCTTGTTGGCTTGACTTTAATGTAAAGCCAGGGCCGGCTGTGGTGGCTCACACCTGCAGTCCCAACACTTTCGGAGGCCGAGGCAGGAGGATTGCTTGAGTCCAGGAGTTTGAGACCAGCCTAGGCAACATAAGGAGACCTATTTCTACAAACCACCCCTCCCTCCATAAACCAGACCCTATATCTCCTCTCCCTCTCCAGGCTCTCTCCCTGGTTGCCCCGTCATCATACTTGGACTGGTGCAGTAGCATCCTGACAGGTTCCTGCCCCTGTCCCGGCTCCACCCACTCTCCCTGCAGCAGCCCTCATACCTTGGTGAGACTCAGGGTGGAGCTATCTCTGCTCTGCTCTGAAGGCCTGGGGCTCCTGCCTCACTGGGGTGCATCCAAGCTGACAGTGACCCTGGCCTGCAGAGTCCAGCCTCATCCCCCCACAGTCTCCAGCCCTGTCACCCCTTGGCCCACCTGACCTGCCATCCATTCCCCTCCAGCCCCACCAGATCTTTCCTGGACCAGGGCCTTTGCAGTTCCTGCCTCCAGGCTCTGCCCTATGCTTTCCTCAGCTGGAAGCTCTCCCTACATCTGCCACACTCCCTCTTTTCAATGTCACCAGCTCTGAGAAGCCTTAAAGCCAGCATGACCTGGCTCTGCCACCTCCACAGCCTCAGCACCTGACACAGTTCCCCTTTCAGAATGATGCAGTCACACAGGTGTTCTGCAACTCAAACCTCTGAGCCTTTGCCCATGTTGTTCCCTCTGCCTGGAGCATCCTCCATGACATCTCACCTGGTTGACTCCTATGCATCGTTCAGGTCTCCTGTGGGAAGCCCACCTCACCTCCCTCAAGAGTGCAGGTCCCCTGTTAGCCCTCATCTCATGACACCTGGTTCTTCATGCAGTTACTGCTTTAATCTAGCCAGTCCTGTTGACTGGAAACCCATGGGGCACAGCCTGTGTCTTCCTTAGTTACCCATACCTGGCGCTGAGCTCTGTACTTAGTATCCAGCAGGTGCTTAAGCATACTGGGGACCCGGCCTCTTTGGGGATCTGTTGAGGATGCTGGGAGGCAAGAGGTCCCTGTGGGGTGAGGGAGGGAATGACAGGGACAGGGGACAGGACATGGGCCAGTGTGGAACAAACCCTGCATTTGCTGGAGGATGGGAACAACGTCTGGCTGCTCTGCTCACAGCTGCCTGGACAATCAGAATGGAACCAGAGGCCATAGGCCATCTGCAGATGAGCCTGACATGTGTGGTGGAGCTGGACGGGTCACCCAGCAGTCGTGAGTAATTGGGTCACATGCCGTCCTTACCCAGCATGGATCACAGGACATGGTGGGGCTGGTGCATTAGGAAGTGGACTGAACTCATCTTAGTTAAAATAGAATTTGCTTAAATGATTGCTCACATCATTTCCCTGTAATCTCCCTCAGGCTCCGCGGCTGCCTTTCTTCTTCATGATACTTGATCACTTGTTATTCTTCCCTTTGCTTAACGACAAGACAACAGAAAAAGGAAGGAGGGGAGCAGAGGCGACATTGTAGCCCATTTTGTAAAAACCAAAGAAACCATTTTGCAAATTGCAGGAAGTGATGAGAAATTAGAGCAGCATTTATGTCCATTACAGCTGGAGATGGAGAGAAAGGTGGTCTGGGTGGGGGCGGAGGTGGAGAGCCCTCCTTGATCACCATAATGGGGGCAGCATGGGCAGTGGAGAGAGCACTGGACTGGGGCCTCGAGCCTAGAGTTGGGGGTTTTCTGGGTCCACGGCTTTAGTGAGCCCTGTGGCTTCACCCAGAATCCTCCGTATGTGCATGCAGGTGTGCACATATGTGCACAGCACACGCAGACATGTACAGACACACACAGATACACACAGACGCCCATTCACACACAAGGACACAGGCACACATTCACCCCATGTGCACACACACAGACACACACACAGGCACACACAGATTCACACAGACACATGCATGACTCACACACAAACACACAGACACAAGCACACCAGCACACGTTCATTCAATGTATACACACACATGCACACACTCATACATACACATGCACACACAGATTCACAGACACACACAGACACATACACACCACTCACACACACCAATGCACACATAAGCATATGGGTACACATTCATCCCACATGCGTGCACACACACACACACACACACACACACAAACACAGGCACACACAGATTCACACGGAGACATACAGACACACAGACACAAACACGACTCACACACAAACATTCATACAGACACAAGCACACCGGCACACATTCACCCCATGTGCATGCACACACACACACATAGAGGCACACACAGATTCACACAGACACATACATACATACCCCTCATACACACCAATGCACACATAAGCACATAGGCACACATCTCACATGCACACACACACACACACATTTGCACTCACAGATTCATACAGACACATATAGACACAGAGACACATGAGTCAAACACAAACATACAGGCACACACAGACACATACAGACACAGAGATGCACACCACTCACACACACCCATGTGCACACAAGCACGCAGGCACACATTCATCCCGTGTGCACACACATATGCATGCACACCCCACACAATCCACTCCGTTTCTCCTCTTAGATTCCCCTCTAGTGACCTACTTTGTTTGCGCCCACTGCCATGACCCTGTGTGACCCCTCTCAGTTCTCACCTGAAGCCCTGCTATACCCTCCTTGTCTTCACTGAGGGGCCGATACATGGCATTTCTCCTTCCCACCCAAGTTTGGAACAAATGGAAACAAAGACACAGGAGTCAGGCAGATTAAAAAAAATTCCCTTCATTACTGGTGAAGCTGCTTGGAGGACACAGCACAGAGGAAGCGTGATGGTGAGTTGGTAACGGTCTCAAGTATTGAACGGTTTCTCCCCAGACAGCAGCCCTCCCTGCCAGGGACTCGGCCTGCACACTAAGCTTACCATGAGGCTGAAGGTGGTGAGAAGGCCCTTGTCTGGGTAAGGAGCCAAGGGAGGCCACAGTGAGCTCACAGGAGCCCGCAGAAAGGCTGTCACCATCATTCCCCAAAGGAGGTGGTGTAGGGTAGTGGTTGAGAACACCGGCTCTGGCATCGATAAACCCTGGTTCAAGTCCAACCTCTGCCATTTACTAGCTCTTGGACTGTAAGCTAATTAATAAATCTCTCTAAACCTCATAATCAGCGTCTGTAAAATGGGGATAATGAGGCGTATCTTGTGGGTTTGTTGAGAAGATTAAGCTAGTTAACACAAGCAAAGTGCTTAGATTAGTGACTGGCTTATAATACACAGCTCTCAAAACTTATTCAGTCTAACATGAGTCAGCTCCACTGTCCTTTTATTTTTTTCTGAACAGAACAAGCTTGTGCCTGCCTCGGGCCCTTTGCACTTGCTGTTCTTTCTTTTGGGAGTGCTCTGTCTTAGATCTTAGCATGAGTGCGCCTCTTCATCATTAGGTTTCAGCCCAAATGCTACCTGTTCCAGGTGGCCTTCCCTGGTTCCCCCAGGTCAAAGCATCTGCTCCCCAACACCTGAGTTGTTATCACATTGTCTGTTTAATTTTCTTCAAGCACTTTGCACCCTCTGAAATTGTCTTGTTTATTTACTGATTTCCTTCTTTATTTTTTGTGTTCCTTTTGTCCATCTTATTTCCCTTGGAGGTCAACCCTGCACCTTGCACAGGGCCTGGAACATATTAGCTGCTTAACTTTTACTGGTTGAATGAATGAATGAAAGAATGAATGGATTCTACACTGATACCTGATTCTACTCCCTGAATTTCACTTCTTGAAGGTTTTTTGTTCAGGGGCTTGGGGCACCTGCTGGCTCCTGGGATTCTGATGTCATTTAATCCCCATGGAGCCAGAGAAGAACAGAGCCTACAGGGAATGGCTTCTTCCTGTTACAGAAGCATGAGCTGAGGCTCAGTTCAGGGAACAGAAAATCCAACATGCACTAGCTTAAACTATAAAGCCTAGAATTGGATTGGGTCTCAGACAAGGACTGATCTAGAAACCCGATTGTGTGACCAAGGACTCAGCATTTTTTCAGTGATCTGCTCTCCCTCCCAGAGTATCAACTTCATCTTCAGTCTGTCTTCTCTTGTGGTTGCAGCATCAACTTGGGTGATGTATTTCCTCCTTCCCATTTAGCAGAACGCGTCGTGTCTCCCAACCAGAATGGAGAAGTCCTGGGCTTTGCTCTGACTGGCTCATATTAAGTAACGTATCTTCCTATGAACTCATCCGTGGTTATTGACCTGGTGTCTGACATGGCTCAGCTCAATCACGGACATGGCTAAGGAAGTCAGGAAACCAGAGTCAGAGATGGGGTCAAGGCTGCCCCCCAAAGGGAGAGGCAAAGGGAGTGGGGGTGTGTGTGCATCCGTGGCCCTGGGATGCTCCCTGCCTCAACCCTGTGGAGGGAGATGGTGACAGTGGAGTTGACCAGACTGGAGACCATGAGATCTACAAATCCAGTCTGGTGCCACCACCCTCACTTTCCCGGGAGATGAGCATGGATTCTGCCTCCAGCGCTGACCAGCCCCCTACCCCAAGCCCTCGCCCTGCCCTCCCCACAGATGCCCTGAAGCTGACAGGCATAGACACTGCCCTCTCTGGCTCCTTGGCCAACATGGATCACTCCAGATCCCTGCAGTTCTGTGCTCTGGCTGAAAATGCACTTGGGCTGCTATGTTCATTACAAACTCAGGGCTTTTGGGGCTGGGGGTGCTGCAGAGACTGTGTATATGGAGAAACTGAGGCCTGAGAGCAGGTGCTTGGTCTCATTCTATGGAGCTGGGCCCAGGGTCCTTGTTCTTAGACCTGGTCTTTGTACTGCACCACAGAGTCACTCCCTTGCATTAACTCCCCACAACTGGAGACCCACCCCTTCCTCTCCCTAAGCCTCCTCCTAGTCTCCTTCACCCTCAGACCTGGCAGCTGGCCAACTTCTTCCACCCTGCCTGCACCATCCTTGGCATCTTCTCCTATCCCCACCTTGAGGTTCAGTCATGCCTAGCTCTAGAAAGTTGGTGGTGATCATGCATAATGTTTACTGAGAACATGGACCGCTCCGGGTGCTGAGATGAGTACTTGTATTGTCTCATTCATTCATTCAATGTATTTGTGATGTTTTCCATGTGCCACATGCCGTTCCAGGTGCTTGAGAGAGAATCATGACCAGAAACTCAGTTCTTGGCTTGATGTAGCTTCCAGTTTAACTGGAGAAAATAGATATCAGCCAAATAACAAAGGGATAAAATTAAAAAAATTTCCAGCTTCCAGTTCCAGGCCTCAGAGAGGATTCTAAGCTGAGCTGTGATGTGATTTATGGTCCCATTAGAAAATCATCATTGATTTATTCTCCTTTCTTTCTCTGTTCATTGGGTACTCACTGTTCCATCTTATGGTCAAGACCCCGGGCCAGAAAACAAAGGAGGGTTTATTGAGCATCTATTGCATGCCAGACACTGTTACCTCATTTTGTCTCTGCAGTGATGCTGCCAGGTAGACCTGACTATCCCCACCTTGCAGGCAAGGAAACTGAGGCTCGTGGCTCAGGGCTGAGATCACACAGCACCTGCTCTGGTTTCTTGGTAATTCAGTGAGGATCTAAGAGACAGTCTAAGAGACAGTGGCATCTTCTATCTCTGTCTCCCCAGTCTGTTCTCATGCTGCTAATAAAGATGACATACCTGAGACTGGGTAATTTATAAAGGGAAGAGGTTTATATGGACTCACAGTTCCACATGCCTGAGGAGGCCTCATAGTCATGGTGGAAGGCGAAGGGGAAGCAAGACACATTTTACATGGCAGCAGGCAAGAGAGAGCTTGTGCAGGGGAACTCCCCTTTATAAAATTTTCAGATCTTATGAGTCTTATTCACTGCTATGAGAACAGTATGGCAGAAACCGTCCCCCCATGATTGAATTATCTCCACCTGGCCCCACCCTTGGCACGTGGAGATTATTACAATTCAAAGTGAGATTTGGGTGTGGTCACAGCCAAACCACATCAGGCTTCCACTCTGCTCAGGAGGCTGTATTGTTGTTACTATTATAATGGCCACTACAGCTACAAAAGCAGTCACAGGTACCCTTCCTTCCAAAACCCACCATGAGACTGTGAAGGTGCAAAGCGCTTTACTTAGATGGTGCCATTTCATCCGTAAAACACATCGGCAAGGCAGGTACTGGCCTCATTTCACACACAAGGTTGTGGCTCTGTGGGGATAAGGGACTGGCCCAAGAGCACTGGCGAGTCAGGGCAGGACTTGCACTCAGGTCTTTTAGGTCCTCAACCAAGATGGTGTGCCACCTATTCAAAGAGGAGGGGTGGCCATTTCTTCACCATCAGAAGAGATGCCAAGAAGAAGGAGAGGATTGAAACAGATGCACAAACCTGAGATGAGAGATCATGAGCCCCCGAGAGAAGGGTGGGCAGAGCAGCTGTGGTTGTCCCAGTGGGGAGTTTCAACTCCTTGTTCCAGGCCTGTGTTAGGTGTCTGAGTTCTCAGAGATACCTTTGGAGCCTGGTCCCCCACCCCTCTCCAAGTTTTCTTTGTTTAAATTACATCATTGAGTGTTTTTTTCCTGTTATTTGCAAAGAGCCTTAGACACAGATGTCAAAGAAATCTACTTATTAAAAAAACAAAACAACAACAACAAACTGCTAAAAAAAAAAAGTAAAAATCTCAATAATGAGTGTCTCTTACTCAGAGAGCCCTCATCAAATAAGAGGAACGAGGATTTTGCAAACCTATATGGAAATTAAACCTGCAATCTGGGCACACAGTTGTTTGACAAGTGATAATTAACTGCTGACAATATAATTTCAGTTTAGATTCAAATCTGTTTTTCATTAAAAAGTAATCAAAGAGATGCTTGCATCTGGAAGTCCAGCCTCCAGCAGTGGGAGCTCAGCTCCTCTGCTGAAAGGCTTTAGGGCTAGCATTGAGTACCCACTGTTCTTGGCCAGATGGGGCACGGACTCCAAAAGTGATGCTGGAAACAGGTCCCCAGTGAAGCTTGCAAAAGGCAGCTCAGTCAACCTCTTTCTCACTAAGGGTCCCATATCCTCCTCTGGGCATCTCTGACCCGACATGTTGACCCTGCCAGTTGGCTTGGTGCTGATTCCAGCTCTGACCCTAACAGTTGGCTTGGCGCTGACCCCAGTTCTGACCCCCACAATTGGCTTTGTGCTGACCCTTGCTTCAGGGAGGTATGGAACACTCTCATCTCTGCAGTCCCTACCACACCTGTGGTCCTGCGGATGTCATATTCTATCTCTCCGTTTCTGAGGCTCAGAAACCAGTCACTTTTTCAAGGCCACACAGCTGGTGAGGGGCTAGACAGACACCTGAACTCCTCCTGCCTGACTCCCACATCTGTGCCACACACCCTGCCCTCCTCCCTTTCCTCTAGTCAACTCAGCTTCTCTGTGCCTCAGTTCCTCTTCTGTAAAATGAGGATAATAATGACATTTACATCATGAACTTGTCATATGGAATAAACAAGCTCATATACAGAACAGTGCCTGGCACATAGAAATTCCTCCATAGATGTCAGCTATGATACTTATTAGTAATTAATTCAGATGATAAATAAAATCATTGCTCCCTCTTGTGAGGCCAGCTGATTCCACCCCTGCAATCACCCAAGTCCTGCTTGGGACTCTGTCCAGATCTCCGGCATCCATCTGAATGGAAGAGCCACATGGAATCCTGTGTTCTCAGGAGCAGGAAGGGTTCTTCTGCCATACACAGAGCGAGGGTTTGCTCCCTGGCTGAGGGCGGACCCCTCTGAGTGCAGATACCTCAGTTTCTTGGTAGCTGTTGTCCCAGAAGCTCCGTTTTTCTTATCCAAACTCAGCGTGTGGCCAACTATGACCCGTGGGATCACTTTTCTCTATTTATTTATCCCTTAAACTCTTCCTAGATGTCCATGGAATTTATACCTCCTCTCATCTTGCCCCTGCCCCACCAGCTACACAGAATGCCTCAATGCTCCTGGAACATTCCACACTCTTTGGCATCCCCAGCCTTTGCACATACTGTGTTCCTTGCCTGGAATGTGTTTCCCTACACTTCCCACCTGGTTAAGTTTGATGCTTTAAGGCCCAACTCAAACATCACCTTTTTGATCACACCTTGACCTGCCTCTGAGCACAAAGCAGGGGCTCCTTATGCACTTATTGAGCCCCCCCCCCGCCTCATGTGCCCGTAGATATATCTGGACCTGAGTGATCCCAGCTGATCCTCACAGCAACTCTGGAAGGCGATCTGCATTATCCCCACTTTACGGATGAAGAAACTGAGGCTCAGAGAGGAAAAAGGACTTGCTCAAAGTTACATATCTCATCAATGCCAGAGCCTGGGCTATTGACATGGCCCAAGCTGCCTCATTTCTTTGGCTTGTAGGAATCCTTTTAGTTCCACTCCTAAAGGCAGCAGGATTTGGTGCCCCATAAGTTCACATTCACATTTGTCACTGATCCAGGCCTCAGACACAAAAGTTTATGTCCCTGCTCACACAATCCTTGTCTATTCCCAAGGGTGGTAATCAGCACATGTGCTAGACTTCACATCTGTGTCCACACCCCAGCCCCGTGCACTGAGCCCAGACTCATATACCCAGCTTCCTCCTGGATACCGGCCCTGGGTGACCCCTGGGACCCTCAGACTCTGAGCCAGATGTGCCTAGGGTGGGTAGGGCAAGAGCTGGTGGGGCAGGAGCTAGCTCCAACCTAGAGACCAGGTTCTGACTTCTGCTCCTGAAAATGTTCCCTGCATAAGCTCTAGAAATGTTTTATCAAATGTAGAAAAATGGAAAGGGAGATCTCAGGGGATGGAGAGGAACTGACAGCAGAGTAGGAAGTGAGTGTGGGAACTGGGGTAGCAGCTGCCATGCTGCAGGCTGTGTTAGCAAGGTTAACACTCTTGAAACCATCCTTATAATCTTTATAACATTAATCAGGGAAGACGAGAGGGAAAGAAAGAAAAATAAACTGAGCCTGCAGCACGTTCAGCCTTAACCTGCTAGGTCAGCTGCCCTCTGACCTGCTTCCTTGAAGTTGTTTGCTGCTTGGTGCCTCAGAATCACATGGACCCTGTTACAAGATGATAGTTCCCCTGCACTGTTCTGTAGATAACAAATTGAACATTAGGAAATGTTACATATTCCTTTTGAGATATTCTTTCAGATCCTATATACTAATGAAACACTGGTGCTAGCTGGTCTGAAGGAAGCTGACTCCCCAAAGAATGCAGTTTCCATGTCCTGATGATCTCATCCCCCTTACCTTGATCAATCAATGACCCCAATTTTCCAGCCCCTCACCCTCCATGGTCCTCTCAAAAACCTCAGCCTGTAACTTTTTGCGGAGATGGATTTGAGAGTCTCCTCCCATTTTCTCACTGAGTACCCTGTGATCATTACACTCTTTCTCTGCTGCATCCCTGCTGTCTCAGTGCATTGGTCTGTTACTGAGCAGTGGGCATATGAATCTGTTGATCCCATAACACTCTTGGTCCCCTGCTAAGGGTTTGGGCTTAATGTCTTCCAGGGACAGGAGATGATGTCTTGAGTACAATGCAAGGAGTTGTATAAAGCTGGGAGCATTAAAGGGCTGAACCTCAGTGATAGAGTATACCAGAAAAATAGTTTATTCCCAAGATCTGGGAAACAAAAGGGGAGCTTGTCAGTTTCTGCTTGGCCTATGAGAGGACAGAGAACCTCCTTGGGTTATAGTGACTACAGGGTTTACTTGTGGCTTTAATTTATATTACAGATTTTTTTTTTTGACAGTGTCTTGTTCTGTCACCCAGGCTGGAGTTGCAATGGCGTGATCTCCTCTCACCACAACCTCCTCCTCCTGGGTTCAAGAGATTCTCCTGCTTCAGCATCCCGAGTAGCTGGGATTATAGGTATGTGCCACCACACCTAGCTAATTTTTTGTATTTTCAGTAGAGACGGGGTTTCACCATGTTGGCCAGGCTGGTCTCAAACTCCCGACCTTGTGATCTGCCTGCCTCCCAAAGTGCTGGGATTACAGGTGTGTGCCACCGTGCCCAGCCTACAGAGTTTTTTTTGTAAACTCCCAAACTAGGCAATTTACCTATAATTGGTTATAGGCTGGTGAAACTTCTGAGGCATCTGGTAGAAGCCAGTCTAGAGCAGATCAGGAAGCGCAGTCTGCACTGGGTTCTCACAGATACAGCCCTACTGAAGATGAACTCAAAATCCCAAATTTCAAAACAAATGAGAAAACTATTTACAATGAATGAGAGTTAATAGCTATGAAAATAAGGAAGATAAAAACCCCCAAAAGCAAGGCACAGTGGCTCACGCCTGTAATCCCAGCACTTTGGGAGGCTGAGGCAGGCAGATCACTTGAGGCCAGGAGTTTGAGACCAGCCTGGCCAACATGGTGAAACCCTGTCTGTACTAAAAATACAAAAATTAGCTGGGTGTGGTGGTGAATGCCTGTAATTCCAGGTATTCGGGAGGCTGAGGCCTGAGAATTGCTTGAACCCAGGAGGTGGAGGTTGCAGTGAGCCAAGATCATGCCACTGCACTCCAGCCTGGGTGACAGAGTGAGAGTCTGCCTTAAAAAAGAGAAAACACCAAAAACCAAATAACTTCAAGTAATAGAAAAATTCTGATAGAAACTATTTTATATATATATATATATATATATATACACACACACACACACACACACACAAACACATATATATAGTGATTAAAAGCATAAAAATAAAAATCACAGGAATAGAATAAGACACTATAAGAAAGAATAAGCACATTAGAAAAAATAGAAAGTCTAAAAATAAAATTTATAATTATTGCAATTAAAAAATAATCCTAAAGGGCAGACTAAATAGTAGATTAGGTAGAACTGGTGAAATAATCAGTTACCAGGATATAGACAATAGGAAATTATCCAGAAAGGAATAGAGAAGGAAAATGTGGAGAAGTTCAAAGACCTGAAGGAGACAATGAGAAGCTTCAACAAACCTTTATTAAATTTTACAGAATACATGAAAAACCTGAATTCATAATTTCCAAAGGAATCTGAGCAGGTGCAATACAAATAAATTCAGATCTGACATGTGAAGAGATTGGAAATTGTCATTCCCATTCTCACAAGAAGAAGCTGGACAAGCTGAAAATCCACAACTTTTCTTGGCTTCCTCAGAGAGCTGAGGTTGCAGAGCAAACCATCACACTAAAATATGAGAGAAAGGTGAATTCAGAGAGGCACAGCTGAGATCTCCCTGCTTGAAGCAGAAGCTGCTGGGGCCATAAAGTGATAGGAACACATAAATGGCAATTTTGACAAATTGCTGGAGGCTGAGTGTGAATTAATGTGAGGATGGAGAAACACCTTGGGTGTCACAGTCTCTGGGGTGCCAAAATTTTGCAAGAAATATTAAAATATTTTCTTTAGGCATGAATAAAATGATATGGTCAGAAACTTAGATCTATATGAAGAAAGGAAGAGTGTTGGAGAAAAAATAAATGAAGATAAAAGTAATTATTTTTCTTATTCTTAATCTAGAACTGTTTGTTTAAATGGTTCAAAGTAATAATAGTAACTATATATTCAGTGAGTATAACATGGGTAAATAAAATGAATGACATCATTGTCACAAGGAATGGGAGAGAAGGATTGAGAATACTCTAAGACAGGTGTACTATATGTAAAGTGGAATAGTGTTATTTGGAGGTGGACCCAGATTAGTTAAAAGTATATATTATGAACTTGAGGGAAGCTACTAATCTTTCTTTTAGAAAGAAGTAATTGATACACTGAGTGAGGATCAAATGGAGTAATATGAAATGCTCAGTTAAAACTAGAGAAGGCAGAAAAGGAAGCCTCTGGTAATAAATATAAACAGCTACAAACATGGTTGATATGAAGTCAAATATATCAATAATCACTTTAAATGAGATTAGTTTAATACATCAATTAAAAGACAGAGATTGTCATAGTGGATAGTGGATAAGAAAGCAAAGACTAACCTACATGTTTTCTGTAAGAAACCCACTTTAAATGTAAAGACTCTGACAGTTAAAAGTAAAGGTATGGATAAAAATATATAATGTTAACACTAGTCAAAAGAAAGCTGGAATACTATGATGATTTCAGACAAAGAAGACTTCATAATGTTTCACTGTCAATCAACTTGATCTAATTGACATTGATAGAACACATCCTTCAATATCAGCAAAATACACATTCTTCTCAAACTCACAAGGAATATTCATCAAGACAGAACACATTTTGGGCCACAAAACATGCTTTAATGAACGTTTTATAAAAGAAAATCGTACAAAGTATATTCTTAGACTACAATGGAATTAAACTAGAAATTAATAACTGAAAGCTGAAAAATTCCCTAATATTTGGAAACTAAACAATACATTTCTAGATAGTACATGGGCCAAAGAAGGAGTCTTAAGAGAAATTTAAAAATATTTTGAACTAAATGAAAATGAAAATACAACTTAAAAAATTTTTCAGGATGCAAAGAAAGTGGTGCTTAGGGTCAAATTTACAACATTACACACCTATATTAGGAAAGAAGAAAAATCTAAAATCAATAAACTAAGCTTCCACTTTAGAAAACTAGAAAATGAAAAGAAATATTCTATGACCCAGCAAATTCTATCCCATCCCAGGACATATGAGTTCTACTTGTAAATGTGCAAGACATGTACAATCATGTTCATAGCATCGTTATTTATTATAGCCCCAAACTGGAAGTTAACCAAATGTTGATTAACAACAGGATGGATAAATAAATACAATATGTTCATAGGATATTAAACAATGAGAATGAACAAACCAAAACTATATATCATGTATGTGGATATCACAAGTATAATATTGAGAGAAAGAAACCAGACATAAAAGAGTATAGAGTACATTATTCTATTTTTTTAAAGTTCAAAAACAAGCTAACCTAAGCTATCCTGTTAAGTCAGGACAACAGTTACCCTTGGCGGAGGTATAGCTACTGAGAGGGGTTACAAATGGGCTTGCTGGTAATGCTTTATGTTCACTTTGTGAAAATGTATCCAGCTGAATACTTATGATTTGGGCATTTTTTGGTATGTATGTTATGCATCATTCAAAAGTTTGGGTTATAAAAGGCAACCAGAGAAAGACCTGATTACCTCCTAAAGAAAGACAGTGAGACTGACAACAGACTTCCCAGCAGCAACAATAGAGACCAGAGAACAATGGAGTAATATTTTCAGGGCCAAGAGAAATGCAGTAGAATTCAAAAGTAGAATTCTAGGGTCAGCTAAACTATTATTTAAAATTGAGGGAGAAAGAAAGATATTTTCAGACAAAGTCTGAGTGATGTTATCACTCACAGGATTTGCTGAGAAAACAGACGCATGACGTACTCCAGGGAGAACACTGCTGGGAGAGGAAAGGAGTGGATCACAGATGACACACTGAGCAGGGATCGGTGCACTTGCATTGATTACATCACACAGGAGCAATAACAACAACAATAGCAATGTAACTAATTTGGGGCACAAAGGAGGGAGCAACCACAACACTAAGATGGGAGAGGGGTGAGAATCAATGTGTTCTGAGATCTGGGTATTGTTCAGAGGAAGTGGAGCTAGATTGATTTGCTTTACACAGTGTTAAGTCAAGTGTGCTTATTAAAATATAAAGGTTAACCAAGAAGGAAGAGAAATAGAATGTACCACTTACAAATCAATAGAGGATAAAAAGAAATAAAAACTTGATCAATACAGTATATGGCAGGAAATGAGCCAAAAAGAAAAGAAAAGGCAGCAGAAGAAATCCCGAGAAGTTCAAAGTAGTTCAAAGAAGTTCAAATAGGAAGGAAGGAGCCTGGCTCTGGCATTCATATCTGTGTTTGACTTTGGGCAAAAGACTTAATGATGTCACTGCTTTCAGCCTCAGTTTTTCATCTGGACAATGGGAGGATGACATTCTCTTGTAGCTATTGTGGGGACATTGTAGACTCTGCCTGTCCAGTCCTCAGTGCTGGGGATACTGCAATGCTGGGGATACTGCAAGTGGCTGCCCTTCACCCCTTTGCTCTCAGGTTCTTGTGTAAAGAAATGAATTTTATGTTTATCACAGTGTGGATGTCTTCATTTTTCTTTTCTTCTTGGAGATAAAGCTCTCTGCAGTCAAGCTTTATTTTCTCAGACGAATAAGAGATTATCTAATGGGCTCATGCAGTCCACTGGAAATTTCCAAAGGGACAAAGAGGCAAGAAGTGTCTCTCCCAAGACAATCCTTGCTTTATCTTTACTCTTCACTTAGTAACAGCAGTGGCCATGTTTTAATTGTTTCCCGTGTCCCAGGTGCTGTGCTGTCTTACCCATGTTCTTTCATTTGAACTTACCTCATAACCCTGCGAGAGAGGAGTCGTCATTCACTTTAGCAAGGAGGCAATGAAGGTTAGGAAGGTGAAGTGAAACCTGCCCAAGGACATGGCTCAGCTGAGACTCAAATACAGGTCTGCCTGACTCTAAGCCCCTGGTTCTTCTGCTCCTTACATTCTCAGAAACCTTTTAGTCATTTAATTATTGAAGAATTGTCCCTAATCAGGAACCAGCCCCCAAGGCTGGACTTGCTACAGCAGAGCAGATGGCATGGGGGAATCCAAGTCAGAATGGCCCTCTGGACAGAGCCCATGCGGATGACCGGCTGGGGACAGTCTCTGCATCTCTGCACTTAATGCCATCAGCTAAGGTGGGGTGACCTGGAACTGATCTCCCCCGGAAGTTCTTTAGGCAAGAAGCCCCAAGGTAGCTCATGGCCACACTCCCCTGGGGCTACTAAGGGGCCACCTCTAGATCTCTGACATGGAATAAAGTCCATGTCCCCGGACATGGAATAAAGAATTAACCAGTGCTCAGTGGAGGGGTTACCTGGCTCTGCAGAGCTGACCGTGCATGTTCTGCTTCAGAAACCCACCCACTCCCTGTGTTTGTAGGATGAGATGAGACCACACTCCTCAGCATGGGCATCAAGGTTGCTGTGACTGGGCTAGACTCCCTCTTCTGCCTCATCGTCCTCTCCCCTTCACACACACACACCACACACCACATGCCACACATAACACACACACCACACACAGACGCACACACAGACACACACACACTACTGGGTGTCTCAGAAAATGCTGGGCCATTTTCTTTTTCTTTTTTTTTTTTGAGACAGAGTCTGTCTCTGTCACCCAGGCTGGAGTGCAGTGGGGGTTCCCAAGCCCCCCTACTTGTTTCCATGCTTCCCAGGCCCACCCAATGTTACAGGCAGCACATGGCAGCAGGAGGGATCAAGACAGGTAGACACTGGGGGAGTCAAGGGAACAAGGGATGGCTGGAGGAGTGACAAGTGACTCAAGGACATGTGGTGAGAGGCACCTGTTCATCAAACCACAGTTCTTTTGAAAGGGACTCAGGGCAGCTCCTAAAACATACACTGTACACTAAGATCATTCATTAATTCCCTGGGCCAGTGCTTACTGAGCACCTACTACATGCCAGGCCCCGTGCTGCTGCTGAGATGCACTGAGGGGTCTCCATCCTTAGTCTGGGGAGGCGGCACATGTCAAAAGAAGACTCTGTTGCTCTCCCTGGGGTGGGTGGGGGATTGCTGTGGGAGCTCAGGGGAACCATCCTCAGTTTCATAGGGAATGGAGCTGAGACCCAAACAGGTGAACGACTTGTGTGATGTTTCATGGCAGGGGATGGGGCCTGCAACCCAGAACTTCTGAGCCCCCAGACCCTAGTCTCATGCCTCCTTACTGGACCCCATGCCGGGTCTCACAAGGTGGTCACTGCAACAGCTTCAACCCCAGCCATCATTCCCAGGCCACACAGCCAACCTCCCTGCCACGATAGTAATTACACCTCTTGGAGGTTAATTTGTAAAGAGACAGTGGAAGTCCTTATTTTAATAGCAATTATCAAAATCATGCTGGAGGGGTGCTGTGTAATGGGTAATTATCTGCAACAGAACAACAGTATCGTCAATTCTATTGAGCTCTTTCCAACGAACCTAGAGTTAATCCTGGAAAGCAGCTAGCGTCAGCTGATATTTGTTTAATAATATTCTTATTAAATTCAAATGGAAGTCCCTTTAAAAATCTTCCCCAAGAGGAATGTGGCTAGTTTACCAAGACCTCAACTCCACGGTGTCCCACTGAATTCCCATGGAGTTTGTCAGCATCCCTCCCTGTACCACATCACCCCCTCATATCAAGGCTGGACCACCTTCACCATTTGTATCCATTTATGTATTGGTTCAGTTACTCATTTGCTGGTTAATCCTTGTACATTTACTTCATTCATTCACTCATTTATTCATTCACTATTCATTATTCATCTCTTGCATCGGTTTCAAAATCTATTTAAAAATTCTTTCTCATGTTGGGCGTGGTGACTCTTGCCTATAGTCCCAGCACTTTGGGAGGCCAAGGCAGGAGGATTGCCTTGAGCCCAGGAGTTTGAGACCAGTTTGGGCAACATGGTGAGACCCCATGTCTACAAAAAATACAGAAATTAGATGGGCATGGTGGTGTGTGCCGCTAGTCCCAGCTACTCAGGAGGCTAAGGTGAGAGGAGAACTTGAGCCCAGGAGGTTGAGTCTGCAGTGAGCTGAGATGGTGTCACTGCTCTCCAGCCTGCACAACAGAGCAAGACCTTGTCTCAAAAAATTACTTCTCACACTCATTCACGTGTGACTATATCCTTTCTTCCATCATTAGTGCCCCCATTTCTTCTTTCATTTATTTGTACTTTGTTCAGATATTGTTTTCTTAGATTTTAATATAAGTGGTATTCTACCTCTCATTTACTTCTTTTTATTTATTCATTCTTTCTTTAATTGGCTCATCCATTCATTCGTTCACTTACTAATATGCTTTTTCATGCATGACTTCATTCATTCATTGCTCTTTTATTCATGCATGGGTTTGTCCATTTATTCATCAAACATGTATTGTTCGCTCATAAACTATGGCCGTTTTGTGTCTGGTCTGAAGTGATCCAGCCTTGTTCAGCTCTCCAGCGTTTTCTGGGCATCTCAGAAAATGCTGGGCAATTTTCTTAAGTAAAATTCTTTGTCAAAGTGTAACAAGATGACACTGAGTTTCCAAGATTGGGTGACTAGGAGAGTTGCTCAAACCTTGGACCCTGGGAACACAGTGAGAGTTAGGTTAGAGAGAAGTTGAATTCACTTTTGGACATATTGTGTTTGAGCTACCAACAGCTCACCCAGGAGGAGACATGGGATATGTGGAAATGCAGAGATCAGTGAATTAGGCCTGGGGTGGGAGCAGAAGACCTGGGGTGGGTCTCACCTCTGCACACCTTGCCTGGGACTGTGTATAGCAGAAGCACCTTTCCTGTGATTTCTGTCTCTCGCTGTTTGCCCAGGGTGTAATCAAGAAATGGTGAAGTCTGAAGAGAAAAAATTTGGTCATCTTGACCACCACCCAGCCACTTGTTCCCTGATGTGTTTCATTTTGAAAGTGGTTTCAGGCAAATTTTAGCCAAGTTGATCTTTGCTGCCTTGCTGAGCTACTTCAGCTCCCAGGAGCACCTACTGGGTGGAAGACACTGAGTTTGGGACGCTGGGATCAGGCTGAAGTTGGTTTACTGGGTGGGTCTGGAAGAGGCAAACACAAAAGTTGACCCTGAGGTGGTGCATGCCCCTGTTCCTCCTTGGCATGTGGGCTGGGGTCCACCTTCTGCAGGTAGGTCTGCCCCTCTCTCGGGGTCTCTGCTCCCAGGGATGAAGGGCTGTGGGTGGCGATTCTCCCGGCAGCCAACTGCCCAGGTCTCCTGAAAAACCTCATCTCCCAGGGAGTCCCTGCCTAGACCTAGAGGGAAAAGTGAGATGCCTCATTCTGTTTTCAGGCCCAAACAGCTTTCTCCAGTCAAGTTTCACCAGATACAAAGCTGAAAGTCCATTTTCCTGTTTGGTCCTAACTAGCAAAGGAGCAGGATCTCTGTGACTGGCCCTGGGAGAATGACAGCAGCTCTCTGTGAGCCCACACTGCAGTCCCTCCCAACCTCAGCTTTCGTGGCCATCTCAGAGAGAGGCAGAGCAGCCTCAGGTCCCTCCTTCAGGCTCTGTCTTGAGAATTCAGGTCTGGGCAGCTGGAACAGGAGTGTGCAATTTGGAATCAGTTGAAATCCAGCTCTGGCAGGTGACTCACCAGCAATGCAATCTTGGGCAGGTCCCACCACCTCTGCGAGTCACAGCTGCCACATTCACGCAGTGGGGATAATTATCCCCACCTTCTGGGACTATGGGGAAGATCGAGGTGATAGAGGTGAAGATATCTAACCAACTCTGCTGCCTCATTCATCCAGGGTGAGTCACAACATTCTCACCGAGAGCGACATTTCCTCTCACTTTTGTTCTTTGAATCAAAGTCTCAAGATCAATAAGATTGTCCTTCCTGCCTCCTCTCCACTCCTTCATTTATCATCCTTCATCTTTGACTGATTTATAATTTTAGAAGTTGGAAGGAATCATAGAGACCAAGGAGTCCATGTTTTACACATTGGGGGAATGGAGGCCCAGAGAGGAATAGCAACAGGTTCAAGGTCACCCTGCCGGCTTGGGGAAGGGTCCTGACACCTGCCCCCCAAGAGTGCAAGCCCCATTTTCTTGTCTGCTGGGCTGCACCTCTCCATTTTCTTGGGTCCCCTGTGATCTACTGGGAATGCTTTCCTGATATTTTCATTGAAAACAAAACCCAACAAAATGAATGGTATCTTTAAATTGCTACATTGCTCTGTGGCTGTTTTCTTTTCTTTTTTCCTTTTAAGATGTACACACACACACACACACACACACACACACACACACACACTGCTCCCTGCCTGTGTCAACCAGCCAGATTTTCTAATCTAAACTGACAGTCAGTTTCACTCCAGAAGAAATGTGTGTGATCTCTTGCCCGTGTGAACATAGTGTGCTATTGATATAATCACCGTCCAGTAAAAAGCCCACTGAGAGAATATATTGCAGGAGGAAGGGTTTAACTTGGGAAAACTCAAGTTGCCGCACACATATATTTTACCTCTCAAACATTTTTTTTTAAACCGAGGAGGAATAAATCACTTTTAAAGGTTACTTTACCCTTAAAAAGAATCTGAATGTGCATCTTTCAAGCACATGTCGTATGTGTGAGATGTCAGCGTTTTATCACTTGTATAATCCGGCCCTCTTGTCTTTTCCTATTACTCCGAAGACCTTGGCAAGCAACTTACCCCCTCACCATATCATCAGTGATATTTTCTATGCAGTCTGAAGATTTGTCTTTGTTAATCTCCTCTGAGAGATGACGTCGGTACTAGGCCAGAGCAATGTGGCCAGACAGCCAAGAGATTTCAATTTAGGGCTCCCAGAACTTTCAGTATATGAGTCATCACAGCTACCATCGCCTGAGGGCCTACTGTGCGCCAGCACTGTGTCAGACGCTTTTTAATTAATCATCTCTAACCCTCCAGCTCCCACCCTGATTCCATTCACTGTCACCCACTGCCAGGATGATTGCAGGAGATGCCCGATCATCTCCCCAGTTCGATTTCACTCTTGCGCCCTGTGGTCTCGTCTCCACCTAGAAGCAGGAGAGAGCCTTTAAAAATGCCCCTGCAACCATTTCCTTCCTTGCTCACACTCTCCATGGGTGCCCAGCTTCTGCAGATTAAAGCCTGAGTCCTCTCCTGGTCCCAGGCCCCATGACCTCTCTGACCTCATCCCCTACCCCTCTTTACTCTGCCCCAGCCACTTGGGCCTCCCTGCTGACCCTTGAGCATGCCAGGGTCACTCTCACCTCTGGGAATCTGCACGTGTGGCTTCCGCTGCCTGGGCTGACCACCCAAGATGTCCTCATGGCTCCCAGCCTTCGGGCTGTTCCCAAGTGAGTCCTTACTGAGGCCTTTCCTGATCACCCGTATAAAACCGCACCCCAATCTCCTGACATTCTTCATCCCCCATCTCTATCTGATGTCTCCTCATCGCTTACCACTATCTGGCATATTCCGTGTATATTTGATTTATTTCCCTTGCTTATCATCTGTCTCTGTAGCAACACATAGCATCTGTGAAGAAAGGGGTGTTGCATTGTTTTGCTTATTAATAATTTCTAGAGCTTAGAATATTGCCTGGCACATAAATACTTATTGTATGAATGAATGAAATAATCTCATTTGATTTGTGTGTGTGGTCAGTCAGAGATGTTAAGACAATTAACAAAACTGGGTGTGGTGGATCATACATGTAATCCCAACACTCTGAGGGGCCAAGGCGGGTGGATCACTTGAGCCCAGGAGTTTGATCAAGGCCAGCCTGGGCAACATGGCGAGACCTCGTCTCTACAAAATATAAAAAATTAGCTGGGCATGGTGCGTACCTGTAGTCCAGGTACTCGGGAGGCTGAGGTGGAAGGATAGCTTGAGCCTGGGAAGTTGAGGCTGCAGTGAGCCTTGAATGCACCACTGCACTCCAGCCTAGGTGATTGAGCAAGGCCCTGTTTCAAAAAGGGAAAAAAAAGCAATTGACAAGTAATGAATGAAAATATAATCTCAAGACTGCATGACAGAGAGTGACCAGGGGCTACTTCAGGTTGGAGGCATGGAAAAGCCTCTTTCAGGAGGTGGCATTTGAACTGAGACCAGCTATGTTTGAACTGAGACTTGGATTTTACAGACCAGGCAACAACCAAAGGGAGCCCCAGGGAGACAGACAGCTTGCCGAAGGCCTAGCAGGAGGCAAGTTGTGAGATGGGTCTAGAGGCCACAGAGCAGGTGTGCCCAGGCTCTTGGGGAGCTCTTGAGAAAATCCAAAATGGACACTCATGGGTCCTGCAGTGCCCTGTGCTGGCCTTGTCCTGGCCTTTTGCCCACCGTGTTGTGAACATTACTCCATGTGGTTCCCTTCCCCATAGGCCCCAAAGCTACTCGAGGATCAAACAGGGCCCTGACTATGCTTGTATCCCAGGGCCAGTCACAGGGATACCAGTGGGTGCACAGTAGGGCCTCTGCAGATGGCTTTTGAATGAATCTCATGTGAGGCAGGTCAGGGTGTGTTGTGGCATGTAAGCATCGCAGACTATCAGGTTGTGGGAGTCCTGGAGATACAGTGCATTTTACTTAAACAGAGGAACTGAGGCCCAGAGTAGGGTAGGGATGTGCTCATGGTGACTCTCTGAGCAGACATAAGGGTTCAGACTTGAATTCTGGTCTCTTGCTCTCTGTTCTCCCATACACTGCCCTGGGAGGGGGAGGCTCAGGAACCCTGGCCTCATTAACAGGAATGCAGGTGACTGGGAGAGTTAGGGTTTCTGCTTTTCCCAGAAGCATGTCCTGAAGAAATATCTGGCTGCAAATAAAATACAAATGAGGTTCTGCGATGAAGTTCCTGAAGCTGTACAAATGACAAAAGACCCATGCCCTGGGGTTAGTGCTAATTAGAGTCTCCTGAAAGTCAGAGGAGAGGAGCCTTAGAGAGACTGGGGCCCAGGCAAGTTATTACAGAGGTGGGAACAGAAGGCCAGGAAGGTGAGTAATTGACCCGAGGCTATGCTGGGGCAGAGCTAGGATGTAGACTAGGCTTGCAGCCCCCATCCCACTATGGTCAAGGTGAGAGCTGAGCATCCTCTAGCTATCCTTTTGAGCTCCTGACACCTGTCCTATCCAATTGCCTTGCAGCTGCTTTCTCAAAGCTGCTTGCTGTTTTGAGTTTTTTTTGTTTGTTTTCTGAAAAGTTATTGACAAGATATGATATGAGTGGAGCAGAGAGTGGATGCATCTTAACTCAATGTGGGGTGCTAGCCCACTCTGTGATAGATCTAGAGGCTCCTAAGGGTAGGAGTTGGGGAGAGGGTTCAGGAAGGGCTGGGATAATGCAGTATTAGTCCATTTTCACACTGCTGATAAAGACATACCCAAGACTGGGTAATTTTTAAAGAAAAATAGGTTTAATGGACTCACAGTTCCACATTGCTGGGGAGGCCTCACAATCATGGCAGAAGGCGAAGGCACATCTTACATGGTGGCAGGCAGAAAAAGAGAGCCTGTGCAAGGGAACCCCTCTTGATAAAACCATCAGATCTCATAAGACTTATTCACTATCATGAGAACAGCATGGGAAAGACCCACTCACATGATTCAATGACCTCCCACCAGGTCCCTCCCACAACAAGTGGGAATTGTGGGAGCTATAATTCAAGATGAGATTTGGGTGAGGACACAGCCAAACCGTATCACTGCATGATCTCACTTATATATAAAATCTAAAATATTTGAACTCATAGATATAGAGAATAGAGTGGTGGTTACCAGAGGCTAGGCGTGAGGGATGGAGAATTCTGAGATGTTGGTCAAAGGGTACAGAGTTTCAGTTAGGAGGAATACTGCATCTTCTGCAGATTAAAATTAAATTCTGCAGATTCAAGATCTTTTGCATAGCGTGGTACCTATAGTTAACAGTAGTGTAATGTATATTCCAAAATTGCTAAGAAAGTAGACTTTTAATGTTTGCTCCACTAAAAAATAAGTTTGTGGGGTGATGGATATGTTAATTAGCTTGTTTTAATTATTCCATAATGCATACATATATCAAAAGATAACATCATGCCCCATAAATATAATTTTTTTGTCTAAAATTAAAAAAATTGAAAAAGAAGAAGAAGGAAAAAAATGCTGTGACCCCTTCCCATGTGTCAGGCCCTGGCCTGAACACCGTGTATATGATCTCATTGGATGTATCTTACAACAGTGTACCACATTTCTATGAGGTAGGTCATTATCCCCATTTGAAAGAAGAGCAAGTGGAGGTGACATCACTAGTTGGCAGCAAAGTTGGTCCTCAAATCCAAATATGTCTAACACCAAAGTCTATTTCTTAGGTTCAGGAGTCCCAGAAAGCTTTTGGTTGAGTGAGATTAGGATCAGCTCAAAGGTAAAGGCAGGATCCGCTTCACAGGGCTATGATCAAGTTTACCTCTAGGATGAGGAAACTTCTAACTTCTCTTCCAAGAGCAACTTCTAAGCTGTCTCATGCCTGTCTCATGCTAACTCTAGTTAGCACTAACCCCAGGGCATGGGTCTTTTCCTGTTTGTACAGCTTCAGGAACTTCATCTGCAGAACCTCATTTTTATTTTATTTGCAGCCAGATATTTCTTCAGAACATGCTTCTGGGAAAAGCAGAGTGAATACTCCTCTAGGGATTCTAGGGGGTAGAGACAGAGATGATTCTCCCCATGAATAAAACATTCTAAAGACTGATGACTTATCTTAAAACAAGCTATGTGACTCTTGCATGTCTACTCCTGCAAATAAAATATTTGTACTTTATTTTAGTAGAAATATTGCCCTCCAAATCTTTGAGTAATATTCATGCCCTGGGGAGCTGTCTCATGCCTGACAAGCTGGAAGAGCAGAGATGTGGGGGTGAGTCAAGGTGAGGGTGCAGTCTGGCATTATAGTAGAGTGACAAACCTTCTTGGCTCACCCAGGACTAAGAGTTTCTTGGAATGTGGGACCTGCAGTGCTAACACGGAGAAAGTCTCAGTTAAAGCAGGCTGAGTTGGTGATAGCAGTTACAGCAAGGATGGAACTAGAGTTAGTATAACAGACCCTTTGAGAGTGGGTAGAATGTAGTGGTTAAAAACATGAGCTTTGCTTGGAGACAGACCCAGGTATTTTGCTTATGTTTCAAAATTGGTGTCCATGAATCTCTTTGAGCTTGGAGTTCCTCATCTTTAAAGTGGAACTAACAATGGTGCTTCCTCTAAATAATTATTGTGAGGATTCACATGGCAAATGATCAGTAAATGGCAGCATCTTTGCTATTTGTATCCATCTTCCTGGGTGGCTGATTTTCAGGGTTCTTAGCTCAGTGGCATGACCAAAATGCTTTGTGTCAATCTCCTTATCACCTAAAGAGGGAAGTAGACATGGCTATTGGCTGAAGGCCAAGAGTTAATCTTATGTTTGGTCCCAGCTCTGGCACTAACTCAAGTCATTTCCACTTCTTGGGCTTCTGTTTTCCAGCATCAGGGACACCATCTGGAAAATGAAGAAGATTGCACGGAACAATTGCCAAAACCCTTCTAGCTAGAATATTCTCATAATCTGGGAGCTGCTTCCTTGACATGAGTCTTTTTCAGTGTTTCATGAGACCCTTTATAAAAAAGCTTTTAAGCACATGTCTAATTAGTTTGATCAATGTAAGCACATTGCTGCTGTGTAGAACAGAAGGAGAAAAATGCTTGGAAGGCAAATTGTGGTAGGTCATGAGTAGATCCACAAGGTGACTTGGAGACAATTTTCCCCATACAGGCACAGAATTAGGGCTGTGAGTTATTACCTGCCTCTTGTGCCTCAAATCAGGCATCCTAGAATCATATAATTTAGTGGTGTTGTGGTTCATAGAGGGGAAGTGTTTTGCCCAAGGTCACACAGCATACCTAGGCGTGGGTTGTGTAGTCCAGTGACTTTGTTTGTTTTAATCAAACCACATCACTACTCAATTCAACTCTCCTTGTTCACTTGCAAAATGAAGAGAGATACTGCTGAACTGAGATGGTCTCTGAGATTCCTTTCAACCGTGTCAATCTACTATGTCTTGAGGTATAAGAACCAGGGCACAGGAGTTGGGTAAAAGCTTAATGGCAGCTGGGCTGCTGTCCAAGGTGCTGTAGGAGAGAAAGGGTCAGGCCCCGTCACAGGGCATCCAAGGCCAAGGGGAGCAGGAAGCATTCCCTTCACCCTAAAATCACCCCCTCTCCCGATCCACCCCATTAGACCACTGTATCCCTCCTTCCTGTAGCCTTAATAACTGCAAATAACAGGTGCCTTTGGTGATGCAGGAGTCCCCAAATGGTGGATGGAGAGGCATCATGGACTATGTTTCCCCACTGAGGTCCCGAGGCTGTGTCTGTCCTAGCCTGGGGGTTGTCCAGCATCAGGGACACCAGAGTCAAGCTCTTTCCGTCTGTCTCATCTTCCCCACATGAATTCTGGTTGGGGACAGGAGTTGGGCTCCTAAGGGCATGGAGATAACTGGATGTGACAGTCACTCAATAGGTGCTGGATAAATTAGGAAGCAGTAACACCAAGGAGTTATAATCCCAAGATCATAGATAGTTGTCAGGACCATGATGGCCAGCCTGGAAGAGGGGGGATCTAGGTCAAGAAGAACAGGAAAACCCAATGGATCAGACCCATAGCTTGAAATTAGAACAAGTCAGAGAACTGATCTGCAGAGGGAAGATAGATTTGAAGTGGCAGAATAGCAAAGTACCAGATGTACTTGAACATATAAAATCCTTTTTAAAATTATATTTTACCGCATTAGCCAATTTTTGTGGTTTCGTTTAATCATTTTAGCAACCTAAGAAAGAAAACATTATAACCATTTTTCATTTAGAGTACAGAGCCTCAAAGGTGAAGAGACTTTGGGTGAAGGCCCAAAGTCTCTCAGCTGACAACTCACAGACTTGAGATTAGAAACCACCTGTCTTTGCCTGTAAAGCTCCCACTCATTAACCACACTCCTCTCTCACCTATGAACACAATGAAAACAGGGCTGATCTTGCCACCAGTGCAAATTTGGGTCACTGAGCAGGCAGGGTGATTTCAAAAGTGTGTGAAGCCATTTTGACTTGTGGGTAGAGCAGGCATTGAGTTGGCATGGCTTGGCAGCCCTTTCCTGGGAGGGAGGGTAGTGCATGCTGGCTGGCATCCCATGCCTGGCAGGGCCTTGCTGGCTATGGGGGAGAGAGAGATGTGGGTGTAGTCATTGACCAAGTCATCAAAGAAACTTGGCCTTTGGGACATCTTTGGCCCCTAAGCAGAGTCACTGCACACTGGCTTACCCACAAGATGTGTCTGGAACAACGGGCATCTTCACCCTTTTGAGAAGATGTGATTCCTTAAGTAACAGTAACAGTCACCATTGTTGAATATCTACTTCACTCATTTCAACAAATATCTATAAGTGCCCACTATGGGCCTGGCACTGGGGCTCCAACAGTGAACCCCACACAGCTGGCAATGGCAGAGACGGGCCAGCTGGGCTCCCTGTCCTGGCTGCTGTGGCTGCTGTCACTGTTGTCATGTGAGAGCTTCCCTTCCATGCTCTTGCTCTTCTGCTGCTCAATTTCAGGCATTCTTTCTTCCCCCCATGATATGTTGGTATTATTATTTAATTTCCTCAGACCTGGTATAAAGGGAAAAAGCAGATAAATGGAGGAAAAGCCACAAAGCCAAGTAGAGAAGTTCTTCCTGTTTATTCCCATAAGAAATAACCAGGTCAACTCAAATTAATTCAAGGCTGGTCATAACTGAAGAACAAAAATAAGCTAGTTAACTTCATGCTTTTAGTTTAGGATTAATCTATTCATCAGCTTAGCTCACGGGGAGGAAACATGCTTCTTCAGTAGTTTTCAAACTGAAAATAAATGCCTCATTAGGTTAAACATATTAGCCTGAGAACAGTATTGATGTCAGATAGACTAATGAATGTCATTATTGGGAATGTGCAACAGTCCTCAGAGGGACCTGACCCACCATCAGGAGCTCTCTGCAAATGTGCTCACAAATGTGCTCAACTGCTGTACCCTCCGAAACAGAGGGAGGGGGGGCAAGAGAGCACTCAGGGAGACAGGGGGAAAGGGATTGTTCTTGGAGCCTTGGCCATTCCTGGAAATGACTTCCTCTGATGAATGCAGGCATCTTTGGCCATTTGCAAAAGCCCATGGGTAAAGGAGGGCCTGGGTGTGATGTCATTCACTTGCTTCCAAGAGGAGAGGGCAGGTTTTAGCCTCTAAATAAGACAGACAGGACAGGGGTTGAGGCTTGAACATCTAGTTCGACGGGGCTCCCCTCCCACGATGACAGCCATTCCAGCAGCAGTGCGTCCACAGCAGCTTTCCCCACAGCAGCTCCCCCCACAGCAGCTCCCTCACAGCAGCAGCTCCCCCAACAGCAGCTCCCCCATGGCAGTTTCCCCCACAGAAGCTCCCCTCACAGCAGCTCCCCAACAACAGCTCCCCCACAGCAGCTCCCCCGACAGCAGCTCCCCAACAGTAGTTTTCCCCATGGCAGCTCCCGCAGTTCCCCCTACAGCAGCTCCATGCACAGCGTCTCCCTCAGAGCAGCTCCCCTCTCTTCCTCCCTGGACTGGCTCCAAATCAGGATGCATCCTGTGGGGGAGACATGAACTCTTCCTTGTCTTGCCCACAGAGGCCCTGTGTGTCATCATGGTCTTAAGGACCTGCACAGGCCTGCAAGCTGCAAGCTCCTCCATGATTTGGAGATGGTGTTCCCACCACGCAGGGCCATCCCAGCTGTGCGTTTAAAGGTGTGAGTCCCCTTTCCCTGGGAGCACCTGCTTTTTTGTAACATGGGCTCTCTGCACTGAGGCTGCAATTTAATTTCAGGCTGGGGTACTTTATGCAAACTCTGAGTGAAATGCTGTTTACTGTTTATTATTTCTGCAATTATTTGCTTAGTGCTGGTAGCCTCCGTGTTCTGTGGTGGTGGGGACCATGTACCTAGCACATATAGCAAGCATACAATAAATGTTTGTTGAATGACTGAATGAAGGAATGACTGAAGGGAGATATAGGTTCTAGCAACTGAATGTCTCCGTATGGTCTCTCTAGACATGGGAAAACTTACTGTGCTTTTTTCTTTTTTCTTTTTTTTTCAAGAGTAAAGTTGATGGTAAAGGGAGAATTTGAAAGAAGCTAGGTACTAGATGCAGTGTTGAAAGATAACTAAGCAGAACTACTTTGGGATCGGAGAGGTATGGTATATCAGTTTGCTATTGCTGCACGACAAGCCATCTCAAAACATAGTGGCTTAAAATAACAAACATGTATTTAGCTTAAGAATATGTAGGTTTGCTGGGTGGTTCTGCTGCTCTGGGCTGGCCTGAGCTGGTCTTGGTTGGGATTATTAGCCCCTCAGGATGGCTGGTGTGTTGGTTGAAGCCTGGCTGGTCCAGGAGGCCTTGGGCAGAATAGCTTATCTCTGGAGGATGTGTTCTCTCATCCTCCAGTGAGTAGCCCAGGCTTGTTCTTACAGTGAAAGCAGGTTACAAAACAGAGCAGAAGTACACAGGGCCTCTTGAAGCTTAGGCTCAGAAATGGTACAATGTCCCTTCTGCAGCCTTGTATTGGCCAAAGCCAGGAGACGTCCAGCTCAGACGAAGTAGTGGGGAACTAAATTTTCCCTCTTGATGGGAAGGGCTTCAAAGGGCAGGGACACAGGGAAGGGTAGAGGACTGTGGCCAGTTTTGCAGACGTAACATGAATGGTTTCAATTCTCATCATACGGACCTTTAACTTCTCTTGTGAGGGGGGGATTTTTAACAAGAATCATGGGATCAGGGCAGAGGATCAAAGAGAGTTTACCCAGCTATCTATGACCAACCCTGTGTCTTAGCAAATGTCCCCTTATTCAGGAAGGGTCAGCAGGGAAGAGGTGGGGTTGTAGAATCTGGGGATATAAAATCTCTGCAAGAAGAGAGGGTTGTTTTTGATTACAAAAAGTGTTGCTCATAGACTGGGTGGCATTGGTTGCTTGGTGGGTATCAACTCAATGACCACAACAAAGGAAGATTTAACAAGGGGATTTTATTACTTGCAACAAGTAAGGAGAACACCAGGGAGAACACATAGGTCCCCAAGTAATGCCTCCCTGAACTGGGAACTGGGTCAGGTTTTATAAGCATAGGATAATGAGGCACGACCTGATTAGATCTTGCAATGAGGTGATGCCAAGAGGCATGATCTGACTGGATCCTGCCGTGCAGTAACAACAGAACTTGATCTGATTGGATCCTGGATCTGCTGTGTAGTGTCCGCTTCTTAATTCAGTCCCCACTCCTCTGTCTGAGTACTTAGGTTCCCCCTGTGGTTGCACATTTGGTTTACCTGGGCATGTTCAGGTTACATGATCTGAGGGTGCATGGAAACTGGAAAACAACTCACGACTTTGTTCCATAAAAGTTGAACTGCATTTGGGTCTGTTGTCGCCACAAAAGGGCTGCCATGTGAAGGAGGAAGTAAATGCCCTCCATGTGGCCTGAAGGAAGGATTTTCTAACAGTCAAACCTGTTCAGAGACAGAATGGGCTGCGTTGAGTTGTGGTGAGCTCCCCATCCTTGGGGATGTGCAAACACGAGTTAGAGGGAGGCATAATAGTGAGATGAAGTGCTTCAACTATGGTATCAGACAGGCCTGGCTTTGATTTGCAACTTGGTGTTTCAGGGTGAATGACTTTAACTGTGTGAGCCACAGTTTCCTCATTGGTAAAATGAGGATAATAATATTACTTACTGCAATGGGTTACTATGAGGTTTTAATGAGATGGTACATGTAAAACATACATAAAGGCTTCCAGTGGCTGAGAGCCGAGGGCAGTGCTACTTCCACACTATATTCTTTTATGGAGGGGATTCTGGCATTAATGAGGCCCCAGGCCCTGGTCCACTTCCTGCATTTAGAGTCTTTAGATGGTATCTCTATTAATGTGTCAGAATTAGGACACTCCCCCTCTCCTTGCTCCCTTCCAATCCCTAGCCCTCTTTGGATCTCTACAAATGGTCTCTATAGGTTCGGAATCCTGGCGTTGAGGTGGGATTTCCAGTTCTCTTGCTCCCCACTGCCCCTGTGCATGTGAGGATGCCTGATGCCCAAACCATGGGGACTGCGGGAGCCAGAGGCTATTCCTCAACACACTCCTGAGATTTGAGGAACAGAGGCCCCTTTTCATTGGGGGTGACCTGGAAGGGGCTTCTCAGTCCACTGCACGAGGCTGATTTGCTCTCTGATGAGACTTTGATCATCCTCTCTGGACTCGGAAATGCAGCTTAATTTCAGTGGGAAGAAAAATAATTAAGACTTGCAAACCCGTGTTGTAAATGTTGCTCCAGGGCTCCCGGCAGAGCCGCCCAGTCAGTTTGATCATTTCTTGGGCTTACTCAAAAGCCCCCTCTGTGAGTGATTGGCCACTTAGCACTTGTTAATGGATCTAACTTGCACAGATTTAAGTGTTTTCTTGGAATTGATCTTTCCGTGAAAAGTATGCTTTGGAGATGTGGAATAACCATCAGAGAGCCTTAAATGAATTACAATTTATCAAGCGGAAAAAAAACAATGCACTTGAAACAGGCACTACAGGGGAAATGGAGGGCTGGGAGCTTCCCTGCGGACCAGGAGGGTGAGGCAAGGGGGGCCATGCCGCTGAGCTCAGTTCTTTCTACGGTTTCTGGGTTCACCGGGGGAATGTTACATCCTGGGTCATTTTCTCTGCTTTGTGATGTGACATTTCCTGCTCCTGTTCCCACCCCAGCTCTGCCCATCTCTGTGGCAGGGCTGGCGGAGTCACTCTCCTCCCCGCCAGGGATTGATGGCTTTGCCTGGAGAAAGGAGGTGAGGAGGAGTCCCACACTCTCATTGACCACCCCCATCCTCTGCCTCCTCCCTCCTGGGCCCCATCTACTGAGCAATGAGCTCTGGAGACACTGGGTAAAAGGGGGTGCAGGCACTCCAATCTCCAGGGAATGTGGCTGTGTGGTGGTGTCTCACCAGAGATGAGAGAAGGGGATGAGGCCTCTGCCCACCGGTTCCCTACACAAGGGGCCTGAGGAGGGGGCTCAGTTCATCTAGATGCTCAGTTGTCAGACATTTGCTGAGGGCCAGCCTGTGCCTGGTTCTCACCCCCACCAAAAGGGGATCTCTGTTCCTCAGACCACAGTCTGAATATGTGAGGGAGCAGCCCCTGGCTCCCACAGCCCCCACAGTTTGATTACTGGGCATCCTTACATGCACAGGGGCTGGAGATTCTGGAAGGATGAACCCCAATCCCCACCCTTGCCACGCACAGCGAGGCCACATTGGACTCTCACCCTCACCCCATTGCCTCTGTGACCTCACCCTGCTGTGTGTGCTCCTCTTAGTGCATTTCACCCTCTGACTCTAGATGCAGTTGGTCTGTTAATGTCCATCTCCCTGTGAAGGTCCACTCTGTGGGAATGGGGCTTTCTCTGTCTTGCTCTGAGCTGGAACCACTCCAGGCGGGTAGCAGATGCTCTACTTCGTGAAGACACTCCGTTCTGTAATGGAGAGGGTACAGAGTGGCAAGTGTCCTTAGTGAGCACCTTCCTTGGTGTGTGAGGGCGAGTGCACAGGGGACATGAGTGAGGCACCCACAGCCTCAGCTAAAATCGCTAAGGACACCACTGTGCACAGAGCACCAGGTCTCAAAGCCAGCAGACTCCACCCTCCCATGACTGATACCAATGCAGCCCTGCCAGAGACAAACTCTTCCTCACGCTGCTGCCTGGCCACACTGATCTGCATGGCCACAGCCCAACTCAGCCTAACCCCACTGTAGGTGGAGAGTGGGTGTGGCTGGGGCTTCTCTGCTGTGTCTCATCAATGACCCTCTGCCCTCCGCTCACCCCAAGCCTCAGGTTTCCAGTCTGGCTGTTCCAATGGTGGAGTTGGGAACCATTTTGTGTCCTTTGCTTGGCTGTCCCCAGCCTGAGGTGGGGAAGTTGGGGTGGGCTGCAAGCTAGCAGTGTGCTCTGTGGGAGGACTGTTCTTTCTTTCAACCTCACTGCAGACAAGGGCTGGAGCAGAAGAGACACCTGCTGATGAGGCCTAACAGGGCAGGCACCTAGGGAGCAACAGACATGTCTCAGGCCCAGGGCGGAGGGACAGCCACAGTCTCGGTGGGTTTGTCATGAACAGAGGGGACAGATCTGGGCAGGTGCTCAGGCCCATGGTGGGATAGGGCTTAAGACCACGGAGAGACTGTGGGGAGTTAGGTGTATGCTCAACATGGGATGGGAGAGCAGGCTGGGTTCCGCTAGGGTGGAGAGCGGGGAGGGGACTCCCAGGTGCAAGAAAGAGCAGTCCTAACCAGGGTCCAGGATCAGCACCTGAGCTCAGGCTCTTGGGCCACAGAGACAGGGATTCAAATTCCAGCTCTGCCACCTTAGGCAAATCCCTTCTGAGCCTCAGTTTCTTCATCTGTCAAATAGGGATGGCTGACCTTTTAAAATGAGATACCTATAACCAGCAAGGTCCGTGGGGCCCAATTGTCTGCATTCAAATCCTAGTTCTGCCACTGCCTAGCCATAGGAGTGACCTTGAACCTGTGAACCAAAAGTACCTGACATAGGTCTCAATCAAATTTAGAAAGTTAATTTTGCCAAAGTTAAGGAAGTACCTGTGACACAGCCTCAGGAGATACTGACGACATGTGCCCAAAGTGGTCGGGGTACAGCTTGCTGTTGTACATTTTAGGGAGACATGAGACATCAATCAATACGTGTAAGATGTAGATTGGTTCGGTCTGGTAAGGCAGGACCACTCCAAGGGGGCAGGGCAGTGGGGGGATATTCCAGGTCATAGGTAGATAAGAGACGAAAGATTGCATTCTTCTGAGTCCTTGATCAGCCTTTCACTGAATACACAATTTAGTCTGACTCAGTGAATCTGCATTTTTACATAAACAATGGGGCAGAGGAAGCCATTAGATATGCATTTGTCTCAGGTGAGCAGAAGATGACTTTCTGTTCATGCCTCTGAAGATCAGCTATTAGTTTATGTTGCCAGGGTGAAATTCAGCAGAACTGTTGTAGGATGAAGATCTTGAGGCCTACAAGAATTTTCTTGTGGCAATTTGTGAGGGAAGTATGTAGCTCTTTTATCTTTTTAGCTATCTTATTTAAGAATTAAAATGAGAGGCAGGTTTCAAGTTCCCAGCTTGATTTTTCCCTTGGCTTAGTGATTTTGGGGTCCTGAGATTCATTTTCCTTTCACAAACCTGTTTATAAACCTTCTCTGGACCTGAGCTTCTCATCTGTAATATGTGGGGATAATAGAACCTACCTTATTGGGTAGGTGAGGATGAAATGAATATACATTTAATGAGCTCAGAAGAAAGGCATTGCCTGTAGTAAGCATACCTAGCTGCTTTCTATTATTATTATTTTTGTTATTCATAGCTAGTCATGTCCATCCTCTGCTCAGAGCTGTCCCTGGTTCCCCTCTTGCAAAGCCCTCACATCCCCTAGATGGCCTCATGCTGTCACCTTTCTGAGCTTCCCTCCCATCTCTGCCCTCCTTTCCAGCCACACTGGCCTCCTGGCTGTCCACTCCTGTCTCAGGGCCTTTGCACTCACTCTTCCCTGCATCTGGAATGTTTACCCCAGGCTCATTTGCTTCCTTCCTTCTGGTCTCTATGTGGCCATCCCTGGCCACAGGCCTCCCCTATCACCCTCTGTCTTAGTCTGTTTTAGCTACTATAACAAAAGACCTTAGAATGGGTAATTTGTAACCAACAAGAGATTTATTGCTTACAGTTCTGGAGGCTGGGAATTCCAAGCTTAAGGTGCTGGCTGATTCAGTCTGGTGAGGGCCCATTCCTCATAGATGGGTGCCTTTT
Organism: Homo sapiens; assembly: GCF_000001405.40. NCBI lineage: Eukaryota > Metazoa > Chordata > Mammalia > Primates > Hominidae > Homo > Homo sapiens. The sequence goes on along the minus strand of NC_000001.11, from coordinate 30,603,340 downwards.
CATGGTGTCCTCACGTGGTGGAAGGGGCAAACAAGCTCCCTCAGGCCGCTTTTCTTCTTTGAGACGAGTTCTCACTCTGGTGCCCAGGCTGGACTGCAGTGGTGCGATCATGGCTCACTGTAGCCTCGATCTCCTGGGCTCAAGCGATCCTCCCACCTCAGTCTCCTGGGTAGCTGGGACTACAGCTGTGTGCCACCACGCCCAGCTAATTTTTGTATTTTTTTGTAGAGACAGGCTCTTGCTATGTTGCCTAGTCCACTCTCAGACTCTGGGTCTCAGGTCATCTGCATGCCTTGGCCTCTCAAAAAGAGCTGGGATTACAGGTGTGAACCACTGAGACTGCCCCCTCATCCCCCTCCTTTTTTTTTTAATCAAGGTGCTAATCCCATCCACAAGTGCTCACCCTCATGACTTAGTCACCACCCAAAGGCCCCGCTTCTTTTTTTTTTTTTTTGAGATGAAGTCTTGCTCTGTCGCCCAGACTGGAGTGCAGTGGCGTGATCTCGGCTCATTGCAACCTCCATTTCCCAGGTCCAAGCGATTCTCCTGCCCCAGCCTCCCAAGTAGCCGGGACTATAGGCATGCACCACCACGCCTGGCTAACTTTAGTAGAGACGGGGTTTCACCATGTTGGCCAGGCTGATGCCTCACTTGTTAATACCAACACTTTGAAGGTTAGATTTCAACACATGAATTTTGCAGGGACACAAGCATTCAGACCACAGCACCCTCTTTCTCCTATCCCACTTGTTTCTCTTCACTGCATTAATCTGACATTATGTTATCTGTTAATTTGCTCATCATCCATCTTTTTAATCAGAATACAAGCTCCATAGGGCCAGGGAATGCAGAGCTTTGGTTGGCCAGGCCTGGGCCACACGGTTCATCACTGAAGCCAAGGGGAGAGCCCATCCCAGATGCATGGAAGGAGAATGGGGGAGGGGGTATGTCCCTCCTCTCCCAGGAAAACCAACCCAGATTGAGGGTTCATAAATGGCAGAAGGGAGTGGATGGGGCAGGGAGGGGAAGAAACCACAGGTGCCTACAATAGAGTGGAAGGTCAAGATCAGGGACTTGAAGATGAGGGTGGCCTGGGGCTCCCAGCTGCAGAGAGTTGAGTGGGTAAGGGAAAGAGCATGGGCTCTGCAGGGTCACCTCACCGCTCTGTGGAAGCCTCCCTGAGCTTCCTTCTGCAAAATGGACATGACAATCTGCACCTTGCAGGGCTGCATGTTTATGAGATGTCTGGCCTGGGAAGGGCACCCAGGAACCAGGGCTACTGTTAATATCATTTGGAGGACGGGGCACACACAGCACTGTGGTAGGAGTCATGAGGCCTTTGTTGGGGCACCAGCCTTGCCCTGTGTCTGCTGTGTGGCACTGGGCCTGAGGCAAAACACTGCTCCACCTGCCCTGCTGCCCCCATGGGCTCTTGAAGGGAAGAGGCCTTGCTGGGGGATGGAGGAGAATCGTGGCATCCTGGAGCTGGGGGAGAGGATGGGGTGATGCAGGCCCACCCTGGATCTCACAGGAGAGGAATCATACAACACTCTTCCAATCTCAGCCCCAGAGGTAACTAAGGGGCGGGGTGAGTTAGTCCTGCCTGGTTCCCACAGGCCATTCAGACCCTCAGCTCTGTGTAATCACTGTAGCTCACCCATTCCACCTGCAGAGGCAGCTGGTGCTCTTCGAGAAAGACCTTTTCTAGAACCAGGAAACTGTGAGGAAAAGCAGGAATCCTCTGGGGATGCTCCCCACATCCAACTGATGTAGGACTTTTCTTCTCAGTCACTTTGCAAGCCAGGGACCCCTGGCTGGCAATGCCCCGCCCAGGCCTTGCTCAGCCACGCTTGTGTGCCCCAGCTTGCCTGTGTTACAGGCAGTACTCAAGTTTGGTGGTTCCTGAGCTCTTGTACCATGCCCAAGAAGAACAAGGATACGTTGGACAGTGAAGGGTGAGGAGGGCAGAGAAGAATTCTATTGAGCAATGAAAATGGCTTTCAGCAGAGAGGGGATGCGGGGTTGGTCCCTCTACCTGAAGGTGGGAAAGTTCCCCTGTGTGGCTGGGTCTGGGGCCTTTTATGGACTCAGAATGGGGAGTGCATGCTGATTGGTTTGAGAGTATGCAAAAAAGGTGAAAGTGAAGACGCTACTCGAAGGTGGGCACAACAGTGTAGAAAACCAATTAGGAATGGGTAGGTATATGTAAAACAGGTGAAGGGTGGGGCCCAATCAGAGGAAAGTGAACCAAGCAGGAAGAAAGGTTCTTAATCCAGTCCGATGATTTAACCTGTAGCTTGGCTTTCAGGCTTTAAACTGTCTTCTGCTTGGAGGCGGGGTTTCTCTGGGGACCCACCCCTAGCTGCCTAGGCATTTGCCTGCCTCCTGTCTCTATCACAATGACATGTGAAAGATACAGCTCTGAGGTCGCTGAGCTCACTGGCTGTTCTCCTGGGACTCTCTCCAGCCTCCACTCCAATTAGGGGACTTTCCCTGGCTGCCTCAGCTCCTTCCTGGGTCCCCTGAATCAGATAGGCCAGAGCAGATGTGGAAGAGGCCCTGCTGGGCTCCTCAAGCTGAACCCAGGTGTCTCGGGGTCTGGGGAAGAGAGGGCAGTGGGTGGGAGTGGGGTGAGAGGGCGCTGGAAGCAGATCAGATAGGGCTTCCTGGACAGAGTAGGGAGGAAGGAGGGTATTCTAGTGAGGCGGGGAGCCATGGAGGTTTCAGCAGGGGGTTCATGGTCTGATTTGTATTTTAGGGGCAAGAGAAGACAGAAGAGGCTCAGGGAGGAGGCCTGACAACAAGTGAGGGTGGAGGGACTCCATGTGGGGCTGTGGACGGGATGCCGAGCCTCCAGGGCTCCTGGGACCTGGATGCACATGCCCTGGGCTCTCGTGCAGGGCCAGCTTTGATTCAGGGGGGCTGGGTGGGCCCTGAGATGCTGCAGTCTACCAAGCTCCCAGGGATGCTGCTGCTGTTGCTGGCACGCGACCCACGTGTTAAGCAGCAGCCGGGAGGGTCAGCTGGTTCAAGCGTTTGTTTCACATGTATTTCATGAGGGCTCTCTACATGCCAGGTGCTGGGACACAATGGAGAGCAAGACAGGTGTGGCCCTGCCCTCTGATGATGGCTGATGTGGTCCGTTCTCCTCAGTTGTTTGACTTTGTCTCCACGTTTCAAACTGAGATTCCCAGGAGTGAGGATCTGTTTTCCCAGCCTGGACACAGTGTCTGCTCCAGACCTGCTAAACTGCTGGTTTGGAGGGGCTCCCCAAACAGGCCTGGGCTAAGCAGGAGAGTCATGTGAGGACAGAACAGTGGCCAGCTCTACACAGGTGGGAGGCACAGTTCCTGTTGTGCAGTTGGGGAAACCGACACCCGCAGGAGTACAGCGATGTGCTGAGATCTTGCAGCTGGCAAGGTGGAGATTCAGGGCTTACATCATGTTCTCTTGGACTCTGACTCTGTGGTTTTTCCACAGCTCCACTCCCCAGAGCTTTGCCGTGGCTCCCGCATCTGTTCCACTGCCACACTTAATTCTGCTGAGATGACCAGAGCAGGAAGCAGGAAAGCTGACTTCCCTGAAAGAGGTAACCTGCCTGGGGCTGTCAGGAGGAAGGCCCATGGGAATGCTCCCAGCATCAGGGGACTTTGTGGTTTTCTACCAGAAGAAGGCACTGTACTGGTGTCTTCCAGAGAAGTCCGGGCAGTCAATGCAATTTAACCCCATGCTCAATTATTCAACACAAATAAGAGTCGAATTAAGATTCATGATTTCATGATTATTGTTGCATTACCCAAATATCTAACTGATGGTGGACATATTTACGTGAGTCCACCAGTCTGATCCCTAAAATCTTCCTAAGACTTTCAACCTCCATAAATCATTTTTGGTAGCAGCCATCTTGTAATTACCACAGAGTCCAAAGTGGAGAAGGCCCCTCTGCAGACTCCATGCCCCAGGGAAGGTCAGTTGAACAAGTCCCTCTCGGGAGCAGGGCTGAGGTTTCACCTAGTGTCTGTCAGCCAGATGGTTATGACCTCTGGTTCCAGGAGACAATCTCTGGCATTTGCTTAGTGGGAAGGATGGGATTCCGGGTAAACAACAGTCAAATGATTTATGAGGGGGATTGCAGGGGGCAGGGGTTGTCCCTGGAGGTTACTGAAAACCACTTCTGCAGATGGGGGCAGTGGGAGGAAGGGATGTATGTGTGTCCCCTTCCCCATGACACTTTAGGGCTTCTTAGGATCAGGTGGGTGACTTTGGGGTGGTGATTTAACCTCTCAGTGCCTCAGTTTTGCCACCTGGAAGTCAGAGTGGATGGACCTTCCCTGATAGGGCAGTTATGAGGGCCACAGCAAGCGCCCAGATAAATAAGTGCTGGTGACTCGAGTGAGGGGTATAGACAGCCTATTGTGCTGGGTGAGGTGCTCATCTGGTTCTTACATGTCCTGTTGCTGATTGTCTGAGGAGGCCCTGGCCACTGCTTGGCAGTCCTGATGCTGCTTACTTGGGTCACCTCCCAAGTAAACCACTCACCCTCCCTGTCACAGGGTCTGCCCCTGGGGAAGTCCAAGACAGGGGGTTGAGGGGAGGTGTGGGCCTAGCAGGCGCAAGGCTGTGACCCAAGTCAGAGGGAACTGGGTACCGGGAAAGGTTCCAGATTAGGATTTGGTCTTGGAAAAAGGCAGGAGCCAGGTTATTAGACCTGGCCCCCAAGGATGGTATGAAAATGATGTGAAAGGTAAGAACAGCAGAAGTTTTTACAGGTGCCTCTTGTGTGCCAGGCACTGCTGATACACAAATGAGTTCATTTCATTCTCACCAAAACCCTGGGGGTAGGTTCTATTATTGTCCCCACTTTACAGATGAGGAAACTGAGGCTCACAGAAGTTAAGTAACTTGCTGAAGGGCAGAGTAGGGTGAGGAGCCAGCAGATTCAGGGCCTTCTCTCCTCAGTTACTGGCTGCAATAAAGGCTCTGAGAGGCCCTGTGGCAGAGAACCAGGTGGTTTGCAGTTTTTCCCAAACACATGTGACAAAGAATTCTCTGTGCAGAGGATCTCTCTGACCCTGTTGTGGGAAACAGCTCGGGGCTTCCAGGACAGATGTGTAAAGCACTGTTTACCATGGACAGATGTGTAAAGCACTGTTTACCACGGACCGATGTGTAACTGCTTACCATGGACAGATGTGTAAAGCACTGTTTACCACGGACAGATGTGTAAAGCACTGCTTACCATGGACAGATGTGTAAAGCACTGCTTACCACGGAGATTGCCCCATCTGCCCCTGGCTCTCCTTATAGATGCAGGGGGTGAGCCACATTCCCCCAAGGCTGGGGAGAGCTAATGGGGCTGGGGGTCCAGCTGTGAGGGCTGCAGTGGAGCAGCGGCAGAGGGTTGGGCGTGGGCAGGGATGAGGAGAGATGCACTGGAGAAAGAACTGGTGGACTGGACGGGTGGGTACCCGGGAGTGTTCGTTGTGCTGTGAACTCAGAGATTTCTCATCCTGCTGGGGTGGGGGAGCTGCCAAGGGCCAACTCTAGAGAGAGTGGAGGATCCAAAGGGAAGGAGTAAGGGATGGGGAGTCAGAACAGAATGAAGATCTGATCTTTGCAGAAGAATGACTGAACTCAGAGTTGGGAGACCAGGTTCTGGGCCCGACTGCCCCTAGATCAGTGTGGACCTTGGACTTCACATCTGCAGAATGAGTGACTTTAACTGGATGGTCTTCAAGTTCCCTCTCAGCTCAGCACTCAGGTCTCTGTGTCTCTGCATGCTGTGTCCCCTCTGCCTCCTAAATGACCAGTGGCTTTCCAGCTATACCAGCCTCCTGCCAAAGGAAGCGTGTGATCCTGTGTTGGGAGACGCTGGGGAAAATCCCTTGTGGGTCTGGGACTCTGCAGGAGCTGTTTGTGCCCCTCCCCATGCAAATTTGCATCTGTCTCAAGCTTGCACCCCTTTCCTGGTTCTGCAACACTGCCCTTCCTGAGTCATTGACGTCCCTGTCTCCATGGGATCGCTTCCATCAGTGTGCAATCACCCCACTATTTCTCCCATCACAAAACCCCTCATTCCTGCTGCAACCCAATTCCATTGCTTCATTTTGCAGTCACCCTCCCTGAAAGGGTTTGCTATCCTTGCTCTCCCAACTCCTCCCCTCCTGGGATCCTGTTCTTGCTGAGCTCTGCCTGAGGGGCTCATCTGTACCTGGACCTGATTCAGATGACAAGATCCGGGGCCTTGCGCCTGTTGACATACTCAATGGGCCTTTTGTGGGCTCTACAGAGGGGGCGAGGACATTCTGCCTGTGGGAGAAATGCCGTAGTCTCCTGGTTGACCAGTCACCAAAGGTCAACCCAGATTCAGGAGCGACATAGAACTCTGAGTGTCAGGGATGTGCAGACATATTTTACAACGACCACAGATCACATGTACTCTTCTCACACTGAGTTCTGTAGAGTGCTAAGTGTCTTCTTCTCTCAAGGACAGAAAATAAAATAATTCTTGCTTCTCAGTGTTCTGAATGAGATAAGAGAGTCATGAGTAGATGTGCCTGCTGGTCCCCATTACTGCCCCAGGGCCTTCATTCCCCTTTTTGGAGGAGTTGCTCAAACTTGCTGCTAGAGGCTCAGTTGATGATTTCTGCCCACCTTGAGCTATTCTGGGCTTCAGACCAATCAGATAAATGACAGCTCCCTCCTACAGACTAAGGGTGGAAGGCGTGGGCAGTGGGGTAATAGCTGTATACTTGGGGCATACACTTCCCAGGGACTAGAAGGACAGACCCTTTGGGCCAGATTTTGTCTGTTGGTTTCTTGAATTTTCTGTCTTGTGATAAATGATCTGATTTTATCTGATCCTGAGAAGGTGAGATATTTCTTATCTAAGCAGTTTCTATAAAACCCCAAATATAATAGTGGGTGTCCCAGCGGAGGAACAGAGAGATGATAAGGGAGAAACTTATCGTCCCTGTATACTTTAATACTTAACTATTTAGTATCCAATATTTATACATTTATGTTGTATTATGTATACAACATTAATATATGTATATATGCATATATACACAAAGTCACAATGCCACGAGTGCAAGTGACTGTACCCCAGAATTCCACACTTCTGCACTTTACGAAGGGATTTGCCAAAGCCTTCCTTGAAGTCCTGTGCTCTCCAGGGATGAACAGAAAAGGATTTTCCTTTTAAAACATTTTCTTTTCCCTCTCAGATGCAACCTTAAGAGCCTGTTTAACTTCTTTTTCATGTTCTGTTCAATTCAACCAGCATTTTTCCAAGTTCCTAAGAAGTCTTTGGACACTGTGCTTGGCACTGTGGGGGAACAAAGAGGAATGAGATTCATGTTCAAAGGGAAAGTGGGTGCTGTAGATGCTCTCACAGAGGTGGATCTTAGAGAAAAATGTGCCTAGGACACTGTTGTCAGGTCCAACTCTGCAAAATGCTCAGGGTTATCTGCAAATCCAACCAGCAGCTGAGTGCAAAGAAGGGCTTCTAGTGTCCGAGGCTTGTGCAGAGGTCACCTGGAGGAAGGGAGGAACTTCTCTGTTGTCTTCCCCCATCACTGAGCATGTTCCATAAAAGTTGTATTTTTTGAAACAAAACAAAACAAAACAAAAACAACAGGGCAATATGTTGACACAATGGCTTTCGAAGCTACCACAAAAAGCCATTAGAGGAACCCCCTGACAGCAAGTTCCAAGGCTACTTATTAGGGAAGACAGGTAGCCTATAGGCATCTATAGGGTTTTTTGGTTCCCCAGAAAGCAGGTGCAGTCCCTGTAATGTGTCCCACCTCTGGGGTCATCCACCTCATTTTTGCACCTGCTTATGCCTCTGATGTTGGTGATTGTGGATTCCTGTGGCAGGCTGCAGTGATTTGCTTCCTTTAGACCTTCTTTTTCTTTTTTCCTGCAGGGTAGTGGATTTTGTCTATGAACCTTGAGTGTAGCTGAGATGGGTGGAGGTGAGGATGTCAGGAGCAGCCTGATGTGGAGAGGAACATGTTTTGCTCCTGCTCTTAGGGGAAAACAGTCTGTTATCTGTAAGTGTGATGTTAGTTGTGTCTTTTGCAGATGCCATTCATCAGGTTCAGAAATTTTCCTTATATTCCCAAGTTTGCAGAGTTTTCATGGTGAGCAGATGTTGGATTTTGTCAAATGCTTTTTTTCCTGCATTTATTGAGATGATATTGCTATATTTCTGTAGTCTGTCAATATGGTGTATTACATTGATTAAAGTGGTTTGTATTGAAATTTTGATTGTGGTAAAATATACTCAACATAAAATTCACCCATGTAACCATTTTTAAGTGTATAGATCAGTGACATTAAATACATGCATATTGTTGTGCAACCATTATCACTATCCATTTCCAGAACTTTTTCATCTTCCTAGATGGAAACTCCCATTAAACAGTCATTCTCTAGTCTCTGGGAACTACCATTCTACTTTTTCTGTTTCTATGAATTCACCTACTTTCAATACCTCATGTAAGTGGACTCATACGGTATTTGACTTCTTGTGACTTGCTTATTTACTTAGCATAATGTCCTCAAAGTTTGTCCATGTTGCAGCTTTTGATAAGATTTACTTATTTGTAAAGACTGGATAGTATTCCATTGTATGTCTCTACCACATTTTCTTTATCCATTTATCCATCAATGGACATTTGGGTTGTTTGCTTTGCACCTTTTGGCTATTGTGAGTAGTGCTGCAATGAACATGGGTGCACAAATATCTCTTGGAGAGTTTCCTTTCAATTCCTCTAGATATAGCTCCAGAAGTGGGACTGCTGGATCCTATGGTAACTCTATTTTTAATTTTTTTGAGAAAATGCCGTACTGTTTTTTATAGAGGTTGCGTCATTTTACATTCCTACCAACCGTGTATAAGGGATTCATTTTTTCCATCTCCTTGCCAGCCTTTCTTTCTTCCCTCCCCGCCTTTTCCTCCCTTCCCTCCCTCCCTTCCCTTCCTTCCTTCCTTCTCTCCCTCCCTCCTTCCCTTCCTTCCTTGCCTCCTTCCTTCCTTCCTCCCTCCCTCCCTCCCTCCCTCCCTTCTTTCCTTTCCTTCCTTTTCTTCCTTCCTTCTTTCTGTCTTTTCTTGCTTCCTTCTTTTCTTCCTTCCTTCTTTCTTTTCTTCCTTCCCTTCTCTTCCTTTCTTCTTAATAGTGGCCATCCTAATGAGTGTGAGGTATTATCTCATTGTGGTTTTGATTTTTCTTTGCTAATGATTAGTGACACTGAACATCGTTTCATATGCTGTTGGCCATTTGTATATCTTCCTTGCAGAAATGTCTATTCAAGTCCTTTGACCATTTTCTAATTGTTTAAAATTTTTTTTTTTTTACTGTTAGAGAGTTTTAAAAAATATTCTGGATCTTAACCTTTTATCAGATATATGATTTGCAAATGGTTTCTCCCATTCTATAGGTTGCCTTTTTACTCTATTGATCATTTTCTTTGGTGTACAGAAGTTTTAAACTTTGATATAGTCCTATTCATCTATTTTTGCTTCTGTTGTTTGTGCTTTTTGTGTCATATCCAATAAGTCATTGCCAAAACCAATGCCATGAGGTTTCCCCCCGTTTTCTTCTAGGAACGTTATAGTTTTTAGGTCTTATGTTTAGCTCTTTAATCCATTTAGAGTTAATTTTTGCATGTGGTATATGGTAAAGGTCCAACTTTATTCTTTTGCATGATGTTATACAGCTTTCCCAGCACCATTTTTTGAAAAGATTGTTCTTTTCTTATTGAGTGGACTTGGAATCTTATTGAAGATCATTTGATTATATATGTAAGGGTTTATTTCTGTGTTTTCTATTCTGTTCCATTGGTCTATTTGTCTGTGTTTATGCCAGTAGTACACTCTTTTGATTATTGTAACTTTGTAATATTTTCTAAAATTAGGAAACATAAGGCCTCCAACTTTTCAAGATGGTTTTGGCTATTCAGGATTTCTTGGGTTTCCATATTAATCTTAAGAATTTTTTTCAATTTCTGCAAAAAAAATGCCATTGAAATTTTGATAGATCTCAATGCCTTAAATCTGTAGGTTGCATTGGGTAGTATGAAAAATTAAACACTGTTAACTTTTTCAATCCATTAACATGGGATATCTTTAAATTTATTTGTGTTTTTAATTTCTTACAACAATGTTTTGTAGTGTTCAGTGTGCAAGTCTTTTGCCTTCTTTGTTAAGTTTATTCCTAAGTGTTTTATCCTTTTCAATGTTCTTGTAAATGGGATTATTGTCTTAATTTTCTTTTCAGATTGATCGTTGTTGTTGTATAGATATGCAACTGCTTTTTGCATGTTGAGTTTGTATCCAGCAACTTTGCTGAATTCATTTATTAGTTCTAACTGTGTGTGTGTGTGTGTGAGCCCTTTAGAGTTTTCTACACATGAAATCATATCATCTTGATTGGAGTTAATTTTACTTCTTCCTTTCTAATTTGGATGTATTTTAATTCTTTTTCTTATCTAATTACTTTGGCTAAGACTTCCAGGACGAAGTTGTTAGAAGTGGTGAGAGTGGGCATCCTTGCCTTGTTCCTGATCTTAGAGGAAAATGTTCAGCATTTCACTATTGAATATGTGTTATCTGCGTGCTTTTCATATACAGACTTTATTATGTTGAGATAGTTTCCTTCTATTCCTAGTTTGTTGAGTGTTTTTAACATGAAAAGTTGTTAAATTTTTGTTAAATGCTTTTTATGCTGTGATTGAGATGATTATGTGGTTTTTGTCTCTTTATGTGGTGCACTACTTTGATTGATTTTTGGATGTTGAAACATCCTTGCATTCCAGGAATAATCTCCACTTAGTCATGGTGTATAATCCTTTTAATGTGCTATTGAATTTGATATGCAAGTATTTTGTTGAGGATTTTTTCATCAATATACATCAGAAATATTGGTTTGTAGTTTTCTTTTCTTATAGTGTATTTTTCTGACTTTGGTATCAGGGTAATACTGGCCTTATAGAATTAGTTAGGAAATATTCCCTCCTCTTCAGTATTTTGGAAGAGATTGAGGAGGGTTGGTGTTAATTCTTCTTTAAATATTTGGTAGAATTCTCCTGTGAAGCCTGGTCTGGTCCTGGTCCTGGACTTCTTTTTGTTGAGGGGTTGTTGATTACTGATTCAGTCTCTTTAGTATAGGTTATAGGTCTGTTAGGTTTTTTATTTCTTCATGACTTAGTTTTCATATGTTGCATGTTTCTAGGGATTATCCATTTCTTTTAGGTTATCCAATTTATTGACATATAATTGTCATAGTATTCTCTTATAATCCTTTGAATTCCTGTTGCATTAGTTGCAATGGCCTCTCATTTCTAACGTTAGTTATTTGATTTTTTATATTTTTTCTTAGTTAATCCAGCTAAGAACTTGCAAATTTGTTTATCTTTTCAAAAAACGAACTCTTAGTTGCATTGATTTTTTCTATTGTTTTTCTATTCTCTATTTCATTTATTTCTGCTCTAATCTTTATTCTTTCCTTCCTTCCCTAACTTTGGGTTTTGTTTGTTCTTATTTTTTTCCTTGAGGTGTAAAGTTGGGTTGTTGATTTGAGATCTTTCTTCTTTTAATGTAAGCATTTACAGCTATAAACTTCTCCATTAGTTCTGTTTTTGTTGCTTCCCATAAGTTTTGGTATGCTGTGTTTTCATTTTTATTCATCTGGAGATATTAACTAATTTTTCTTGTTAGTTATTCTTTGACCCATGGTTGTTTAAAAATGTGTTGTTTAATTTCCACATATTTGTGGCTATTCTAGTTTTTCTTCTAGTACTGATTTCTAGTTTTATTCTATTGTGGCTGGAAAAGATATTTTGTATGATTTCAATCTTCCTAAATCTATTAAGATTTGTTTTGTGCTCTAACATGTGGCGTATCCTGGAGAATGTTTCATATTTATTGTGTTGTTGTTGGGTTGAGTATTCTGTCTATGTCTGTTGGTCCAATTGGTTTATAATGTTTTTCAAGTCCCCCGGTTCCCTACTGGTTTTCTGTCTGGTTGTTCAATCTGTTATTGAAAGTGGAAGTATTGAAATCTTCTACTGTTATTGTGTTGCTATCTATTTCTCTCTTCTATTCTGTCAATGTTTGCTTCATGTATTTAGGAACTCACCTGCTGCAGTCACACTGGCCTAATCGATATTCCTTAAACACACCTTGATGGGCCTCCCCCAAGGCCTTCACAGGTACTGGTTACTCCATCTGGAGGGCCCCATCTTTGGTTCTCTGCCTGGCTCTGTCACATCCTCATAACAGTCTTCCCTGACTCTTTCTCCCTGCTCCAAATCAAGAAGAGGCCCCTTATTCTAACTGTTCATTACATTCTTTAGTTTCCTTTCATTTTGTTCATCAAATTCCAAAATCATATATTTATTAGTGTTTATTTAACAATTGTGTCTCTCATGAGCCTGTTTGTTATATGAGGTCAGGGCTATGTTGTCCTCAGCTATGGCTCCATGCCTAGCACAGAGTTGGGGAAAGACACCCAATGAAACACATGCCGGATGAGTGAATAAAGGAATGAATATCTTTACTTTTTTTTTTTTTTTACAAATTTATGATGTACATCTTATCTTTGTTTTGTCATTGAAGCAACTGAGACTCAGATACATGAAGCCACTTGCCCAGGGTCATGTAGCAGATCAAGAGCAGAGCTGGGACTTGAACTCAGGCATGGAAAAAAGTCCTGCAAGCATCATTCATGGGGAAACAGAGAGAGGGAACCCCAGGCATTGGCCTCTCCAGATTCCTCCTTGGAGTTCCAGCTCAGGCAAGGACTCCACACAGCTTTGTCAAATGCCAATCTGTGGTCTCCAGTCCCCACAAGGGTCATCTGACCTCTTGCTTTGCCCTTAAACCATACCCAGTTCTCCAGCCATCCTGACCATGTGTTCTACCTTGAACAGGCCAAATGCTCCCAAGCCTCTGAGCCTTTGCATATGCAGTTGCCCCCACCTTGAGTATCCTTCTCACTGTGTCCCCCCAACAAGCTCCTACTTGCCCTTCTTGGCTGGGTTCAATGTCACTTCTGTGAGGCTTCCTTGACTTCCCCAGGGAGATTTGGGCAAGCCTTGCCCAGAGCTCCTCCAGCACTTCACAGGTCTTGGCAGCCAGCACCTCCACCAGGCTCACCTGTTCCTGTGAATTCCCTGACCACTCCTCGAGGATCAAGTCAAAGATTATAACATGCTATATAAATGTTCGTGGGTGCTGAATGAATGAAGGTGTGCATGAGTGAGTGACTGAAGGCATTAGGTTATGGAGAGATGAAGGGGCCTCTGCAGCCACCTCCTATCTTCCTGAAGTGTGAACATCAAAGGTCACCAACACTGAGGGGACTCACAAATGGAGGCTTCAGGGAGAAGAAATGGCACAAAAATGTCATTCGGTCCATCCCTGTGCTTCTAGGCTGGGAGACTATTGTTCTGATTTTATAAATGAACCAGAGAGGTTGGCCCCTATGTCCAAAGTCACACAATCAATACCTTGCCAAGAACCCTGATTTCCAGCAGTGACAACCAAACCATCATCAGCCACAATAATTGGAGCAGAGTGGAAACTATGGGCATTGTGTGCTCAGCACGTGCCTGGCCCTGTGCTGTGGGTATTGTTTCATCTCCTTTAACCCTCACTGAAACCCAATCATTACTCTTATCCTCATTTAATTAATTTATTTAGACTTGCATGGTGCCTTATTTTCTCAGAACAACAAAGTATGTTCGTTTAAAAAGGTTTCAAGCAATAAAATGAGAGCCCCCATCATCTCACACCCTTAGGACCATTTTATAGATGAGAAAACTGAGGCACTGTCTACACAACCCACCCTTATTCTCTGTGAATGTACAACTGAGTTCTTGTTTACCTGATGTGATGCCCAAAACTCAGTGACTCACAGGGAAAACCAAGGCCTGGGAAGGTTGGGAAGTTGGAAACAATTGTTTCTCTTGAATGGACTGTTTTTCTCTAGGCCATTGTCAGCAAATCAGTATTCACTTGTGCCACCCGGTATGGTGCCTGCCTCCCTGCTCGGGGCGGCAGAGGAAGTGCTGGTGAAATCTAAATAGAGGTGTGCTGAGTAACCTGGATGGAGACCACGTGTAGGTAGCTCTTGGGGAGTCCATAAATCCAGGCTGAGGAATTACCTGGGCAGGTGCTTCTGCCACCAGCTTCCCAGCTCAGGATAGGAGCAGCGTAATTAATTCTCTGGTGGTGGTTGTCTGGAGTAAGCTGGTCCATTTTTCTCTTTTATTATTGTTGAATTTCAGGAAAGTGTCCTCTTCAGGCTGTTTTCTAAGTGTTGGATTTATTTGATGACTCCACTAGTAACAAGGGCCAGGGTGTGTCCTGTGGTGAGGAGGACTCGGCCCCTGGGCCCACCGCCCAGAGGCTTCTCTCAGAGGGTGTGATGGGCGGGGTCCCCATAGGCACCACCATCCTCCCCATCAGTGGTCCCGTAGATGTTCCTCCCCTCCTCTTTCCCCTGCTCTGTGGACTGGGCCTGCCCTAACCTGAGGCAGCTGGGAACCTCTGAAGTGAGGAAGTCTTTGGGGTGTGTCTGGGAGGGCATCTCCAAAGGAAACCCCCAGTCCCCTGAGGGGTAAGAGTTTCCCATCTGCCCGGTGAGGACTCCTGGCTGGCCGAGGACATGTGAGTGCTGTGTCCTTGTGACACCAATGAAAATGGACAGGGATGGCGCTCCCTAGTCCCAGGCCCAGTGCCGGGTGCTTCACCCCTCCCCCAACTCACTCCTCATGAGAGCCCATTTTGCAGACCAGAAAGTGAGGCACAGAGCAGTGGTCGCAGACAGGAAGGAAGTAGCCTCCCCGGAGTTCCAGCTCAAATGGGGGAACACCCTCAGGGGCTCACAGTCTGATGGAGAGGCAGATGCCTAAATGGAGAGTTATGCAGGATAGTAAGCCCTATGGAAAGCTGAGTATAGGATTTTAAGCAGCATTTAAAATAGCACTGAAATGAGGTGTTTACAGGTCATAGGCATGTGGGCTTGAGACCCAGCTCTGCCAATGACTGGCTGTAGGACTCTGGGCCAGGGACTTACCTTGCTGAGCCTCAGTTTTCTTATGTTTACAATGGAAATCATGTCAGTACCCATGACATGCAGATATTGGAGGAACAAATTCGATAATGCATTCATGTGCCTGGAACATAGTAGGTGATTATTAAATAGTCACTTTTATTAATCTATCTCATACACAGATATTTAGTGATCATCTATTATATGCTAGATGCTAGACTGGAAACTAAGAATTCATTGATGAACAAAACCAGACACAGTCTTTGTTCTCAAGGATCGCAGTCTATCAGAGAAGGGAGAGATTGATTAAATAATCACAGGCTGAATAAGAATCACAAACTGAGGTCAGCTTTGAAGGGGGGGATGGGGCCCTAGGAATGCCTGGAACACAGTGTCCTAGGGTAGCTGGTATGTGTGGTGGCATTGTCAGGGAGGGCTCCACCAAGGAGGTGGTAGGTGAGCCAGAATCTTAAAGACGAGTAATATTTAACTAGACGGAGGAGGTGGAGAAAGAAAATTCTAAACCTATAGTGCCCCTGTGGCAGAGGAGCCCTTGACACCTTCTTGGCTGAGAGGTGGATACTATGACTGGAGAGCAGAGGGCAGGAGTGAGTGGGAGGGAGAGGGGTGGGGAGGCAGTTGCCCCAGGGTGTCTGGGCTCTGAGGCACTTGGGTTTGAGACAGTTCTGCCACCAGCTGGCTGTGGGACTCTGGGACAGTCGGTTACCTCACTGAGTCTTGGTTTCTTATCCCCACGATGAGGATCAGGTTGGGATTTAGGGGGTTGGATTAGTTGATGCAGTTCAGTGCTTGGCACAGTGGCTGGCACACAGTGGGTGCCTACTAAACAGTAGCTCTCCTTTATGCATCCAGTAAGCAGGTGTTTAGTGAGCCCTTGCTGTGTGCCAGGCTCCGCTCAGGTAACAGAATTCAGTGGTAAAGAAAACCAGATGCAGGCCCCACCCTCAGGGACCTCAGAGCAGGCAAAGAACGGGGAAGATGTCAAGGGCTGAGGGCCTAGTGGAGGAGGGGGAGGCCATTGATTAAAGAATGAGGGGCTGTGCAGAGGCCCAGGTGCAGGGGAGCAAGTGCCCTGTGGTCAGGGATCTGGGAGATATTTGGGAGGCTGTGTGTTGGTTGTGGGAGGAGGAAGCAGCACAGAAGGCTGGGAGCTGCAGGCATCAGAGCAGGAGGGGCCTGGAATGTTGGGTGAAGAGTTTGCATGTTAGCCTGTGGGCCACAGCCTGTTACTGTTTCAGCAGGAGGATGTGTTCAGATCCTCGGCGTTTGGGGAAGGCACCTGGGTGCAGGTGAACAGGGAGGGAGGCTCTGGCAGCAAAGAGATCAGTTAAGATGCCTTCGATGGTGCAGGTGACAGGTGAGGGTAGGGACATCCCCACAGACAGACACTGTGGGGATGGTGAGACACTGATAGACAGGAGCAGTCTCGGGGGACTGAGAGCACTTGGGCCAGTGAAGGGCACAGTGTAGATTACAGTCAGAGGTCTCCAGTGGCGTGGAAGAGCGAGTAACCCCGGAGTGCTCTGTGGACTGCCAGCAGGAATGACAGACACACCCTTGAAGGGCCACACAGCAGGAAATGGAGTCACACAATGTGGGTTTGGGACAGGACAGGCACTGTCCTCAGTGCTTTATATGAACACATGTCATAATCCTCACAGCAACCCTGGGAGGTAGGTGCTGTTGTCACCCCTGTTTTATAGGTGAGCAAATAGAGACACAGAGAGGTTTAGTAACTTGCCCAATGTCACACAGATAGTTTATGGAAAAGCTAGGGCTTGAACCCAGGCAGTAGATCCCAAGTCTATGCTCTTAACCATTATTCTAGATGACTGTGTTGTCACAGTCCTCAAGGATCTACAAGGCCATGAAATAAAACCCAAAGGCAAACTGGATGAAAAGAGAGAATATTTCTGGCTGTAGAGATCAGAAAATGCTTCGTGGAGGAGGCAGCATTTTAACTTGGTTCTAAAAAGTGCAGAATTTTTGAATAGGCAAAACTGTAGTTTATGAATCAGGATTATTTCACAAAACACACACTCTCTCTAATCAATTTAAGGAGAAATGTTGTCAAGGACTTTCTTTCCAAAGGGTGGGCTTGGGGTGCATCTGACTGGAGGAACCTTGCTATATGCTTCTACTTTGGTTTATTCCACTAAGGAGACTGGGGAAGAAAAATCTCTGGCATGTTCAGGCTCTGTCTCTTAAGACAGGAAATTCCATAATCTGCGAAGGTGTTTCTGTTCTGGGTGACCACCAACAATGGCAGATGCTCAATCCACGTTGTGATGGTGGACATTTGAGTGCAGAGGTAAAAAATACTCAAGTGGAGAGGGGAAAATGCCCCTGATACTTTGGAGGAGCCCCTGCGTTTATTGGAACAGAAAGACAAAAACCCAAAGTTCTTTCCTTATGCAAGACATGCATCGTGACTGTCTGGTGGAAGTGGAGGAGACTGATGCTACCGAAGTGGATTCAGTGTGTTTGTTAAAAAACAGTCAAGGCCGGCTTCCAAGATGGCCAAATAGGAACAGCTCCAGTCTGCGCTCTCCCAGTGAGGTCGACGCAGAAGACAGGTGATTTCTGCATTTCCAACTGAGGTACCTGGTTCATCTCACTGGGACTGGTTGGACAGTGGGTACAGCCCATGGAGGGAAAGCTGAAGCAGGGCGGGGTGTCGCCTCACCTGCAAAGCACAAGGGGTCAGGGGATTTCCCTTTCCTAGCCAAGGGAAGCCATGACAGACTGTATCTGGAGGAATGGTACACTCCTGACCAAATACTGTGCTATTCCCATTGTCTTAGCAACCGGCAGCACTGAAGGCAGCTCCTGAAGGAAACACTAAACGTGGAAAGGAACAACTGGTACCAGCCACTGCAAAAACATGCCAAATAGTAAAGACCATCGATGCTATGAAGAAACTGCATCAACTAATGAGCAAAATAACCAGCTAACATCATAATGACAGGATCAAATTCAAACATAAAAATATTAACCTTAAATGTAAATGGGCTAAATACCCCAATTAAAAGACACAGATAAGCAAATTGGATAAAGAGTCAAAACCCATCAGTGTGCTGTATTGAGGAGACCCATCTCACTGGCAAAGACACACATAGGCTCAAAATAAAGGGATGGAGGAAGATCTACCAAGCAAATGGAAAGCAAAAAAAAAGCAGGGGTTGCAATCCTAGTCTCTGATAAAACAGACTTTGAATCAACAAAGATCAAAAGAGACAAAGAAGGCCACTACATAATGGTAAAGGGAACAATTCAACAAGAAGATCTAACTAACCTAAATATATATGCACCCAATACAGGAGCACCCAGATTCATAAAGCAAGTCCTTAGAGACCTACAAAGAGACTTAGACTATCACATAATAATAATGGGAGACTTTAACACCCAACTGTCAATATTAGACAGATCAATGAGGCAGAAGGTTAGCAAGGATATCCAGGACTTGAACTCAGCTCTGGACCAAGAGGACCTAATAGACATCTGCAGAACTCTACACCCCAAATCAACAGACTATACATTCTTCTGAGCACCACATCACACTTATTCTAAAATTGACCACATAATTGGTAGTAAAGCACTCCTCAGCAAATGTAAAAGAACAGAAATCACAACAAACTGTCTCTCAGACCACAGTGCAATCAAATTAGAACTCAGAATTAAGAAACTCACTAAAAACTGCACAACTACATGGAAACTGAAAACCTGCTCCTGAATGACTACTGGGTAAATAATGAAATAAAGGCAGAAATAAAGATGTTCTTTGAAACCAATGAGAATGAAGACACATACCAGAATCTCTAGGACACATTTAAAGCAGTGTGTACAGGGAAATCTATAGCACTAAATGCCCACAAGAGAAAGCAGGAAAGATCTAAAGTCGACACCCTAACATCACAATTAAAAGAACTAGAGAAGCAAGAGCAAAAAAATTCAAAAGCTAGCAGAAGGCAAAAAATAACTAAGATCAGAGCAGAACTGAAGGAGATAGAGACACAAAAAACTCCTCAAAAAAATCAGTGAATCTAGAAGCTGGTTTTTTTGAAAGATCAACAAAATAGACTACTAGCAAGACTAACAAAGAAGAAAAGAGAGAAGAATCAAATAGATGCAATAAAAAATGATAAAGGGGATATCACCACTGATCTCACAGAAATACAGACTACCATCAGAGAATACTATATACACCTCTAAGCAAATAAACTAGAAAATCTAGACGAAATGGATAAATTCCTGGACACATACACTCTCCCAAGACTAAACCAGGAAGAAGTTGAATCTCTGAATAGACCAATAAGAGGTTCAGAAATTGAGGCAATGATTAATAGCCTATCAACAAAAAAAAGTCCAGGACCAGATGGATTCACAGCTGAATTCTACCAGAGGTACAAAGAGGAGCTGGTACCATTCCTTCTGAAACTATTTCGATCAATAGAAAAAGAGGGAATCCTCCCTAACTCATTTTGTGAGGCTAGCATCATCCTGATACCAAAGCCTGGTAGAGACACAACAAAAAAAGAGAATTTTAGGCCAATAACCCTGATGAACATCAATGTGAAAATCCTCAATAAAATACTGGCAAACCGAATCCAGCAGCACATCAAAAAGTTTATCCACCATGATCAAGTCGGCTTTATCCCTGGAATGCAAGGCTGGTTCAACATATGCAAATCAATAAATGTAATCCATCACATAAACAGACCCAACGACAAAAACCACATGATTATCTCAATAGATGCAGAAAAGGCCTTCAACAAAATTCAACAGCTCTTCATGCTGAAAACTCTCAATAAACTAGGTATTGATGGAACGTATCTCAAAATAATAAGAGCTATTTATGACAAACCCACAGCCAATATCATACAGAATGTGCAAAAACTGGAAGCATTCCCTTTGAAAACCAGCACAAGACAAATGTACCCTCTCTCACCACTCCTATTCAACGTAGTGTGGGAAGTTCTGGCTAGGGCAATCAGGCAAGAGAAAGAAATAAAGGATATTCAATTAGAAAAAGAGGAAGTCAAATTGTCTCTGTTTGCAGAAGAAATGATTGTATATTTAGAAAACCCCATCGTCTCAGCCCAAAATCTCCTTAAGCTGATAAGCAACTTCAGCAAAGCCTCAGGATACAAAATCAATGTGCAAAAATCACAAGCATTCCTATACACCAATAGTAGTCAAACAGAGAGCCAAATCATGAGTGAAGTACCATTCACAATTACTACAAAGAGAATAAAATACCTAGGAATCCAACTTACAAGGGATGTGAAGGACCTCTTCAAGGAGAACTACAAACCACTGCTCAAGGAAATAAACGAGGACACAAACAAATGGAAGAACATTCCATGCTCATGGATAGGATGAATCAATATTGTGAAAATGGACATACTGCCCAAAGTAATTTATAGATTCAATGCTATCCCTGTCAAGCTACCACTGACTTTCTTCACAGAATTGGAAAAAACTACTTTAAACTTCATATGGAGCCAAAAAAGAGCCTGCATGGCCAAGACAATCCTAAGCAAAAAGAACAAAGCTGGAGGCATCACACTACCTGACTTCAAACTATACTACAAGGCTACGGTAACCAAAACAGCACGGTACTGGTACCAAAACAGATATATAAACCAATGGAACCGAACAGATGCCTCAAAAATAACACCACACATCTACAATCATCTGATCTTTGGCAAATCTGACAAAAACAAGCAGTGGGAAAAGGATTCCCTATTTAATAAATGGTGCTGGGAAAACCAGCTAGCCATATGCAGAAAGCTGAAACTGGATCCCTTCCTTACACCTTATACAAAAATTAACTCAAGATGGATTAAAGACTTAAATGTAAGACCTAACACCATAAAACCCTAGAAGAAAACCTAGGCAATACCATTCAGGACGTAGGCATGAGCAAAGACTTCATGACTAAAACACCAAAAGCAATGGCAACAAAAGCCAAAATAGACAAATGGGATCTAATTAAACTAAAGAGCTTCTGCACAGCAAAAGAAACTATCATCAGAGTGAACAGACAACCTACAGAATGGGAGAAAAGTTTTGCAATCTACTCATTTGACAAAGGGCTAATATCCAGAATCTACAAAGAACTTAAACAAATGTACAATTAAAAAAAAACCCATCAAAAAGCGGCCAAAGGATATGAATAGACACTTCTCAAAATAAAAAATACTCAACATCACTGGTCATCAGAGAAATGCAAATGAAAACCACAATGAGATACCATCTCATGTCAGTTAGAATGGCAATCATTAAAAAGTCAGGAAACAATGGATGCTAGACAGGATGTGCAGAAATAGGAAAGCTTTTACACTGTTAGTGGGAGTGTAAATTAGTTCAACCATTGTGGAAGACCCTGTGGCAATTCCTCAAGGATCTAGAACTAGAAATACCATTTGACCCAGCCATCCCATTACTGGGCATATACCCAAAGGATTGTAAATCATTCTGCGATAAAGGCACATACACACGTATGTTTATTGTGGCACTATTCACAATAGCAAAGACTTGGAACCAACCCAAATCTCCATCAAGGATAGACTGGATTAAGAAAATGTGGCACATATAAACCATGGAATACTATGCAGCCATAAAAAAGGATGAGTTCACGTCCTTTGGAGGGACATGGGTGAAGCTGGAAACCATCATTCTCAGCAAACTATCACAAGGACAGAAAACCAAACGCCACATGTTCTCACTCATAGGTGGGAATTGAACAATGAGAACACATGGACACAGGGAAGGGAACATCACACACCAGGGCTGGTTGGCAGGGTCGGGGGCTGGAGGAGGGATAGCATTAGGAGAAATACCTAATGTAAATGATGAGTTGATGGGTGCAGCAAACCAACATGGCACATGTATACCTATGTAACAAACCTGCACGTTGTACACATGTACCCTAGAACTTAAAGTATAATAACAACAACAACAACAAAAAGTAGTCAAGGCTGTGTGTGGTGGCTCACGCCTGTAATCCCAGCACATTGGGAGGCTGAGGTGGGCAGATCATTAGGTCAGGAGTTCGAGATCAGCCTGGCCAATATTGGTAAAACCCTGTCTCTACTGAAAATACAAAAATTATCTGGGCGTGGTGGCGGACACCTGTAATCCCAGCTACTAGGGAAGCTGAGGCAGGAGAATTGCTTGAACCTGGGAGGTGGAGGTTGCAGTGAGCCGAGATCACGCCCTTCCACCCCAGCCTCGGTGACAGAGCAAGACTCCGTCTCGGAAAAAAAAAAAAAGTCTATGCTAGGCACAGTGGCTCATGCCTATAATCCCAGCACTTTGGGAGGCTGAGGTAGAAGGATCACTTGAGGCCAGGAGTTAAAGACCAGCTGGGGCAACATAGTGAGACCCCATCTCTACAAAAAATTTAAAAAATTAGGCAGGCATGGTGGCACACACCTGTGGTCCCAGCTACTCAGGAGGCTGAGGTAGAGAATTTCTTGAGTCCAGGAGTTTGAGGCTGCAGTGAGCTGGGATCGTGTTACTGCCCTCCAGCATGGGTGACAGAGCAAGACCCTGTCTCATTAAAAATAATTACATTAAAAAATGAAAAAAGTAGTCAAAAAGTTGGGAGAAAAGATACCTCTGTAAGAATCCTTGTCCTTGAAACGCCCTTGGCTGGAAAGTCAGTTTGTTGCTCTCAACCACTCCTTTTTGACCATGGTGTAGACTGAAGTAAACATAGGCACCTATAGAAATCAGGTGACCTCTCCAGCCCCCAGGAAGGTTCCTGCCTCCCAAACATCTGCCAGCACCTCCATATCACTCTCTGCAAAAATAAGTAAGCAGGAGGGAATCAGTTTGTGTGGGACCAGCTCCAAAATGGCAAAAAAGAATTGGGAGAATTCTTCAGGCTATCCCCAAAAGGTTCAGAAAAAGAGCATCAGATTCCTGAAGAAGAAATCCAATTAGAATTAAACAAAGGGAAAGTAAGCTTTCATTTTCAGGAATGCAAAGAAAATATTTACATTGTGGAAAAGGAAACACAAACAAGGTATTAAGAAACTTGAAAGTGTCTCCTCAAGCTGATGAAAGAATCCAAGCCAAAGTTTTTAAATCTTCTATTAAATGCCTTATTATAAATCATACCCCAAATTTCAAACATCAGTGAGTGTATTATTTTTTACCCATTCTAGTCCTTCAAAGAGGATCGGTTGCCATTCAGACTACAAGTGCCCCATTATTAACCATGAACCATGGCATTATTCTTTAATTTTCACTGTCAACTTTCCATAGTCTTATTTCTTAAAGCAATTTTCCACCTTGATTTCTTCTAGCTTGAATTCCATTAACCTCTCCCCTCAAAAACAAGACAAAACAACTCCAAAAGTACTAGTTCAACATTATATATATATGTATATAAACCAGTGTAGAAAAGTTGGAAAAATACAGAAATTTCATCAACTAGAAACAACCAAGAATGACATCATAGGATATTTTCTTTTTCTATATAAATACATGAATCTTCACAAACAGAATGAGAATAAAACACACACAGTTCAGCATGCAACCTGTTAAAAAAGCTAATGTTTTCTTAAAAACAAAGTGCAAAATCTCTATTGTGTGAAAGATATGCATAGGTACTGTATAAAAACATACCAAATATCAATGGTGAACATCTCTGGATATAACCTCTGCTCATATTCAGTGCCACCAACTTTCAACAACAAACATGCAGCCCTTTTAAGGATCAGGGAAAAAATAATGTCACTTGGAAGAAAGAAAATGAAAACCTTAGATTTTTTTTTGATTATTATACTTTAAGTTTTAGGGTACATGTGCACAATGTGCAGGTTAGTTACATATGTATACATGTGCCATGCTGGTGCGCTGCACCCACTAACTCATCATCTAGCATTAGGTATATCTCCCAATGCTATCCCTCCCCCCTCCCCCCACCCCACAACAGTCCCCAGAGTGTGATGTTCCCCTTCCTGTGTCCATGAGTTCTCATTGTTCAATTTCCACCTATGAGTGAGAATATGCGGTGTTTGGTTTTTTGTTCTTGCGATAGTTTACTGAGAATGATGATTTCCAATTTCATCCATGTCCCTACAAAGGACATGAACTCATCATTTTTTATGGCTGCATAGTATTCCATGGTGTATATGTGCCACATTTTCTTAATCCAGTCTATCATTGTTGGACATTTGGGTTGGTTCCAAGTCTTTGCTATTGTGAATAATGCTGCAATAAACATATGTGTGCATGTGTCTTTATAGCAGCATGATTTATAGTCCTTTGGGTATATACCCAGTAATGGGATGGCTGGGTCAAATGGTATTTCTAGTTCTAGATCCCTGAGGAATCGCCACACTGACTTCCACAATGGTTGAACTAGTTTACAGTCCCACCAACAGTGTAAAAGTGTTCCTATTTCTCCACATCCTCTCCAGCACCTGTTGTTTCCTGACTTTTTAATGATCGTCATTCTAACTGGTGTGAAATGGTATCTCATTGTGGTTTTGATTTGCATTTCTCTGATGGCCAGTGATGATGAGCATTTTTTCATGTGTTTTTTGGCTGCATAAATGTCTTCTTTTGAGAAGTCTCTATTCATGTCCTTTGCCCACTTTTTGATGGGGTTGTTTGTTTTTTTCGTGTAAATTTGTTTGAGTTCATTGTAGATTCTGGATATTAGCCCTTTGTCAGATGAGTAGGTTGCAAAAATTTTCTCCCATTTTGTAGGTTGCCTGTTCACTCTGATGGTAGTTTCTTTTGCTGTGCAGAAGCTCTTTAGTTTAATTAGATCCCATTTGTCAATTTTGTCTTTTGTTGCCATTGCTTTTGGTGTTTTAGACATGAAGTCCTTGCCCCTGCCTATGTCCTGAATGGTAATGCCTAGGTTTTCTTCTAGGGTTTTTATGGTTTCAGGTCTAACGTTTAAGTCTTTAATCCATCTTGAATTGATTTTTGTATAAGGTGTAAGGAAGGGATCCAGTTTCAGCTTTCTACATATGGCTAGTCAGTTTTCCCAGCACCATTTATTAAATAGGGAATCCTTTCCCCATTGCTTGTTTTTCTCAGGTTTGTCAAAGATCAGATGATTGTAGATATGCGGCGTTATTTCTGAGGGCTCTGTTCTGTTCCATTGATCTATATCTCTGTTTTGGTACCAGTATCATGCTGTTTTGGTTACTGTAGCCTTGTAGTATAGTTTGAAGTCAGGTAGTGTGATGCCTCCAGCTTTGTTCTTTTGGCTCAGGATTGACTTGGTGATGTGGGCTCCGTTTTGGTTCCATATGAACTTTAAAGTAGTTTTTTCCAATTCTGTGAAGAAAGTCTTTGGTAGCTTGATGGGGATAGCATTGAATCTGTAAATTACCTTGGGCAGTATACTTTGAAGTCAGGTAGTATGATGCCTCCAGCTTTGTTCTTTTGGCTCAGGATTGACTTGGCAATGCAGGCTCTTTTTTGGTTCCATATGAACTTTAAAGTAGTTTTATCCAAATCTGTGAAGAAAGTCATTGGTAGCTTGATGGGGATGGCATTGAATCTGTAAATTACCTTGGGCAGTATTGCCATTTTCACGATATTGATTCTTCCTACCCATGAGCAAAACTCTCAATAAATTAGGTATTGATGGGATGTATCTGGAAATAATAAGAGCTATCTATGACAAACCCACAGCCAATATCATACTGAATGGGCAAAAATTGGAAGCATTCCCTTTGAAAACTGGCACAAGACAGGGATGCCCTCTCTCACCACTCCTATTCAACATAGTGTTGGAAGTTCTGGCCTGGGCAATTAGGCAGGAGAAGGAAATAAAGGGTATTCAATTAGGAAAAGAGGAAGTCAAATTGTCCCTGTTTGCAGACGACATGATTGTATATCTAGAAAACCCCATCGTCTCAGCCCAAAATCTCCTTAAGCTGATAAGCAACTTCAGCAAAGTCTCAGGATACAAAATCAATGTACAAAAATCACAAGCATTCTTATACACCAACAACAGACAAACAGAGAGCCAAATCATGAGTGAACTCCCATTCACAATTGCTTCAAAGAGAATAAAATACCTAGGAATCCAACTTACAAGGGATGTGAAGGACCTCTTCAAGGAGAACTACAAACCACTGCTCAAGGAAATAAAAGAGGAAACCTTAGATTTCTAAGTGGCTGGGTCCAGATGCTCTAAACGAGTTTTCAATGTTTTGTTTCTAAAAGAAAATATTTGGTCTGTGATCATGAGCAGGCAGGTGGGGGCAGCCCTTGGGGAGGCGAGCGTGTGGGGGTAGTGTCAGGTCAGGGCATTGTGACGCTCCCAGTATATAAGGCCTGACTTGGCCATTGCACTTGCTACTTCACCTGCACCTGCCTACCTGCAGCCCGTGGTCCTCCTGAGCATGACCAGACCGACCCACAGAGCTGAGATGGGAGGAAGCATGTTGGCCAGGCTGGGGCAGGGGCTGCTGGTTCTGGGACTGTTGCTACCTCTGCAGACAGCTGCCAAGACAACCATGCAAGCTGCCACCACTGAGGGTGTCAGTGCCCTGCAGTCTTCAGCTGGTGTCCCCGTCTTGTCTCTCTCCCTTGTTCGTCATCTTTATTGTTGAGACTCAGGCTGAGCAATAGCACTTCTCCAACTCACCTTTTCAATCCCAACCCACATGGCATCTCAAGGATAAACAACAATAACAGGGCTTCATCAAAGCTACCAATGCCACCCCATATCTTCTTGAAATGGACAATGTTGCAAAGCCCACATTTGACTCTTTTGAAGAGCATCAGGAGAACTTGACCCTTTGACCCGTGCCTCTGTGAAATCAGCTGGAGTTTCGCATGCCAGGTGAAAAGGATAGAGAACAGCCACAATTAGTGAAAGACACGGTTTCATTAAATGGGGCTTAAGAAATACGGACTCTCAAAACTCCACCTTGAAAAAAACTGATTTCACCCTTATCTAGAGAAAAAGGATGGGATGTGGAATGGAGATTGTTTTCATTTTGATTCTTCAAATCTGTAAGACCATAAAAATGATTATGTAATATAAAAAGCTGCCACGATTCTCTTTTTGTACTCTGGAAGGAACTTCTTGTTACTGTAAATTAGTACTAATTTAATGCAGTATACTCTAAAGTTTTACATTGTTAAGCTTTCACTGTTTTCTTGGGGATGGCTCTTTCCTGTGGGGTTTGGAATTTAACATTGCATTTGATTTGTATGGAGTAGTTGCCACTAGGCAGAGCAAGGATGGATTGGGATCTACCCCCAGTCTGAACATAATGAGTAAATCTTGATTATAGCTTTATAAAGGCACATGGTAGGCACTTCCCATCACACATTCCCACCCAATAAGTGTGCCAGATTTGTGTGTGTGTGTGTGTGTGTCTTCTTTTTAAGACAGGGTATCACTCTGTCACCCAGGATGAGTGCAGTGGTGTGATCACAATTCATTGCAGCCTCCTGGGCTCAAGCAATCCTCCCACCTCAGCCTGCTAAGTAGCTGGGACCACAGGTGTCTGCCACTATGTCTGGCTAATCTTTTTGCTTTTCATAGAGGTGGGGTCTCCGTTTCCCAGGCTGGTCTCAAACTCCTGGACTCAAGGGATCCTCCCACTTCAGCTTCCGACAGTCCTGGGATTACAGGTGTGAGTCACTTTGCCCAGTCCAGATTCATTTAACTACAATATTTAACCTGGTTACAAATAGAAGAGTGTCGACTTCGGTGAATCTTGAAACATTGCTTTTATGGACAGACAGATGGGACCCTGTCTTCCCTCAGCCCTGCCAATGAGACTCAGTCTCCCCTGGAGATATGAGGTAGTTTTTCTTTTTATATCTCAGAGAAGTGAGACTTATGCTAAACGTCATCTCTAGGAACAGGGTTTGACCTGCAGTGTTTGTTTTACCAAGTATATTAGTCTGTTCTCATGCTGCTAATGAAGACACACCGGAGACTGGGTGATTTATAAAGGAGAGATTTAATTGACTCATAGTTCCACATGGCTGGGGAGACCTCACAATCGTGGCTGAAGGCAAAGGAGGAGCAAAGTCGCATCTTACATGACAGCAGGCAAGAGAACGTGTGCAGGGAAATTCCCCTTTATAAAACCAACAGATCTTGTGGGACTTATTCACTATCAGGAGAACAGCATGGGAAAGACCTGCCCCCATGATTCAATTACCTCCCACCAGGTCCCTCCCATAACACGTGGGAATTATGGGAGCTACAATTCAAGATGAGATTTGGGTGGGGACACAGCTCAACCATATCGCCAAGTAAAGGCCTTGGTGGGAGCCCTGAGGGTTTTGCTGGGTGATAATTGCTTTAGCCAGGTGGGCTTCCCAGGTTTCAGCTGTAGGGTTTGCCGGGCAGCCCAGAATTCTCTGAAACACCAAAACAAAATTGTGTATGTGTGTGTTTTTCTTCTCCTAATTCATGGGGTTGTGACCTCAAATGCTGCTCACAATCTTATCTACACAAACATCAAATCTACCAGTCCTTTGACAAGCCTTTTGAGTGGGATTTGCTAAGTTCCAGGTAGTGGGAAGCGTTTTCATACTTATTTCTTTTCAAAGGAAAGAGTGGTAGAATTTCAGAAATTGGGCCCAGGCAGTGGAGATAGTAAGTGGAATTAGTTAAATTCAATTTTAGGCTTTCAGGCTGTCAGGCCTGGATTCAATTCTGGCTGCACTAAATATTAGGCGATGGCCTTGGGGAAGTCATGTTGCCTCTGTTAGCTGCAATCCCATCCTGTGGAAGAGCACAATAATAGAATATATCTTGTTGGACCATTGTGAACATTAAATGAGATACATGTTAAGTGCTTATCACCATCCTGACACATAGTTAGTGCTCCTTATTTTCTCTCTTGCATTCTCTCTTAATTCTTCAGCTCCACTATGATATCCCTAGGGCCTAGGGCCGGCCTTTTTCACTCCAAGGTCCATTACCACCATCTGGGGGAGGGCTGCAGGTATGGGATGTGGAGTCTGGGCCAAAGGAGGCAGGAAGGAACACTTATAGAGAGTCAACCACATGCCTGACCCTGTGTGAAGCATTTTTAAATGAGTCCTCTCTCTTAACCATCAAAGTGCAATGGAGCTTTCTTTATCCCATTTTGCAGATAAGGAAGTGGAGGCTCAGGGAGGGTTAAGTCCCCCAAGGTCTCATTGCTGCTAAGAGCCAGTGCCAGGACTTGAGCCCAAGTCTCTGACAACAGAGAGCTGGTGTTTTTCAGAACCCAACATTTCCAGGGGAGCTTGGAAACAAATGGAAGGATCAGCTGTGACAAACTGTGTGCCAGGATCAGGTACTTGCTCAATGTCAAGGCAGGTAGGAAGCAGGTGGAGCCAGCCAGGCAGCCGGGGCCCAAGCACCCAGGGCTTTCTGCAGGTATGTCATGTATCTCAGCTCTGCCTCCACGGACCCTTGTACAAGTTACCTAACTCCTCCATGCCTGTGTCCTCATCTGGTTTTGATTTTCAAGACCGTTTCTCCATGTTAGAGTTTTCACGAAAATCAAATGACAGCCTCTGGCACTGTGGTTGGCACAGGGAAAGCGCAGAATTGGCATTCATGTTTTATAGGGCAGGAAGTTGGTGGGTGAGCACGGCTTTTCATTGCAGTCTCTGCCCGAGTTGGAGTCGGCTGCCCTGTGAGGACATTACTCAACACACAGAAACCCAAATGTCCTGGCCACCTTCCCACCTGAATAATGATGCATCCCCGCAGAAGTTTCAGGAAGAAAGTAACAGTGTGGTGTCTGCTGTGGGACCACAGGCAGCTACTCAGAGGGACCTGGGTTCAAATCCTGACCCCACCCAAGACAATCTCCCCACCACCTGCCGAGCCCCTTCTTTGTACCAGACCTGAGTTTGGCAGGTTGCTATTATCCCCATGTACAGATCAGGAAGCTGAGGCACAGACCAGTGGGCTGACTTGCCCAGTGCTGCTTTGCAATTCAGTGGTGGAGTTGGGATTGGGCCCTGGCCAGGAGACCCAGAAGAAGTCAGAGGAGCTTTGACAACAGGCTTTGGTTGAACATCGTTAAGCTCTTGCTATGTCAGGTACTCTGTGAGCTTTGCCTGTGTTACATTGCAGTTTCACAACACACCTATGAGGCAGGCCTGTTATTATCCCTATTTCATAGATGAGAACATTGAGGCACAGAGGAGTTAAACAATTTGCTCCAGGTTACACTGCCATTAGCAGCAGTGCTGTGATTTGAGTGCAGGCTGCCCAGTCCCAGAGCACACAGCTCCTCACCCCTACGCTGTCCTCTCCCTGAGGCTCTGTAGCCTATTACAGCTCATGAAGTCCATTTGACACATGCAGGTTCTTGTTGGATTCCCCAGAGGCTGATTTTACCACTGCCTATGAACCCCTCAAGGGCAATGTCTGTGTCATTCATTCCTGTGTCCCAGTGCCCTTTGCAGGGCTTGGCACATAGCAGGTGCATGATGCTTGAGTAGAGACCCACTGCCATCCCTTGCCCATCCCTGTCTGTCCCAGCATCACTGGGGCACCAGTGCACTGAGTTCCATAACTGTGCAGCTTTCCCAGCCCTGGGTATGGCCTCTGTCAGATGGGCGAGGCTCTGCTTTAGTGACCGTGGTAGTGGCTTAAACAACAAAGGGCCATTTCTTGCTTATGCTGCCTGTTCACCGTGGGCCAGTGGAGGAGGCTGCCCCATTATGGTCACCCAGGGGCCATGGGTAACAGAGCAGCCACAGTCTCACATGCATGCCAGAGGGACATGAGCTCTGGAAGGTCTCACTCCAGTAATCAAATGCTAGATCTGGAAGTAACAGTAACATTCCTGCTCATGATTCACTGGCCAGCATCAGTCCCATGGACATGCCCAGCCAGAGCACCAGGATGCCATCCTGCCATGTGCCCAGAAGAGGGCAAGGTTGGAAATATTTTGAGAGTGGCACCAATGACTACTAAGGCACAAAAGGACACTGCCCCAACCTCTCCTGTCTGTCCTTCTCCCCACACATTCTGGCCTAGTCTCAGTTGCTCACAATTTATACCCCCCACCCCTGATATAATCCCAGTAGCTGGGAAGGTAGAATTATCTGAGACTGAGGCTCAGAGCACTGGAATGACTTGCCCAAGGTCTCAGAGCTTGGAGAGTGTATCCGGATGAAAACATAGATCTCTCTGGTTCTAGAGCTGATGGGTCCTCCTCTCCCTGAATCGTGGTGTCTCTTAAAACTATCAGAAAATCTACAAGGTCAAAATGAGACACTATAGGGCAGACAGGGGCCACAGACTGCTGGGAACTGGGGAGGGTCCCAAGAGGGGTTGTGTCCTGACGGTGGGCAGAATATGAGGGCTGGAGAGAGCAAAGTGCTGGCAGGTGCCCAGGCAGAGGCCCTAGGGGATGAGGGAGCCTGGAGAAGATGGCCTGGCTGGTCGAATGTGGGAGGAAGGAGAGAGGAGGAGAGAGGGGGAAGGAAGGGGAAGTGGGAGAGAGAGTGGATCTAGCCAGATGTGGATGTGGACTGATGCTCTGCAGGCCCAGAAACCCTGGGGACTTTATTAAACTCCAGCTTCTGATCACCTGGGCTGAGTCTGCATTTCTAATAAGTCCCCAGGTGCTGTCCATGAGTATTCAGACCACAGAGCTGTCCATCACTGATTACCCCACCCTACCTCCGCACTCTGCTGAGTCCTGAACCTGCCCCAGATAGCTCCGTTTCCCCAGAGAGGGAGCCACTTCATTACAAAAGTACCTTATCCACAAAGACAGAACACAGGGGCTGATTAAAGCCCTTCAGCCCAGCACCACTTTTGTAATCGATGCTCTGTGGTTGTGAACCGGGTGTCTGTCAGTAGCTGTCTAATTTTAGCTGGGTCTTTGCAGGCTTCTCACCAGGCTTACCCACCCCAGTGGATGGGCAGAGAGGTTCTGAGAAGCATCATTGATCTTTTGAGGACATACAAATCTGCCATTTCTCAGTGAGCCATCTGTCGTGGTGGCATAGAAGAAACGCTACCTGGAGAGCGAGAATTATAATTTCATGTAAAACCCATCTTGCTCCGTTCCCCACAACCCACCTCTTCCCTGCCTTGACTGAGCTGGGAGGCCAAGATCAAGGTCCTGGGAAATCAATGCCTTTTACTGTTTCAACTTTGGCACAGAGCAATGGGGGAAAAGCCATCAATAGGTGTTAAAGACATTCCCAGTTGTGGGCAAGCGCCCTGTTAGGGGGGCCCAGCCTCTTGCAGTGAGTTGGCACTGCCAACATGTTTACTTGCATGGGGGAGATTCAGTGCCCCTGTCCTTGGGCACTCTGCCCAGTGTACGTGGCTAAGGAGGCAGCAGGGGAGGTCCCAGGGCCTCTGAGAAGGAAAACACCGTCCTCACATAGCAACGGGATACTGAACCCCATCCAAAGCCTCATCCGGTGATATGGTCATGTTTGCGTCCCTGTTGAACCTTCTGTGTCCCAGGCTGGTACTGGGCTCTGAAAGGAACGCAGGAATGGTGAAGACACTGCCCTGTCTCTTGTTCCCTAAAACAGCATAATCCAGTAGGATGTTGGGAGGGCGGTGAGATTCAGACCAGCAGTCCACAGTGCTCTGTGCCCCTGCCCTACCCCGTCACCCCCAGAGCCCTCCACACAGGGGACATACCTCTATGCCCAGGAGATTTGGTGAAGGACAGCAGTGTCCTCAGCCTGCATCTTGCATGCTGACACTCTAGACTCTGGCCAGAAGAGACTTTAGGTGTAATTTATTAACTGGCTTAATACACATTTTTGTATCATTATTAAGGATCATTCCCTTTTTTCCTCAAACAGGATCTAACATAGGTCCCCCAAATCTAAAACAGTAGCAGCCGAGCTTCTCTGGTTGAGATGGGAAGCAGCCAACTCGGCCGGGCCCTCCCCACCCTCCTGCAGTGGCTTCTGAGGCATCTCAGGGCAGGCACCTTGGTGACACCTCTGGCCTTTGGAACCCATTTAAAACTCTTCACCCTGGAGTTTGCAGTCTGCTTTTTGCCAGCCTCTCCTCACATTGCGTCCCTCCCTCTCCATCCCTACCCCATACATTCTGCTTCCATCCCACAGAGCTGCTTACCGCCCCACTTCCACCCTTCACCTGCCACACCTCTGCCTTCACCCATGCCATTGCTTTGCCTAGATTGTCCCACGCGCCCCCTCCCCCGCCCTCAGCTTTCCCCATCCTGGCAAATGCAGAGAGGAGCATCTCACAGAGGATCGGTGCTGACATTGTCATCCGCAGCTAAGACTCACTTGAGGATACAAAAATTTGCAAAGATCAATCACAAAGGTGGTGCCAGTCAAAGGTTAGAAAGGCAGTTGCTGGGCAGATGTCCTTGCAGAAGTATTTTTTATGTTAAGCTGTGATGGCCTTTGTGCAAAGTTGTGGTTTTTGCAGTCTCTTGTGAAAATCTTTGTTATTAGGCATCCAAGTGTGAGAAACCTCTCTTCTTAGCTTTTCCCAGCTCGGTTTGTCAGTTTTTTTTTAGACACTAGTGATTCCATGTTCATTCTGACAGCTTTCACATTTCTTCCTTTTGGTTAAGATCTTTCTCTACAAGTATCACTGATCATTCATCCTGTAGTTAGGTTTTGATGTCCCTTGGTGCTGGGATGGGCCTGTCCCATTTGCTGGTCTCCTCCCAAATTGGCAGGAGTGATTTGGCCACTAGGAGTCTGTGTCAAGATTCTTTTAGCCACATTTGAGCAACAAGGAAAGTTTGAAGGGAGTGGTTCTCTGGCTAAGTCTGTCTGGAGTCCATGATTAAGTTCGGTTCTGTCTGTTCCATAGTCTTTTGCTCTCGTTTCAAAGTGTTGTACCAGTAGTATTCTGTTAGAAGTTGTACTTCTGCAAAAATTGAACAAGTAACAGATACAAGGTTTTAAAAAGGGAAAATAAAAAGTAAAATTAATATGTAATTATGCAATATTGTAATTCACATAAAGGTTTTGAACCATAAACTTAGGCTTAAAGGCAACCAATTAAATAAATCAAATGACCATGGGGAATTAGTTGAAACCTGTTATTAACCATGTGGCCTTTTTTTCTTATTTTGTATATATAGGTCTCAACTTTCCCAGAGGAATTTACATAGGAACAGCAGGTAGTATTAGCAACATCACAGACATTTTCTTATTTAACCAATAGACACTAAAGGATCTCTTAGGTCAGGTTCTGTCGAGTGACCAGCAGAAGCTACTGACTGTGAAACTGCAATTATACCACTATCCTGCCAAGTGGGAAAGGTAGTGTTAAAAGGGGTAATAATCTCATTATGATATGGAGTCTTGTTCCAACATCTTGGGAAAAGCTGTCTACAGTGTGAAAATGTCAACTTCTCATCCTAGTTTGTGATTTGAATGTCTCTGGTCATAACCTTGGGTGATTAGGTGAACTTTTCATGTGACCCATATATCAGGCATGAGGCTTGTTTTTTTTATTTATTTATTTATTTATTTATTTATTTATTTTTTTATTGATTTATTATTTTTTTTTATTATACTCTAAGTTTTAGGGTACATGTGCACATTGTGCAGGTTAGTTACATATGTATACATGTGCCATGCTGGTGCGCTGCACCCACTAATGTGTCATCTAGCATTAGGTATATCTCCCAATGCTGTCCCTCCCCCCTCCCCCGACCCCACCACAGTCCCCAGAGTGTGATATTCCCCTTCCTGTGTCCATGTGATCTCATTGTTCAATTCCCACCTATGAGTGAGAATATGCGGTGTTTGGTTTTTTGTTCTTGCGATAGTTTACTGAGAATGATGGTTTCCATTTTCATCCATGTCCCTACAAAGGATATGAACTCATCATTTTTTATGGCTGCATAGTATTCCATGGTGTATATGTGCCACATTTTCTTAATCCAGTCTATCATTGTTGGACATTTGGGTTGGTTCCAAGTCTTTGCTATTGTGAATAGTGCCGCAATAAACATACGTGTGCATGTGTCTTTATAGCAGCATGATTTATACTCATTTGGGTATATACCCAGTAATGGGATGGCTGGGTCAAATGGTATTTCTAGTTCTAGATCCCTGAGGAATCGCCACACTGACTTCCACAATGGATGAACTAGTTTACAGTCCCACCAACAGTGTAAAAGTGTTCCTATTTCTCCGCATCCTCTCCAGCACCTGTTGTTTCCTGACTTTTTAATGATTGCCATTCTAACTGGTGTGAGATGATATCTCATAGTGGTTTTGATTTGCATTTCTCTGATGGCCAGTGATGATGAACATTTCTTCATGTGTTTTTTGGCTGCATAAATGTCTTCTTTTGAGAAGTGTCTGTTCATGTCCTTCGCCCACTTTTTGATGGGGTTGTTTGTTTTTTTCTTGTAAATTTGTTTGAGTTCATTGTAGATTCTGGATATTAGCCCTTTGTCAGATGAGTAGGTTGCGAAAATTTTCTCCCATGTTGTAGGTTGATGAGGCTTGTTTTTTAAAATTTATTTAGTTTCAGCTTATAGAGATTCAGGAACAGAGCAGTTTCCATTTTCAGTAGTTCATGGAAGAAAGCACAGATAAATCTAGATGAATTCAGGATTTATTCTAGTCTACTGGTAGATAACAAGACTTAAAAACAATGCACAGGGATACAATCTTATAACCCTGGTTACATGGAAACTCCTCATGGTGTATTATAGTTTTGCATTAGAAACATCACTTTTTCTCTCTACATTGATCACATAGGAACCTCAGGTTTAAAAACCTCTTGAGGTTATGAAGCCAAACAAAGGCAGATTTTGGATTTTACTTACAGTCTTAAGGTTTTTGGCCCTGTCAGGAAGTGACAATTTTTACTCACTACTCTACGACTGGGAACTCTTGAAATCAGGCATTCTGTGTACATTCTCAAATATGATAATTTAGTCAAAGCTTTGGTATTAAAATCAGTGTTTCTAATTGTATACTGCTATAAAGAGATTTTTATTGAACATATGCAAATAACCATACTGCCATATAAATAAGAATATTCACACATAGTTTTGAATTTTGAAAAAATCAACTAGAGGGAAAAAGCAAATGCTTCCACCATTGTTCACAAAAGTATGCTTTACCAAATTGCTATAAACTGTAGATAGCTTAAGAGAGAAAATTTCCTGAAATCTGGAAAATGAAACATTGATGTAAAGAACCAATTATGTTTTAACAAAAGTCATAAAAACATTATCTTGTTACTTAATTTAATGTAATTACTTTTTGTTTTACTTGATCTTGATTAGTGGGTTTATGAACCCATCAGATTTTTAAAATCAGAGTTCTGGAAAATTTTTATTTAGTCCATTGATCTTAATGTTATCAGAAATTTGTGTTCAAGAGTGGAGTTAGAGTTTTTTCCATGATCTGACTGCAAATGCTCTTAGAGAAAATCAAAACAATAACTATGGATGACAAAAACTTAAGGCTAGCCTTGGTTAAAAATCAGATGAAATTTCATAATTGATAAGAAAATTTAGTTATTTCTATTTCGTACAGCATTGTAAGATAACAAACAGAATCATGACTGACAGTGTCACATCAGGACCATCAGGACTTTTATAAATGTCATGTAATGTTTAGAATACTCACATCAATAATAGACCCAAACAAATATAACTTAAACAAATTAACATAAATAAAATTAGGGCTAATAATATTAGATTTCTATGAATTTATATACTTTTAAAAACATTTATATCAAAACATACCCACAAATATAACTGAAAGAAGATTTAGTATTGCTTATAATTCGAAAATGCTTCCCATGTAATTTACCAAACAAGTCTAATTATTTAATGTCTCTACAAGATGAGAGATACATTCTTTGATGCTCTCCAGGGGCCCGGCTGGAAAAATCTTAATGTTAATTCTAGGTCAAAAAGACTTATAAAGAGTTTTGATCCTAGGAAAGCCTGCCAAAGATGTCAAAAGTTTCAATGCACTTGATTAAAACAGATTCATCTAGGTCACTATAAAATAATAGTCATTCATTTAACCATCATGGAATCAAAAGACATCAAAAGCAACACAGAAAGTTACATGGATGTAAAAACCTTAACTCTTTTACAGCTCAGTTTTCCTAAGTAATAAAAAAACCTAATAAAGACACCACAGTAAATTATCTTGATTAAATTAAATTCTTTGTTTTTTAGGCCAGTTACCAAAAAGGTAAAGAAAAATCTCTTGCAATGTTGATTGCTTCTCCTTACGGGAAGCCCCCATTTAGATAACCTGGTCATCAAACCTGATGAAAAGAGTAATTATATTTAATCAGACACAGGAATAGTGTGTCCGGGGTTGTGAATGTACACCACATTATAGAGGAATGTAAGTAACAAAACCAGCACCTTGAGTAGGGCAATACGTGGCTCTTCGTAACAACATGGGGAGTTCCCTGGTTACAGGGAAATAATTCAGACATATCAAGAAAAGCCGTGTATAGAACTAAGTTATAATGGATGAAAACATTACATTTCTAGGCCTTTAAGATAAATGTTTTAGTTACAGTTAGAACTGAAGGAAAGAACAAGTTACAGGAGCTGACAACAAAGTTGAAAGAGGAAATTATCACCCCAGCCAACCAAAAATTTGCACCTTTACAACAGGGTAAAGAACAGAAAGCAATGAAATATTATCTGCAAATCATGTGCAGTGATATACAGCAAAAGTTGAACTGAGATAGGATTCTGAGAAGTTTTAAAAGGAAATTTTTACCTTGAGAGTGAAATTACCATTCTGAATGAAAAAGACACCATTTCTAACCCAAAATGAGGGAAATTAAATAAATTTTAGGAAGAAATGTGGCAGCAATAAAAACTGCTTGCCATTTGGGAAATGGCAGTTAAATAAATATATTTCGGAATTAAAAATTAAAACCTCTTGCAATTTTACTAAAAGCAAATGAATATTACAGGAAAACCTTATTGTTCTAATATAGTGGCCCAAAATTTTAGTTTTGTATTAGTGTATTTTTAATACCAAAGCTTGATCTTTAGAAAGACTTATAAATAATTCCATTCTAATTATAGCCAATTTGGTCATACACTAAATTCCTTTCTTAAATTCATCCTCTGCAAGCCTTTCTTGACTTGCTCAGACATTTTGATGACATACTTGGACTTTCTGCTTTGTCTTACACTTCCTTTTTCTTAAGCTACCAGTCATTTTACTTTAGGATAATAATTTGCCACATGAAATTCTTTCTCATACCTATTTATTTTGTTTTTATTTTAACCTTCCTTACTAAAAATACATCTTCTACCTATAACTTTCCTCACATTTCTCTGTCCTATTTACTGGTTACTTTCAATGTTGTTTCTATTTTCTTCCTACATCCTAAATTTTGAAACAACCATTAAATAACCTCCAAATTAGAAAAAAAATTTTTCTTTTTTAAGGTAAATACCACACTTTTATGCCTTTCTTAAGATCTTTCTTATTAAAAATACATCTTAACTTCTTGGTACAGAATTCTATTAATTAAAACTTTTAATACTTAGTATTTTTAAATTTTAGTGAAAATCTAGGAAGCAAGAAATCTTGAATTGTCTGTCACAGATCAGTATATTATAGATGAGAACCATTTTATAATTTTTAGAAACATGTTTCCCCATAACATAATTTTTGTATGTACGAATAGACCCAAATATAGTCTTTCTATAAAATTTAAGACATAAATAACACACTTTTATAATGTTTATTTATTTCAGTTCTGAAAATCTTATTTAAAAATGACCCAGGCATTAAGGAGTACTATTATTTAATTTAATATAACATAAGTTTGAGATTTCAAATTACATGAAAAGTTCATTTATAGATGTTTATCCCATTTACATTTATGTAATTTTTTAAATGATTACTTAGATTACTTATAAAAACTGAGATATTAGACAAAGTTAGAGCCCTTTCATATTATTTCCCTGTTAACCATTTTTATAGCCTGTGAAT
This sequence comes from Homo sapiens, assembly GCF_000001405.40. Lineage (NCBI taxonomy): Eukaryota > Metazoa > Chordata > Mammalia > Primates > Hominidae > Homo > Homo sapiens. Next base: position 30,564,311 of record NC_000001.11, on the reverse strand, counting down.
ATCAGGTGTTCACCTAAGGAAGAAACTTAAATATATGAGTATTTTGCCAATAATGCAGAAAATATAGTTGTTTCCATTAAACGAACAACATTAAACTAGTCTTACTTATCAAAACTCACACAAACAAGATGGGCACAGTGGTTCACATCTGTAATCCCACCACTTTGGGAGGCTGAGGCAGGAGTATCACTTGAGGCCAGGAGTTTGAGACCAGCCTGGGCAACAGAGCAACAGAGCAAGACCTCATCTCATCTACGTGCACACACACACACACACACACACACACACACACACACACACACTCATACACAAACAAAAATCATTCTGTTTTTTAGGCTGCGTTTATAGTTTTATATCTTTTGTAATAAAACTTGATACTTTAAGATATCTGAAATATAAAACTATCTGACCAGTAAACCCAGGCAAAAGTGTATGCTGACAATTTTTATTTTACTAATAATTTTAAAACCAGCTCATTTATTAAAGATTTACTTAAGTAACGTGAATTAAAAGGTATGCTATATATGTTATGATTGCTCGCTTATCTAAGCCAATACAAATAGAATTCCTTAAGGGATTTCTGGCTATGTTAGAGTTTACCATGTAGACACAATATACAACATAATACATATACATATGCATAAACACAGCTAAACATACATACACACACACACACACACACACACACACATAAAGATATTAACACTTTCCTTTTAGAATTTTAGTCAGGAGATAGCAATACATGCACACCAGTTTATCAAAGATAGTTGGGTCCAAATTATATTTCTAACAAAATTGGCTAGACTTTACTTGCCTCAGTAGGTAATCTACTGAAGGCTATGGGCCAAAATTTTGGATAAAGCAGTTTCTATGGCAGTTTAATTTAAAAAATACCTCTTTCATACTCCTGACCCCTCCCTTTTCTGTTTCAAATGCGTTTAGGGTTAAATTTTAAATGTTCACATTTTAACTAGGACTTACTTAAGAAAATAACATCTCCAAGTAGCTTTGGATCTGTCTTTTCTTTTCCAGTCTGGTTTGCTTGACTAGTCAGAAGTGGGTGGGGAAGTATTTTAGCAGATTTTTTTTTCTCAAATTTTTTTTGGCCCCTGCATGGCAGACAAAGCCAAATTTTTATGTCAGACAAATACCTTATATCATTGCTCTGGGCTCAATATTTTTGTTACTGGATGGAGGGTCTTGACTGTGAGTTGTCCAGGTTCTTGGTGTGTTGAACAAAGAACTGAACAAAACACACAAACAAAGCAACAAAAGAATGAAGCAATGAAAGACAAACAAAGCAACAAAAGAATGGAGTAATGAAAGCACAGATTTATTGAAGCAAAAGTACACTCCACAGAGTGGGAGCAGGCTTAAACAAGCAGCTCAAGAGCTCTCCCTCCTCCCACCCTGACAATTAGGGTTTCTATAAAGCTTAAAGAACTTGGTAACAACCCTAGATGCTCCCTAGAGGCCTCCAATTGGTTACACCTTATAAAGGCTTCACCTGTGACCAATCAGAGGCTGAAGTGGAGACTTGGCTTGGGGTCAATCAGAGGCTGAATTGGAAACTTCTGTCTTGTTATCACAGGAGTGAGGATGTGGCCTGTATGCTGCCTAATCTTGCCTAGAACTGGCAGCACCTGCTGTTCTTTTGCTTCTGCCTTAACTCTTGGTTACCCTAATTCCCTCTTCTCCTGCCTCATTTTGACCTGAAAGCCCACCTTTTATAAACATTTATCCAGTTCTTTTAGTTTAGACTATTGATCTTTCAGTTAACTATTCTATGACCCTAAGTAATTGTTAGTCAAGCGAACCTACATTTACATGTCCAAAAACTGTCTAGATTGTTGGTTACCGTTTGTAAAGCCATTAATCTGGAAGCCCTTTAAGACTTAAAAAAAAGTCTTGGCCAGAATGCCATAGGCAATGAGTTTTATCTCAACACCAGTAGAAAAGCCAGCAGAGTCAAAGTAGGCAGAGAAAAAAATAGAGAGAGATAGAGAACTTAGAAGGCTCTACATGTTAACTCTATAGTTGCAGGTTTTTTAAAATTAAGTTCAATTAATGATCTCTTGACTTTTGAATTTTGCTTGATGTAATTTGCCCATCAATTTAAAAATGTGCAGAAGAATGGGCCATAATATGTAGCCAGCTGGACTCCTAGAAAACCTGGCATGTCTTAATGTTTGAGAATCCCATTCCATTTCTTATTAATCTCTCAAAAGCAAAGCAAATCTTATTTATCCTGTCAGGGAATGTGGGAAGTTCAGGTCAGTGTTTTAAATGATGGCAACCATCCTAGTGGCTTTTAATTAGTAATTCTGTGTGCATCATTCAGAATGTTTACTTTTGCTTCTGAAAGATTTTTAGAAACAGGTAAGAGAAAAGAATCAAACCAAATCAAAAGAAACCAAGATACGGGTGTTCACAAAAGTTTTAACCCAGACATGCAGATCAAACAAACTATTAAACTAGGCGTGCAGACTAAACGCGAATTCACCAGAAAAGATATGCCTCACAGACAGAATGTAAATTCTGTAGAAATCAAGAGTATTCAGAGAGACATATGTCTTTATACCAGAAAGAACTTACCAGAAAAGACAAAAAGTTTTTTTCATCATCCCAGGTGGGATGCATAGTCCTTTATTAAGGTGGCCTTATTCAAATCAAATCCTGAGTAAATTCAAGAGCTTCCACCAAAAAGAGGGAGGCTCGGCTTGGGAGATGACTCACCAGGGCAGGAAAGGTTAGCTGTAGAAGTCGGGGGCTCAAAGGGCTCAAGTGAGTACTGCACACTGATTGCCAATTTATTTTGATAGTGATATTTTTTCAGGTCCCATTTCTGACACTGTGTTTGTTAAACTAAATCATAGAGAGAGGCTCTCTAAAAAGAAAATGATGTTTATTTGAGAATAGAGCATTGCAGTGGGAATATGCATGCAACTGTAAACTGTGCGTATGCTCAGAAAGGTAAAGGAAAACAAAGGTTTTTAAAGAAAAATGAAAAGGATTACCTAATTTTTAAAAACAATTATCCTTGACTACAAATATCAATAACAAGGGTGATTCCAGTTCAAGCCTTGACAGGCAGTTGTTGGGCAAATGTTCTTGAATAAGTATTTTTTGTGTAAGGTTGCATTGGCCTTGGTGAAAGACTGTGTTTCTTGCAGAGTATTTTGTGAAAGTTTTTGTTAACAGGCATACAAATGTGAGAATCCTCTCTTCTTAGCCTTCTCTGACTTCGTCAGGGTTTTTTCACATTAGTGACTGCATATTGATTCTGAAAACTTTCACAGAGGTTTAATTTTTGTTTTCTTCTTTTAGCTTTTATAGTAAAAAGCTAGAAGAAGAAAAAAAAGTCATTAATTTTTTTCCTTTCTTAGGAAAGAAAAACTTAGGTCATTATTTTTTTTTCACTTTCTTCTTTTCTGAGAAATTAAAGGTTAAATTTCCCTCTAAGCACAGTTTTGTTGCTTATAAAATTTATGAATTTTGATATATTGTGTTTTCATTGTCATTCACTTCAAAATATTTTAAAATTTTTACTTCTGCTTTCTATTATACTTTGGCTCACGGATTATTGAATGTGAGTTGTTTTCTTTCAGGTATCTGTTTGTTATTGATTTTTTTGTTTACTTATGTATGGTTAAAGTTCATGCCCTGTAGAATATTAATGCTTAAAAAAAATTTTTTTTTGAAACTCGTTTTGTGGTCCAGCTTGTGGTCTGTCTTTGTGTGTGTTCCACGTGTACTTGCAAAGAATGTGTATTCTCCTGTTGATGGGTACAGTGTTCCATTAATATCAATCAATGCTCAAGATGGTATGGTTCAAGTTTCTATATTCTTGTTGATTTAATTGTGGACTTGTCTACTTCTTTTGCTTTCATTAGTTCCTGCTTCATGTATTTTCAAGCTCCATTATTTGGTGATTTAGAAGTGTTATGTATTATAGAAAAATTGGCTGTTTTATCATGAAATGTCCTTCTTGATTTAACATTCTTGTCCTGAAGTCTACTTTGCTGATGTTAATATAACTGCTCTAGTTTTCTTATGATTAGTGTTTGCATGGTATATCTTCTCCCATCCTTTTCTTTTAACTAGTGTCTTTCATACATAAAGTGAGCAAGTTTCTTATAGACAGCATAGTGTTGTCTCTTTTTAAATCCAGTCTGACAATCTCTGCTTTTTAATTTGAATGTTTAGATAATTTGCACTTAATGTAAACAACAATATGGTTAGATCTAAGTCTTTTGAGAGTATCTGTTAAGTAATATTAATTTTCTACTTGTTCCATTCTCTTTTTTCTTGCTACTTCTTGAATACAGCATGCATTTTTTAACATTATATATTCTCTATTGTCTTAACAGTTATGCCACTTCTTTGATTTATCTTTTAGGGGTTCTTCTGTGTTTTACAATATGCAACTTTAACATAGCACACTGTATCCTCAAACGATGTTATAACATATCGCATATAATGTAAGAACCTTACAACAGTGTGCAGTAGTCCCTCCTTATCTGAGGTTTCACTTTCTGCAGTTTCAGTTACCCTTGGTCAGCTGCAGCCCAAAAATATTAAGTGGAGTATTTCAGAAATAAACAATTTGCAGATTTTAAATTGTCCACTGTTCTGAGTAGCATGATGAAATCTCTCACCATCCTGCTCCATCTCACTCAGGTTGTGTTTGTTCAGTGTACCCATATGGAATATGCAACCCACCTTTTAGTCACTTAGTAGCCTTTTCAGTTATCAGATTGACTGTTGCAGTATCATAGGGCTTGTGTTCAAGGAACCCTTATTTTAATTAATAATGGCCCCAAAGCACAAGAGTAGTGATCTTGGCATATTGTTATAACTGTTCTATTTTATTATTGTTATTAATCTCTTACTGTGCCTAATTTATAAATTAAACCTTATCATAGTTATGTATGTGTAAGAAAAAAACGTGATAAACATATAAGGTTTGGTACTATCTGCAGTTTCAAGCATCCACTAGGGGTCTTGGAACACACACCACTCAGATAAGGGATGGCTACTGCACTTTCATTTTCCCCATCTCGCCCTTTGTGCTATTTCTTTCCTACCTTTTCGTTCTACAAGTGTTATAGGTCCTAAAATACACTGTCATTATTTTGGCTTTAAGTGGTTTTCTTTTAAGGAAATCTTAAAAATGAGAATATTACCTTTTAAATGTATTCATATATTTACCATTTTCAGTGCTGTTCATTCATTTGCTAAATCTTAGTTTTCATCTGTTACCATGTTCCTTCAACCTGAAGCACTTTCTTTAACATTTCCTGTAGTGCTGGTTTGATAGTAAAAGTTGCTTAGTTTTTATTTGTCTGAAAAAAGTTTTATTTTGCCTTCATGTTCCAAAGATACTTTCTCTGGAGATAGAATTCTAAGTGGACCTTCCCTCCCCTGTCTTTTGGCACTACAAAGATGCTATTCCAAGTTTTTTTGCACTGTTTCTAGCATGAAGTTTATAGTTATTCTTATCTTTGGTCCCCTGTATGTAATATGACTTTTTACTCTGTCTACATTAAATTTTTCACTTTTTCATTGTTTTTCTCAGCAATTTATCAATGTGCTTTAGTATGGTTTTTGTGTTTGTATTTATTTTGTTTGGGGTTGGTTGAGATATTAGAATCTGTGTATTTATAATTTTCATAAAATTTGGAGAAAATTCAGCTATTAAATTTTTTTTTCTCTACCCTCTCACCTTTTTGGGACTCCAATTTTACATATGTTAGACCACTCAATATTGTTCCAAAGGTTATTAATGCTCTATTTTTTGTTTGTTTGTTTTTTGTTTTTTGAGATGGAGCCTTGCTCTGCCATCCAGGCTGAAGTGCAGTGGTGTGATCTCAGCTCACTGCGACTTCTGCCTCCCTGGCTCAAGCGATTCTCCTGCCTCAGCCTCCCAAGTAGCTGGGACTACAGGTGCACGTCACCATGCCTGGCTAATTTTTGTATTTTTAATAGAGATGGGGTTTCATCATGTTGGCCAAGCTGGTCTTGAACTCCTGACCTCAAGTGATTTGCCCTCCTCAGCATCCCAAAGTGCTGGGATTACAGGTGTGAGCCACTGCACCTGGACCTGATGCTGTATTCTTTTTTCTTTTAAGTCTTTCTTCTCTGGGTGCTTCAGTTTGGATAGTTTTTATTGCTATGTATTTCAGTTTACTAAGCTTTCTTCTGGAGTGTTTATTTTGCTGCTACTCCCCTTTAGTAAATTTTCCATTTTGCTTCCCTTGAGTTCTCCACAATATGTTTCATTTCTCTACTTATTATGTAGTGGTTTACTTTAAGTCTGGAAACATATGTAAGCCATTCTGAAACCCCAGGTTGCTAATTTCATGATATCTGTCTTTTTTGTTTGTCTGTTTTTGTTTTTTTGAGACAGAGTTTCACTCTTGTTGCCCAGGCTGGAGTTCAATGGCATGATCTTGGCTCACTGCAACTTCTGCCTCCTGGGCTCAAGCAATTCTCCTGCCTCAGCCTCCCGAGTAGCTGGGATTCCAGGCGTGCACCACCATGCCCAGCTATTTTTGATATTTTTAGTAGAGACGGGGTTTCACCATGTTGACCAGGCTGATCTTGAACTCCTGACATCGGGTGATCAGCCCACCTTGGCCTCCCAAAGTGCTGGGATTGCAGGCATGAGCCACTGCACCTGACCTATATCTGTTATTTCTTGGCTGGTTTATATTGACTATTTTTTTTTTCTATTTGTTTTGGGTCACATTTTTATGTTTCTTAGCATGTCTGATAACTTATGATTGCATCTGGACTTTTGAATGTTTTCTTCTGAAGTTTCTGGATTTTGTTTTCTTCCTTTAAAGAGGATTGGAGCTTGTTTTCTAGCTTTGTTATGATGAGTCTAGGGTAGCCTCTGAGCTAGGGCTTCCCTTATAAGGCAGGATCCTTAACAGTCTCTACTTATTATCCAAATGTTCAATGAGGTGTCTCCATTCTGGATGATCAGAATTCAAGTGTTGCACAGCCATGTGTGAGTTCTGAGATTTGTGCTTTTTGGTGATTCTTTGCCTGGTCTTATGAGCTTTCACTCTATGCCCACACAGCTTTGTATTCAGCAACAGAGACAAGAGGACCTCTATGCAGCTTGCTTTTTCTCCTTCCTTCTTTTCTTCCTTCCTTCCCTCTGTCTCTCTCTCTCTCTTTCTTTCTTGACAGAGTCTCACTCTGTTGCCCAGGCTGGAGTGCACAATCTTGGCTCACTGCAACCTCCGCCTCCCGAGTTCAAGCGATTCTGCTGCCTCAGCCTCCTGAGTAGCTGGGATTACAGGCACACACAACCAAGCCCAGCTGATTTTTGTATTTTTAGTAGAGATGGGGTTTCACCATGCTGGTCAGGCTGGCCTCGAACTCCTGACCTCGTGATCCACCCAAAGTGCTGGGATTACAGGCATGAGCCACAGCGCGTGGCTCTCTATGCAGCTTCCTAGAGTTCTTTATACATATGGCGACTTCTCTGCCATTCTTCCCTGCAGATTCAAGCCACCTCTGTCTCCCCAAACTCAGGTCTTCCCTGCCAACTCAGTGAAGCTTCCATTTTCTACTTCTGTTGTTACCCTTTCCTGTGCTGAGGTCTAAAAAGTGCCTCCAGGTTGAAAGCTGTTGTGCTTAATGGGCTCACTTCATTTGTTTACCTTCTCTTAGCAGTCAGAGTTCTTTAAGATTTGCTGTTCAATGTCTGAAATAGCTGTTTCATGTGTCTTGCCAATTTTTTCATTTTTTAATGGGGTGGAGATGGAGTAGACACAATACCAGTTACTCTACTATGACCAAAATGAAAGTCAAAAGTGTGGGTTTTAGAATCTAACACATGAGTTTAGATCCTGACTCTGCCAATTTCTTGCTATGTGACCTTGGGCAGATCACTCAGCCTCCATAAATCTCCATTTTCTCATGTATAAAATGGTTAACATCATCTGCCTCTGAGTTACTTTGGAGATAAAAATGACATCATGTATGTATGGTTCATCACATAGTTCATGGTACCTAGTAGGTGTTCAATAATTTAAAAACAGTATTATGAATATTTACACAGTCCTTAGGCTTTTGCAAGATGCTATAATAGCTAAAATACCAGTAATGAAGATCCTAGGAGACTGGCATCTCTGTGCAGCCCTAACTGGCCTTTAAAGTGATGAATTGTAGTACTTTTAAATATTTAAGCAGCCTTGGGGGCTCTGCATTAGAAGTTATTAAGTTTCTATTGAACATCTGTCAGCTGATTTTAACAACCTGCTGATGACCTGTTCAAAGCCTGGAGTCTTTTCAGGTGGCCCCAAGGAGTCTGTGGGTGAAACCCAAGGTGTTGCCACAGAGGATCTGTCACTGGAATCTTATTCCAAGGAATGAAGGGGCCTCCCCGTTCTTCCCACAAGACTCTTCAATATTCCAGGAAATCAGAGTCTTTCACTGGTAACTGGCCTTGGATCAGGGTTAATGTGGGAACTCACTTCTGGAAGCCAGGCCCTGGTGGATGCATGAATTCCCACAGTGACTGAGTTCCCAGGGCTGCCTCTGAGGAGGTGATGAGCTCCAGGTGGATTTGCTTATTCCTGTTCACTTTAGGTTACCTTTAAATGGGACAAAATTATCCACACAATCTTTATCTCAGTTCAGTGCTTCTAGAAAAGACCTACTTGACTTTTAAGGTTGTAGGAAAAGGGAAAAAATACAAATATGAGAGATACATAATATTCAGTTGAAACCATAGGATGGAGAAATGCTGGGAAACTCACATTTAGAAGCCTGCTTAATGTCCCAAAAAGTAAAACCAGCTGAGTAAAGAAGAGAAGACCAATACTCTACCCTCCTGCTGGGAAATGTTTTCGTGCACTGCTGACATGCACCTGTGTTTTAGGGAGAACGGAGGAGCAGGGGTTTGGCCCTGTGTCCTCCACATACCTGGCATCCTCCCATTAAGTGCTGAGGCTGTCACATCCTCTTACAAGCATTTTTGTCATTTTAGCCTTGCTGGCTTTTCCGTTTGTCATCCATTGCTTGCCTGCAAAACAGATCCTTTTAGGCTAAAGAAATACACCTCCTCACACCACCCTTTCTTGCACTTTTGGGTGTCTGCATCTCAATTTCCAACAGATAGTGAGAGCCATGTTATGAATGAGTGATCCAGGGCAATTCAGCCTGGAGTTGAACAAGTTGCTTTTGATCTACGACAAACTGCTTGGCTGGTGGACAGGATGTCGCATCACTTTGAGGCTGAGGACTGGGGCCCAACTGCTGTGGGATCTGGGAGAGGGGTCTTTGGCCCCAACTCTGAGAGAAGCAAGATTCTCAGTGTCTTGAAGTGCTGAGTCTCAAAGCAAGGGGCAAATCACATCTGTGATGCCCACATCAGAGGACTGAGAGCAGACAGAAGCCCTGGTCTGTGTTCTTAGGAAGACAGTGTCATTCATTTAAACTGTGTTGTCACCCACATCATAATATTTTTCTTAGGTGAATTTTCTAGAAGTGGCTCCATCAAATCAAATGCTTTTGATGTCCCATTGCCAGACTGCCTGGGTTCCAACCTTGACATTACCATCTGTAAATGATGTGACCACTGGCAGAACACATCACCTCTCTGGGCCTCAGTTTTCTCACCTGTAAAATGGGGATAACAATGATACCCACCTCCTAGGGTTGTTCTGAGAATTTAAAGCCTTATCATACTGTAGTAGAAGCTACTATTATTGTTTTTGAAATTGTTATGATTATTGTAATCAGAATGTTTTCAAGTACAGTTATGTCAATTTATGTGCCCACAAACAGGTTGTGAGAGCACCTCCTCACAACTTCAGAAATAAATAGGAAGGAAACAGGAGAGTTAGTTTCTTGTCTCAGATCTGTTTGTGACTGCTATGGTTTGAAGGTCTGTCCTCTCCAAAACTCATGTTGAAACTTAATCTTCGATGTTGCAGAATTGAGAAGTGGGGCCTTCAAGAGGTGAATGGGTGATTGGGTCATGGATTAATGAGTTACCATGGGAGCAACACTGGTGGCTTTCTAAAAAGAGAAAGAGAGACCTGAGCTAGCATCTCAGCCTCCTTGCCATGTGATGCCCTGTGCCTCCTTGGGACTCTGCAGAGAGCCTGCACCAGCAAGAAGGCCCTCACCAGATGCAGCCCCTTGATCTTGGATTTCTCAGCTTCTATAATGCTAAGGAATAAATTCATTTTCTTTATAAATTACCTACTTTCAGATGTTTTGTCATAAGCAACAGAAAACGGATTAAGTGACTCAGTGTACCATTTTGCATGCATCTTTTTTTCCCCTCACTCTATCTCAGTTTTCTCATTTTTAAAGAGGGCTCTGGTCCTATATGACCACTGAAGCTGCTTCCAGGGCAATGAATTTGTGAATAGAAATGGCCAGAAATGATGTGCTTCTTTAAACAGGACAAACATTTCTTTAACCATCTTACTGACTTTTTCAAATAGTTCAGCAAGACTTGTTTCACAGACAAATCAAAGATTAACTTCACACCTGATTTGGGATGTCTTCTGAGGTAGTTAGACTTTCTGCATTCACTTGTTCTTTAAAAAGCGTTTATTGGAAACCATCACGTGCTAGGCACTATGCTAGGGCTGGGGATATAGGAATTCATTTGTTTATTTATATATTCATCCAACGAATAAATATCTTGCACTTGGTTTGTGTCAAGCACTATTGTGGGCACTAAGAATATAGCCATGAAAAATCAGGCAAGGGTCTGGCCCTGTGGAGCATTTCAGAGGGGGAGGTGGCTAATAAATGGGGCAACAATAACAGGTTGATTTCAGACAGTAATTATGTGCCTGAAGGAAATAAACAAAGACCTTGTGTAAGAAAAGGGCCTGGGGCTGTGGGTGGTTGGGTGGAATGGGGGTGAGGGGACAGCAAAGTGTAATAGGATAAGGTAATATTTGAGAAGAGGCCTGGATAGTGGAAAGAGCTAGCCACTTGGAAACTTGGGGCACAGAGCTCCCAGGAAGGGGAACATTAAAGACACAATCCTACAATAACCAAAACAGCATGGTACTAGTAAAAAAAACAGGCACATAGACCAATGGAACAGAATAGAGAGCCGAGAAATAAGGTCACACACCTACGACCACCTGATTTTCGACAAAGCTGACAAATACAATAAATGGGAAAAAGACTCCTGTATAAGTCTGTTTTCACACTACTATAAAGAACTACCTGAGACTGGATAATTTATAAAGAAAAGAGGTTTAATTGACTCACAGCTCCACAGGCTTAACAGAAGGAATGACTGGGAGGCCTCAGGAAACTTACAATCATGGCACAAGGTGAAGGGGAAGCAAGCACATCTTACCATGGTGGAGAAGGAGAGAGAGAGAGAGAGCAAAGGGGGAAGTGCTACACACTTTTAAACAACCAAATCTTGTGAGAACTCACTATCATAAGAAGAGCAAGGGGGAAATCTGCCCCCATGATCCAATCACCTCCCACTAGGTCCCTCCCTTGACAAGTGAGGATTACAATTCGACATGAGATTTGGGTGGGGATATAGAGCCAAACCATATCAACTCTCTATTCAGTGAATGATGCTGGGATAAATGGCTAGTCATAGGCAGAAGATTGAAGCTGGACCCCTGCTCTACACCAAAAGCAATCAAAACAAAAGCCAAAATTGAAAAGTGGGGTCTAATTAAACTTAAGAGCTTCTGCACAGCAAAAGAAACTATCAACAGAGTCGACAGACAATCTACAGAATGGGAGAAAATATTTGTACACTATGCATCTGACAAAGGTCTAATATCCAGCATCTATAGGGAGCTTAAACAAATTTACAAGAGAAAAACAACCCCATTAAAAAGCGGGCAAAGGACATGAACAGACACTTTTCTAAAGACATACATGTGGCCAACAAGCATATGCCAAAAAGTCAATATCACTGATCATTAGAGAAATGCAAGTCAAAACCACAATGAGATACCATGTCACATCAGTCAGAATGGCTACTAAAAGTCCAAAAATAGCAGATGCTGGTGAGGTTGTGGAGAAGAGGGAATGCTTATGCACTGTTGGTGGGAGTGTAAATTAGTTCAACCTTTGTGAAAGACAGTGTGGTGATTCCTCAAAGAGATAAAAGCAGAAATACCATTTGACTCAGCAATCTCATTACTGGTGTTATGGGGTCTTTGGTGTGTCGTTTCACCAGCCAGAAGCCTCTGTGGTCAGTGGTGCCTTTGCCCAAGTTTTGCTCTGGCCTACTGGGTCATTCTGCTCACTTGGCCTTGGCAAGCTGCACTTGGCTTCCACTACTGGCCTGGATCTCATGTCTCCAAGGGCAAGCCTGGTGCAGAGTGGTGAGGGGTGTGAGTGAGAGTGGTGTCTGGCCATTGCGCATAGCCAGGCATGCGAGCTGCAGTGGGGTGGGCAGCTCCAGGCACTGGCATGTGTGCCAGATACCTGCGAGGCTGTGGCTGGACCAGGTGTACCATAAGCAGCTTCCACAGCTGACAGCAGGCAACGCGGTGGTGCCCAGAAGCTTGGAGACACCAGGACCCACATGACCCCAAAGAGGGAGTCACAGTCCTGGGTTGGGGAGCTCATAGGTCTGGGATTTCCAAAGGGGCACAGCTCTTCTCTTCTTCTTGTCACCAAAAACGTGGCGAGCAAGGGGCATGTTTCAGCCCGGTTTGTGTTACAGCTCTTTTAGTCCTGCCATTCAGTAGGTCCCCTGTTCTTGTCCTGCATCCAGGAAGAATGAGGTATACAGACAAGTGGAGGGTGAGCAAGATGAAGAGGAGCTTCATTGAGCAATAGGACAGCTCAGAGGAGACCTGCAGTGGGCCACTCCTCTCCATAGCCAGGGTGACCTGACAAGTGTTCAGCTCTCAGCAGAGAGGGTAGCTCCTCTTTCTCTTTGCAGCTAGTCATCTCATCATTTCTTCAGCTCTCAGCAGAGAGGGTAGCTCCTTTCTGCTAAGCAGGTCATCCCAAGAAGTGTCCAGCTCTCAGCAGAGAGGATAGTTTCTCTCTGCAGCTGGTTGTCCTGCCATCTTCTTGAGTCTGACTGAGTCTGGGGCTTTTCTGGGCCTCAGATGGGAGGAAGTGCACACTAACTGGTCCATGGGCAGCCATGGGCAGGCCCAGAAAAGGCACGACAAGTTTCCACTCTGGTTGGCAGGACTGGCAGCCTGGCCCCCCAGGCTTCAGGCCCTTCCTGTCTTGAAGGTGGAGCTTCACTGGGGAACCACCCCCTGCTGCCCAGGAGCCTGTCTGCTCCTGCCACTCTTCATGGTGCCCAGGCTGTTTGTGCCAAGGGGCACCTGCAGGCCAGTGCTGAGCTGCCTTCAGCGCCCCCTCAGCCTTCTTCCCATGCTTGTGGATGCCCAAAATCTGGAAGGGGCTGGCATTTCAGTGCTGCCCCAAGCATACGCACATCCAGGAAGGTTGCAACAGTACCAGGGCTCGGCCTCAACTTTGCTCTGTGATTGGAGTGGGTACTGACAATGGGGAGAGGCCAGGTAGTGGGAGCAGATACCTCCAAGCCTGAAGGGGTAATGTGGGGCCTTCCTGGGCCCCCAAGAATCCAGAGATGCCTGGGTCTGCAGCTGCAACTTGGGCGACTGCAGCCATGCCCAGGAAGGCAGGGATCCTGTCTGCTTCCAGCTCCTGCTGGCTCCGTGGAGCATGGCACCATCCCAGGCCCAGCTCCGCCTTGGGGCCCCTCTCTGCCCACCCCTCTGTGCCCGGCCATGCTGTTCCCCTACTGGTGGGTGACTCAGCCTGGCTGCATCACAGTGGCTCCAAGGGCAGCAGGTGAGGTGCAGATGGTGTCACAAACAAACCCAACACTTGTGGGACCGCAGGACGGTGCCGGGAGCAAGGTTGAGGCTGCAGCAGAGGCTCTGGGTCTGGGAATGGGTCCTGCCTGGCCATGCAAGGGTGGAGGTGGTGCAGTTGATGGCCTTGGGGACTGCCACTTTTGCTCCCACAGCTGCTCCTGCCATTACCACTCATGCCTCTCTACTGCAGCTGGTGTGATGGCAGCAGCTGCTCTGGGTGGGTATATACCCAGAAGGATATAAATCATTCTACCATAAAGACTCATGTACATGAATTTTCATTGCAGTACTATTCACAATATCAAAGACATGGAATCAACCTAAATGCCCATCAGTGACAGATTGGATAAAGAAAACATGGTACATAGACACTGTGGAATACTATGCAGCCATAAAAAAGAATGAGATCACATCTTTTGCAGGAACACGGTTGGAGCTGGAGGCTGTTATCCTTAGCAAACTAATGCAGGAATAGAAAACCAAATACTGCATGTTCTCACTTATAAGTGGGAACTACATGATAAGAACTTATGAACACAAAGAAGGAAACAACAGACACTGTGGTCTACTTGAGGGAGGAAGGTGGGAGGAGGGAGATGAGCAGAAAATGTAACTATTGGGTACGGGCTTAATACCTGGGTGATGAACTAATCTGTACAACAAAACCCCATGACATGAGTTTACCTATGTAACAATGTAAGGTATTGTTACACACATGTACCCCTGAACCTAAAATAAAAGTTTAAAAAAAAGACACAGTACTGGAGGTAGGATTTAAAAGAAAATCTTAAAAGATAATTTAATGCAGGAGAATCAGTTGGTTAGCTCTGTAATGGGAGATTGCACGGGGGAGTAACTAAAAGCATGCACTATGGAGCACAATTTTCTGGGATTCAGTCCTGGCTCAGCTGCTAACTGTGTGACCTTGGGAACCTAACCTCTTTGTGCCTCAGTTTCCTAATCTGTAAAATTAGGCTGATAACAGAATCATAGTCTTGTAATAAGGGTTAAAGATATAATCTATGTACAGTGCCTAGTCCAATTTCTAGCACACAGAAGGTACTGCATAAATGTTAGCTATTATTATGTTTCTGAAAGCTCACTTGGGTACACATAACATGGGGCAAGACCAGAGGGTGGAGACCAGTTAGATGGTCACTGAGGTCCCTTCCAGACCAGTAAATTTCTGAATAAAGCTTTGAAAACTAGTTGCTCACTTTTAAGTAGCTCACTTCCTGTCTTGTTTACATTAAGAGACAGCAGAATATTTTTTCCAGATAATGCAAATGTGTCCAGAATTAGTTCTAATTTGAATTAATAAGATTTTATTATACTTTTAAATACAAATCTCTCAATATTCCCCATGAAAATATAAAAAAATATTCAATATTTAGAAAGTCTATTTGAGTTTTAGAAGGCTCTTACCATAGTATAACATAAGGGGAAATTGTGAACTAGACAAAATTCCTACTTTGTACATCCAGAATCTTTTCATGACCCTGTCTTAAGAGTCCCAGCAAACAAAGTTTCCAGAGCTCTCCTGTTTGCCCAGGGTCCCCCAGGTTGACCTTTCTTGTCACTCAAGTAAGAGACCCAATGTTAAAAATCAAGCAGTCCAACACCTCCTTTTTGTAATGAGGAAAGTGAGCCTAGAAAGTAGAAGGGGCTTCTCTAGGAATCCTATTAGGAATATGTTTTGGGGGCAAGGACATCTCCCTACTACCCCTAAAAGCACAGCATATGACAAGCAGTTGCCCTTCCAAAGAAAGCTAAGACTAATTTTGCCAATAATGTATTCATTTAATCATAAATGAATTGCAAATAATTTGCCAATAATGAATTCATTTAATAAGTGAATTTGATATTTATTGAATTTAATAATTCATTAATTTGTAGAATGAATAAAATAATAAATGGATTATTTAATAACATCAATTACTATTAAAATTATTAATTATTTAATGACATTAATTATTAAACAATCCATTTACTATTGATAATATTTAATAACATTATTAAATATTACCAACAATATGATTACTTATTAATAATTATTTAATAACATTAATTATTAAATAATTCATTTATTATTTTATTCATTCTACAAACACGTATCTGTGCCTACCGTATTCCAGGTAATGTGCAAGCCCTGGAGATATAAAGGGGAATACAACAGCATATAGTTGATTCTTGTTTGTTAAAATTCACCCTGACAATATCTGCCTTTTAATTGGGGCTATTTAGACTATTTACATTTAATGTGACAGATACAGCTGGGCTTAAAAATACTGTCTAATTATTTGCTTTCTATTTGTCTTATCTGTTCTTTGTTCCTTGTTTCCTCTGCCTTCATTTCAATTTATTGGATATTTTTAATGATTCCCTTTTATCTCATTTTTGGCTTATAAATTGTACCATTTTAAAGGTAGTTGCTTTCACTTACCTACTTACAGGTAATATTGTATCACCTCTCATATTGTGAGGGAAACTTGAAGCAGTATACTTCCATTTTCCTTCTCCTATACTTTTTGTTATTTTTGTTACATGTCATGAAACCTAATATATATTGTTATTATTTTTTCTTTAAACATTTTATCTTTTTTAAATTTTAATTTTAACTTCCAGGGTACATGTGCAGGATGTGCAGGTTTGTTACATAGGTAAATGTGTGCCATGGTGGTTTGCTGCACCTGGCAACCCATCACCTACATATTAAGCCCAATATGCATTAGCTATTTTTCCTAATGCTCTCTCTCCCTCCACACTACCCCTCGACAGGTCTCAGTGTGTGTTGTTCCCCTCTCTGTGTCAATGTGATCTCATTGTTTAGCTCCCACTCATAAGTGAGAACATGCGATGTTTGGTTTTCTTTTCCTGTGTTTGTTGAAGATAATGGCTTCAACCTCCAACCATGTCCCTGCAAAGGACATGATCTCATTCCTTTTTATGGCTGCATAGTATTCCATGGTGTATATGTATCACATGTTATTTATGCAGTCTATCCTTGATGGGCATTTAGGTTGATTCCATATCTTTGCTATTGTGAATAATGCTGCAGTGAACATATGTGTGCATTTGATTATTTTTTAAAGTTATTTTGAAAAATTAGAAAAATGGTTTCTATACATATCTACATATCTGGCATTTCTGATGTGCTTCAGTGCTTGACATAGATCCAGATTTCTCTTTGATATTATTTTCCTTCTTCCTGAAGGGTTTTCTTTAACATTTTATATAGTTATATAGAGATCTGCTGGTGATGAATTCTTTCATCTCATCAAGAACAGACCAGTGTGTGACCTAATGAACACAGTAGGTGGCATCTTTTCAAAGCCTTAGTGCCCTGGTCTGCCTGGTTGTTGGATGGCTGTGTGTGAGCTTCCCATGATTTGTCTCTCTGTTTTTTCAGCCTGTGGGCCTATGTGACAGAATCAATTATTTGAAGCATTTTCATTGCTTTATACCCTTAGCTCTGTAACTGCACAGTTTTTAAAGCTGAAGACATATTATTAATAATGTTGTTAAGATAGCTCATCACTCTCACTACTTAGGCAACTGATTCTGTTTTCCCCATCTGTGAAATGGGAATTGTGGTCTTTGTCCTTTTCCTTTACAAATCTGTTTACATTTCATAACCTTCTTTTTCATTTTTTCTGTATCTCTCCCTCTCTAGCTCTTTCCCTCAGTTGAAATTTGCTGTGTGTGTCTGAGTTGCAGACACTGCACAGTGTACCACCTTGCTCCCAATGGTCTCTAAACATGTCCTTCTCCTGGCCTGGCCTGCATGAGAGTTTAAGGGAGGAATTTGAGCACCTGGCTATGGCTGACTTGCTGAGTGACCTTGGTCAGTTGAGTTTTTGTTCTGGGATTCCATTTTGTCATCTGTGAAAGGGTCACAGCTAGAAGTTAGCTATTCTTTAGGGAGTCAACATGGTCATTGATTCTGATCCTGAAGTTGAAAGCAGATGAATCCTGAACAGTCCAGGGCTTTGTCTCTGTCCTCGGGGACTCATCCATGAGTGTAGCCTCCTGCTAGTGTCCCTGTCACTGCCTCTAGTTCCAAACTCTGCCTGGGCCAAGGGGTTCTTCAGGGCAGAGCTATCCCTGCCTTCAGTACTGCTCTCACCACTGAGGCTGCTCCGCCTTTATGCAAGTGGGATCCCAATGCGACAGCCTTTCAGTCCCACCTAATGACACATGTCAGAACACACAAGTTTACCCACAATGGGACTAAGCATTACTTTCCAACCCCTTTCTGACATACTCACTATTCTCAGCATTTTTAGCCACTTGACTCTCCTTAGTAGGCAAGGCCTGTGTTCGCTTCTCCTTCCTCTGTGAAAATTATCAGAATCAAAATGGAGTCACTAGTGCTAAAACAGAAAGCAAAACAAACAAACAAACAAAAAAACAACCCTGACAGAGCCAGGCAAGGCCAAGAAGGGAAAGTTCTCGTACTTGTATATAAGTTGACAAAATTATCATAAAAGACTGCAAAAATCACAGCCTTGCACAAAGGCCATTGTAGCCTTACACAAAAAATACTTTTGTGAGGACATCTGCCCAGCAATCTTGGACTGGCATCATCCTTGTTATTGATCTTTGCAGCTTTGAAATAATTATTTCAAAACAATTATGTAATCTTTCTCATTTTCCCTTTAAAAACCTTTGTCTTCCTTTACTTCCATGAAAATGAACATGGTTTACTATAGCATGCATATTCCCATTGCAGTGCCCTCCTCCTTGAATAAATATCACCAAATATCTTTTTCTTGTAGAGAGGCTCTTCAAAGAGCCTCTCTCTTCGTGATTTAGGTTGACACCCTCAGTGGAAGTCTCATTTCAGAGGACTAATTATCTTTCCTATCCCTGAGCCTCAGGCAGATTGACCTAGACCTTTCTGATGTGTTTTAAGAGCTTTGAACCGGAGAGAACAGACATTGATCTGCTTATTTCTTCCCTCCCAGAAGGCCCTGGGCTACTTAGGCAAATTACTCACTTCAAACCCCACTATCCTTCAAGTCCATGGTTTAATAGCTTCTCTTACAGAAAAAAATAGAAACAAAACCAAAAACGACGACAATAAAAACCAAGACAAGCTCCAAGTCACTGGATACCCTGCAACATAAAAAAATAGGTTTTCTAGTTCAAGACAGGAATTTCAAGTATTTTCTAAGTAATGTGCATGAGCCTTTTGCTATATACAAATTACACCATTCATTCCTCATTGTAGCACTGTGAAGGAGGTACCTGTATCAGAATGGGTACAATCAGGAGACAAATTACATAGTAATTTAAACAGGGGAAGTTTAATTTAAAATTATTTACTCTAACAGGGTAAATAATTTTAGTAAAGTTGAAAAGAGAGCTCTGAAGAATTCCCTAAGGCTAAGGGGGAGTATCCAAGGAAGGACACCCTTGGAAGCGGGGGCTCTTCTTTCAAAGATGAGCTTCAGACCATATTGGAGAATGTGTACTTGCAGCCTGCTGGATGGCAGAGAAATTCACTGGGTTGTTTACTGAAGTTGTGGGGCAAGCAGGAAAAATGCTCCAGAGTTCAGGTAAGATGAAGCTAGTGGGCAGGCACGGGTACATAGACGTTGTTGTTACTGTGCTGTGAGCGTGAGGCCTGGATTGCATGGTGTCTGTGTCAGGAAGGGGGTAGGGCACAGTCAGGGCCACCAGATGTGGGCTGGGGCTATAAGGTTGCTGAGTGGCCATGTGCTCTGGGCCTTTGCTCTGCCTCCTGCAGTGTCTTTCCAGAGATCTCTAATGACAAAGCGTAACAATGTGATCACTGTAAAGAATAAATCCATTATTGGACTTAAAGAGTTCAGTCCATCATTGCAGAGCAGGTCCTGAAGGGTGAATTTCAAGGTCAGAGGCAGTAAGTTCATAACTGCACTGTGCACCCCTGTGGCTACTCAGTTTCCACATTATTCTACACGCATTTGAACACTGGTGCTACAACAAACTACTTAAGTCCATCTGACTTCCTTCCTGGAAGTGAAGAAATTCTCACCTTTTCCCACAGTGGGAAGATGTATAGTCCTAATAGTCACTGATTAATCATTGGCTATATTAATTGCTGCTGAAATTTGGTGATGGTTTCCATGGAATGGTCTGTGACCCAAAGATTAATCTCCAACAACTTTTATATAAAATAAAAACGGGAAGAGGAGTAACTAGAAGACAATGCTTAGTATATACAGAGAAACACATGCATAAACAAACAGGGAGACAACAGGCAAAGCTATTGTGGTTCTTGATTCTGTAATTGGTCGCAAAGCCATAGTAGATATCCACAGCTTCCTTCTTCCACGAGTTATTCCATATTTCCATTGTCAGTTCGAATTGCAGGTGGTTGGGGTTCTTTACTTGGGTAGTGTGGCCCAAACCTTAATTTCTGAAAGGCCTGAGTCCTCCTTTATTCTGCCTTGTTTGGTTGCTGTAATTTTCCATTAACCATTACTTTGGGGCATGGGAGTGCTAAGAGGTGTGCCAGAGAACTCCTCTGGGTTGTACACATAGCCCTTCTTGCTTCTATTGTGCAGCGGCAAGCCAAGTTCTCCATGGTAATTGGAATAAATCACTCCAGGTAGTAGAGTAAAGCTTTCTTGGCTGGTTGGTTTGGTGGCATGGGAGCCCCACGTGGCCAGGTGGCCGACTCATCTTCTAATTCACTAGCATCATGGGTGTGTTCCTTGTTGTGTTTCTCACTTGAGGACTAAACTCAGAAAACTAAGCTAGAAGAACTCAATGTTGCCAGAATGGGAAGCAAAGACTCTGTGGGTGGGTTATGAGGTGTAATCCTGTCACAAGTTATGCCCACTTCCACCTCCTGTCTCCTGAGCTCGGGTGTTCCATCTAGGGGACTCAGTGTTTGTCTCTGCTATTGGTAGGTTAGGTTCTCAGTGATAGCAATAGCAGTAGCAGCCTTGATAAGGGGAGGTCCATGTTGTTGAACCCATCCGTAGCCTCTGTCCCTGCCACCATGGCCATGTCACTCCTGTTTCCTTTGCTGCTTTAAGCCAATTCATGATGGGGTGCTTTGTTATGCAACAAAAGCTCACCAATACATTTTAAAAGGTGCCTGATTTTTAAATATTTTCTGTACTGGGTTGGGAAATCTGGACTTTATAACAGTGCCTTAGTGCAGGTCTGAAGCCAGATGCCCAGAGTTCAAATCTCAGTTCTGCCACCTACTACCGGTGCCTGGGATTGAGGGCTCTGGGGACAGTGTTTACCCTCAGGTTGGCTTTGCAACCCAGACCTGGGCAAGACAGACAGGCAGGCTCCTGGAGGCAGCTCAGGGTCACTTGGGCAGAGGATTTCAGGGTCCCAGAATGATATGTAAAGGGGGTTACAGTCTGTCTGGGCCCTTCCCTTTGGCCTTGCAGATTCTTCACCCCATGGGGCAGAGCATGGTGGGAGACAGCCCAGATGCGACCCTCCAAAGCACAGGGGACTCTGGTATCCTGGCTTAAGGGCAGTTCTACCCTAAACATTTGTCACCTCCCTTCCCCAACCCTTGCCATAGCTCCAAGATCCAGGCCATTGAACAGGTCACTTCACTCTGCTTACTTCCGTTTCCTCGTCTGTGAATTGTGGACAATAATAGAATCTATACTTCCTGGGTTGTAGAGGGGATGCAATGAACACATAAATATAAAAATCTTAGAATAGTGCCTGGCCCATCATAAGTGCTCAGGAAATGCTGGTTACTAATTGCGAGCCAGCATTGTGGGTTCGCACTTGTTCTGTCTGCAGACCTTGGGGACTCTGGCTCACATCAGCAGACTCAGACCTGCATGGCTGGCTGAGGAGTTTGCCCATGATTCTCACCCTGTGACGAATGCTCCTGCCAGGCCATCCCTGGGCCTAACTGGATCCCTGATGCTGGCCCTAGCCTGCACAGGCTCACCTAGCTGTCCTGTGGTGGCATAGTCTCCTCTCCCTCATACAGCTGAGACCGCTTGGTTTTAAAATAAACATCTGCAACATATGTGGAGCTCCAGGGTAGAACAAAGTTCCAGAGGCACAGAGGTAGTAGCCGTATTGGTGGTTGTTTCTCTAAGCACCTGGAGCTTTTGGGTAATGACTGCACTTAAAATGATGGTGATGAAATTAGCAATGACTTTCACAGACTGTTTGGCTTTATGAGAAGTCAATAAAGCTTCGAGCCACTCCCTGTAACTGGGTCCCTTTAGTCTGCTCTAGATAAGCATCAAGATCTTTGTTCCCCCCACCCACAGCCCAGCCTCAGAGCCTGGGGCTTCTAATTATGGTGAGCCTAAGGGCAGCCTCTTTCGGGGGCTGAAATGGTTTGGCTGTGTTCCCCCCCAGATCTCATCTTGAATTTCCACATGTTGTGGGAGGGACTCGGTGGGAGGTAACTGAATCACAGGAGCAGGTCTTTCCTGTGCTATTCTCATGATAGTCAACAAGTCTCACGAGATCTGATGGTTTTCTAAGGGGGAGTTTCCCTGCACAAGCTCTCTCTTTGCCTTCTGCCATCCATGTAAGACGTGACTTGCTCCTCCTTGCCTTCTGCCATGATTGCGCGGCCTTCCCAGCCATGTGGAACTGTGAATCCATTAAACCTTCTTCCTGTGTAAATTACCCAGTCTTGGGTATGTCTTTATTAGCAGAGTTAAACTGACGAATACAGGGGCCTAAGAAAGGAGGATGTGTGAGGCATCAGTGTCCTTGGGTGGGGCCGAGGTGCATGATGCAGGAATCAGGGGATGTGATGAGCTCTTTTCATCCTTTCAGTGAATTTATGGGAAAATTGTGGCATTCTCCCCATTTTATGGACGAGGAAACTGCAGCTCAACCTGCCCAAGGTCATAGGGGTCAGCAGTTGTGACCAGGGTCACTTCTGCTCTGGGCACTTTCCCCTGCTCCCATTTAACACTCACCCAGCCTTAGACCATCACTGTTGCAACTCCTGCTTTAGAGGTGATGTAGTGAGGCTCAGGAGGGACCAGAATTGTGGTCCATGCCCCCTTTAGGCCTCCTTAACCCCAATGTCTCTGTAACTGATGCCCCCTTTTCTTTTGTAGTGTTATTGACTTAATGGGGCCCACAGCTGGGCCTGTTGTGACAACAAAAAATAAGCCTTGCTTCTTGAAGGCCCAGGGGAGCCTTAGGACAAGCAAGCACATAACAGGATACAGGAACCCCTGTGATCCCAACTAAAGGGTAAAAGGGGCCAGGAAGGCTCAGATGGAGCCTGACTCAGGTCTCCAGAGAGGGGGCTAAACAGGATTCAAGGGGAGATCTAAGGACACTAACACAACAACTCCCTGGAGCTCCCTTTGTGTGCAGACATCCTGAGGAATCAAGTCTAGTTGTGGTTCTGACGAAACCAGCCACCGCTGCCGCCACTACCACGAGCACCACTAGCACCAGCAGCATCACCAGCACCACCAGCACCATCACAACAGCCATCTTGGTTCCATGCTTGCACAAGAGGACTTCCAGCACAGAGCAGGACCACATATCCCTGACCTTTTCCTGTCCTCAGGGCCCACCTGGAAAATGACAGCATTTACAGGGCATGCTGCTGCCTGTGTGAGGACCTTCAGCTAGGATCTCTGGCTCCTCAGCCCAGCCCCAGCCCCACCTGGCAGCTCCAAAGACTACCCCATATATAACCACCCCCTCAGCACAAGCCAGAAGCTCCAGATGGACGTGGAGAAGGCAGGCTGTGAGCAGTCTGGCTGGGTGTGGACCTTCAGCTGCACCTGGGCCTGGGGTGTGGGCTCTGGGAACAGTGTTTACCCTCAGGTCTCCTTTGCAACCTAGACCCTGGCAAGATGGACAGGCAGGCTCCTGGAGGCAGCTCAGGGTCACTTGGGCACGGAATTCTAGGGTCCCAGAATGAGATCTAAAGGGGGTCACAGTCTGTCTGGGCCCTTCCCTTTGGCCCTGCCACAGCTCCGAGACCCAAACAAGCCTACCCAGTGGACAGCTCCTTGCCAGAGCTGCACCCACCTCCCTTCTTTCAGCTCCCCCACCCCAGCTTGCCTCCTGATCTGCTGGGCTCTGCTGGAAGGGGAGTACGGCTGATGGAACTCGGTGGAATTCCCTAAAAATGAATCCTCTAGAAACCCTGCATATCAACCCTTCATCATGCACTGTTGACTCTAAGCATTTTATAGCAGAGGGATGGGGAAAGAAAAAAAAACACCAGACTTATGTTTATTGAGATAAATATTGAGAGTCTGAGGCAAAAATGTTACAAATGCATCTACTGCTGCTTGTTGACAAGTGCACACTGCCTGACAAGTGAGTTTTCATAGCTCCCTGGAGGTGTCTCTGCAGAGAGAGGCGGCACCATTCCCCACCCCCTCAGGCTGTTGGTGTTCAGGCTGCAGGACAGCCCGACACTATTTACTTGAGGTCCCACTGATCCCATCACTGATCCCATACAGACCAACTTGTACCACCTTCAGGCTCTGCAGCCGGGCGCAGTTCACTCAAGCCAGAGTTGATTTCTTTCCCATCATTTCCTCCTGTTGGAGAAGTAGGGGTGGGAGCAATACCTGCCGAGAGCCTTCTGTGTTCGGGACCATTTACCTGGAATCCCTCTGAGCATCATCACGGCCACTCTGTGAGGGAGGAGACAGACTGTGCTGGAGAGGGGTCACTCACTCTCTCCTGCACCTGTTCACCCTCTGCTGGGCATCTCTGTGCCCTGGACTCTGTACTAGGCATGGGAATGCAGCAGTGACCCCGATGCTCTCAGAACCTGCACTTAGAGGCTAAAGGGGGAGGGGCCCCTTATGACCAGAGGGGCACACAGGAGGCCGGGACCAAACCCAGGCTGGGGGATCTCAGGGGTTTCCCCAGGGAGTGTGAGACTGAGATTGAGGAGGCATAGGCATTAGCCAGGTGAGGAAAGTAGAAAGGGGGTTGCGGGCAGAGGGAGCAATACTTCAGAGGCCTGGAGGCAAGAGAAAATTTAAAAAGCTCCGGGTACAGAAAACAGGTCAGAGGGGACCTTTGCCAAGGTCACAGGCTAGAGAGGGCAAACCCAGGATCCTCACCCAGTCTAAGTGGCAAGCACAGGGCTCTTCACCACTGTGATGAATGGGTCAGTCTTTGCAGCAAACTCTGAGGAAAGAGTGAATTCCCTGAACTCCAGGGGCCGGGGGGTGCCAGTCATCAGGGATGTGGCCAAGGGCAGGGTCATAGATCACCCAGGAAACTCATTAAGGTGCAGATTCAGATTCTGGTCTGGGGTGGGGCCTGGCATTCTGCATTTCTGACAAGTCTCCAGATGATGCCCATGGGCCAGCAACACCCCCTGAGCCATGAGGGACTAGAACACAGGACCCAGCCAGTCTGACTCCACGCTGGGCAGTCAACGTTCACAGTGGGCACTGGGAGCCCCTACCCAGCAGGTGGGGCCATCCAGGAGGCTTCCTGGAAGAGGGTGGGGCCTAATCTGAATTCTCAGAGGTGGCCCCGATAGGGGAGGGAGGGCGAGTTTCCAGGCGGGAGAGGCTGAGCGGCTCCTTCTGTTTCTGGTTCCCACGGCTGGTGAGGAGCGGAGGATGCTCACAGCAGCTCACATAGAGCCTCTGCTGGTCCCTGGGCTGAGATGCTGGGATTCTCCCTGCCTTCTGCCATCTGGAGCGTGTCCAGCTCAGCATGAAAGGGCCATGTAAGAAATATTCTGCACTAAAAAGCTCCAGGGTGCAGAGTAATTTGCTTCTGATTAAGTAAAATGTCATAGGTCACCGTGTGACCATTTTTAATATTGAATCTTTTCTGAGTGCCCTCACTCCCACAACCTATTAATTGCCAATTTTCTCCTCTGCCTCCAGTTCTAATTTGCATCGGAAGCAAGGCCACTTAGTCCCCACACCGCCCCCCTTCCCTTTTTCCTTCTATCCACAACTCGTGAGCTTCTGCTATGAGTCCTCAATGTCCTAGGCCCAGGGAGCCTCCTAGAGCTTCCTGCCCAGGAAAGGTGACAGAAGATGGAGATAAAGATGTGATGCCTGCCTGCTCTTGAGGGTCTGGCTCCATCATGGGACCCTGAGGGTGGAGGTGGGTGAGGGGACAATGCAGAAATTAACAATCCAAGGACACTTCCACGGGCCTGTGAAAGCAAAATGTCTAGAGCAACTGGCCCTAAGGATCACGGGGGCTTCCTAGAGCAGAAGACTTCTGAGCTTAACAGACAAATGCCAGGGCAGAGCATGTCAAAGGGATGCATTTCCAAGGTCATACTGATTGAACAGATGGGTGAATGAATGAATGACTGAATCTAATCCAGACCCTCCACTTGGCAGCAGAGCTGGGCCTGGTGCCCACCAGGGAATTGTGTGCTCTCTCTGCCCCATTGGAATATAGCTCTCCACAAGGACAGTGACTCAGCCATTCTTAGTCTTCACTGTACCCCTTGCATCCAGCATAAGGTCTGGTGTGTAGTAGATATGCTCCATCCCCGAAGCCCAAGGCCTTGGGCTTCTCTGTCCTTGGTTTGCTCACAGCTTTTAAGAGGCAGCAGAGTTGTAGAGAAGGGCACAGCCCTGGGCCCAAACCTCACCATTGCCCCTTGGTAGCTGTCTGACTTTGAGCAAGTCACTGAACCTCTCTGGGCCTCAGTGGGATGTTATAAAAATACCTACCTTGTGATAGTTTGCTTGCTAAAGAACTTTGAGTCTCCATGCCTCCCTGTGTTCACATCTCTTGCAATATGAGTCTTCAGCTCACTTCCTATTAAGAAGTGGAATCTCTGTCCCTACCTCTTGAATTTGGCCTTGTGATTTATTCTGGACAATAGAATGGGGTGGAAGCAGCAGCCTAGGCCTCCAGAGGCCTTGAACACTTTCACTGACTCTCTTGAATCCCTGTGACCTCCAGAACAAGCCTGGGCCAGCCTGCTGGAGGCCGAAAGACCCTGTGGAGCTGAGCTGACTCTGCCCCTCTGTCTTTGCTATGACCAGCACAGCCAACCCACAGCTGACCCCTGGGCTGACCACAGTTGCACGAGCAAGCCCAGCCCAAATCAGAAGGTTGTGCAGCTGCAGCCTTGTAAGTAAGTTCAGTAAATGCTACTGGTTGTGTTAAAAGAAAAACTTCAGCTGAATTAAATTTAAAGGAGTTATATTGAACAATGAATGATTCAGGAATTGGGCAGCCCCAAGAATCACAGCAGATTCAGAGAGACTCCGGGGATGCCTTGTGGTCAGAACAAATTTATAGACAAAAAAAGGCAAGTGATGTACAGAAATCAGAAGTAACAGAAACAGCTGGATTGGTTGTAGCTCGGCATGTGCCCCGTTTGAATACGGTTTGTATACTCAGCAGTGTATGAATGGCTGAAGTATGGCTTCTGGGATTGGCCAAGACTCACCTGTTGTTACAGGAGCATACTCCTAAGTTAGGTTTTCAATCTTGTCTACCTATTAAGGAGGTTTGCAGTTTGTCCACAAGGACTCAAATATAGGCGTACAGAGTACTTCTCAGGCCCTACTTAGTTTGCTTTAACAGTCAAAAGCGTTGCATTTTCTAGCAGTTGCCTAGCATCATTTTGGCTGATCCATCTCCACAGAGTTCTTGTGAAGAGGAAATAAACTAGCAGGACATGAAGGACCAGAACCACAGTAGGTCCGCAATAGCATTTGCTGTAGTTATCAACCACCCGGCTGCCCGGCTGTCTGGTGGTGCTTGTCTTTGTCATCGGATGAGGGTCTGGGTGGGTAATGCCCTCTGTGCACAATGACTCCTCCTCACGTCTTCACCAGCCTGGCATGGTGGTGCTGCTGCTTAGTGGCTGTGTGACCTTGGGAAAGTATCTTCCCTTCTTTGAGCTTCAGGATGGGGACGAGGATGTCAGCTTTGCTGAGCCAGGAGCCTCCTTCTACAGCTGCTACCACCTGAGCCGAGCCTACTCAGCTTCCTGCTCCCGATGTGCAAACGTGGGACTCAGAATAGGAGGACTTGGGGGCCAGCTGAAAGGGCACCCCTTGTGGGTGGCCAAGAAGGACCATGTGTCAGCAATGATCACATGAGTGGGAGGGACATGAGACTGTAAGGCCTGGCCCCACCTCACACCCACAATGCCACTCATGTCCTTTCCTCAGACCCCTTTGACTGGCATGAAGGAGCTTTGATGCTTATGTGGAAACATTCCTGGCTGAGACCTGAGACCTGTCTTTTCTTTGCACCAGACAAGAGAGACCTCCGATCTCCTTTTCACAGTACCTCGTGCACCGAGCATAAGGCCTGGAGCATGGCAGGAGGTCTGCTGCAGGTAGGAATTGAATGGCTGAATGAAGACCACGCAGATGTGGATGCTCATTGTTCCCATCTCCTCCTCTGGAAGCCATGTGTCTCCCTCTAAGCCAGGCTGGTCACTCCTTCCTTCAGACTTCACTGTCCCCCCACTTTCCTCCATCACAATTCATCTCATCGTGACCTCAGGATTTTTCTGGAAACACAACTATTGTCCCATCAATCCTCTCCCTGTCCTTTGGCCCCACTGAAAACTCTTGAATGGGATGTTGCTATTCTTGGGACAAAGATCCAAATCCCTAAGGTGGCATCTGAGGCCCCTTAGATGTCTGGCCCTCACCTCTCCACCCCCAGCCTCGTTTCACAGCCCCTACTGACCCCCTGCCCTCCAACCACACAGGCCTTGGAGTTCTTCATGGTTGCTGACAGCTGGCCATCATGACAGGGCCTCTGCACATGCTGTTCCCTGGCTGAAACCCTCTCCCTTCCCCACCCTCACTTGCCAACTCCTATTCTCCTTTCAGATCCCAGTTCAGCCATTCCAGTCCTCAGGTAAGGCTTCCTTGGTCTCCTTCAAATCTCCCCACTTCTTCACTGCATGTGTAAGCTCACACTTCTTTGTGTGACGTATTGATTAGTGTCTGTCTCTCCCTCTAGACTGTGAGCCTTATCAGGCAGGGACCAGTATGGTTTTGCTTAATTTCCCTAACACAGTGGCTGTCCCACTGTAGGTGCTCAACAAAAGTGTCAATAAATAAGCGGATGCTGTCCCTGCAGGGTTTTCTCTGATTCGTGTGCTTCTCTCCCAAGACAGGCTTCCCCCAAGGGCTGGAATCTGCCTCAGCCATCCCCATCACCCACACAGTCCAGTGCCCACCTCAGGGTCTGCGTCTAGTAGGCATCAATAAACGTCCGTCTACGGGAGGGAGGGAGGGAGAGCATGGCGGAAAGGAGATTTGAGATTTTAAAGAATCGCTGGCTCAGCTTCCTGGGCCTACCTCTGGAAAGCTGATCTGTGCAGAGAATCGGTGAGCTTTCCACCCAGACAGGCATCAGGCTGCCCAACTAGCCCCAGCTTAGGGGGCCCCACCCACACATCAAGAATACCCCTGGGCAGCTGAGCTGATGTGTATTTTCATGTCCAGGTGATGTTGTTTTGCTTCTGCAGGCTCATCACGGAGAAATGGGCTCCAGGGGCAGAGCAAGAAAGAGAAAGGGTCTAATGTTCCCAACTAAGGACATAACGGGGGGATTCTTACCTCTGAAGAACACTGCTGGCATGGGGGAATTTGCAACGGAAATCACAAGGCCTTTTGGCTGTGCAGTTCTCAGCTGATGAGGTGCTTTGCAGCAATTGTCTGTGTGGCTGGTGGGGCTGACTGGCTGATGGAATGTGGTCTAATGGCCTCATCAGAAGCACTTGTGAGACCATGGTCCCCCTCACAGCAGATGGGCAAAGGCGCTGCTCCCATTCAGGTGCACCTGGTCCGGAAACCAAGTGAACAGGAAGTTCCCAGTAGCTCCTGCTCTACCCAACCCACCACCTCTACCTGGGAGCTGCCTCCCTCCCATCCTGCCTGGATGTAGCTCCACCTGTTCTGGGGAGAGGGTCTTGGGGAGATCCAGGAAGACCTTGACTCTCTTTGTGGAGAAATCCAGAGTCCTAAAGATTTGGGAGCAGCAAACTGCAGGCTATGCCTCCCTCCCTGCATGCTCTTCCTCTCCAGTGTGTCCTTCAGGGCCCAGATTGGGGTCTCCCTCCTCCAGCAAGCCCTCCCTGATGCCTCCAGCCCACGCTGGCCTCTTCCTTTCCAAACTCTGTCCCCTTGCTCTGTGGGGCAGTAGGGGGGTGGGGAGGAGAATGGGCCTTAGTGGCAGAAGCTTGGGTTTGGGCCTCCTCTGCCATCCCAGGCTGTGTGACCTTGGGCAAATCACTTGACTTCTCAGGGACTCCATTTCCTCCAGGTATAATGATGTATTTGAGTTTATTCATTCATGCATGTGTGCATGCATTCTATGGCGATGGAAATAAAAGTATGGTTTTGTTAAAGCACAGTGGCCAGTGGGAATGTGAGGGATGATGTTCTGGCTCAGCTCCCCTCCTGGGACACTTGCCCTCAGTGTCCTCGGCAGAGTTCCCACCCTTCTGAGCATCCTGGGACCCACCTGATGACACATGTTCAGGAAGCTGGCTCCCTGGCAGGATGTGGGGGATTCTGGGACCTCTGCTCCCCCGAAAGCCCAGGATGCAGTGGATGGAGCACTGGCCTGGGAGTCAGAGTCCATTCTTCTAAATCATGAGTCATCTTGGGAAGGTCACATCACCTTGAGTATCCTCTGTTTCCTCTGTAACGTGGGGATAGTGCCCCAGGTCACGGCTGGTCAGTGGCAGATTTCAGATGGGATTTCAGTGCAGGCCTGTTGAGCTCCGAAGTCCAGTCTTCTCTTTTGGACTCATTGTCTGTACATTGTAAAGTGTTGGGGACATGCATAGAGTTAATGTGATTATCCTTTTATTGCAGTATCCTGTAGCCCAAGAGAGTCATGTCTAGTCCCAGATGAATAGCCTTAAGCTCATTTCTCCCCATGGTGCTGCTCCCACACACAAATACTGACTGCTTCCCTGAGCCTAGCCATTCTCTTCCAAGGGCCCAAGGAGCAGGTGCTGCTGCTTTGGGGAAGCAGGTGTTTGCTCGTTTGTTGGTCTCTGCTTTGAGGTCCCAGTTAGGTTATTTGTAGCACGAGGGCTCCTGAGAAAGGGGAAGAGTGCTGAGAGGCCAGGGGAGGTAGGGATTTTGGGGTTCATTTATTTTATTTTTCACAGATGTTTACCTAGCTCCTGTATGCACCAGGCACTGTGCTTCCCCTGGTGGTGGCTAGAGAGCAGGATTAGGACCTTTGAGCTGTAGGTGTTAGAAACACAACCCAAAATGGCTGCAACAGAAGGGGGAACAGATTGGCTCATGGAACTGGGAAGTCTCGGGGGGCTGCTGGCTTTAGCCTTGCCTTGCTCTGGGGTCAGGCAGTGGGTTTGTGCAGGCAGTGTTTTGGCACTGGGCACATAGCAGGGAGCAAAACAGAGAGGGTCTCTGTCTTCATGGGTCTCACAGTCAATGTGACTAGGACATGTGCATGCTTCCTCTCTATGTCTCACTTTCTCCACCTTTTCTTGCTGTATTTGTCTGTGTTAGCTTCTTTCACTGACAGCCTCTTCCCTAGATGGTCACCAGCAACTCATGCCCATCCTTGCCACTTTAGCAGCCCTGAAGAAAAGCAGTGGCCTCTTACTCACTTACATAAAGAAATCAAGGGCTAACTTGAGGACCCATCTGGGCCATGTGCCCATCTCTGAGCATAACACTGTTTCTAGGGGGATGGAAGTCGTTGATTGGTCAGGACTGGCTCACATGCTCACACCGCAGCTGGGTGTGTGCTAAACCTTGGTCAAACCACATAGACGAAGACTGAGGGAGGTGGGGAAGTCCTGATGGAAAATCAGAAGAAGGAGGATAGATGCTGAAAGGCAAAATCAGCAGCTTCTCAAGACCAGTACACTTCAAATATAAAGACACAAACAGGTTAAAATTTAAAAATGATTAAATAAGAACAAAAAAGGAATGGAGAAAATAAATGAAACCAAGAGCTGGGTTTTTGAGACAATAAAATTAATAAATGCCTAGTCAGACTGGTTAGGAAAACAGAAAGAAGGCAAAAATGATCAACATCAGGAATGAGAGAGATTCACAGATGTTAAAACTATCATAGTATTCATAGGTGTTAAAAGTATAATTAAGGGAATATTATGAACAACTTGAAGGCATTAAATTCAATAACTTAGATGAAATAGATGAATTCCCTGAAAGACACAAACTACTAAAGCTCACTCATGAAGAAATAGATAACCTGAATAGCCCTATATTTATTTTTAAATATTGAAGTTGTAGCTAAAAACCTCTCACAGAGAGAACTCCAGGCCCAGATGGCTTCACTGGTGAATTCTACCAAACACTTAAGAAAAAAAATTACCAATTTTAAACAAATTTTTTTGGCAATGGAAAAGAGGAAGTACTTCCTAACTAATTGCATGATGCCAGCATTACTGTGATCCCAAAACCAGAAAAACATTTTACTAATAAAGCAAGCTACAGGCCAGTATCTATCATAAACACAAATGTAAAGTTTTTAAATAAAATCTTAACAAATTGAATTTAAAAGTATATAAAAATGATATAATATCATTATGACCAATTAAGGGGTATATAAGTAATGCACGGTGGGTTTAACATCTGAAAATTAATCGATTTTCAATGCAATTCACCATATTAACAAGTTAAAAAAGAAAAACCATATAATAGATTTAGAAAAAGCATTTGACAAAATCCAACATCCATTTTTCATAAAAACTCTATGCAAAGTAAGATAGAAAGATATTTTCTCACCTGATAGAGGGCATCTACAAATAACCTACAACTAGTGTCATATTTAGTGGTGAAAGACTTAGTGTCTTCCCTCTAAGATCAGGAACAAAACACAAATATCTGCTCTTGCAACCTCTATTCAACATTGCACTGGAGATTTAACCAATCCAATGGGAGCAAGAAAAATAAGCAAACAGTGTTCAGATGGGAAAAGGAGGTAAACTGTTTTTATTCACAGATAAAATGATTCTCTATGTGTTACAGAAAATCTGATGGAATGTACAGGAAATCTATGATAGCTAAGTAGTCAGTTTAATAAGGTTGCAGGATATAAGATCATCTTACAGAAATCAAATGTATTTCCATATACCAGTAGGAAAGAATTGGAAATTAAAATTTTAAAAATACCACAACATAACATATGTTATCCAGTTGTTCCTATCCAATTGTTTCTTTGCCATTTGTTGAGAAGACTATCTTTAACTTCCATGAATTGCCTCATGCTTTAATCAAAAATCAGTTGTCCATCTTTTTTATATTGGACAGATGTTTTATATTGTTATGTTTCAATAACATAACAATATAAAACATTTAAGAATAAAGCTGACAAAAGGTGGAAAAGACTTGTACACTTAAAACTGCTAAATATTGCTGATGGAAGCTGAAGAAGACCTAAACAAATGAATAAAAATACTGGGTTTTATGGATTAGAAGACTCCATATTGTTAAGATACCTATTGTCCTCAAATTAATCTATAGATTCAATAAAATCCTATTGTATTTAGGCTTTTAGCATCCTATACTGGATGCTGGACACCCCGTCCCCAGGAATTTACAGATGTTGGAACAAGTGGTGCACAGGCGTAATGGATGTGAAATAATCCTTATTAGTGACATGGTAAACAGGAAAAGGATGGGCAAGGGGGTTTGGTTTGGAGGGAAGCAGAAGCAAGGGTGGTGGTGGCAGCTTTGAGTGTTCACTGTTACTAGAGAGCGGAGCTGGGATGTGGGGTGGTTAGTGCCCATGTGTGGGCCAGGGCTTGAGTGATTTGAACTTTCTGCAGGTGTAGGAACAGAGGAAGGATATGGGTTTTCTTATCAGGTTGCCCAGGTGTGAGGCACAGGGGAAAGACTGGGAGACTTGAAAGCTGTCAGGGGTCAATATCAAATATGGAGTCTCTCCCTTTATTGTAAACCGTAGTCAAAATCCCACTAGGCTTAAACATATTTTCATTTTTATTCTTTTGAGACAGAGTTTTACTCTGTCGCCCAGGCTGGAGTGTAGTGGCACGATCTCGGCTCACCGCAACCTCTGCCTCCCAGGTTCAAGCGATTGTCCTGCCTCAGCCTCCCGAGTAGCTGGGGGGATTACAGGTGCATGCCACCACGCCTGGCTAATTTTTGTATTTTTAGTAGAGATGGGGTTTCCCTATGTTGGCCAGGCTGGTCTCGAACTCTTGACCTCAAGCGATCTGCCTGGTGCTGGGATTACAGGTGTGAGCCACCACACCAAGCATATATATATGAAATGTATTTTTAGATATAATATATAATATATGTATTTATATATATTATGCATATATGTATTTATATATTATATATTATATGTATTTTTATATATTATATATATGTATTTTTATATATTATATATAATATGTTTTTTATATATATTATATATAATATGTTTTTTATATATATTATAGATATAATATGTTTTTTATATATATTATAGATATATAATTTTTTTTTGTAGAAATTGAGAAGCAGATTCTAAATGCACATGGAAATTCAAAGGACCTATAAAAGCCAAAGCAACTTTGTAAAAGAAGTACAGGTTAAGGTTCAGGCGTGGTGGCTCATGTCTGTAATCCCAGCAATTTGGGAGGCCAAGGTGAGAGGATCGCTTGAACCCAGGGATTTGAGACCACCCTGAGCAACATAGTGAGAACCTGTCTCTCCAAAAAACAAAAATAAAAAAAATTAGCTGGGCATGGTGGCACGTGCTTGCAGTCCCAGCTACTCTGGACGCTGAGGTGGGAGGATCACACGAGCCCAGGAATTCAGGCCTGCAGTGGGCCTTGTTTATGCCACTGTACTCCAGCCTGGGCAACAGAGTGAGACCCTGTCTTAAAAACAAGCCAAAACGAACAAAAAAAGAAGTACAGATTCAGTCCCCAATTTTGAATTATAAAGTTACAGCAATCAAAGCAGGAGATATTGGCGTCAAGATAAATAGATCAGTGAAACAGTAGAGGGTCTAGAAATAAACTTATGTAAAGATTTACAAGTGATTTTTGACCACAGCATGAAGGCAATTCAGGAGAGTAAGAATAGTCTCCTCAACAAATGGTGGAGGAAC
The DNA here is from genome assembly GCF_000001405.40 of Homo sapiens. Taxonomy (NCBI): domain Eukaryota; kingdom Metazoa; phylum Chordata; class Mammalia; order Primates; family Hominidae; genus Homo; species Homo sapiens. Next base: position 30,529,443 of record NC_000001.11, on the reverse strand, counting down.
AACTGGATAGTCATAAAACAAAGCAAACAAACAAAAAGGAAACTTTGATCCCTACCTTGTACCATATACAAAAATTGACTGGAAATGTATGATAGATCTAAATGTAAAATTTAAAACTACAAAACAACTTGAAGACAACATAGAAAAAATTTTACAGCCTTATTTTAGATCAAGATTGCTTCAATGTGGCAGAAAAAGTATGATCCATAAAAGAACAAAATGATAAGTTGGACGTCATCAAAAGAAAAAAACCATTGCTCTTTAAAAGACTCCGATAGGAGAATGAAAAGAGAAGACACAACCTAGGGGAAGATATTTGCAAGGCATATATTTAGTAAAGGACTTTTATCCAGAATATACAAAGATTCTCAAAACTCAGTAAAAAACCCAACAAAAAATAGCAAAAGACCTGAACAGACACTTTATCACAGAAGATATACAGATGACAAACAAATGAAAAGATGCTCTGACCCTTTGGTTATTAGGGAATCAAAAGTTAACACTACAGTGAGATGTTACTACATATTTATTAGAATGGCTAAAATTATGAAGACTGAACATATCATGTGCTGGCAAGGATGTGGAGGAAATGGAGCTCTCTGGCACTCTTGGTGATGATATAAAATAATACAACCATTTTGGAAAACAGTTTGGTAGTTTCTTAAAAAGTTGAAAATACACTTATCAGATGGTATAGTAATTCCACTCCGAGGAATTTATCCAAGACAAATGTCAGCGTTTGTCCACACAAAGACTTATACCTGAATGAACATTCTTTCATAGCTGCTCTATTTGTAAGAGCCACAACCTGGACACAGTTCACGTGTTCATCAAACAATGGATACAAATAATTGTGGGATCTCCATACAATGGGATACTACTCATCTACAAAAAGGAATGGACTGTTGATGGACTGTTCACATGTGCTGTATCAGGAATGATTCTCAAAATAATTATTGTGAGTGAAAGAAGCCAGACATACTGAAATATTTCATTTATATAAAACTCTTGAAAATACAAACTAATTTATAGTCACAGCAGATCAGTGATTGGGAATGGGGACAGGGAGCAAAAGAGAGAGATTGCTAAGGGGTGTGAGGGAACTCATTATCTTGATTATGATGATTTCATGGGTGTTTACATGTCAAAGGTATGCAATTTTATACTTTAAATATGCATCGTTTACTGTACGCAAATTATACATCAATAAAGCTGTTCAGAATAAATTACATTCCAACAAGGAAGGTTGTTGTGAGAGCTAATGACAACACCTGTGACTCTCCTGGCCCCAGGCTGGCACACAGTAGGCCCTAACTGAGTAGCGCTGTTGACAGCAGGTGGTCATGGAATGGCAGCCATTGCTGTGACCTCTCATCTGGCGCTTTGCAGGTGGGTGGTGTGTGTTGCTGGCAGGTCTGCCTCCGCCATCTGACTATGAACTTCTCATGGTCACAGGCACATGAACAATCGTTCTCTCTGAGCCCAGAGCCCTGCACATGGCCTGGCACTCCGTGGTGGATCTGCTGAGTCACTGGAAACTGGCTTCCTGGAAGATGAAGGACAGGGAGGGAGCTTTGTGCTCATTGTCCAACAACAGCCAGGCCCTGAACCTCTCTTGGTCATCTATTCAATAGCACACGTTTCAGCAGGACACAAATTCCTTGGCAGCAGAGGGAGTTATTTAAAGTACCCATGAAAATAGCTGGACCTTGATGAAACAGAGCAGTTGTCACCGCTGGGGCCCAGAGGTGCCTGAGGACAGGGAAATGTGGGCAGGATTTATTCCCGGCAGGACGCCTGTGTCATGGCCATGTTTAGGATGTAAAGACGCTGTCTGACCTTGGCGGTGTGAAGGGCCGCCTGGGCTCACAATGGGCAGGCATTTGTAAGCGCTGCTGTGACTGGGGATGTGGGGATCCTTGTCCCTTTCTCCTCTCATCTCATTTTCTGAAGTTCACTGGGAGCTGGGCTGCAAATGGCAGGTAGGAGAGGAGGTGCCCCTTCAGCAGCTTCAAAAATAGACCTCACAAGTGGCCAAGGGGTCACCAAGCTTTCCAGCATTAAGCACCTACCTGTTTTGTGTGCCTTGGAGTCCTGGGCTCTTATCTGACTGCCAGTGATGCGCTGGAGAGAACAGTCTCTTCCTCTCACTGAGCCTCACTTGCCTCACCTGGAAGCACCCTGCCTACCTCATGGGGATGTTGCTTGTTGAGAAATGTTGTTACAAACGGCTGGAGAGGCCACCCACATGGTCGGGTTTCAGGGATCCAGGGCAGATCTCTGCAACCCCCCAGCTCCCTGGGCAAATCCCAGGCCCACCCACAGTAGCTGCCTGACCAGTCTACAGATGCTGGGAGGGCATCCTGGAGAATCATTCCTTTGGGATAGGATGGCCCAGTTCAGGCTCCCTTTGTCTAAATCTCCACCAGCCCTGTGCCCTTCAGTTTGGATGCTTTTCTGCAGCATCAGGGATGACCACCCCTTGAAGAACAGACAGGCAGGGGGAGGGTGAACATGAGGAACCTGCCCAATAGCAGCCCTCATGAATGATCACCATGGCCAGGTATTGCTTTCAGCACTTTATGTATTTTATCTTATTTAACGCTCATATGGCTGAGGCACAGAGAGGTTAAGTGACTTCCTCAAGGTCACACAGCTAGTCGGTGGTAGAGGTAGTGAACCTCTTGAACCCAGGGACTCACTTGAACCCAGGGAGTCTGATCCCAGAGACCCTCTCCCAACCCTAGGCTGGGCTCGGCCTCTGTTCTGGGTGGGCTCTGTGGCTGATGACCACCCCTGCCCACCTGGTTGGCTTCCCCATTCCTGTACTTTCCAGCTTCCAGCCCTCTCTGCCCATGTTTCCTGTGACCACCTGCCCCACCCCTGCCCTGCAGATGCATGGTGGCCTCCAGGCCCTGGGCTCCACCATGTCCTCCAGGATGTCACGGAGTCTCTCTCCTTTCTCAGCTTCAGAGGGACACGATCAAGGGAAAAGTCCTCTCTTTGGATTCGGGCAGGATTCCAGCTGAGGGGCCCCAGGCAGGATTACTATTAATGCTGATCACTGGTCACTCTGGAAGATGGAGCCCTAGAGCCATAGTGTGGGTGTGTGAGATCCTTTCCTGACACCCGACAAGGGGCAGAAGGCTGACCTGGTCCTTCCTTCATTGCACCAGCCGGGGGTTCCCTCTGAACCAGCCGACCAGGGATGACTCATGAAACAAGAGCCTGGCTGTGGCTGGAACACCATGACATAAATTTATTGGCAGCAGAGGGATTATTTAAAGTCTCCATTAAAACAGCTGGACCTTGACAGAAACAGAGCAGTTGTCACTGCTGGAGCCTGAAATGTCCCGAGCTGGGCGGGGACACGTGGCTGGCTCTGGCAGGTCTCTAATACTGTTTGGGACTGATGGACACACTTGAATCTGATGCCACAGTGGCTCCTGTCCACTCACTCCCCTCTCGGCTCCTGCCTCTGCCTGGTGCTATGCCCAAGGATCCTGATGGACTCCCATTTAAGCCTCATTCACCTGCACCCTCACTAGCCTGCCAGGGCCTGTGCTATGTGTGGAAGCTGGGCGGGGGCTCGCAGACACACAGACCCAGGAGTTCCCTCTCTCCTCCCCCTCCCTGGGAATGCCTCCTCTACCACTCAGGGAGATGGGCCTCTGTTCTGGGGTGGGGCTAGCACATGGCTGTGAAAGAGCTTTGTGACTCTTTGTGGCTTCATGAGATTAAACCTTCAACTGGGGGTCCGGAGGCCTGGGCTCCAGTCCCAGCTGTGCCTCCTACTAACTGTGCGGACCTCCCTGGTCCTCAGTTTCCTCCTAGGATTCTGCCTCACGTGGTTCAAAGAGGGTTGTGGGGGCCACATGGGGTTTCAAAGAGAAAGCACTTCATAAACCATCATGGGGCACACATCAGAGAATTTCCTCCTCCTCTTCTTCTTCCCTCTGTTCCTCTTCCTGTTTCTCTTCCTCCTCCTCCTCCCTTTCCTCCTCTTCCTCTTCCTCCTTCCCTTCCTTCTCTTCCTCTCTCTCCCCCTCTTTCTTATCCTCCTCCTCCCCTTCCTCCTACTCTTTCTTTCCCTCCTCCTCCTCTTTCTTCTTCAGCAGAATTTGGGGCTCAGTTGTAAGATGATGGGTTAACTTCCTTTTTTTATTTCCCCCCAGGGTAAGCTTTCTATGCGGCTTCAGAATCCCTCTGCATAAGCGGCCCCCATTCCTGATGCCCCTCACACCAGCGGCTCACCCCAGGCCTGGCTGGTCTAGGGCAGAGCAGCATTAGCGCTGGGCTAGCTCATGTGGGCGTGTGGGGGAGGAACACTGAGCTTCTGTTCCTCACATGTGTCCCATGATCTTGTCTTGATGGTGTCCTGATTATTCACTGGGGAAACCGACTGACTTCCACGGCAGAAACTCTTGGAGGGGCAGACACTGGAGGCGGCCCCACTTGTCCACAACCAGCGACTGGCCCCTGACCTTGGCCAGATGCTCTCCCTGCCCTGGAGGGAGCACTCGGCCCAGCTCAGGCCCCATGGAACTGGATGCTGGCTCCTCCTTTGAAATCCAGGAGCTGCCCCAGCCACTGTTCCTCCTGGTTTGACTTGCTGCTCTTGTCTTCAGTGCTGCAGCAGTGGCACCTCTGCACATCCAGTACCTTCTCCTTCTTCTCTTTTTCTTTCTTTCTTTCTCTTTCTTTCTCTCTCTCTCTCTCTTTCTTTCTTTCTTTCTCTTTCTTTCTTTTTCTCTCTTTCTTTCTTTCCTCCTTCCTTCCTTCCTTCCTTCTTTTCCTTCCTTCCCTCCCTCCTTCCTCCCTTCCCTTCCCTTCCCTTCCCTTCCCTCCCCTCCCCTTCCCTTCCCTCCCCTCCCCTCCCCTCCCCTCCCCTCCCCTCCCCTCCCCTCCCCTCCCCTCCCCTCCCCTTCTCACCCTGTCACCCAGCCTGGAGTGCAGTGGCACGATCTTGGCTCACTGCAACCTCCGCCTCCCGGGTTCCAGCAATTCTCCTGCCTCGGCCACCCAAGTAGCTGGGATTACAGGCGCCTGCCACCACACCCAGCTAATTTTTGTATTTTGTAGTACAGATGGGGTTTCACCATGTTGCCCAGACTGGTTGAACTCCTGGCCTCAAGTGATCCACCCACCTTGGCCTCCCAAAGTGTTGAGGTTACAGGCATGAGCCACCGCGCCTGGACTGTATCTTTTTCATACATCATCTAGAATCCAATTCTGCTGCTGTAGGCAGACCCATGACAAGGAAAAATAGTTTATCCCATATGCCCTGACCCACCCACAGGGCTGAACGATTGTGGCTGTGTGAACCTCAGACCCACCAAAAAAGGGAATGAAAATGGAGTTCACAGCAGCCTTCTTGATGAAGGGGGAGGCAATGTCACCCCCTTTCCTTCCCCATTCACTCCCCATTCCCTAGCTTCCTTCCCCAAACACTCTCCATTCCCTAGCTCTGAAACACTGGTCCTCATGATCTGGGCCAGGTGGCAGGAGGTGCCAGGTGACATATGTGAGCCAGGTGACAGGTGTGATGCCAGTGGCCCCACCTAGACTCTGACTCATGGTGGCTGGGCCCTTGTCCTTGGTTGCTTGATGCAAAGGGAACAGTAAGGACCACACCGGGTGTCAGTGCATCAATCAGCAAACACAGAACAAGCTCTTGGCTGGGGCTTGGTGCTGTCATGGTCTTTTTATAGCCACTTACAAGCTTGTGGCTTTGGGCAAGAGATATAGCCCTGAAACCTTGTTCTCACCTGGAAATGGTGATGGTGTTGACCCTGAGTTCCTCATGGTGCTGTTGTGAGAGTCAGGTGAGTTGCTCCACAGAGAGCTCTCAGGACAGCAGAGGCTACGCCATGATGACAGTGGCAACATGAGGCTGATGCTGGCTCTCCCATTCCCACAGCTCCCCATCATCAGGTTCAGCACCTTCTTGTTGGTCCATCTCCCAAAAGGCTATGTCATCAAGAAGGGGCCTCATCCCTCCTCTCTGGCTTAGCTGGTACTATCACCTACATATTGGAGGAGGGGCACATTTTTATTGTCTCAAGGCTTCATCTCATCCAGAAAGGAGGAGTTTACTTACCCTGGGAACTAAATCATGCTGGCAGTCAGGCCAGCAGAGACCAGCACGAGCTTGGGTCTTTTGCTGTCTGATCATAGTGGTTATGTGTCATAGCCAAGCTGACATTTTTTTCTCCTTTCTCACCTTCTAAAGAAAGATGACCATCAACAGGAACTATGCCAGTTTAATCTCTCTGAGCAATGTCTCACCACCAGTGCAGGGACGTGCTAGGAGAATGTATGATCCAACCTGCTCACTGGGAAGGTAATTCCAGGCAGCAGGAACAGCAGGAGAATTTGGGGAAACCGAGGTACAGGGTGGGAATTCAACCTGCTCAAAGTCACATAGTAAGTTGGTGACAGAACAGAGACCAGGATTTGATCTCCTGACCCATGGCTGATGTAGTCTTGGCTCTGCCTTGGCCCACGTGGTTTTGAGGGGTGTGGAGACAGCAGTGAAATGAAGCCCATGGAGCAAAGGCCTCATGCTGGAACTCCCTGGGCTTCAGAGGGGCTGGCGCATGAGGGCTTTCCCAGTCTGGACTGGGGCCAGTGGACAGACTTGAGGTCATGATAGCGGGAGATGAAATTGTCAGAGGCGCTCGGTGAAATGAGGACAACCTGGCAGATATGGTCTGTCGGTATCAGGTTGCCAACTGCTTGCCAACACCTCCTAAATGAGTGTTGCCTGATCCCAGTTTGGGAAATGCCGTGTGCAGGCATTTAAAAGTCAATGTGATTTCACCATGAACTTTCACAGAATTGGCTGGGCTTCCCTGCGAGTTTGAGCAGAGTTAGGAGGTGTGAGCATGTGTTTTCTCTATTCCGCTGACATATGATGCAATGAATCCCCGTCTCAGATGGAGCTTGTGTTCTGGTGGGGGATGCAGATAGTACACAAGCAATCATGCTGGGAAGTGAGAAGTTCCGTGGGGGAATTGGACAGGGTGAGGAGACGGAAGTGAGGAGGGTGGGCAGTGTGTCAGTGGGGATGTGGCAAGGGACAGATGAGATGGCACAGTCAAGTCAGGCAATTTTTGGAGAGTGTAAAAAAGAGACCAAGAAGGCGAAGGCATGGGCAGGGCATAAGGAAATCCTGGAGATGGTGCTGTTTCCTGGCATCCGGCAACAGAGGGCTCCATTACCACCCTTGGGTTTGCGAGGGTGCGGGGAGGAGCAATGAGTGGAACCCGGAGATGGAGAAAGCTGGGTGGAGGAGCCCTGCCAGGGGGCTGGGTGGGGAGGGACCACATGATAACAGGAGCTGAAAGCTGCAGTCTGAGGAAAGCTAGCCTTAGCTCTTCCCAGGGCAGGACCTTGTCAGGGGATAAACACCCCAACCTTCCTCTCCTCCTCCTTCCTTGATCTCCTGCTGGGGCTCCCTGTTAACCAAACTCACCTTGAAGCCAGAGGATGAGGAGCCCCTTGATGTAGCCGATAAGGGCTGCCACCCAGAAGCACAGAGTAGAGGGGACAAGGGTGAAGCGAGGGTGGGAAGGGACACCCCTGTGCAGGGGGAAGGGTGACCTTAGCACAGTGCTCAGGGAAGATGATTTGGAGGAGACAATGTTGAAATTGACAGCTGAGGCTGAGAAGGAACCAGCATGAGAAAAGCCAGGGGAGGGAGCTCCTGGGAGAGGGAACTGTAGGGCCAAATGATTGAGAGGCAGGTGAGGCCAGATCCCATGGCCGTGAGGGCTGGGTGAGAAGCTTGGGTTTTATTCCAAGTTTAGCCGGAGGCAATGGCTGACTTTTAAGCAGAGGAGCAACATGATTCCACCTGTGAACCAGGCAGGGATGGGGGCAGGGGATGTCAGGGAGGCTGTAGCTGTGGGCAGGCCAGATGAGAGGCCTGGACTGGGCAGTGGGCAGAGATGAAGGGACATGACCGGAGTGGGATGCATTTTGGAAGGAGTATCTCAAAGAGCTGCAGGATGGATCAGATGCAGAGGGCAGAGGGCAGAGGACAGGAGTGATCAAGGGGACTCCAGGGCTTGTGGTCAGTGTGGGGTGGGGTGAAGCTGTGCCCTGGGCTGGGTAAGGTGGGAGAAGAGTCAGTTCAAGGGAGGAAATAGCCCTGTTTTAAACAAGAAAGCTGAAGATGGGTTTTAGACCTCCAAGGGAAAATGCCAGAGCAGGCAGCTATGAATCTGGGGCTGCCTGTTTAGAGGACAGGGGGTCATCTTTGAAAGGACAATTACATTAATTTCATTTTAATTGAAGGACTTGTTCATTCTTAATTATTCTTAAAATCTTAGCACTTTGGGAGGCTGAGGTAGGTAGATCATCTGAAGTCAGAAGTTTGAGACCAGCCTGGCTAACATGGCGAAACCCTGTCTCTACTAAAAATACCAAATTAGCCAGGCGTGGTGGTGCATGCCTGTAATCCCAGCTACTCTGGAGGCTGAGGCAGGAAAATGGCTTGAACCCGGGGAGCAGAAGTTGCAGTGAGCCAAGATCGTGCTGCTTTTCTCCAGCCTAGAGAAAAGAGTGAAACTCTATAACAAACAAACAAAATATGTGTATGGGGGTTGGTGAGATGTTGGTCAAAGGATGTAAAATTTCGGTTATATAAGGGGAATAAGTTCAAGAGATCTATTGTACAACGTGGTGACTATAGTATTAAAATATGGATATTTACTAAGCACCCTGCTGTGCTGGGCACAGTCTTGGGAGCAGAGGATATGCTGGCTGCAGATCAGAGGAGGCTGCATGAGGCTAGGCTCAGGCAGAGAGAACATAGACATGATCAGACACCTCCCCAAACACTCAGTGCCTATTGGGGGACAGGGCTGGTCATGGAGTTGGAGGAGCAGATTCCTCATCCCATCTCTGAGGTTTTGTGCTGAGTGACCAGGGCTGGTGTCTGAACTTCTCTTGTCTCAGCCTGGAGTCAGGGTCCACCCAGCCCTCTTCTGCCCTCAGTATCTATGAGCTGGGGGTCTTCAGGGAGTGACAGTGTGGTTTTCCTGGCTGTTGCCCAACCCTACATGGACTCAGGTCCTGTTGCAGTTCTGGCCACCCCAGACATCAAACTGCAGTTGTAGGAAGGTACCAAGAGAGCCTCCCAGGATCAGGAGTTACCCATCTGAATCCATAGTTTGGATGTTTAACTAAATGTGATAGAGTGAAAATGGATATGACATAAAAGGCATCTGAGGCCAAGAGAAAAATGGGCCTCAAGCAGCTAGCAGGCCAAATTGCAAAGCAAAAGATGAGTTTCAGGAAAACTGATGGTGAGCTTTTCACTTTCTGCCCAACTTAAGTAGAGGAGGAGGACTGAGGGGCTGGGGGTTCTTAATGCGTCAGGATAGTTCCAAGCCCAGGATGAAGGAGGCATGCGGCCTCTGGAGCTCTATTGCCTTCATGGTTGAAATGGTGTGACCTTCCAGGACACTTGATATTGCTGTGCCTCAGTTTTCTCATACGGAAGATAAAACCAAGAAAACTTCTTTTGCATAAGTTATTGTGCTGTGAGAGATGGTGTGTGTGAGGCACCCAATGCAGCACCAAGCAAGGTATATGCTCCACCATCACTTGGTGTCATCATCCTCTCATCATCTTCATTTTCTCCATCATCATCTTCTCCATCATCATAATCTTTATAATCATTATCTTCTTCATCATCATCATCTTCTCCATCATCATAATCCTCTCCATCATCATAATCTTCCCCATAATCATTATCTTCTTCATCATCATCCTCTCCATCATCATAATCTTCTTCATCATAATCTTCCCCGTAATCATTATCTTCTTCTTCATCGTCATCTTCTCCATCATCATCATCATCCTCTCCATCACATCATTTTCTCCATCATAATCCTCTCCATCATCATAATCTTCCCCATAATCAGTATCTTCTTCATCATCATCATTTTTTCCATCATCATCGTCATCATCCTCTCTGTCATCATCACCTCCATCATCATCCTTTCCATCATCATTATCTCCATCATCATGTTCATCATCATTCTCTCCTTCATCATCATTCTCTCCATCATCATCCTCTTTATCATCATCTTCTCCACCATCATCATCACCATTATCCCCATCCTTGTCATCATTCTCTCCATCACCACCATCATCATCATCATCCTCTCCATCATTATCGTCATCATTATCCTGTTCATCATCACCATCCTCCTCATCTTTTCCATCATCATCATCTTTCCCATCAGCATCCTCTCCATCATCATCATCATCATAGTACTGTCAGTATTAACAACAACACTATCATTAACTATTATTATTATTATCTATTACTGCCTCAGAGACTCATAGAGTTTTAAAGACCTGAGATATCTGGTTAAATGCTTTTCATTCACTTGTGAAAATGCCAAGACCCAAAGAGAAGAAGGGGCTTGCCCAAGCCCTGTGGTGGAGCTGGGACTGACTCCCAGTTCTGACTTCCGTGCCAGAGCCCTTCCAATGGCATTCCGGTGCCTCTACCTCTGGCATCCAGACATGCCGTCACTTGGTGTCATGGGGTTTGCAGGAATGTATTGACCATATCTATGTGGACAATGAAGGATTATATGTGGGAAGAGAAGGGAAAGCAGCAGTTTTTAGGCCTAAGAGGTTCCAAGTGACTTCCCAGGCTGACTCCAGTTTCTGAGTAACTTGTAATAGCTGTGTATATAGGCCTTTGTCTTTGTGGTCTCAGAGGTACCTGGCCCTGGAGGTGAGACATCATGGGAGCCAGGAGACAAACACCATCTGGGCTCCATCCATGCTGGGGATAGAAGAAAGGGCACCAGAAATGACCCAAAGTTATGCCCTGTGAGACTTTAGCAACTCACTTGACTAATGTGTTGGTTCCAGGCCCTGGGGCTCGTTTTCCCTGGGCCTGGTGGAGAGTCTGGGGACTAGCAGGTCTGCAAATAGGCCAGGGGTTTACTTTGAGTGTGCCCAGCCCTGGCCAGGCTGAGACAGTGTGGGTGCATGGAGGAAGATGGGGATAGGGAGAGGCCAAGTGCATCATGAAGGGCCTCAAATGTCTGGAGAGTAAGGGGCTGTGGCAGGTTTCCAGTCAGATTTGCCCCTGGGGCTGGTGGGTCACAGCCATCTTCCCAGCTGCAGGGATGGAGACCCCACAAAAGCCATTTGAGGGTTGATGCCTCCCGAGGGTGTCTGCATGGTGGTGCTTCCTTCACATTGCTTTCCAATCTCAACTCAGCCAGGCCACAGGACCTTGGCCTGGGTCAAACTCACTCCTCACTGTGGCCAGTTAATTTCATCTTGCCATAAATTTTCAACGGATTGCTAATCAATAAGAACTTGGCAGCTACTACTGAACCTCAAAGTCAAGGGGTAAAAAGAATCTAAATGATGTCTGCCAGGTTGTTGTATTTACCGGGCTCCATGCTTATTGCCTGTTGTTTTGAGTTAATTATCTGGTGCCTAAGTGTATCACTTCTACATCTCAAGCACTGCTCTTACAATCAATTCATATTTAATTAACGCGACTGCTGATTGAATGGCAATGGTGTTATAGTGTGCGACACAGAGGAGGAGCGTTTCCTGCACGCACAGCTGCAGGAAGGAGGAGCTGATGTGGATGAGGGGAGGGGGCACTCTTACAGCCTCTGAGCTCCCCCATTAACTCCCCAAGGTGACCTTGGCAGCCTGGAGTGGGGTCAGAGTTCCTGGGTTGCTGGGATCAGAGTTCCCAGACTGCTCCCTTCTAGTGGGGCCTGTGGTCTCAGGAATTACAAAACCTGAGTGGGAGATTTTCTAAAAAGGGGACAGTAATGCCAATTTCATGAGGCTGGTCATTCCTCCCTGAATGTGAGCCTTCGGACAGAAGCCAAACTCAGTGAATGTTGGTGGAAGGAAGGGGTGGGTGAACAGAGAGAGGAGGCAGGTCCGAGGACGGAATCCTGTCCCTTCTCCCCTGCCCGACCCCCCTGCAAAGTGCTATGATGGAGGATGTGCCAGATGCAGGGACAGGTGGGGTGGGGGCTGCCCATGGAGAACATGATGCCTGGCCTGGGTCTTGAAGCGTGAGTAGGAGTTTCCTGGATGGACAGGCAGGGGCAAGGGTGTTCCAGAGAGAAAGCACGGCATGAACAAAGGCCTGGAGGCAGGGACTGAATGTCACTGTTGCCCGGAAATAACCAGAGCATCAGAGAAAAGAGAATGAGGGCCGGATGGAGGGAGCCAGTACTGAAAGTGTCAACACCTGGGCAATCCCCGCAGAGAGTTGTTGGAAAAATTTAAATATAATATATAAGTTCACTTATTTTAGAGTCACCTGCTTGATTGCAAATCCTGCCTCCATTTTTCTGTTTTGGGACAGAGTCTCACTCTATTGCCCAGGCTGGAGTGCAGTGGTGTGATCACAGCTCATGGCAGCCTCTACCTCCCCAGCTCAAGTGGTCCTCCCACCTCAGCCTCCTGAGCAATGGGGACTACGAATGCACACCACTATGATTGGCTAATTTTTTATTTTTTGGAAAGGTGGGGTCTTGCTATATTGTCCAGGTTGATCTTGAACTCCTGGCCTCAAGCTAACCTTGTACCACAGCCTCCCAAAGTGCTAGAATTACAAGTGTGAGCAACCATGCCCAGCCTCCGCCATTTTAAACCTATGTGATATTAGGGTACTTATTTAACCTCTCTGTGCCTCAGTTTCCTCATTTGTGGGTGGGGATAATGGCAGCACCCCCCTCACTGGGCTAGGGTGAGGATAACACCCAGGTGCAGTGTTTCCAGCAGTGCCCGGCTCTCAGTAGGTGTCATGAGGGCCGTTGCTGGGATTGGTGCTCATGATATGCCTGATGCCTGGTGTTTTCCTCCAACCTTTGGAACCACTAGGCAGATGGGTGGATAGGACCATGGGTCACGTTGAAGAAACTGAGTCCCAGGGAGGTGAAATGGCTTCTTCAAAGTTTTATGGCTGAACTGGTGAGCTGGGGAGCCAAGATCTATCCCCATCTGTTTGACTTTGGAGCCCACCTAGTTCCCAGAGCAGTGTCTGACTCCTGGTGAGGCTGCTCTTTTCCCTCCCACCGTCCCGGGTAGGTGCCCATAGCGCCAGCCTCCCCTGACTGAGACACAGTGGTTCACACAGAGACCCCGAGCTGCTCAGCAGAGAATGACCCCACCCATTCATACGGCCAGCCCAGACTTTCTAGGGGTGCTCTCCCTTCCCTCCCTCTGCCTCAGCCCCTCAGCTCTACACACAAAGCCCCTCCTCAGTCCTTCTAGCAGGAAACAGGGGCCTCATCCCTCCTCTGGGCTCACTGAGGCCCATTCACCTGCCCCGCCTTGTAGTGAGTGCAGGAATAGTGCCTGCACTAAAATCCATGTCTGGATGTGCCCCTGCTGCAGGGGGTTAGCCTTTGTACACACAGAAAATCTCTAAAGATTCATCTCCTGATATTTATTCCGGAAACTGGAACATGTAGATGAGAGTGTGATACCGGAAATGCAGAATAAATTTACATTCTCTAAGCCACAAAGAGCCACATTCACAAAGCACTGAGGGAGGTGGGCAGGAAGAGGGAAAACCTTCTCAGCCAAAGGAAGCGCTGGCAGCCCTTCTTCCAGGAGTGAAGGCTCACACGTGCAAATCCCAGCCCCTAAGAACTCACCTGCCCTACAGGTCTGTAGTTCTGGAACTCAGAACTGCATTTAATAGAATCTTAACATCATACAATTTCAAGTCAGAATCACAGCATTTTAGGATTTGGGGGAATTTAATGATCACCTTGCCCAGACCTTTGACCATCCCCCAAGTCCTGTCCACCCTTCTCTGCTAAGTCCTGTCCACCCTTCTCTGCTAAGTCCTGTCCACCCTTCTGATCGCATCCCATGGCCACCTCCTCCAAAGCCCTCCTTGACCCCCCAGGCCAGGTCAGACCCCCCCATCATCATGGACTCTTCTAAAGAGGAGACTTCTGAGCAAGGATCTGAGTGAGTAAAGGAGTGAGCCATTACAAAAAGCAAAATGCCTTCCAGACAGAGGGAACAGCAAGGGCGTAGGCCCTGAGGCCGGAGTGTGCATGGTGCATTTGAGGAAGAGCAAGGCCTTGTTTGACCTTTCTGGGCTGGTCAGACCCTGAGACTTGGGGCCACATCAGGAATAAGGAGAGGATGCTCCCCCCAGGAGTAGGGAACTTGAGGACAGATGCTGGGCACACAGTAGGTGCTTAATAAAAGCCTGACTGTGTTCAGTTCAGGGCCCCACATGGCCAGAGGAAGCTGACATTAGGTGAGTTGGTCGAGAGGACTGGGTGCTGGCTAGAAGCCAGGTCAGGGGAGGGGCAGGTAAGGGTCCCGTGGTGTTTTTCTTGAGAAGAGAAGGGAGTGCCTTTCAGGGGCTCTTGGAATAAGGGCTGAGCTGCACGTAGAGGCCCCAGATGTGGCCCAGGCCCAGTGTGGGAACCACTGGGCAATGGTTGTAGCTGAGTGGATGGAAGGTTGGGGGGTGAGACGAATGATTGAGACTGTGCAGTGTTTAAAATGTTCCTCAGGCACAGGGAAGCGTTGAAAAGAATGTTTCCATTTATTTGAGGAAAGGCCAATTTTCTCCTCTCATTTATCCGTCCCACACACACAGGGTGGGAAGAACACCTGTCCCTTAAGCTGGAGGATGCCAAGGCTCTAACCTGCCTGCTGTGTAGGCTCAGTGAGGCTACTGCTCTTCTCTGACCCTTGGTTTCCTCTTCTATGAAACTGGAACATGATACCCCTGCAAGGCTGTTGTAGGTTGAATGCAGTGATGTAAATTGAGGGCCAAGCTTGGAGCCAGCACAGAGTGGGCACTAAAATATGCCAGGCTTCTCCTTTTGATGAGAGGATCTCCATTCCCTCTTTAGGCTCAGAGACTTTTCTGGCCTGAATGTGCAGCTGGACGGGAAGAGCAGTGAGACGGGAAGTGGGAGGAGCCTGAGATGGACTCCTCTGCCCCAGCCTCACTCTGTCCCCTAGGAGGCCACCACACCTCCCTGACCCTGCATGGACCCTTTAGGACAAAGGAAGTCGCATCTCTGCTCCTAGACCCAGGGGGTGGGACCTGATGGAGACTTGAGACATCCTTCCAAGACCTAATGTGGGTGAGATGGCCCAGACTCCGTGCAAAGGAAGGCAGGATGAGGAGGAAGTGACCATCTTCGTCAAGGTGCACAGAGCTGCACAGCAGCCCAGATGGCTCTGCTGAGAAGACACCTCATTTGGAAGTAAACACAGGCTCCGTTTAAGGATACAGGGTGGACCAGAACACTCACACCTGAACACGTTTGTGTAAACTTAACTGCATCATCTGTTCTCTGCATCTTTTGAATGGAAAACCAAAGAATTTTGAAATGCTCAGCTTGTGGCTGAAGGAAGGGCAGGCAGAGCCCAGGCTGGCTTTGCGGACTCTGCCCTTTGGGAGGGGCTGCTCTGGCTCAGCCTGCTGTGAGAATCAAATGAGTCCCTGGCCTCAGCGGCACAATGATGCAGCTGGACTTAGAGGGCCTCTGTCTTAGGCGGGCTCTCCCCAAACAGTCCCTGAAGCAAGGTTTTGAGTTGCTGGTGGTGTATTTGGGAGGTAACCTCAGGAAGCATACAGAAGGGAGTAGAGAGAGAAAGAGCTGGAGGGAGAGAAGGGTCAGAAAGGCGGCATCGGGGAGCTGATATTTCTTTGGGCAACTGACTCCCTTCTGCTGGGGCCCCTTGTAGAAACCACATGCTGCATGCCCCGACTGCCTCCCGCCCCTTATGGTTGAGGTCTACCTGTGTGTGCCTGAAATACCCTGCACCTCTAGTTGGCCCTGTTCATGGGCTGTGCAAGCTCCTCTGGGGCTGGAGACATCCAGAGCGTGGCACCTGCAGCAGGAAGCTGGGAGGTTCTTGGGAACTGTCCACTGCAGCTTCAGGTGAGCTCAGGCATGGCCTGAGGGGCTAGGAGGTGGCACAGCAAGAGCCCCGCTGCATCTCCCAAGTCCCTCACTGCTCTGACATTCTCGGATTCTCACGGCTCTGCAGGCAACTCAACTCCAGGCTCTGTCCCTGGAGCTGTCCAGATCCTCAGGGTCAGGAATTTGTGTTGTGTCTGTGTTGCTTATTGCTGCAGTCCCAGCATCTAGAACAGTGCTTATTAATACTCATTTGGTGGCATAAATTGGCTGCATGGTGAGCATCTTTCTTGAGCCCCCACCATCTGGCACGCCCTGAGCTAGGCACTGAGGGTGTGGCGTTGAATCAGGCCTGGTCCCTGCCCTTAGGAGCTTGCGGCATGGGAAGGAGGTGAACGTACAAAAATCATTGTCACTTCCACAGCAATGTGGTCCCTGCCGTCTACTGAGCCGCTTCCGTGCACAGAGTGCTTTGCCTTTGTCACTGCCTCGCAGCCTCCACTGGCCACATAGGGTCCTGATGGTCATGGCTACTTCACTGGTGAGAAACTCAAAGCTCAGAGAGGCAAGATGACTTGCCACGCTCACCCAGCTGGTGTGGAGCAGAGGTGGGATTTGAACTCAGGGCTTTTGGCCCCAAGTACGTCAGCTCTGCCTCACGTTAACAACTCAAACACGAGAGGCCGTGCAGGTCTAGATGAGAGATGCTTCCAGCCATGGGACTCCGGAGGGCCCTGGGGTCAGAGGAGGTGAGTCTGCAGAGGTTCTAGGAGGACATTGAACCAGGGAGGGTGTGGGTGGCTGGAGAGACAAGGGGCCGGCTCTCTTGGCAGAGGCCATGTTAAAGTAAGGTCAGTGGGCAGTGCAGTGAGGGGCAGGGCCCCGCAGGAGCCAGGGCTCCCTCACACAGGGCTGCAGTAACTCTCAAAGGCACTGATGACGAGGGACGGTGCAGGACCCCAGGATTAACAGCAGCAGGGAGTCCTTCAGTGCCAAGGTCTGAGGAGGGGCAGTCAGAGCCAGCTAGAGAGCTGCATGTGGAGCTCCGCCGAGAAGGGCTGTGGCCTTTGGGGGAGGAATGCAGCCAATCCGGAGACACAGCAGGGGAGGTGCAGGGAGATGAACGCCTGTTCTCTCATCTCCTGCTAGTGGCCCCAGTGGCCAAGCCCACCCTGAAGCCAGAGGGCCTGCCTGCACAGGGCCTCTGGGACCACAGAGCAGGATGGCAGGGGTGAGGGTACAGATCAGCTTGTTGGGAAAGACGGAAGAGACCCTGAGCAAGGAGCTCTTGAGGATAGGGAATTTTAATGGTTGTCAAAGCCAGGCCAAGACAGTCACTTAGTCATTCAGAAAACATTTACAGTTTCCGCATCAGGCTCCGTGTAGGCAGGAAGAGTCAGAGACAGAGACAAGAGCAAATGCTTATTTAGTGCCGTCTACACACCAGGCACCACCTAACACTGCAGGTATTCACTCCTTTCACCCTCGCAGGCCCTATGAGGTGATGTCAGTGTGACCCCCACTTGAAACATGATGAAACTGAGATACAGAAGGATAAAGTCACCTGCCACATCATGCTTTAGTAAGTGGCGATGCTGGAGCTGGACTCTGGAGCTTCCACCCTTAGTGCCCATGCTCTGGCCCCTCCTAGACCATGCCTGGTCTTGCTGGCATAAGACGCAGTGCCTGTCCCACAGTGTTCACGTTCTAGTGGAGGAGCAGACACACAGATGACAGCAACACCGGTGATAAGGACCATTCCAAGGACTGCATAAGATGCTAACTCCACCTTGGAGCAAGAAGGCAGGCTTCCCAGAGAGATGGCATTTTGCCTGGGATGCTGACGAATGCAGAGGAGTTTGCCAGGTAGCCAGGCAAGGCAGGGGAGAGGGCATTTTAGGCAGTGGACACAGCATGAGCGAAGGTGTGGAGGGAAGAGACTGTATCAGCAGTGTAGGAATTGACAAGCTGGTTAGTGTTGCTGGGGCACAAAGTGCAGGGTAGGAAGTGGGGGATGGAAAGCAGCCCCTATGCTCATCCCCTCCCCCTGCTAACAGGGCATCCCAGTGAGTGGTCATTGTCCTGGTCTGAGATCCTCAAGGGCATGGCCAGTGTGTTAATCTGTTCTTGCATCGCTATAAGGAAATACCAGAGTCCAGGTAATTTATAATTGGCTCAAGATTCCACAGGCTGTCCGGGAAGCATGACGGCATCTGCTCGGCTTCTGGGGAAGCCTCAGGAAACTTACAATCATGATGGAAGGTGAAGGGGAAGCAGGCATGTCACATGGCCAGAGCAGGAGCAAGAGAGCAAAAGAGGAGGTGCCACACACTTTTAAATGACCTGATCTCCCGAGAACTTACTGTCTTGAGGGCAGCAGGAAGCAGATGGTGCTAAACCATTCATGAGAACTCCATACGCACCATCCAGTCACCTCCCACCAGGCCCCACCTCCAACACTGGAGATTACAATTGAACATGAAATGTGGGAGGACAGACAGATCCAACCTATATCAGCCAGGGTTTTCTGTTCAGGGCCATGAAGTGTAACGTCTCAGTATGGATCACAACACCCTTGGTGCTCTGGCTTTGCCAACCTTCAGCATCACATACATTGCCTTGGTTTCCCCATCTTGGCAAATGGAGTGAGTTATAGTGATAATGCAAAGATTTTGGAGTTTGCCGGACCTGGGTTCAAATCCTGGCTCAGCCTCTTAGCTTTGTGGCATGGGACATGTCACTTAACCTCTCTGTGCCTCTCTTTCCTCATCTGTAAAATGGAGATAGTAATATCTCTACATGGGGTTGTTGTGAATATTAAGTGAACTAATATACATAAAGCATTTAGTGCAGTGCCAGGCACATAGCAAGTGCTCAGTAAATAGTAGCCTCATTATTATTATTTTTTTGTTATCGTCATCACCCCCTAATCTTTCACTATGCATGTATCAAATTTTATGTAATTGAGATCATGCTTTTATTCAGTTTTTTCTTCTCCTTTTTTTTATTTCTGAGAGAGGGTCTCACTCTGGAGTGTAGTGGCATGATCACAGCTCACTGCAGCCTCGACCTCCTGGGCTCAGGTGATCCCTCCATCTTAGCCACCCGAGTAGCTGGCACACCCAGCTAATTTTTTGTATTTTTTTTTGGTATTTGGTATAGATGAGGTTTCACCATGTGTTTCACTGGTCTTGAACTCCTGAGCTCAAGCAATTTGCCCACTTTGGCCACCCAAAGTGCTGGGATTACAGGTGTAAGCCACCACCCCTGGCCTTTTTCTCTTATGTATTATTATATTGGGAACATTTTTCCAATCCTTAGAAATTTCTCAAAAGCATCATGTTAATAACTTTATAACAGACCAACATTTGGATGCATTAAATTTGGTATCACCATCTTTTAGCTTAGATGCTTAGGGGCTACAATATTTCATTCTTATACATCATCAGACTTGGATAAACATCTTGGGGCATTATCTTTGCCTGAATCCCTGATCCCTTCTTCAAGACAGATTCTTAAAAGTGCAATCAGTGCATCAAAGGATATAAATATGTTGAAGCCTCATGGTCTTTATTACTTAATCACTTTCTTGAATGATTTGCTTGACACTCCCCTCAGCAGCACTGCCTGAGAATGTCTATTTCACCACACATTCACTAGCATTATGTATTAATGTTTTATTTGCTTTTTTTTGTTTTACTGATTTGATTGGTCCCAGATGATATTTCATGGTGTCATTAGCACACGGAGCCCTGGCCTGTGGCTCCTATTTCCCAGCAACTTGATAATCAAATGAAATTCTGGAGCTTCCAGGAAGCTGCTTGACAAGGACAAGAACCAGCCTGGGATGAAGCAGCCCCAAGTAGGGAGTCAGAGGAGCTGGTTCCATCTCTGCCTCAACTGCTGTGTGCCACAGGCATGGCTCTCTCCTCCTCCAGGTCTCCCTCTACCCACTTGCCACAGTAGCCTCCCATCTGGTCTCCCTCCCTGCAGCCAATCCAGTGCCCAGAACACTGCCTGACGCACAGTAGGTGTTCAAGAAATCTTTGCTGAAACCTGAAATGTCACGTGCTCTTTGAAAAAGACAGGTTGGCTGTAGAATTCTCTTGCTTCCATCTTTTGCTCAAGCTCTCCTTCACTTAGAGTGACTTGCTTTCTCTCTCTTCACTGCGCTTCATGCAGGCATGGTTTGTCAAGGTGGTGAAAGACCCAGACTCTGAAGCCAGGCAACCTGGGTGTGAATCTTGGCTCCAGGACCTAGCAACTGTGTAAACTTAGGCATCTTTACCTCTCTGTGCCTCAATTTCCCATTCTGGAAAATTAGAGTAATAATGACTACTTCTATAGGTTGCCCTGAAGAGTAGATAATTAAAGGTATATATGGAGGATTTAGCATAGCCCCAGACGCAGATACCCACTATATAAAACATTTGTGGAATTGGATTTCATGGGACAAATTTAAGCCAGGAGAAACTTCTGATCCCAGCAGCTCGTGTCTTAGGAAGAGCTCCTGTGAAAGCCCTGTGTTCCCCACCCCTCACTTCTCACCCATCACCCCTATAAGCTGGTCCCCAGCCAGGCTGTGAGACCGCGGGCAGCCCCACCCTGTCCCGGGCTGATGGATTCTCCCTTCACTCTCTTGTCCTTGCAGCGATTTCCTCCGTGCATCCTGAGCCAGCACACAGCTCATTTGTTCCCTAATGGGCGCCTCTGACAATATTGGTCTCGGAGGACACGGTACTCCATCGTCTCTGACACTCGCCTCCGCAGACTTCCTCTAAAAGGGACTGTCTCCACTGCATGCTGTCCTCAGAATGTGGGCAGATTTTACATCTTACAGATGAGGTGGTGTCAGCGGGAAAAGCTGGGGGTTTCAGGTGACACCAGAGCCACCAGGGGCCCAGACTAGGGACAGGCAGGCGATGGCTTCTATCAGAGTCTGGGTCTCCTCCTCTGAGGAGGGACCTTATTCAGGAGATGGTTGTGAGGATTCCAGGGGATAAAGAATGCAGGGCTGGCACCATGCCTGGCACACAAGGGACGGATGATCATCACTGTCATTGTCAACGGTGGCAGCAGATGTCCACGGAGATGCTGGATTCTCATCCACTCCCATATGTTCAGTTTTCTCCAAATCACCTGCCTGTCCACACTCACCAACAGAGGCCGAATCGGGGTTAGTATCAGAGAAGTGGGTTTGATGGAAGCCCTCACTCCCTCTCCTGTCTGCTGCCCTCCCTGGTTTTTTGCAGGATATCAGGGGTGGGTTCCAGAACATGCTCCTGTGCTTGGACCTCTGTTCAGGTACATAATCCTGGCCAGGGAGGCCCCAGTGTGAGAGGGACCAGGGGACAGTTGCAGGGGACAGTTGCAGAGGCCCATCCCCCCTGGGGACTGGGAGCCTCAATGGATAGGACCTTTGCTCCTCAGAGGTCCGGGTTGGAGTCCCTGTGGGTTCACGAAATGAAACTTCTTCTGTTCACTGAGCCTCCTAGCAAGGCAGTGTCAGGGCTTTCTGTGACCTGCAAGGGCTCAGGCTTTGTGAGGGGTGTGAGGATGCCTGGCTAAGATGAGGACACTGCGCTCACAGACCTCAGGGGCAGTGCCTGTGGCCTCTTGGAGGAGCCGAGAACACAAAACCCCCAGGTATAAGGTGAGACGCCTCATCTCCACCACCAAATCATCAAGCCAACCCTGCGTCTCCCTTCCCTTCACTCAGGGATTGAGAAGGAAGCTGAAACATCCACCTTGTCAGTAGGGAAGAAAAGGCAACAAAGGGATGTGTGTATGTGTGTGTGTGTGTGTGTGTGTGTGTGTGCATGCCTTGCATTTGCTAGTTGGGAAAACATAATGCCAGCCTGGAAAAGTGCCACAGGGAAGCCTGTTTGTCATTTCTACTGCGCCACCCCTGTCCTGGCACCACGCCTCTCCCCGGGCCCTGTTTTCTTCCCTTCCATAATTATTCACTGAATTGCTGCTGTGCACCCCAGGCTGGGGTGGCCAGGCACCATGGTGATCCATCACGGCCCCTCCAAGCCAGGCTTGGAGGGAGGAGTGGGGGTGGAGGTTGCACAGAGGAAGGAGGGGGCAAAAGAGACCTCGAGATTCAGAGGTGGAAATGGAATCCATCACCGTCCTCCCTCCGGACAGCTGCAGATATGCAGCATGGACAGTTCTACCTCCCCATCCCTCTACTGCAATCAGCTCTGCAAACACTCACCTTGAGAATTCACCAGTGAGTAGAGTATGGGTTCTAGACCCTCCAAACTTCAGTGTGACCCTGTGCAAGTGGGTTGAGAGACTGTCCTGGGATGGGGTGGGACTTAAAAATTCTAGATACTGAGAGGCGGGGCCCAGGCCTCAGTATTGCCGAAAAGTCCCCAGGAGATTCTGATGCAGAGTCAGGCTTGGGGACCACTGAGCTACACCAACCAGCCCACTGTACAGAGAGAGAAACTGATGACCTGGGGCCTGCATGCCTCAGTGGGGCTGATCACTAAGGTTCTTCCAGCTGACAACCTGAGCAACAGTGACATCTTGGTTAAGAGCCAGGGCTTCAATCCCCAGTCAGCCTCTCACCAGCTGTGTGACCTTGGGCAAGTGGCTGCACCTCTCTGAGCTTCTCTTCTGGGGACTGATGAGATGGTGCCTGCTGCATGGGGATGTGGGAGGATGTATGGGGCCGGCGACTCCAAAGTGCTCACCCAGTGCTCACACTGGGGCCCAGTCACTGTTAAGAGACTGTCACTGGGACTCCGGTTATGTGGACTTAGTTGTGCCACAGGGTTCCGTCCTGGGAGGCCACAGTCTGTGGGACCACAGGGGCTCCCCCTGCCCACCCTCCCACTTTCCTCCCACTTGCTGTTCCTACTTCCTCTCCTTCCAGGGTTGAGGGCAGGGGGCGGGGCTGCAGTGGCTCCACCTGCTCCTCCCCTTCCCACCCTGTCCCCGTTCTTCTCCCACTTAACAAACAGCTTCACTTAAAAAGCCATCTGGGAGGATGGATGGCACAAGGCACATTTTGCAGAATAAATTTCTAGGGAGAAAAGCCAAGAAATTCAAGGCACAGCACTTAGGATTCCAGTCTCATTAGGGCCCTAGCTCTGACTGCTGGAGAATCACATGCCTGTGCTGTGCATCCTGCTCGCCCAGCCCCGCCTGGCCCCGCTGCCTTCCCACATTCTGGGCTTTGTTCTCATTTGTCTTACCGGGGGCCTGCTCCCCATGTCTCCAGTGGCTTCCCTCCCTCTGGATAAACTTCCTTATCTTTCACCAGGATGGGCTGCATCTGGGGCTTTCCTCATCCCACGGTCCTCTTCTGTGTAGTCGTTGCCTTACCTTGGGTAGCTGCTCCCTCTCTCTATAGAGGTCCTGGGTGAAGATTCCTAGGGCAGATGTGGGAGCCAATGGGTGGATGTCCCGAGAAAGAAGTGTGTCCAAAGTTGGGATGGGTGGGCAGCGCTGGGGAGGGGTAATGAGTTCCCCGATACTGGAGGTGTGCACAGAAGATGGGTGAGCACTCAGCAGAGGGGCCTTGTAGGAAGCAAACAGCAGAGAGGCTGAGAGGCCTGGGCTAAGTTCTGACCACACTGATTACAAGGGGATCTGACTTCAGCAACCGACTTGCCTCAGTTCATTTTGTGTTGCTGTCACAGAATACCACGGATTGGGTAATTTATGAAGAACTGAAATTGAGTTTCTTGTAGCTCTGGAGGCTTGGAAATCCCAGATCAAGGCTCTGGCATCTGTGAAGACCTTGCTGTGTCCTCACAGGATGGGGGGTCTTCCATCAAACCCTCTATAAGGGCCCCTAATCCCATTCTTGAGGGAGGAGCCCTCACGGCCTAGTCACCACTTAAAGGTCCCACCTTTTAATGCTATTACATCGGCAACACCTGGATTTTGGAGGGGCACCTTCAAATCATAGCATTTCTCCCCTAGCCTCCCCCAAATTCGTGTTCTTCTCACATATGAAATATATTCATCCCATCCCAGTAGCCCCAAAAGGTCTTAACTCATTCTACCATCTACTTTAAGTTGGTAAGTAAGGCCTAAGTGCAAAGTCTCATCTAATCAAACATGGGAGAGACTCAAGGCACTCATCCTGAGGCAGATTCCCTTCCAGCTGTGAGCCTGTGAAATCAAACACATTTTGTGTGCTTCCAAAATACAATGGTGGGAGAGATGCAGGTCAGACATTTCCATTTCAAAAGGGATAAATAAACAAGAAAAAAGGGGGCTGGGCACCTGTAATCCCAGCACTTTAGGAGGCCAAGGCGGGCAGATCACGAGGTTAGGAGTTCGAGACCAGCCTGACCAACATGGTGAATCCCAGTCTCTACTAAAAATACAAAAATTAGCTGGGCATGGTGGTGTGCACCTGTAATCCCAGCTACTCAGGAGGCTGAGGCAGGAGAATCACTTGAGCCCAGGAGATGGCGGTTGCAGTGAGCCGAGATCATGCCACTGCACTCCAGTTTGGGCAACAGAGCGAGCCCCATCGAAAAAAAAAAAAAGAAAAAGGGGGGTGGGTAACAGGTCCCAGGTAAGTCCAAAACCCAACAGGGCAAACAGCATTACATCTTAAGGCTTGAGAATAATCATTGACTCCATGTCCAGCCTTCCAGACACATGGGGCGGGTGTTGGGAACCCAAGGCCCTAGCAACCCTTCCCCCATAGCCTTGCTGGCTGCAGTTCTCATGAATTGGAGTCTCATGCCTTTGGCTCTCTCAGGCTGGAGTTTTGCATGCTGGTGGCTCTACAGCTCTGGGGTCTCGGGGGCAGCCTCACTCCCATGGCACCACAAGGCATTGCCCTCGTGGGGAGCTCTCTGTGGCAGCTCTATCTCTGCAGCAGGTCTCTACCTGGGCCCACAGGCTTTCTGATGTATCCATTCACATCTACCTCCACAGCTCCCGCACTCTGCAGCCTCCAAGGCTCACTGCTTGAGCTCTCTGGTGCAGTGGCCTAAGCCACATCTGGGTCTGCTTGAGCCATAGCTGGGGTGGTCAAGGAGCACTGTGCCTGAATGAGGGGAGCAGAGACACATGGTGGTCCTGAGCAGAGTCCTGAGGCCCCATGTGTGTCCTGGGTCCTTCCTCTGAAACCCTTCTGTCCCCAAGGCCCTAGTACCCTGGGCCTGTGATGGGTGTGGCAGCCCCCAAAGATCTCCAAAATGCCTTTTGGTTATTCTTCCATTCTCTGGATGAAGAGCACCTGGCTTCCTTCTATCCATAAGGATCTCCTTCTCATTTCTGTCTGAGACCTCATCAGAATGGCCTTCACTATACGTTTTCCTACAGCATTCTGGTCATGACCACTTAAGTAATTTCTAAGAAGACTGAGACTTTCTCTACAGCTCTTGTTTTCTGAGCCCTCACCAGAATCACCCTTACTTAATACCCTGTTCATAGCAATGCAGGCTTTTTCTAGATTCGCTTCAAAATTGTTCCAGTCTGTACCCCATCACCTGCTTCCAAAACTGTCTCCACATTTTTAAGTATTTGTTATAGCAACACTCCATTGCTTTGGTAACAATTCCTGTCTCAGTCCATTTGTGCTGCTATAGCAAAATTCCACAGACTGGGTCATTTATAAAGAACAGAAATTTATTTCTCACAGTTCTGGAGGCTGGGAAGTCCACGATGGAGGCATTGGCAGGTTTGTCTGGTGAGGGTCTGTTTCTGCTTCCATAATGGAGCTTTGAAAGCTGCATCCTCCAGAGGGGATTAATACTGTATTCATATGGCGGAAGGCAGAAGGGCAAAAAAGGGCCAGCTTCCTTCCACCAAGCCATTTTATAGTAGCCTTAGTCTGACCTAATAGCCTCCTCCAAGGCCCTGCCTCCCAGCACTGTTGCATTGGGGATAAAGTTTCCAATACATGAATTTTGGGAGATATTTTCAGACCATAGCATGACATGCCGAACTTCAGTTTTTTTCTTCTGGAAAGTCGGGCAAACTAAAAGTTTCTACTTCCCAGAGTTGTCATGGGGACTAAATGACATGTGTTCAAAGCAGTGGGCACAGTGTCTGGCACAATTTGTACTTAATGAATATTGGAGATGATCATTATCAGAAAGTGTTCACTCCTTTGAGCAAGCTAAGATTCCAAATTGCTGTAGTTCAAAAAGCCCAAGACTTTGAGATTCTATGATTAAATCATCTCAAGATTTGAAGACTTCTTTGGATTCTAAGCCTTTAAGATATTATGCTTTTATTCATGTCCCAGATGGACTAATGCAATGAATTTATCCTTGAACAACCGAAAGAAAGGAAGAAAGAAAGAAAGAGAAAGAAGGAAGGAAAGAAAGAAAGAAAGAAAAAGAGAAAAATAAAGAAAGAGAAAGAAAAATATATAAACTGATGTTTTTGTAAAGACACTGGACATCAGATAACCAAGGACAGTGATCCCTGAGGAAAAGTGATACAAGGGAGACGAGTCCTCTGATGACCCCCAGCTCACTGCCTGAGGACGGTTTTCAGATCGCTGTGCAGGAAGCAGGAGCCCAGGTGGAGCCCAGCAGGCTCCTGGAATGGAGGAGAGGAGCAGAGTCAGGGAGACTCAGACAGCTCGAGTTTACAAGGATGGAGCACCAGAGAGGAGAGAGCTGCACAAGAAAAGAGAACCCCAGAGATGTACAGGGGGTGCCCCTCAAGTATTTGACTGAGTACTGGTCAGTCCTTTGTGTGATAACAATGCCAGGAGAGAACCATTTGAAAGTACTGGGGTGAACAGCAGCCAGCACTGGTCCAAGACCAGGAATAATGGCTGTGTTCACTGGCTAGACTGAAAACTTTCAGAATTTGTGGGGCACGGGGCAGAGTGCTCAAAAAGATCTTGTCTCAGATGTGGGGAATTATTCGTTCTAGACTAAATTATGTACATCTTTTAGTTTCCTAGGGCTGCCACAAACCAGGTGACTGAAAACAAGAGAAATTAATTCCCTCGCAGTTCAGGAGGCCAGAAGTCTGAAATCAAGGTGTTGGCAGGGTTAGTTCCTTCTGGAGTCTGTGAAGGAGAATCAGTTCCATGCCTGTCTCTCAGCTTCTGGTGGTAATCTCTGGCAATCTTGGCTTGTAGGTACATCGCTCTAATCTCTGCTTCTATCTTCACATTACGTTCTTCTCTGTGTGTCTTCATATGACCTTTTTTTCCCCACTGTCACCCAGTCTGGAGTGCAGTGGTGTGATCATGGCTCACTGCAGCCTCAATCTGGGCTTAAGTGATCTTCCCACTTCAGCCTCTTGAGTAACTGGGACAATAGGCGCACACCACCATGCCCAGATAATTTTTGTATTTTTAGTAGTGATGGGGTTTCACCATGTTGCCCAGGCTGGTCTTGAATTCCTGGGCTCAAGCAATCCACCTGTCTTGGTCTCCCAAAGTTCTGGGATTACAGGCATGAGCCACTATTCCTGGCCCATATGACTTTCTTATACGGACACCAGTCACTGGATTTAGGGCTTGCCCTAATCCAGTATGATCTCATTTTAACTAATTACCTCTGCAAACACCCTATTTCCAAATAAGGTCCCATTTTGAAGTTTCACATGGACAGGATTTTGTGGGGGACACTGTTTAACACAGTACAACAAGTTAAAGGTAATACCCAGAAGGATCAAGCTGTTTCCAAGTAATTTAACTATATCCCAGAGCAAAGCTCAATAATATTTACAGGAATACAAAAAAGAAAAAAAAGATCCAATACCCACCAGGGTAAAATTTAAAATGTCTAGCACCTAAACAAAAATTACCAGCCATACAAAGAGGCACAAAAGCACAACCCATAATGAAGAGAATAATGAATTAATTGACATCAACTCAAAACTGATGCCAATATTCTAATGAGAAGACAAGGACATGAAGCTAGCTATTGAACTGTATCCCAGTTGTTCAAAACATAAAGACACGAAGTGCATAAAGGTCCTAACTTGAATTCTAGAACTCAATATCTGCGATGTAAAATTCAGTGGATAAGATCAACAGTAGGCAACATCTTTAATGTAACGAAAGAAAAAAACTGTTAACCTAGATTTCTCTACCCAGCAAAAATATTGTATTAGTCTGTTCTTGCATTGCTATAAAGAACTACCCAAGACTGGGTAATTTATAAAGAAAAGAGGTGTCATTGGCTCGTGGTTCTGCAGGCCTTACAGGAGGCATGGCTGGGAAGTCCTCAGGAAACTTACAATCATGGCGGAAGGCAAGGAGGAAGCAGGCACATCTTCCGTGGTCAGAGTAGAAGGAAAAGAGAGAAGGGGGAGGTGCTGCATGCTTTTAAACAATCAGATCTCATGAGAACTCACTATCACGAGAAACGGCAAGGGGGAAATCTGCCCCCATGATCCAATCACCTCCCACTAGGCCCCTCTTCCAACACTGGGGATTACAATTTGACGTGAGATTTGGGTGTGGACACAGACCGAAACCATATCAAACAGCTTCCAAAAAATGAAGGCAAAATAAAGATGTTTTTAGCCATATGAAAGCTGAAATAATTAATCACAGAATACTATAAGAAGTGATATAAGAAGTCCTTCAGGAAGAAAAATGATACTGTGTGAAATTGATTATGTGCTGCATAATGACATTTTGGTCAACGACAGACCACACAGACAACAATTGTCTATACGATTATAATGCAGCTGAAAAATTCCTATTGCCTAGTGATGCGGCCATCATGACATCATAACACAACACATTGCTCACGTGTTTGTGGTGATGCCGGGGTAAACAAACCTATTCCGCTGCCAGTCATATAAAAGTCTAGCACATACAATTATATACAGTACAGAATACTTGATGATAACAAATCACCATGTTACTGGTTTATGTACTTACTATATTATACGTTTTATCACTACGTTAGAGTACACTTCTTCTACTTATAAAAAAAAGTTAACTATAAAACAGCCTCAGGGGTTGGGTGTGGTGGCTCATGCCTATAATCCCAGCACTTTGGGAGTCCGAGGCAGGTGGATCATGAGGTCAAGAGATCGAGACAACCCTGGCCAACACAGTGAAACCCCGTCTCTACTAAAAAAATACAAAAATTACCTGGACGTGGTGGTGTGCGCCTGTAGTCACAGCTACTCGGGAGGCTGAGGCAGGAGAATTGTTTGAACCCGGGAGGCAGAGGTTGCAGTAAGCCAAGATTGTGCCACTACACTCCAGCCTGGGTGACAAAGTGAGACTCCATCTCAAAAACAAAAACAAAAACAAAAACAAAAACAAAAACAAAAAAAAACAGCCTCAGGCAGGTCCTTCAGGAGGTATCCAGAAGAAGGCACTGTTACCACGGGAGATGACAGCTCTGTGAATATTGTTGCCCCTGAAGACCTTCCAGTGGGATAAGATATAGAGGTAGAAGACAGTGATACTGATGATCCTGACCCTGTGCAGGCCTGGGCTAATGTATGTGTTTGTGCCTTAGTTTTTAACCACAGAAAACAGTTTAAATAGGAAAAATTTATTTTTTTGTAAAGACTTACAGAATAAGGATACAAAGAAATAAAATATTTTTGTACAGCTATACAATGTTTGTGTTTTAAGTTAAGTGTTATTACAAAACAGTAAAAAATTTAAAAAGTTTATAAAGTAAAAAAGTCGCAGTAAGCTTAGGTTAATTTGTTTTTGTTTTTTTTTCAATCAGATAATGAACTTTATTCATTTTAAGAAACCCTAATTTTAAGGAGGAAGTCATTTATTTATTTGTTCAATAATAGACAATTCTGATCATTTATCTAGACTTTTAACATAATGTGATTACTTACAACAGAATGGGTTTCTGCATTGTGAAAGATGAATACGATCATTTACTTGGGCCGTTTCTTGTGAAAATACATTTAATCTGGTAATATTTTATAATCTAACACTGTGATTGCTTTTACTATACTAGAAGGATTTCAACTAGATACAACTGAATTATTATTATTTTTTTTGAGGGGATGGATTTTTTTAATTTTATTATTATTACACTTTAAGTTTTAGGGTACATGTGCACAATGTGCAGGTTTGTCACATATGTATACATGTGCCATGTTGGTGTGCTGCACCCATTAACTCGTCATTTAGCATTAGGTATATCTCCTAATGCTATCCTTCCCCCCTCCCCCGACCCCACAACAGTCCCCGGTGTGTGATGTTCCCCATCCTGTGTCCATTTGTTCTCATTGTTCAATTCCCACCTATAAGTGAGAACATGTGGTGTTTGGTTTTTTGTGCTTGCAATAGTTTGCTGAGAATGATGGTTTCCAGTTTCATCCATGTCCCTACAAAGGACATGAACTCTTCATTTTTTATGGCTGCATAGTATTCCATGGTGTATATGTGCCATATTTTCTTAATCCAGTCTATCGTTGTTGGACATTTGGGTTGGTTCTAAGTCTTTGCTATTGTGAATAGTGCTGCAGTAAACATATGTGTGCATGTGTCTTTATAGCAGCATGATTTGTAATCCTTCGGGTCTATACCCAGTAATGAGATGGCTGAGTCAAATGGTATTTCTAGTTCTAGATCCCTGAGGAATCGCCACACTGACTTCCACAATGGTTGAACTAGTTTACAGTCCCACCAACAGTGTAAAAGTGTTCCTATTTCTCCACATCCTCTCCAGCACCTGTTGTTTCCTGACTTTTTAATGATCGCCATTCTAACTGGTGTGAGATGGTATCTCATTGTGGTTTTGATTTGCATTTCTCTGATGGCCAGTGATGATGAGCATTTTTTCATGTGTTTTTTGGCTGCATAAATGTCTTCTTTTGAGAAGTGTCTGTTCATATCCTTCGCCCACTTTTTGATGGGGTTGTTTGTTTTTTTCTTGTAAATTTGTTTGAGTTCATTGTAGATTCTGGATATTAGCCCTTTGTCAGATGAGTAGGTTGCAAAAATTTTCTCCCATTTTGTAGGTTGCCTGTTCACTCTGATGGTAGTTTCTTTTGCTGTGCAGAAGCTCTTTAGTTTAATTAGATCCCATTTGTCAATTTTGTCTTTTGTTGCCATCGCTTTTGGTGTTTTAGCCATGAAGTCCTTGCCCATGCCTATGTCCTGAATGGTATTGCCTAGGTTTTCTTCTAGGGTTTTTATGGTTTTAGGTCTAACGTTTAAGTCTTTAATCCATCTTGAATTGATTTTTGTATAAGGTGTGAGGAAGGGATCCAGTTTCAGCTTTCTACATATGGTTAGCCAGTTTTCCCAGCACCATTTATTAAATAGGGAATCCTTTCCCCATTGCTTGTTTTTGTCAGGTTTGTCAAAGATCAGATGGTTGTAGATATGTGGCATTATTTCTGAGGGCTCTGTTCTGTTCCATTGATCTGTATCTCTGTTTTGGTACCAGTATCATGCTGTTTTGGTTACTGTAGCCTTGTAGTATAGTTTGAAGTCAGGTAGCATGATGCCTCCAGCTTTGTTCTTTTGGCTTAGGATTGACTTGGTGATGCGGGCTCTTTTTTGGTTCCATATGAACTTTAAAGTAGTTTTTTCCAATTCTGTGAAGAAAGTCATTGGCACCTTGATGGAGATGGCGTTCAACGTATAAATTACCTTGGGCAGTATGGCCATTTTCATGATATTGATTCTTCCTACTCATGAGCATGGAATGTTCTTCCATTTGTTTGTATCCTCTTTTATTTCGCCGAGCAGTGGTTTATAATTCTCCTTGAAGAGGTCCTTCACATCCCTTGTAAGTTGGATTCCTAGGTATTTTATTCTCTTTGAAGCAATTGTGAATGGGAGTTCACCATGATTTGGCTCTCTGTTTGTCTGTTATTGGTGTATAAGAATGCTTGTGATTTTTGTACATTGATTTTGTATCCTGAGACTTTGCTGAAGTTGCTTATCAGCTTAAGGAGATTTTGGGCTGAGACGATGGGGTTTTCTAGATATACAATCATGTCATCTGCAAACAGGGACAATTTGACTTCCTCTTTTCCTAATTGAATATCCTTTATTTCCTTCTCCTGCCTGATTGCCCTGGCCAGAACTTCCAACACTATGTTGAATAGGAGTGGTGAGAGAGGGCATCCCTGTCTTGTGCCAGTTTTCAAAGAGAATGCTTCCAGTTTTTGCCCATTCAGTATGAGATTGGCTGTGGGTTTGTCATAGATAGCTCTTATTATTTTGAGATACGTCCCATCAATACCTAATTTATTGAGAGTTTTTAGCATGAAGGGCTGTTGAATTTTGTCAAAGGCCTTTTCTGCATCTATTGAGATAATCATGTGGTTTTTGTCTTTGGTTCTGTTTATATGCTGGATTACATTTATTGATTTGCGTATGTTGAACCAGCCTTGCATCCCAGGGATGAAGCCCACTTGATCATGGTGGATAAGCTTTTTGATGTGCTGCTGGATTCGGTTTTCCAGTATTTTATTGAGGATTTTTGCATCAATGTTCATCAAGGATATTGGTCTAAAATTCCCTTTTTTGGTGTGTCTCTGCCAGGCTTTGGTATCAGGATGATGCTGGCCTCATAAAATGAGTTAGGGAGGATTCCCTCTTTTTCTATTGATTGGAATATTTTCAGAAGGAATGGTACCAGCTCCTCCTTGTACCTCTGGTAGAATTCGGCTGTGAATCCATCTGGTCCTGGACTTTTTTTGGTTGGTATGCTATGATTACTGCCACAATTTCAGAACCTGTTATTGATCTATTCAAAGATTCAACTTCTTCCTGCTTTACTCTTGGGAGGGTGTATGTGTTGAGGAATGTATCCATTTCTTCTAGATTTTCTAGTTTATTTGTGTAGAGGTGTTTGTAGTATTCTGTGATGGTAGTTTGTATTTCTGTGGGATCGGTGGTGATATCCCCTTTATCATTTTTTGTTGCGTCTATTTGATACTTCTCACTTTTCTTCTTTATTAGTCTTGCTAGCGGTCTATTGATTTTGTTGGTCTTTTCAAAAAACCAGCTCCTGGATTCCTTAATTTTTTCAAAGGTTTTTTGTGTCTCTATTTACTTCAGTTCAGCTCTGATTTTAGTTATTTCTTGCTATCTGCTAGCTTTTAAATGTGTTTGCTCTTGCTTTTCTAGTTCTTTTGATTGTGACATTATGGTGTCGATTTTGGATCTTTCCTGCTTTCTCTTGTGGACATTTAGTGCTATAAATTTCCCTCTACACACTGCTTTGAACGTGTCCCAGAGATTCTGGTATGTTGTGTCTTTGTTCTCATTGGTTTCAAAGAACATCTTTATTTCTGCCTTCATTTCGTTATGTACCCAGTAGTCATTCAGGAGCAGGTTGTTCAGTTTCCATGTAGTTGAGCGGTTTGGAGTGAGTTTCTTAGTCCTGAGTTCTAGTTTGATTGCACTGTAGTCTGAGAGACAGTTTGTTATAATTTCTGTTCTTTTACATTTGCTGAGGAGTGCTTTACTTCCAACTATGTGGTCAATTTTGGAATAGGTGTGGTGTGGTGCTGAAAAAAATGTATATTCTGTTGATTTGGGGTGGAGAGTTCTGTAGATGTCTATTAGGTCCGCTTGCTGCAGAGCTGAGTTCAATTCCTGGGTATCCTTGTTAACTTTCTGTCTCATTGATCTGTCTAATGTTGACAGTGGGATGTTAAAGTCTCCCATTATTAATGTGTGGGAGTCTAAGTCTCTTTGTAGGTCACTCAGGACTTGCTTTATGAATCTTGGTGCTCCTGTATTGGGTGCATATATATTTAGGATAGTTAGCTCTTCTTGTTGAATTGATCCCTTTACCATTATGTAATGGCCTTCTTTGTCTCTTTTGATCTTTGTTGGTTTAAAGTCTGTTTTATCAGAGACTAGGATTGCAACCCCTGCCTTTTTTTGTTTTCCGTTTGCTTGGTAGATCTTCCTCCATCCCTTTATTTTGAGCCTATGTGTGTCTCTGCACGTGAGATGGGTTTCCTGAATACAGCACACTGATGGGTCTTGACTCTTTATCCAATTTGCCAGTCTGTGTCTTTTAATTGGAGCATTTAGTCCATTTACATTTAAAGTTAATATTGTTATGTGTGTATTTGGTCCTGTCATTATGATGTTAGCTGGTTATTTTGCTCATTAGTTGAGGCAGTTTTCTTCCTAGCCTTGATGGTCTTTACATTTTGGCATGTTTTTGCAGTGGCTGGTACCGGTTGTTCCTTTCCATGTTTAGTGCTTCCTTCAGGAGCTCTTTTAGGGCAGGCCTGGTGGTGACAAAATCTCTCAGCATTTGCTTGTCTGTAAAGGATTTTATTTCTCCTTCACTTATGAAGCTAGTTTGGCTGGATATGAAATTCTGGGTTGAAAATTCTTTTCTTTAAGAATGTTGAATATTGGCCCCCACTCTCTTCTGGCTTGTAGAATTTCTGCTGAGAGATCCGCTGTTAGTCTGATGGCCTTCCCTTTGTGGGTGTCCTGACCTTTCTCTCTGGCTGCCCTTAACATTTTTTCCCTCATTTCAACTTTGGTGAATCTGACAATTATGTGTCTTGGAGTTGCTCTTCTTGAGGAGTATCTTTGTGGTGTTCTGTGTGTTTCTCAAATCTGAATGTTTGCCTGCCTTGCTAGATTGGGGAAGTTCTCCTGGATTATATCCTGCAGAGTGTTTTCCAACTTGGTTCCATTCTCCCCGTCACTTTCAGGTACACCAATCAGACGTAGATTTGGTCTTTTCACATAGTCCCATATTTCTTGGAGGTTTTGTTTGTTTCTTTTTATTCTTTTTTTCTCTAAACTTCTCTTCTCGCTTCATTTCATTCATTTCGTCTTCCATCACTGATACCCTTTCTTCCAGTTGATCACATCGGCTCCTGAGGCTTCTGCATTCTTCATGTAGTTCTTGAGCCTTGGCTTTCAGCTCCGTCAGCTGCTTTAGGGACTTCTCTGCGTTGGTTATTCTAGTTATCCATTCGTCTAATTTTTTTTCAAAGTTTTTAACTTCTTTGCCATTGGTTTGAATTTCCTCCTGTAGCTCGGAGTAGTTTGATCATCTGGAGCCTTATTCTCTCAGCTCATTAAAGTCATTCTCCGTCCAGGTTTGTTCCGTTGCTGGTGAGGAGCTTCGTTCCTTTGGAGGAGGAGAGGCGCTCTGCTTTTTAGAGTTTCCAGTTTTTCTGCTCTGTTTTTTTCCCATCTTTGTGGCTTTATCTACTTTTGGTCTTTGATGATGGTGACATACAGAAGGGTTTTTGGTGTGGATGTCCTTTCTGTTTGTTAGTTTTCCTTCTAACAGACAGGACCCTCAGCTGCAGGTCTGTTGGAGTTTGCTAGAGGTCCACTCTAGACCCTGTTTGCCTGGGTATCAGCAGCGGTGGCTGCAGAACAGTGGTCGCTGTATAACAGCGGATCTTGGTGAACCGCAAATGCTGCTGCCTGATGGTTCCTCTGGAAGTTTTGTCTCAGAGGAGTACCCGGCCGTGTGAGGTGTCAGTCTGCCCCTACTGGGCGGTGCCTCCCAGTTAGGCTGCTCAGGGGTCAAGGACCCACTTGAGGAGGCAGTCTACCCATTCTCAGATCTCCAGCTGCGTGCTGGGAGAACCACTACTCTCTTCAAAGCTGTCAGACAGGGACATTTAAGTCTGCAGAGGTTATTGCTGTCTTTTTGTTTGTCTGTGCCCTGCTCCCAGAGGTGGAGCCTATAGAGGCAGGCAGGCCTCCTTGAGTTGTGGTGGGCTCCACCCAGTTTGAGCTTCCCGGCTGCTTTGTTTGCCTAATCAAGCCTGGGCAGTGGCAGGCACCCCTCTCCCAGCCTCGCTGCCACCTTGCAGTTTGATCTCAGACCGCTGTGCTAGCAATCAGGGAGACTCCATGGGCGTAGGACCCTCCGAGCCATGTGTGGGATATAATCTCCTGGTGTGCCGTTTTTTAAGCCCGCTGGAAAAGCACAGTATTAGGGTGGGAGTGATCTGATTTTCCAGGTGCCGTCTATCACCCCTTTCTTTGACTAGGAAAGGGAACTCCTTGACCCCTTGTGCTTCCCGAGTGAGGCAATGCCTCACCCTGCTTTGGCTCGTGCACGGTGCGCTGCACCCACTGTCCTGCACCCACTGTCTGGCACTCCCTAGTGAGATGAACCCGGTACCTCAGATGGAAATGCAGAAGTCACCCGTCTTCTGCGTCACTCACGCTGGGAGCTGTAGATCGGAGCTGTTCCTATTCGGCCATCTTGGCTCCACCCTCTGGTTGTTTTTGAAGAAAGAAAATATTATTTTATAAACCTAGAGTAACCTAAGTGTATGGGGTTTATAAGGTCTACAGTACCATACACTAATGCCCTGGGGCGTCACGTTCACTTACCACTCACTCACAGACTCACCCAGAGAAGCTTCTTGTCCTGCAAGCTCCATTCATGGTAAGTGCCTTACACACATGTACCATTTTTATATTTTATTCTGTATTTTTACTGTACCTTTTCTGTTTAGATACACAAATACTTACCATTGCATTACAGTTGCTTACAGTATTCAGTACAGCAATACACTGTAAGGTTTGTACCCTAGGAGCAATAGGCTATTTTATCTAGCCTAGGTGTGGAGTAGGCTCCACCATCTAGGTTTTTATAAGGACACTCTATGATGTTCCCGCAATGAAATCGGCTAATGCGTTTCTCAGAACTATCCTTGCCATTAGGCAACACATGACTGTATTTAGCTGTGATAAGAAAGAAGGACCAATGGGTGACGAGACCTGCTCATTCTGTCACAGCCCCAGAGGCTGTGGGGCCCATCCCTGAGGTCAGGGCAGGAGGAAAACATCCTGAGGAACCTATGGGCACTGGACAGAGAAAGTAGGGTGCAGTAGAAGCCATCTGTGGGGTTATGAGAGGCTTAGAGATCCCATGTGGACCATCAGTGTCTCCTAAACAGACCCACGAAGGGGTGCCAGGAGCAGGCAGGCATCCGGACCCACCACCGCCAGCCCCAGGTGAGTGCCTAGGCCTGCCCCGTCTAGGAAGCGAGGCCTTCAGAGCAGGAGAAGCAGGCCCTGGGTCCACTGCCCCTCCTTCCCTCTGACCATGACACCTCACAATGGCCCTGTCTCCAGTGCAGTGATAGGGCTGGGCTGGGCCTGCACAGTGCCGTCTCAAAGCTCCCAGGTGATCTGAGTGTGCAGCCAGGTGTGGACGATGCTCTAATGCCAGGGTTTGGGCTGTGTAACCCAGAGGCCAGGGGCAGAGGGGTCACCAGTATCCCCTCCCATCCATGTCTCCGTGGACTCAGGGGCTCTGCTAGGACCTCATTGTTGAATCTGCCCCACTGCTCCAGGCAGGAGGTGCTGTTCAGTGTCTTGGGAAGCATCTGCTGAGCACCTACTATGTGCTGGACCACGCAGAAGGGGACTGTGTGCTACCATCTGAAGCAAATAATTGATCCTCTTTCTCTCTCTCTCTTTTCTCTCTCTCTCTTTCTCTCTCTCTCTCTACCTGTCAAGGGCTCTCCACTGCCTGCTGTTTGTAAAATCCACATGTTCCCCAGGCTGACAGTTCCTTCCATGATCTGCCCACGCCCCTCTCCCACCTCATCTCCACAGCCCCACCCACTTCTGTTCACCCATCCTGATGCACGTGGGCCCATAGCTCCCATGCTCCTTGAATGTGGAATTGGGCTGTGTTTCTAGTTGCTGTCAGCAAGAGCTGGGTCTGGGGAAGGAAGCTGGGGAGGCATTGCACGAAGCCTTAGTTCCAGATCTAAGGTCAGAGCAGCCAGGGATGTTCCCGGGTGTTAGACATCCAGGCTGCAACTGAGATATTTTCAAGGGTGAGAAATCCCTTTTCCCTTCTGTGGACAGCCTCTTCTCCAGGCTGAAAACAGTGCAGCCCATGATTCCAGCTTCCCCCACTCCTTCCGCCCCAACTCCAGCCCCTTTCCTGGACACTCAGAAAACAGGGCCGCACAACCTAGAGCAGGGGTCCGTGACCCCTGGGCTATGAACTGGCACTGATCTGTGGCCTGTTAGGAACTGGGCCACAAAAAAGGAGGTGAGCAGTGGGGCAAGCGAAGCTTCTGCTGTATTTACAGCCACTCCCCGTTGCTTGTATTACTGCCTGAGATCCACCTCCTGTCAGATTAATGGCGGCATTAGATTCTCATAGGAGAATTGTGAACTGCGTATGCAAGGGATCTAGGTTGCACACTCCTTATGAGAATCTAATGCCTGATGATCTGTCACTGTCTCCCATCACCCCCAGATGGGACCATCTAGTTGCAGAAAAACAAGCTCAGACATCCCACTGATTCTACATTATGGTGAGTTATATAATTATTTCATTATTTATTACATTGTAATATATAATGTAATAATAACAATAATTACAATGTAATAATAACAGAAATAATGTGCACAATAAATGTAATCACTTGAATCATCTCAAAACCATTCCCCCTCCATGCCTATCTGTGGAAAAATTGTCTTCCATAAAAGCAATCCATGGTGCCAAAAAGGTTGGGTAGGGGCCTCTAGAGGACTGTAAGGGCTGGTTCAGTTTTGTTCTGTTTATGTGTGTGTGTGTGTGTGTGTGTGTGTGTGTGTGTGTGTGTGTGTGTGTTTAAATTGGGCAATGCCCCAGGTGGTGGTAAGACAGTGTCCATTTTGCAGATGTAGAAACTGAGGCCCAGGGGAGGGGAGAGCTTTGCCCACCTTTGCAGGGTCAGGACTTGTCTGTGTTGGGACCCAGCCCAGGTCAGTCTGGCATTGTTACCCCCTCTGTGGTCCTGCCCTTGCTGTGCCTGGTTTGGCTTGTGGAGCAGTTTGCCCTCGCTGGGCCCCCTGGGACAGATGATTTGCTCAGGGCTAAGGCACATCTGTCATGTCAAATCGGGCCATGATGCTCCCCACAGAGGGTCAGGCCATCCAAACACATGAGCCCAT
Source organism: Homo sapiens (assembly GCF_000001405.40). NCBI lineage: Eukaryota > Metazoa > Chordata > Mammalia > Primates > Hominidae > Homo > Homo sapiens. The sequence continues at coordinate 30,490,701 of NC_000001.11, read as the reverse complement.
GTTGGGTGCTGCTGAGCTGGTGTCTTGGCCTAAACACCCAGGAAGCCCTTATGACCTAAATCCTCTTGGGTGGAAACCTGGGGAAGTCCATTTCCTGCCACGATTTCCCTGGATCCTTGGTGGTTAAAGTAATTCTACTCTAGCTTCTGCCTTGGCCCCTAGACACACCAACCCAGTTGTGTCCTCAACCTCTTCTGATGTCCCCATCTGTTCCACACCAGCACCCACAGGACTGCAGGCCTCTCTGATGATGGGGCTCATGAAGAGGCAGTCAGGCCCCCCACACAATGTCAAGTGTAGTTAGTAGTACCCCCAAATTAATCAAGCTGCCCCTTTACTTAGAACTCTTCCATGCCAGCTGGGAAACTTTGAGTAAACCCAGCCCTGCTGCCAAGATCACAAAGCCCTGCAGGTCGGCTGCTGCCTCCTCCACCTTCGCACATTCTTTCCTCACCACACACTGTCCCAGGGCCTTCTTTAGTCCCTCCAGCACACTCCTTCCTGCCCCAGGGCCTTTGCACATGATGTTCCTGCTCCCTAGATCACTCTAGCCCCTACTCTTCAGGTAACTGGCTTATTCAGTCTCAGGTTAGATATCAGCTCCTAACATCACCCGCCCATCCAGGTTAGTCCCCCTGACTATCCTCCCACATAGCCTCTTGTACATGGCATGTTTGGCTCTATTTCAAGGCATACTTCAGTCTTTGTGACTTTTCCTTTAAGGACTATGTCTTCCTCCTGGCTATGTGCCCTAGGAGGGTGAGCACCTTGTCTGACTTGTTTACTTCTCATTCTTGCCTCCAGCATGTGCCTGGCACAAGTAGGTGCTCAGCAAATGATCTTGATGGATAAGTCAAACCATAAGAACAGGAAGGGAGCAAAGAATAAAAATGCCCCATTCCTTTAAATGAACAGAAATAACTCAGGATGTTAATTATTTTTTATTTTGGAGGTGGGATATTTTATTTGATTGTTATTTATTTTACTTTCAAAAATTAACTCACACTGCATAATTAGAATTGAAAATTATAGTTTCTGTCTCTGGTTTGTGTCTAGACTCTTGCCTTAGTGACAGGAATCATTTCCTATCTGAGCTGAAACCTCTCAGGGGCATGGACTCAGGTTGGGTGTACAGTTTAATGACCCAAACTGCTGGTTAGATCAGGAAAGTGAGCTGATCTCAGGGCAGGGCTGTTGTGCTAATGGTCTCCCACTAACAAGCCAGGGGGACTGAGAATTACCTGCTGTCCCTCTGTCCACAGCCACTGCCCCCGGCCTACCTGCATCTCCCCGGTCTCCACCTCAGACTTTCCCTAGGGGTAAGAGATGTGGCCAACATCTAGAGATGGAATTAGCCAGCTTTATCCCCAAGTCCTCTTCAAGGGAATTCTGAAAAGCGAGGCTTCCTGGATCCTCTCCTGCAGAGCAGGTAGCAGCAGTAGGGACAGCAGTAGGGAATGTGAAGGGCTGGTTGGGGCATCTCTAGATTGTCAAATCCCCATCAGAGATAACAGCTCTCCCCATTAAAGCTGTTCAATTCAACCAGTGTGTGTTATTTTCATTACCATTCTCATTACCATGACCATTACCATCACCACTATCACCATTACCACCATCTGTATCACCACCACCAGCACCACCATCATATCATCACAATTATTATCACCATCACCACTATCATCACCATCACTATCACCATCCCCATCACTCATTACCATTACCATCACCACCATCATCATCCTCCTCATCATCATCACCACCTGCATCACCACCACTATCATCATCACTGTTATCACCATCACCATCATCACCATCATCACCATTACCACCATCACTCATTACAATGACCATCACCACCATTATTATTATTGCCATCACCATCATCACTATTGTTATCATCATCATCACTAACATTACATTACCATTACCACCATTACCATCACCATCATCATCATTACTATCAACATCATCATCATCACTCATTACCATCACCACCACAGCCATCATCATCATCCTCATTATCACCATCACACCTGCATCATGATCACACCACCACTATCATCATCACCATTATTATCACCATCACCATCATCACTTTCATTGCCATCACAATCAGTAACATTACCATTACCATTACTATTACTGTTACTCATTACCATTACCAACACCACTACATCATCATCACCATCATCATCATTACTACCATCACCATCATCACTCTCATTACCATTACTATTACCATTACTATTACCATCATCACCCATTACCATCACCACTATCAACACCATCACTATAATCACTAGTACCATTATCACTAACATTACCATTACTCTTACTATCATCACTTATTACCATTACCACCATTACTATCATTACTATCATCTAACATTACCATTACCATCGTTACCATCATCCTCAGCACCAACTTAGCTAGTTCCATGTTACAGCCACTTTATACACACAATTGCTCATCCTGATGTAAGATGGCTTGAAAGGAAGATGTGAGTATGTGAGGTGATTTGGCTCTGTGTTCCCATCCAAATCTCATCTCAAATTGTAATACCCATAATCCCCACATTTGAGGGAGAGGGAGGAACCTGGTGGGAGGTGACTGGATCGTGGGGGCAGTTTTCCCCAGGCTGTTCTCTTGATAGTGAGTAAATCCCATGATATCTGATGGATTTATAAAGGGAAGTTATCCTGTGCTCACTCTTCTCTCTCCTGCCACCTTGTAAAGAAGGTGACTGTTTCCCTTTTTGCCTTGATTGTAAGTTTCCTGAGGCCTCCCCAGCCACGCAGAACTGTGAGTCAATTAAACCTCTTTCCTTCATAAATTACCCAGTCTCAGGGGAGTTCTTTATAGCAGTGTGAAAATGGACTAACACAGTATGAAAACTTGTGATTTGGTTGCCACAGGCTCTGCAATTTGTATCCACATCATTCCTTAAGACAGAAACTATCAAAATAAGCTGGGAGGATGTGGCTACTTTCTCGACATGAACTTCAAAGGATAGAGGGCCCTCCATCCACACTCCTGCCCCCTTAGTGACCCAAGACAACCTGAGGGCCGTCCTGGAAGCCTTTCTGACACTGCCCACTGCATCCCTCAGTCCCATAAGGTTTCTGTCCTCAGGGTCAAAGAGGTTTATGCCTGCCTTGTTTTCAGCCTCTCTTGGGCTTTCCCCCTGCTCCAAATTTTGTGATTTGAGAAAAAAATGTGCTCTCCATCCTCAGGCTTTATCATTTTTCAATACTTCTATCTCTCCAGCTCTCAACCTACAGTTTTTACTAAGTAATACTGATGCTAGAGTGATGGAGACTAAGGTTCACCCAATAAACCCTGGGGCAGGACAGGATGGGAGGATAGAACACGAGGCATCTCTGGCAACAGTGGGGCAGAGAGCTGAGAAGAGCCTGGCCTGGGACCCATCTTCACTCCTGTCTTAGTCTGCTTGGGCTGCCACAACAAGATAAGCCACAGACTGGGAGGTTTCAATAACAGATGTTTATTTTCTCACAGTTCTGAAGGCTAAAAGTTCAAGACCAAGGTGTCAGCAGGTTTGGTTTCCCCTGAGGCCCCTTGCCTTGGCTTGCGGATGCTGTCGGTCTTCCTGCTGTGTCCTCACGTGGCTTTCTCCTGTGTACACAGGGGAAGGTGTCTGTTCCTTTTTTTTTTTTTTTTGGCAAGGTCTTACTCTGTTGCCCAGGCTGGAGTGCAGTGGCAAGATCTCGGCTCACTGCAACCTCCACCTCCTGGGTTCAAGCAATTATCATGCCTCAGCCTCCCAAGTAGCTGGGATTACAGGCATGAACCACCATGCCCGGCTAATTTTTGTATTTTTAGTAGAGACGGGATTTTGGCATGTTGGCCAGGCTGGTCTCAAACTCCTGACCTCAGGTGATCTGCCTGCTTCAGCCTCCCAAAGTGCTGGGATTACAGGTGTGAGCCACCGCTCCCAGCCCTCTTCCTCTTCTTATAAGGACAAGAATTTTCTTGGATTAGGGTCACCATCCCGATGACCTCATGCAACTTTACCTCTTTAAAGGAGCCATCTCCAAATACAGTAACACTGGGGGTTAGGGCTTCAACATATGAATTTGGGGGGGACACAATTCAGTCTGTAACGATCATCTTCATCATCTTCACCACCACCACTACTGTCATCTTCATTATCGTCATTGTTATCACCATCATTGTCACCATTAATATCATCAGAATCCTCATCACCATAAACATCATCATCGTTGCATCTAACTGACATTAAACACTTGCTTAGTGCTGAGCACAGCGCTATACGTGGATTATCTCATTTAACCCTCTTGACAACGGTGAGGCAGGTATACCTGTTGTCCTCATTTTACACATCAGGAAACTGAGGCACTGAGAGGTCAAGTCACTTGCCCAGGGTCACAGGTAAGCGGGGAGCTGGGCTTCATGTGCACCCTCTTAACCACTACACTCTGTCTCTGTCATGGTGAGAAAGTACTTCCCAGTGTCTAACTTTTCACTCTCCTGCTGTGGCCAGAGTCTGATTCCTTATTCTGACATCAGAGGAGTCCATGGGCAGAATCAAGGGAAAGGTTCCAGGGCTCTCTCCACTGCTTTCCCTTCATCTCTTCTCCTCCCACACCCTCCCTGGAGGGTCCCCTTCACATCTGCAATTTCAATTATCACCTTTCTGTTGGTAATTCCCAAAGCCCTCACACCCCAGGAGCTCCCCCTGCAGCCGGACCTCCTGCAGTGATCACCTGTGCACCTGCTGGTTTATCCTGGTTTATCACAGATGGGAAACTGGGGCCCAGAGTGGGAGACTTCAGATCTGAGGTCGTACAACCAGCAAGCAGCAGAGCCAGGGTCCAGGCCAGGGATTCCCCAGTGCTGCCCATCAGGTTTAAACCTCTGCCTGCCTCACTCTGAAGTCTCACGCTCCTAACCCTGATGCTTCCTCTGCCTGGGGGGCCTCCATCCCACCCTGCAGCTGTTTCCATCTGGAAAAAATACACTGTTGAGAAAATACACTGTCGAGAGCCAAATCAAGGGACGCCTCCACCGAACGGCCTTCCTCGATCTCTCCTCTAAAGTAGCCCCATCCCTGTGCAGAGTCCCTCTGTGAGTGTAAAAATCTTCTGTATCTGTACCATTTGCCCATGTGTCCTTCTCCCCCTTGACATGGTGGGTCGGCTGAGACAAGGAGGATGGCCACACTCTGGCTGGGACAGTAGGCACAGGGAGAGGAGATGGGTTTGAGAAACTTGGAAGGGCTGCAGCTCAGAATAAGGAAGAGGTCTGGGGCATCTCCTAACACACAGTAACTGCTCATGAAGGCTCATCACCGCCAGGTACTATGCCCAGCATCATTGCCTGGGTCTTCTCAAGAGCTCTGGAAGGCAGATACCACCAATGTGCCCACTTCACGGATGGAGAAAACTGAGGCCCAGAAAGGTGAACAGACATGGTTAAGTTCACACAACCGGTGAGCAGCCAAGCGGGCTGGGCGATTCTTAACCTGGACATAGAAACTGTTGATTCACACATCTGTCCCAGGGAACTGGGGAATGAAAGGGTCACCTCCGTGCCCTCCCAGCTGGCCACAGAGAGCTCTGGCTGCAGAGGCAATAATGGAGGAATGACCACTGAGTGCACACCTGCCCCATCTATGTCCATCTGGAGAGCTGGCCACTCCCCTGACTCTTTATCTCTGGCTAGAAAGCTGAGTGGTCGGGGCAGCTGCTAAATAGGAACACCCAATGGGACCAGGAAGGAGGCCCTGAGTGGAATCCTGGAGACCCAGACCATAGGCCCAGGAGGTCTGCAGAGCCTCAGTGGCCCCCTTTGGTTCTCACCTGTGAAAGTAGTCACAGCCCCATCACAGGCCATGGGACTGGGGCCAGCAAGATTCTGCCAGTGACATGGCCCTGAGGGTCCTGCATCAGGATTCTGCAAAGCAGGACAAAGGTGGCCAAGAGGTGTGACCTTGGAGCCTGTCTGACATGCTAGAAGATTGGCTCCATGAAGAGCTGTGTCCCCAAGTCCTGGAACAGTGCAGGGCACAGAGCAGGCACTCAAGCACCATTGACTGAGTGATGGATAGCAGCTCTGAGCAAGCCCTCAATGCATATGGACTCCATGGCTGTGGGTGAGCTCAGCACTCAGGCCACGGACGTGACCCGGTCACCAGCTGCAGGCCTCAATGGCTCTCAGTGACATGTGTGCACACTATCTGCCTAAGCTCAGTCCTCGTCCTGCAACTCAGCTGGGCAAGGCTCTGCTGAGCTGCTCTGTCACCTCAGAGGCAGGAGGACAGTGTTCTGTAATTATTGGCTCTTCCTTCATTCCTTCATTTTCCAAAACAGGTGGGGCCTTTCTGTCCTGTAGGAAGGGCAGAGGGAGGACACAGAGGGCTGGAGATTTGAGGGGATGGGCAAGTAAAGACAGAACTTGGATGGACGACAGAGAAGTAGGGGAAGTACAAGCAGCATTTTTAGGTGTGTGTTTATTTATTTGAACTCAGATGGATTTTCGAGTCTTTGCCGAGACTTCTGGAGTCAGGAGCGAAGGGGTGGAGTGAAGTCAGGAGCTTGGGGCATGTGACTGCACAGCTGTGGGGAGGAGATGGGGAAGTGCAGCAGCAAATGCTGGGCCTCCACCAGCCCATGCAGCCTTGGCAACCCAGTGAGGAGGGCCTGGGGATTCTGCAGGGAATGGACATTTATGGAGCACCTATTGTGTGCCAGGCCCTGCAGATGCAGCAGAAAACAAGGGACACAGTAGGCCCTGTCCTTATGGAGTGCACGTGGCTGGACATTCTCTGCCCTCTCCTACTGCCCAGTCCCCACTGTGTGGCCTCTCTCTCTCCACCCCCACCTGTAATGTTGGTATTGGGGCAGTGTCCTCTCCTGGAAAGAGCTGAGTTCCAACCCCTGCTCTGTTGTCACTGTGCTGTGTGACCTTAGGCAAGTGTCTTTACCTCTCTGGATCTGAGTTTTCTCACCAATAAGTTGAGAAACACCTTCTTGCCTCTCTGAGCCTGCACCCCTCAAACCTCCATTGCTGATTGACTTCACTCTATCCTGCAGAAGGGAGCCAGCCATGTGTGACCACTGTTCTCACCTTAACTTACAACCATCCATTACAATAGGTGAAACTAACACTTAAGTCACTCTGGTATTTGGCCGAGCAAGATTCCCTCCTATTTCCTGCCTGAAACTGAAACTGTTGGCTTTATTGCTGCTCCATGACTGCAGGCTTAGGGAGAATGGGCAGACCCTGCAGAGACTGTGGCCTCCCCCAGTGAGTGTATTGACCCTTGCAAAGGGCACACTTTGAGCCTCTATTGGAAATCAAGTGCAGAGAGCATGGATGGGGGCACTCAGAGGCAAACCCATCCTGGAGAGGTCAGGAGAGGAGTGGACTGAGCCCTAGTCCTAGATGGAGGGTGGAGGGGAACTCTTAGCTCTGTCTCCTCCTGGCCACCCTTGGGCAAGCCTGTCACCCAGAAGATTGGCGATGACAGAGTCCACCACTCTCTGAGGGGTCCTGGAGGGCACCCACAGAACGCCCATGCTGGGTGTCCCCTGGAGGGATCCTCCTGGGCCTTGAGGTCTCTCAAGCCCCGTGAATTTATGCCCCATTACTGTGCAGTGCAGAAAGTAGGGGAAATTTTGCCTCTTCACCAGTAAAAGTCAACATCACCATGAAGCAAATGGCCTCTGACTGCTCAGGTACGTGAGTTATCACCAACTCAGGGCAGGCAGGGGTCTGGAAGGCCAAAACCCTGAGAAGGAGGCTCCTGAGTCATGGGGGTTTCCAAGCTTCTTGGTGTCCTCTGAGACCCAGGAATGGGAAAGACACATGGAGGAGCAGCAGGGGGAGAGCAGCCTGAGGATCTGGGATCAGGGACCACAGAAGGGCTGGTTCCTGCTTCTCTGCCTCCTGCCAAGTCACTGGACACATGTGTTAGTGTGCGCTTGTCATGTTCCAGGTACTCAGTGTGAAGCAGGTTTACTATGTGCTGGTTACCAAATTTTTTGAGTTTGGTGAGATAGAACAAACCCACACACAAATTACACAAAGCAGGTGTTTACTTACAGATAGGCTGCAAGGGACAATAGAAGCCTAGGATTTGTTGTGAGCTGCTCCTCACAGGCTCAGGAAAGCTGCCCACGGTGGGTGGAATCTCATCTGTGCAGGCCTCACTAGAACTGCTGCTGAGGGACCCTGGAAAGCTGCTTGGAGTAACAGGACTTGCTGAGCCCCAGCAGTGAAGGACATCCTGTTTTTGGAGGAGCTGGAACAGAGCTGGCTGTTCTGGCCAGTCCCTCTGGATCTCAGGATGTTGTATTCTCAGCACATTCTACAGTTATTCTTGAGAACTACAAATTAGAAAGCAAGGAGGACAGGTTGGTCCAAGAACACCCAGAGAACTGTCCTGCCCTGAGCCTTCTGCTGGGGATAGACCTGGGACTGAGACAGATCCAGGCCCTGCAGCTGTGGAAATGATAGTCCAGGGAAGGCCCAACATGACCCCGACACAGCACAGAAGCAGGGTGTTGGGGTGATCAGACCCAACACCAGGCCGGGGGGCTATGAAGTCTGGTGGAGTCAAAGGAATGAGACAAGACAAGTTAAGAGCGCATAAAGTGGCACCAGGGGGCCAACGCTAGTATGGAGGCTGAGAATGCCCCGAGCTCTGGTATCCCACACTATTTATTGATGATCAAACAAAGAAGCAGGTGGTGAGGATGTGGGGGTTGAAAGAAAGCGATGTATCAAGTGCATGATCTACAGCTGTGACAGTTTAGTATTTTCTTTGAAGCATATGAAACATGTATGTTCTGCTACTTGAGATAATAGGAAACATGTTCTTCTAGTTTAAGATACAATCTATCTATGAGACTGGGAGTGCTAGAAGCAAGAAGCCAGCAAGTCTAGACACATTCCAGAGGCCACGAGGGGTTTTATGCCCTGAGCCCTGGATTCCATCCAAGCCATGAGGGGTTTTATATCCTGGGCTTAGATTGTGGTGCGGCAGGGCAGCCTTCCACCCTTTGGCACAGAGCTTGGTGTTCCAAAGGCCACAAAGGGTTTTAGACCCTGGACCCCGGACATGTTCCAAGACTCTTTTACATTATGTCAGACATGCAAGCCCTGCCTCAGCTTTTTTCCCAACACTCAGCTTTTCCCCAACACAGGGGACTTGCAGCTGGGAGCAGGGCCCTGGAGGAGGAGGCTATTGCATTATGGGGATGGATAATTAGGGGGAAGGGTCAGATGTCAGTGGTGGTTTTCTGCCTGTATCCTCTTCTTCTCCCTCAATCACCATTATCACCATTGTGATGGTTAATGTGCCAACTTGGTTAGGCCATGGAGCCCAGATTTTTGGTCAAACACGAATCTGGACGTTGCTGCGAAGGAATTTTTTTGGATATGATTAAAATTTAAATCTGAATAATGTGACTGAACCTTATCCAATTAGTTGGAGGATGTAAGAGGAAAAAGACAACCTTCCCTGAATAAGAAGGAATTCTGCTGGCAGGTGACCTTGAAACCTGAGCCACAACATCAACTCTTCCTGGGTCTCCAGCCTGCCAGCCTGCACTGCAGATTTTGGACTTGCCAGCCTCCATGATCACATTAGCCAGTTCTTTAAAAGAAAACTCTGTCTTTCTCCTCTTCTCTCTCTCTCTCACAGACACACGCACACACACACACACACACACACACACACACACACACACATATATTTAAAGGGTTCTGTTTCTCTGGAGAACTTTAACACAACCATCATCACCACCTCCATCATTGTCATCATCATCATCATCATCATCATCATCGTCATCACAGCTCCCCCTGAATCCCCCATTGAACCCACATGGCCCAGGCACTGTGCAGTGAAGGGCTGTTTGACAAGACATCATTACCAGTCCTCCTCCAACAACTCCAAGAGGCAGGTCCTACCATTCCCCCATCAAAGGAGAGGAAACCCAGCACAGGGAGGTGAAGGACTTGCCCAGGTCCCTGTTTAGTAGGTGGAGGGCCCAGAGGTGGCTCCAGATCTCCACACCCCAACACAGCACTCCCTCCACCACGACATGGTGGAGGGGTGGACATGGTGGAGAGGTCCCTCCACCCCAGGACCTCTCTCTGTGGTTGCACAGAGGTTGGCCACCATGATGGCCTGACCTCAGGAGGAGAAAGCAGGATGCTTGGGGCTGGGGACTCAGCTCAGGGCTCCCCTCCCAGCTCTATTGCCCTGCCTGGCAGCTGGGACCCTGGACACATCCCTTGGGGTTTGTGGGGGGTGGGTGAGAGGACACCCAGGGAGCTCCCAGCACACATGAATGCTCAGCTCAGAGTCTCTGCCTCCATTGGGTCCTGGCCTTGGCTTCACTTGTTTCCTTCCCTGTAACCCCCATCCTGTCCTGTCTGACCCCTGCTGAGCCTCCCTCCAAGATCCCCCTCAGCCTCCACCTCAGACATAGCCCTGTCAGTGCCTCCAGGACTGTCCAAGGTCCTCTGGTCACACAAGGGAGCATTCCCATCCTAGACCCAGATCCAGGGCCCTCACCAAGCAGCCTCCAGAGCCCGGTTCTCTCGAAGCCCCTTCAATGGGATGTTGGAAAAAAGTCCCCTCCTCAGGCTCTCCCAGCCCAGCAGTGACAGCTGAGTGACAGGCTGGTGCCTTCTCCTGCCCCCTCGAAGGGGATGAGCCCATTAATATGGATCCTCGTTTGTGGTCACGGAATTTTAAACTCTGCTTTTCCCACTGAATGGCTTCTACTTGTTCGATCAAATAAAAATGGACACAGCCGAGCCAGATCAGAGAAAAATCAATAAGTAATAAAAGTTAACATGAGAGGAAATGCATCATCTCAATCACAGCAGGGGCCAAGAAGGCGGCTGAGGTGTGAGATGCACCAAGCCCAGGGACACGGCTGCATGGGGTGGCCTGTAGGGAGCTGGTGTAGGGGAGGGGTGGAGTATCAGGTGCGCTGGGGGAGGAGTGGAGGGAAGGGAGGGCTGGGGGAGGGGTGGAGGGAAGGGAGGGCTGGGGAAGGAGTGGAGGGAAGGGTGGGCTGGGGAAGGGGTGGAGGGAAGGGTGGGCTAGGGGAGAGGTGGAGGGAGGGGTGAGCTGGGGGAGGGGTGGAGGGAAGAGTGGGCTGGGGGAGGGGTGAGGAAGGGTGGGCTAGGGGAGAGGTGGACGGAGGGGTGGGCTGGGGGAGGGGTGGAGGGAAGGGTGGACTTGGGAAGGGGTGGAGTGTCAGGTGGGCTGGGGCAGAGGTAGAATGTAGGGGTTGCTGTAGCGGGAGAGGTTGAGAGGAAGGAGAGCTGTAGGGAGAGTTGGGTGAGGGGTCAGCTGTGGGGAGGTGGAGCCTGGGCTGTGAGGCGGTCTTGGTGTTCACCATGGCTTGTGTGACTGAGGGTTCCAGGGACCAAGGTGGGGGCAGCCAGGATGAGGGAAGGGCCTGGCACCAAGCTGGTGATCATTTGGCTGTGGGTGGTGGAGGGTGGGGAGGTGGAGGGTGACATGGTGCAGACCTTGGGGCTCAGCACTCGGGTGGGCGCTCAGTGACATGTAGGAATGGGGGCGTCACTTAGAGGCTGAGCTTCCCCGATACTGTTCTCTCTCAATCGACCCAGCTCGTGTCCTAACAGGTCTGACACCAGAGGACCAACCCTGGGGGCCGGGCAGGGGCAGGGCCTTCTGTCCTCTGGAGGACACAGCCCAGAGAAGCCCCTCCATCCCCTGACAGCTTCCCTCCAGCTCTGGCTGCCGGTGTTCCCATCCCACGTTGTCCCTGCTGTCCCATCCCTCCCCACAAATCCTCCATCGGATCTGACAACCTTTACAATGGCAGAGGACCAGCCACCCTGGGAGAATAACCACAGCTGCCCCCACAGGGACTCAACTATCAGGCCTTGAACTAAGCACGTTACACAGCCCTGTGAGGAAGGTGCTGTTACTGTCCCCATTGTACAGATGAGGAAACTGAGGCACAAAGAAGTTAAATCACTTGCCTAAGTTCACACTGCTCATATGTCATGGACCAACCTACCCACACCCAAGACTCTCCCCATAATTGGTGAAAAGGCCCTTGTGATGAACTTGTCCTTGCCTGATTATGAAGAAGAGGAAAGTGAGGTCCAGAGAGGGCAAGCCAATTGTCCGAGATCACACAGCACATTAGTGGCCAAGCCAGGCCTCTAGATTCCTGCCTATGTCCTCACTTGCAGGCCGCTCCGGTCACCTCCTTCTCCAACCTGGGCAGGGAGGTGATCCAAAGGCTGGAGGAAGCCAGGCACAAAGAGGCCCAGGCAGCTCTGGAGGGCGCCATGAAATTGGAAAATGCCGACAGCTGCAAGCAAACTGCCCAGGAAGCCCGTGCTCCCTCCTTCCCACCACACATGGCACAAAAACATCCTATGAAAACGAAGGTCAGCTCGAAGTTAACAGGTTAGTAATGGTTATTGCCAGTACTTTATTAATTAGGTGTCTTGAATACATGTAAACCTGGGCATTTAATTTAGATTTATGGGGATAATTTAGATTTATAAGACTAGTTATTATGCATTAAATATAGAAAATGTCAATTGGTTTTCATAAACATTTATTGAAATGTTTAAAAGAAAACTATGGAATATTTAATTACTTTGAATTAGTCTGAGTGCCGACAGGGAAGGTAGGAGGGTGGAGCGCCTCATCTCACAAGGCGTGGGCTTCTCTTGGGTGTCCTAATTCCATCCTCCCCTTGATAGTTATTTAAAAGAATGCAGCTGCCCCAGCACAGAGGGGGCGCACACTTAGAGATGACGCCCTGGCCTGTGTCTGAAGTGGTGGGAGGGCTGCTGGGCACGCGGGGCCAGAGCATCGCCATGGTGGCCTTTTGGGAGGGGAGTCTGGGGCCCTGGGGTCCCGTCCCAGCTCTGGTGCTGCCTGGTCTGTGGCCTGGGGGAGCTCCCCTCTCGTATGTGCCTTTTCATCTCCAGAGCTCAGAATCAGGAGGACACAGGACCAGGGGTCTGGGAGGGGCCGTCTGGATGCCCCTGCTGGATGCTGTGGCTGTGCCTTCAGATCCTTCTTGCTCTGTTACATACACACACACACACACACACACACACACAGACACATGCACACTGACACACACACACACACACACAGACACACACAGGCACATACACACAGACACAGATACACATGCAGACACAGTCACACATAGACACACATACAGACACAGACACACACATACACAGACACACAGAGACATACAGACACACACACAAACAAACATGCAGACACACACAAACACACAGACACACACATGTGCTCATGCACACACCTCCCCCCCCCCCACAGTCCTGGGAGCATGGCTGTCACTATCCTCAAGAGGCCACGTTGGAAGAGGCCGTGGGGACCTGCGATAACCAGGCCTCACTCCAGGTTGGTCAGGCCTACACTGCAGGGTGGTTTGGAAGGAACAGAAATGAGAACAGCAGAGACTCTGGCCTGCCCAGGAGGAGCCCATGGTCTGGCGGGGACACAAGGTGCCAGCTCCCAGGGGAGCTCGGATTGTGTCCAGAGGCCACAATACATACTGGGGAAGGTGGGGAAGGAGGCCGTAGGGGTCATCTACTTCAACTCCCCTGATTTGATGGAGACCCCACACAAGTCCACAACTGGCCTCTGGGTGACAGGTGGAGAGAACTTTGGCTGTTGCCGGCTCCACTGCTGGACAGGGACCCCCAGAACCACTTGCGGGTGTAGGTTTGACTTCTGCCAGCATCTCTCCTCTCCTAATCCTCAGACTCCAGGCACCTCACACTCAGGTACTCCCTGTGGCTTCATCCCATTGTACTTGATTATGCCCAAGAATCCTGAGAAGGGCTGGAGCAGGATGGTCAGCTTCTGGAATCCTTGAGGGAAGGCTCCTTCCAGAACCTTGGATGGCCAGTTGGCCAGAGTCCCAGGGAATTGACAGCTGCTGGGAGCAGCTCCTGACCAATGCCTCTCAAGAGTTGGTGCGTGCATGCCGCAGCCCCTTCACCCTTCAGGCAGGATCGTCCTCAGGGTCCCCAGTGGGACGGACTCCAGCTGCCCACTGTGGTGGCTGGCTTAACTGTGCATCCTCCTCTTCTCTCGCTCACTTCCTTCCTCCCCCTCTAGACCTGCCTGCATCTCCCGAACAAATACTCCTATATCTTTCTCTCAAGTTCTGCTCTTGGGGGAACCCAACATAAAAGAAGGAAAACATATTCAATGAGCACATAAATGGTTATTTATTGATGATTAATTATTGATAGGAGCTGTGAAGAATAATAAAACATAAAGGGAGTGTGAGTGGGTTTTAGATCTTGTAGAGGGAAGGTCTTTTAGGGGATGTGCTGTCTGAATAGAGATCTGAATGAAGTGAGAAATGAGACACGTGGAGGTGTGGGGTGGGAGGCAAGGGGAGCATTCTGAAGGAAGGACAGGAGGATCAGCAAAGAGACAAGTGACCAGAGCGCTGTGGGCAAGAGCAAGGGTGATGGCCATGAGCAGGGGCGCAGTACTGGAGGGCTTTCAGGTGGTGGCCCGGTCCTGCAAGTCTATTCTAGGTTTGTGGAATGCAAGTGACCTCGTGGCATCCTTGTCCAAAGGATGACACACACGGAGGAGAAAAGCCCAATCCTTGGAGCTCTGTTGCTGCCTCTTCCCCTTGGTTGCTGTCTAACCCCAGGCACTGTTTGGGCCTCTATTTTCTCTCTGTAAAATGGAGATGATGTTGGGTGGGTGAATGGGAGAGTGCACCAGAAAGCCCCTGACTCATAATCAGGACTCAGCAAGTGCCGATTCCTCCATGGTCAGCTGCATATTAACTGAGAGGTACCAGAAAGCTCGCAATCACCAGGCACCCATGAAAAGGTTCTTTCGGCAGCCCTGAGAAACATGAGGCTTGATTTCCTTTGTCATAGTGGTTGAGAACACGTGATCTGGAGTGAGACAGAAATGAATGCAAATCCCACCTGCACCTTGGGCAGGCCACTCAGCCTCCCCGAGCCTCAGTTTCTCACCTGTGTACAACGTGGCATCAGAGTAGTTCATCCTGATAGATGGCGCATGCAAAGATTAAATGAGCTGAAGCGTGAAAATCTGAGTGCAGCCATGATTTGATATTTACCGTGTGGTGCTCCTGGAAGGTGGGGACTGGGTCCACGTATTCACTGCTGTATTGTTCCCCTTAGAGCATTTACTGACCAAATCAATGGGTCCAGCATTCTCAGCCGATCCCAGCGGGCCCCTTGGGGCAGGGACTGAGCTGTATTTGAGTGCATCTTTACTTCCCAAATTTCTAATCCTGTTCTTTCCATTTACCTGATCATCTGTTCAATCTGTTAGATGCTGCCTGTGAATCAATGTAGATCTTCACCTCTCGCCATCCATCTGCCCAGCGGGCAGAGCAGGCAAGCATGGGCTATTCTAAGTTCTGGCCGCTGGGAGGATTTCCCTTCCTCGCAATTTTTCAGCGACACTCCTGAGTAGGGCTGAAACACTGCAGAAGTCCACTTCCAGATGGTGCCAGAATATCTAGGGCTACCTAGAAGTCAAGACTTAGTTTCTCTTGCTCATTTGACTGATCATAGGGAGCCTCACACATAGGGAGGCCATTAGTGTGAGTGAAGAGGACAGCAGCGATGAAGGGGCAGGTGCTCGGGTGATGCGAGCCACTTGCACGTGCACTGCATGCGTGCTTTCAGGGCCTGCTGGAGTACAGATTTGTATATATCACTTCCACTCGATGACAAATTACTGCCACACACAGTCAGCTTTATGGCTCAGTGGATCAGATAACACCCGGCTTAGGATGGGCAGCTAATGTGTCATGGAGACTTGATGCCCGTGGAGAACACCTATCTTCAGAAGAGTGCAAAGATCAACTCCGGTATCCTGAGGGTCCATGCTATGGGGACTTGCTACACATTCCACAGCAGCTCCATCTGTCACGGTCACTTTGAGGATCATTAGATGCCCCAGTGGCAGAGCAGCTAGCACAGCAACCTAGACTTTCTGCGGAGCATTTCTTGCCTGGGGCCCACTCAAAATCAGCAGCTTTACAGATGAGTCAGTAAAAATGCTCAGAGCATCACACACTAAGGTGAGGAGGAGGCAGGTGTGTTGCTTCCAAAATCCAGAGAAGCCCACTAAATGTTGTACTTCTTTCTTTGCAGGCGGTGGCCTGGGCCTGTGAGTCTATTCTAGGTTTGTGGAATGCAAGTGACCTTGTGGCATCCTTGTCCAGAGGATGACACATACGGAGGAGAAAAGCCCAATCCTTGCAGGTCTGTTGCTGTGTCTGCCCCTTGGAAGGCAGTGCCAGTTGTCCGTCACTATAGAAACAATATCCAAGTGTGCCCCAGAATGTTGGACCCCAGAACCTTCATGTAGGTGTCAGCCTCCTGGACTTTAATGGGGTTTACTCCCACCATCTGGCATGCATATGTCTTGTTACAGCTTCTTAGGTACTGTCTACTTCCTGCACGGCAAGTGCATTCTGCATGATGTCAACAGTCTGGTGAATCAGCATGATGTCCATGATGTCATAAGTCACCAAGTCCCTTCAGTCTAGATTTTGTCCTAGCAGGAGAGTTGACACAGCTCTGAAGCACGACAGGATATCCTGTTGTCCCTGCTGTGAGTTACAGTGAACTCCTTCTGGTAGTTGCCAGAACAATAGCTGCATGTAGTTCCAGGAGCTGTGCTGATTTTCTCCTCCAGGAGAGATGTGACATCTGGAATAGCAGGTGCCACCACCTGAGCAAGTTTATAATAACTCATGATCTCTCTCCAAGATCAATCCTCCTTTCTGCACAGGACACAGGCAAATTAAACGGAAACATACAAAGTGTGATAGAACTCACAGACTCACCACCTCAATATCTTTTAATATTATAGAATCTTCAAGCAAAGGGAGGTTGGTTGCTTCAAATAGGGACACAGAGGCAAAGGAGGCTTGAGGGGAGCTGGGAGTTTGAGGTTCTCAGATTAATCGGAACTCTTATTCCCATCTGGGGGTCCCTCTCTTTTTCAATCAATGCCTTATTGATTTCACATAAGGGATGTGGCAAGGGTGTGAGTTCAATTTATGTTGTAATTCTTCCATCCATGAAACTGGATTGCAATGTGGATTAAATTTGGGGCTTGATTTTTAGCTGTATCTTCTCTGGCTACAAAAGGCAAGACATTTCTTTAGGGCCTTTCTATGTCTCTGGTTCTCTGAGGACACTTTGATCTGAAAGTTTAAAGCTCAGAGCTTGTCGCTTTTTTCCTAAAATCTCTCCAGCACAGTCAGAAATCGCATCCCACCCCACGTTCCATGTCATAGGCATTGATTCTAGTGGCAAAGTGCAGTGGCTGCTTGGTCTGCTAAAGTCTTGCCTTCAACTGACATCTCTTTCCAGGCGAACACAGGTGGTAATTTAGGTAACTTTGATGCCCCTGCTTACCATGGACCACCAGTGTCTCAGTTCCCCGTCAGTTAGGTCATTGCTGTGAATCAGCTGTTTAGCCCATCCCGAATCCCACCTTTGAGGGTTTATCTTCCAGGAACAATCCTGGTGGTGCTCCGTGCTGCACCATTCAGGGTCCATGTAGGAAGCTAAACCACAACATGATCACATCCAGAGGAGGAGGGCTAATGTAGACACTGGCCGTAGAAGGGTGGAAAGGGCTGAAGGAGCAGAAAGGGAAGGGATGGCAGCCCAGGGATGAGCAACTCAGGGACAGCTGACATCCAGGGCTGGCAGGACACTGCTGTTGACTCTGGTTGAAAGGGGGCTGCCATGGCTGTTGCCAAGATCACAGAAGTTCTTGCAGCTGCCAGAACCACGAGCCACGGCAGCCTCCATCACCAGGAGTGAAGAGAAAGGAGAATAGCAGCTTCTCCCCACTTCTCTGGGCTTGCAACCTTCTGCCAGCACCTCCCATTGTCTGAAGCTAGATGGAACTGGTGCTCCAGGGAGTGTGGGATTGCAGCGGGCAGGGCTTCAGCCTGGCACAGAGGCACGCTCTCCAGTGGGGAGGGAGCAAAGAGACGACTGGACACATGAGCAGCGCAGGGGCCAGGCCTTGGCTTCTGTACCAATCAGTTCCAAACCTGCTCTGTCGCTTCCTAGATGTGTGACACTCAGAAGCAGTATCACTTTTCCCATGAATGAAAAGGGACTCATCATTGCCCAAGGATTCAATTAAGTGAAGTTTGTAACAGCGCCCATCGCAGTGCCTGGCAGCGAATCTGCCTTCCCTCCGCGCGTCTTGCTTCACCTCTGACTTACTCTCTGACCTTGAACAAGCACCTGGACCTCTCAGGGCTCTGTTTTCTCATCAGCAAAATGAAGGGGTTTGGCCTGAGGCTTAGTAGTGACGTGCTGTGCAACATCCCTTAAAGACTGACTGGGACTGGAAGTGGAGACCAGGGAGGCTCTGGCTGCTTTGAGCGCTCTGAGCTGTGTGCCTCACCAGGGAACGTGCCCACATGCCAGACAGCTCACACTTCAGCCACCTCCAGGCTGCTGTCTCCCCTGGCAACACCTACCTGGACTCTGTTCCCTTTGATGCACTCATGCTCAGCCTGGCTCAATTGACAAGAAATTGCCACGGACAGCATGCTCAGTTCACTGTGGTCTGGGAAAAAGGGACCTTCAAATTAAATCTATCATTATGATTAGGTTTGTAAGCTCTGGGGCCTTCCAGGGGCCTCAGTGCCTGAGCTTTGAGAATTGTCCTGTTTGGGATGGAATTATGAGTTTAAACCTGTTGGATTTGAGGCCTGGGGTTGCCGGAGGTGCTTGCAGAGGCCTGCGTCCCTGGGAAGCGTTGTAGCTTAGTGGTCATGGTGAAGGGCTGTTGAGTGCCCAGTCTGCCACATGCTAATCTGCTAGGGTTGTTTAGATTCTCTCTGACACTTAGTTTCTTCCTTTGTAAGGTAGGATTAATAATATCTACTGTGATCAACACATGCTGTTTTTATTCCCTAGTCATCCCTTCCTCCTCTGTGTATAGTACCACCTTTACCCTTCATTTAGGAAACTGAGCTCTTTGCACTCCCCAGGCCATGAGGTTCAGAAAGGATTACTAATCACAGCCCACATCCTGCCTCCCCTCCTTAGAGACAGTTAAAGGCCCAGCCAGGCCAATCATAGATGACAGATCCATCGATCACAGATCCATAGATCTCTGGAAACTGACTGGTCCAAGAAATGGGCATGTGACCTAATCAGGCCAATCGGAATCCCTGTCTGGGGTTTGGTCTCCAGCTATTGGGAGACTGCAACTCTTTCTTCTCTATGGAGTCCCAGTTGGGATGATGCAAGCTTGCAACTCCTGCCTCCCCTCTTTTGCCTGTCCCATAAGGTGGTAAAAAGGAGCAGGGACAGGGCCTGTGATGGGAGTGACTGGGGAGTTTCTGAGGAAGAGGAGGCCAGCGAGAGTGGGCGGGGCCGTGGAGAGGATGAGCCAGAAAGGTAGACAGGGCTGGATCGCTCGTGGCACAATAAGAGACGTTAAGAAAGAAGGAGATCTGATTATCTAATTTGAATCCCTGGATCCAGTCATGCCTGAAGCAGTTTTTTTTTGTTGTTGTTTGCTTGTTTTGTTTTTTTTTTTTTTTTGAGATGGAGTCTTGCTCTGATGCCCAGGCTGGAGTGCAGTGGCGCAATCTTGGCTCACTGCAAGCTCCACCTCCTGGGTTCACGCCATTCTCCTGCCTCAGCCTCCCGAGTAGCTGGGGCCTCAGGCGCCCGCCACCACGCCTGGCTAATTTTTTTGTATTTTTAGTAGAGACGGGGTTTCACCATGTTAGCCAGGATGGTCTCAATCTCCTGACCTCGCGATCTGCCCGCCTCAGCCTCCCAAAGTGCTGGGATTACGGGCGTGAGCCACTGCGCCTGGCCCCGCCTGAAGCAGGTTTATCTCTGTCCTTCCCAGTTTTTGGAAACACTGAACTAACTCCTTCTTTAGTTTGACCACTTTAATTTAGTCTCCAACAAAAGAGTCCCAACTAACTCATCTACTTCTCTAGGGGGCTGGGGGGAATAAAAGAGGTAATTGAAGTGAAGGGCTTGGAGGATTGAGCTCAGTAGACACTGGCTTTTCTTATTGCTCCTGTCACAGTCTCTGTGTGTATGTCTCGAACACAGGTTGGGTTCCACTCACCTTTGTGGTCCCAGTTCCTCACACCCATTGCCTAGGAAGGCAGAAGACACATCAGGAGAGGGGACCAGCCTGAGCAAAGGGTGGCCGTGGGTAAGCAGAGACAGACTTCCAGGCACTTGGAGCCACTGTCCCTCTGCCTCCCTGCCTGAGGGGCCCGTCAGATCCCCCACGTCCTAAGCAAGCTTCTTCTGAAGGAGACAGGAGTATCTGTTTCCTCCTGGAGTGGAGGGGGTGAGTGTGAGAACTGTACTGATAATTTGTCAGCCTGGCCTCCGTGGGTGATCTGCTGCTTACGTCGTGCACCCTCACTCCTGTCCCATCCTGGTGCAGGTGCATGTCCCCCCTCAAATCCTGGATGCAGCCCAGGCCAATGGCTGCACCTGTGCAGGGCCCAACAGGGGTGTCTCAGCCCCTCTTCCTGTCCAATATGGAAGAGCTTAGAATGGGTGAGTTGCCGTGACGCTTCAGGATCACTTGTTTTACAGAGGGGGAAACGGAGGCCCAGAGAGGGCAAGGGGCTTGTCCAACGTCACACAATAATAATACAAGGATACTAATATTTAAGGTGTTAGCTTTTCTGTGCTTCCTTCTCTTGTCTTGTCAGAATTTATCAATGCCACCATCCATTCATTCGTTCTTCATTTGTTCATTCGCTAACTTACAAACAGGATGATGAAATCCCAGCTTCTCCTGAGGTGGATAAAAGACAGAAAGGGCCCTGCTCTCCTGGGGCTCCTGGCTGGTCCTTGGGCCCCACTGCTTTCTGTGCTTCTGTGGGATCTCATATGGCTGTCTCCTCACCTGGCTGGGAGCTCCTTCTGACCATGCCCACATCATCTGTCATCCGTTTGTGTCCCCAAGGCTCTGCCCAGGACTCAGCTGCCAACAAGCAATAATGATCCAGAACTCAAATGGGGCTGGGTGCGGTCGCTCACGCCTGTAGTCCTAGCACTTTGGGAGGCCAAGGCAGGCGGATCACTTGAGGTCAGGAGTTTGAGACCAGCCTGGGCAACATGGCAAAACCCCAGCTCCATAAATAAATAAATAAAATAAGTAAAATAAATAAAAGAACCCAAATGGGAGCCAAGTTTGGAGCGGAGTCGTGGAGTCTGGCTTCAGAAGGCATGAGCCTTCGTTTCTCCACCTGTCAGAAAGAAACAGTAACACTTCCCCCATGAAATCATTCAATGAAATAAAATGTGCAAACCACGTGGGACTCAGGGGTAGTCACTGCATGTCCTACTGTGGAGCTTATCACCCCACTTCCAGGAGTTGGGAGGAGGTTCTGGGGCAGGGGCAGGGTCTCAGTCTCAGGGCCTGAGACACGGGGATTGCTCAGGAGGTGTCTGATGCACAGAGGAGGGTGAGTGAGACCGTGTGTATCCGAGTCCTCTTCCACCATATCCTCCTCTGTTCCCATCTTCCCTGCTACCTCCTGCATCCTGACCATGGCCACCCTGTGACCAAAGCTCAGTATGCGCTGCCCTTCCTCCCCCTCATGCCCCTCTGGTGACTGGGAGATCCTTGCATTCATTCATGGGTTACATCACAGACATTTAATGTGTGCCTACGATGTCCCAGGCTCTGGTCAAAGCACTGTGGATAATGAAGCGAACAAAATTGCCCCAGCCCCTGCCCTGCCTTCTGCACTTACAGCCTAGAGGGGCAAGTGGATGAGAAACAAGGAAAGAGACTAGCCTGAGAGGCTGGTGCTGAGGAATGCAAATAATATAGTTCCAACAGGGGAAGGGGAGAGAGGGTGGTTGGTCGTGAAGAGCTGGCCTGTGACAGAGACCCCATCTCTGTCATTGCTTCCCTCACCGTGGACCCCTGCCCCCTGCACAGACTGCATTGGGAGGCCTGGCAGTGGGAAGTAGAGCTCCAAGGGAAGTGGAGGTGAGGGCAGAAGAGCTGGGGAGAGAGCAGCACCCCACTCTTACAGCTGGGGCCCAGGTAGGCAGGGCCAGGGTGTAAGAATGAGGAAGCAGGAGCCCAGTCCATGCAGTCTATGTTGCAGGCAGGGCCCAGGCAACATCCAGGGTCCAGGCGACATCCAGGCTGGCAGCCAAGTAGCCCAGGCTTCTTGGGAACTGGTCTGATCCCTACACCTGTCTCTGAACCTCAGTGTCCAGGAGGTTTCACTGTGGGATCCCACAGCCTGCAGAGAGCCCAAAGGGAAGGCCTTGGAGAGTCTATTCTTTTTTTTTTTCTTTTCCAGATATTCACTGCCAGCTCTGAGCCAGACACTGCCAGGCAGCTTGGGAGGAGGCAGCCATGATGTCCTGTAATGGGGTCCAAGTGGTCCAGGCAGAGGATGCAGAGCAGTGGCAGAAGCAGAGCGTGGAAGGGCTGACTTAGGGGGATAGAGGGACTTTACCTGGCCCTGCCAGCAGGAAAAGCCCAGTCCTCATTCCCACCAGATCCTACCCTGCTTGAGTTCCCAAGTTGCTCCACATTCCCTGACTCCCCCATCCTCTGCCATAGATTTCGAGACCTTGGGGTCTGTCAATAAGTGATGGTGAACCCAAATGAGAGCAGTCCCAGGAAAGCGGGGGCCCTTCCTGTCTTCTTAATCATGTCAGTAGAAGCCTCGTATATTGGTCTGTTTTCACACTGCTAATAAAGACATACTTGAGACTGGGTAATTTATTAAAAAAAAAGGGGGGGGGTGCTTAATTGGCTCACAGTTCAGCATGGCTGGGAAGACCTCACATCATGGCAAAAGGTGAAGGAGGAGCAGAGTCACGTCTTACATGGCGGCAGGCAAGATAGTCTGTGCAGGGGAACTGCCCTTTATAAAACTATCAGATCTCATGAGACTTATTCACTATCAAGAGAACAACATGGAAAAACCAGTCTTTATGATTGAATTACCTTCCACCGGGTCCCTTCCATGACACGTGGGGATTATGGGAGCTACAATTCAAGATGAGATTTGGGTGGAGACACAGCCAAACCATATCACTGGGGTTTAATCATTCTGGTTATAATTGAACTATAATTCAGTGAAAAAACAAACGAATGAATGGTGGGATTGGTAAATTCTGACTTGGAGTAGGGGAAGGGAGCACAGAAAAACACGGTCCCCATGCCCAGGGAGCAGCCTGCAGGCCCAGGTTGCAGTCGGTCGGCCCGCTAGTCCGCCGCAGGACAATTAATTAACTAGTCACCATGTGGGGCATGTTGGCATTGCACCCCGCCAATCCAGATCACCCTGAGGACAAACATGGTCAGGTTGCAGACAGGCCTGAGTCCGTCACATGGAATCAACCAGGCCAGGGAGTCATCAGCCCCATTGGTGACAACAACAGAGGCAAAATGGGGCAGGACACAGAGCAAGCACGGGTTTGGGGGTCACTCAGATTGGGCTTCAAATCCTGGCCTGGCCACTTACTGTGTGACCCTGAGATTAGATGCTCCACCTGAGCCTCCGTTTGTCCATCTGTAATGTGTGGGTAATAATTTCACTTCCCTCATGGGCCTGTCCTGAGGATGATACTGAACCGTTTACTCTGAGCTCATTCATGCTGAGGCTCTTTTGCTCATTTTCTTCTTTTGATCACCCTCTTGTCTAGTGAACTCCTGTACACCCTTCAGAACAGAGCTACCCCCTCCTCTAATGGAACCGTTTTTTCAGCTTGTAGCATCCCTTCCTTTTGTAGCAACAGGACCTTGGTTTCTCCTGGGGAATCACTCTTGCCCCACAGTCAGTCACGTGGCCGCAGAGAAGCTGATGCTGCCCTCTGGCTCCATGCAAGGCCCATGTGGCTAACACTGATTAAGTCCTCCCCATGCTCCAGGCTCTGTTCTAAGTACTTTACATGGTCACCATGTTTAAATGCTTAAATGCCACTAACAGAGAGTGAATGGTGCTGTTTATTAGCCTGGAAAGAGGTTCAGTGCAATCCCATTTGGGTAAACTGCAGCGATGAATATTTATGCAAAGAGGGCTGAGGTATCAGTCAGAACCTTGGTAGGAAATAAAATTCACCCTGGGTGATTCAGACAGAGATGCTAAAGCAGGGACTGCTTGTGGAGGTGACAGTAGGGCCAAAAGACCATGAGGGGATGTGAGGCACCCAGAGAGCAGCAATAGCAGGAAGCTGTTGCCAGCCCTTTTGGCTGGAGGGATGTGGAGAGGGAACAGCATTTCTGGAGCCAGGTGAGAGCTGGAGCCATGTGGGAGGGGCCACCCTAGGAGCCGTGGTCCCAGCTAGGGAACAGCAGCTGCCTGAGACCTGGAGTTGAGGCAGGAAGGAGCAAGGAAGGAAGACCCCAGCCCTCCCCTCCACCAACCCTCGCTCTTGGATCTCCTACTGGAGCCTCCCCTGGGTCACATTAGTGAAAGCCAGAATGCAAGAAGCCCCCTGATATAGTCCACACAGGCTGGTCTGGGGCCCAGTCAGGGCAGAGGCGAGGAAGATGGAGCAGGCAGGGAGTGGTGGAGGGAACCCCCGCCATAGAATATTCCTAATAGTGTTAAGGGTGTTAACTCTGTTGTGTTTGGGATTTTAGGGTCTTTGTATTTTGGTGTCATTTTAATTTTCACAACAAGCATATAAGCCACTTTAAAACAATAAAGTTATTTATTTATTTTAAATAATGAGAATAAAGGACACTGAGGAGCCATACTGAAATGCTGAGATGTCTCCACCCTCAAGGGGAGAATGGGTGAGAAACGGGTGAACTTGACCTTATGGCTTCACTGGGAAATAGTGTCACAGGCTCCTTGAGGCTGGGCAGATGCAGTGGTGCCGTAGTGACACCATGGGCGAGGAGTCCAGAGACCATTCAGGCTCTGCCTCAGCTGCTGACCTGCTGTGTGACCTCGAGCTGGTCCCTCTGCTTTGGGCCTCGGTTTCCCCATCCTGTACAGGGGGATGCACCCAGGGGAGATCTTTGTTTCTGGAAACAATGGGTCAGGAGCCCCTGAGAAGCAAGCAGGTGTTGGTGCTGTCAGGAGGTGGCTATTCCTGGTTATCAGAGACAGATGAGTCCAAACTCATTCATCTGGAGGAAAATAATAGAGAAAAATGTCTCCTGGAAAGTGCTTGCAGAACTTGCAGGATAATTAAAACCCAGTGATGAACATTCATAGTTAAAGTCTGCTGGGACAGGTGAGAAGCCAAGAACCAGGTCCTGCTGCAGTGGACTGGGAGGAAAGAGAAGAATCTGTGGCAGCAAGAGGAGGCCTGGCAGCCCAAGTGGGGCAGAGACCAGGACGGGGCTAGGGCAGGACCCTGACTCTGCCCCAACTCGGATGTGTGACCTTGGACATACCTCTGTACCTCTCCAAGGCTGTATCCCCAGCTTTAAAATGAAGGGGTTAAACAGATAATCCCTGTGGTCCTGCCCAGCTCTGTGTCCATATCAACTGTGGAATCTGGCAGGAGGTAAGACTTTGGGAGCAGAGATTTCCATCATCATCATCATCATCATCATCATCAATCTCATTATCATCACTATCATCATCATCTTCTTTCTTTTCTTTTTTTTTTCTTTCTTTCTTCTTTCTTTTTTTTTTTTTTTTTTTTTTTGACGGAGTTTCACTCTTGTTGCCCGGGCTAGAGTGCAATGGCAGAATCTCGACTCACCACAACCTCTGCTTCCCGTGTTCAAGCGATTCTCCTGCCTCAGCCTCCCGAGTACCTAGGATTACAGGCATGTGCCACCAAGCCTGGCCAATTTTTTTGTATTTTTAGTAGAGACGGGGTTTCTTCATGTTGGTCAGGCTGGTCTCGAACTCCCAACCTCAGGTCATCCACCCGCCTCAGCCTCCCAAAGTGCTGGGATTACAGGCGTGAGCCACCACACCCGGCCCATCTTCAC
The DNA here is from genome assembly GCF_000001405.40 of Homo sapiens. Classification (NCBI taxonomy): domain Eukaryota; kingdom Metazoa; phylum Chordata; class Mammalia; order Primates; family Hominidae; genus Homo; species Homo sapiens. The sequence goes on along the minus strand of NC_000001.11, from coordinate 30,464,686 downwards.
TTTCATCGCCACTGCAATCTTCAGCATTATCACCATTGTCATCACTATAAACATTACCATCTTCACTATTAACATCACCATCATTACCACCATGTTCACCATCATAATCACCATCATCTTCACCATGTTCACCATCATCACCATCACCATCATCATCTTCACCACCATCACCATGATCTCCATTACCGTCTTCACCATCACCATCACCATCACCATATCATCACTATCTTCACTATCATCATCACCATCAACACCATCTTCACTAACACCATCACCACCATGTTCACCATCATCACCATCACCATCATCATCACCATCTTCAATATCATCACCATTGTCACTAACACCATCACCATCATGTTCACTATCATTATCACCACCATGCTCACCATCATCATCATTATCATCTTCACCACCATCACCATCATTATCACCATCATCTTCACCATCACCATCATCATCACCATCTTCACTATCAATATCACCATTGTCACCACTATGTTCACTGTCATCACCACCATCATCCTCACCATCATCATCATCACCATCATCATCACTAGGTAGAGCGACCTACTGGGTGCTTCCTATCTATTAGGCACAACTTGAGGAGATTTACTTGCTTTGCTCACTGAATCTCCACTGTCATCATACTCAACTTATAGCTAAGAAAATGGAGGCTCAGAGAAACCAGTGACTTGAAGGGGGCAAATAGGCAGAGACGGGAACAAGGGCTAAATGAGCCAAGAGTTCATAGTTTAACGGTCACATGATACCTGCCCCTGTCTGTATGAATTGAGTCAGATCTCAGGAGACTCTTGGACCCATCAACATCACTGACCATACTCTCCAATCCTATCATGGCCCATATGGGGAAACTGAGGCCAGGGAAGGGAAGGAACTTGCCAAAAGCTATGTTTTGAACCAGAGGCAGAGCTGAGCACAGAAACCAGATCTGTCTTCTCTCTCTTCCCTTCTCTCCCACATTGCTAACAAAATTACTTCTGATCCCTGTAAATATTCTACTTATTTCACAAAGTCTTATGGACATGGGATGCCTGTGCTGGGCTGGGCACCATGAAAAGGGTGTGATGAGGGACCCAACCTAGATTACCCACAAAGTTTTTACTGTCCAGAGGTGACCACTCACAAGCTCATTGATCCAGGCTCCAGGCTTGCTGTGGAACGAGCTGTCACAGAGAAACATCCAGCAAGTGGTGGTGTGGTCAAGAAGCCACGGGATAGTCAGATTTGAGGGTCCAGGCCCGAGGGTCAGGGCCTATCCAGAAGCAGATGGCAGAGCAGAGATGCAGCCACCCCCTGAAACCCAGAACAGATCCAGGACAGATAAACTCAGGGATTCCCAGACCTGGAAAGTGCAGCTTTGGAGGTGAACCCACCATGCAGAATCCAGAAGGTCAGTTCATCTAGGTACATGGAGGTGCCAGGATTGGGCAGCCCTCCCACAAGGTGTTTGGGGAGGTGGGAGCAGCTCCAGGACCAGGAGCCAGGCCCCTGACAGCCCTTGAGGTGCCATTGATGACCTGGGAGGGAGCCACTCTCTGCCACGGTTTCAGCTTTCTCTGAGTGAGCAGTTGAGCTCATGTCACTGCAGCCGGGAGCTCCCAGCAGCTGACCCAAGAAGCCAGGTGCCCCCCAGGGATGCACCAGGCCATTCAGCTAGGCTTTGGGCTGCACACCCCCGCTAAAGTCCCGGCACCTCGTCTCACTACAAATCGTGCTCTGGGTTCCACAGTTTATCTTGCTGACAATCAGGTTTCCCATATGCCAAACTGGAGCTAAGGACACCCGCCTCCCAGGCTGCCGTGAGGACCAGAAAAGAAGGTGTCATTTTTCCGTTTCCAGAGCCATCATTTCTTGACCATGGTGCTGATGATCCTCGTGCCCTTTCTCAGAATCCCCTAAATGAGCTGGACACTGTCACTGTCCCACTTTGCCAATGGGGAAACGGAGACTCTGCCATGTCAGTTCCACACCCAGGTCCCCAGCTATGAGTGGCAAGGCCAAGACACACCGCCAAGCTCCAGCAGTCCTGTGCATCCATCCACTGCCTGTGTGCCTACCCCCTTCCCCCTCCCGCAGCCCAGTCCTGCAAAGACAAAACAACGTGCCCGCTGTGAAGGGAGCTGGTACTGGCATAGTAGAAAGCAGAGCTTTTGGACAAGCATTGAACCAGACCAAGGCCGATTACATGCAGCTTTTATGATCACCCTTGCTGGGAGCAGAGACCAGAGGGCCAGGCAATCTTGTTATATGTGTTGAAATATTGCTTGATGGTCCCTCTGTGAGGGGACAGATTGGTCTGACATATTGGATCGGGGGAAGGGAGAAACAGACACAGAGAGAGGGGAGAATGTGCACAGACTCACATGTGAGGACATGGTGAGTGAGGAAATGAGCTGCTTTTGTGGGGCTGGAGTGTCCAAGGGCATTTTGAAAAACAAGGTCCTCTCCCCAAGAAGACACAGAGGGCACTAGAAGGTGTGAGACTGGCACAGCCCAGGGGATCCTGTGGAGCGCATGGGCAGGGAGACCCCATGGGGGCCAGATCTACACCGAACAGCAACCCAGGTAAATCAGCACTGACCTGTGATCCAGGTTAGTTGGCACTGCCATGTGGCCCAAGTAAAAGAGCAGTGCCCTGTGGCTCAGGTAAATCAGCACTGCCCTATGTCTCAGGTTAAAAACACACACACACACACACACACACACACACACAAACCTGTGTCCCAGGGAAATCAGCAGTGCCCTGTGCCCCAGGTAAGTCAGCATGTCCCTGTGGCCCAGGTAAATCAATACAGACCTGTGTCCCAGGTAAATGAGCACTGCCCCATGACCCAGGTAAATAAGCACTGGCCTGTGTCCCAGGTAAATGAGCACTGCCCTGTGGTCCAGGTGAATCATCAGTGCCCTGTATCCCAGGTAAATCAGCACTGCCCTGTGGCCCAGGTAAATCAGCACTGCTGTGTTCCAGGTAAATGAGCACTGCCCTGTGGTCCAGGTGAATTGTCAGTGCCCTGTATCCCAGGTAAATCAGCACTGCCCTGTGGCCCAGGTAAATCAGCACTGCTGTGTTCCAGGTAAATGAGCACTGGCCTATGTCTCAGGTAAGTCAGCACTGCCCTATGTCCCAGGTAAATGAGCACTGCCTTGTTACCCAGGTAAATGAACTGTGTTCGGAGGCAGGGGTTGGGCTGAGGATGAAATGGTGGTGACTCCCTCCTCTCCCATGTGAGGAGCTTCAAGATTTTCTTCCATCTATAAGGGAACAAATCATATTAGCTGGCTGATGGGTGACCCCTATCTGCCTCTGGGTGTGAGGGATGGGACTGGGGCCATCCCCTGGCCTCAGAGGCCATCTCTGGTCCCCCGACACACACCTTAACCCCTTCTTCATGCATCCACTCAGTAAACATTTGCTAATCCCAGCTCCCTGCCCAGCTTGTCCTGGTCTCTGAGGACAAGGAGGTGAGTGGATATAGTCCCTGCGCTGGAGGTGCTTGGACAAAGCAGGGGCAGTTGGAGGATAAGGCACACACAGAAGAGTGTCATGAAAGCCTCCCACCCACCAGTATTTTCTGAGCATGCACCACATGCAGGCCCCGCAGAGGGCCTTCCACACCTCCCTCCCCAGTTCTCCAGGCACCCCAGGACCACTGCTGCTTCCTGCCTCGTAGCAGTGGGAAAACAGAAGGTCAGCAAGGCTGTTACTTGTCTGAGGCCCCACAGCCAGTCAAGGGCTTCCTTTTTTGCCTATGACTGTGTAAGAAGTCATCCCAGAATGTATAGCTTACAAAACAACACCCTGCAATTTGTCAGGGCCTGGCAGGCATGGCTCAACTATGTTCCCTGCAGCATCAGCAGGGTGGACTTCCCTGGGGATGGCAGATCATTTTCTAGGTAGCTCACTCACATGGCTAACAAGTTGGTGCTGCTGTTAGCTGTGAGTTCTGTGGGCTTTGGATGGGCTTTGCTTCCTCTTCACCTGGGCCTTTATGTGGGCTGCTTGGGCTTCCTCATAGCATGGAGGTGAATGCTAAGCAGCAACACCCCAGGAGAGCAAGGTGAAAGGTATATTGTCTTTTATGATGTAGCCTCAGAAGTCATATAGCATCATTGCCACTGTGGTCATGAGCCTGCCTAGATTCAAGGGGAGGTTGCATAGACTCAACTGCTGCATGGTAGGGGTGTCAAAGTCACATTGCAAGAAGAGCATGCACATGGAAGTTACTGTCGGGTCAGTGTTTGGAGGGTATAATCTGCCACAGAGGCCGAGGACTTCAACCCAGGTCTGTCCGACCCCAGGCTGAACTTGAATGGGAAAGTCCTCACCTGTGTGGAGTGAGGCGGCTCTGGACAAGCCTAGCTGCCTTTCCAAGAACCAAACAGAAGAGCCAGATTCTCCTACCCTGAGGCCTCCTTCTCCCAGCTGGGTGTGCAGATTTGTCACTTTTACTCCAGAGCAAACCATTCCATCAGTCCCTAGGGCCTGGGCTTCTCCAGAAGGCTGGAGCCAGGGCCTGGCACCATGGACATCTCTCAGGGGTGAGCTTGGCCCATGTTGCTGGGGTGCCTGGAGGAACTGCTCCGGTCCTTTTCTCAGCTAGAATTCCCCAATTCTGCACCACTCTAGTATAAGGGGCCTTCTTGGGGGGTCTGCTTTCTGATATTGGTCTTCCCCATCTCAGCAAAGGGCACCGTGACTACCCAGACCTGAGGCCTCCTGAAACCGCCTCTCCCCTCTCATTTCACTCTTCAGGAGGTCTGGTGGATTCTCCCTGCACCACAGCTCCTGAGTCACATGCATCTCCCATCCCCACTGCCACCTCCTATTCCCAGTCATCTCCAGTTCTCCCTACAGTGGCCACCTAACTGGCCCCTGTCTGCCTACTCTCTGGCTCTGAACCTGGAAATTGGATCCCATTTCTCTCCTTAAAACCTCCTGTGCCAAAGATGGCCGAATAGGAACAGCTCCAGTCTACAGCTCCTAGTGTGAGCAACGCAGAAGACGGGTGATTTCTGCATTTCCAACTGAGGTACTGGGTTCATCTCACTGGGGCTTGTCAGACAGCGGATGCAGGATAGTGGGTGCAGCCCACTGAGCATGAGCCGAAGCAGGGCGAGGCATTGCCTCACCCGGGAAGCCCAAGGGGTAAGGGAATTCCCTTTCCTAGCCAAGGGAAGCTGTAACAGAAGGCACCTGGAAAATCGGGTCACTCCTACCCTAATACTGCGCTTTTCCAATGGTCTTAGCAAAGGGCACACCAGGAGATTATATCCCACGCATGCCTCGGAGGGTCCCATGCCCATGGAGCCTTGCTCATTGCTAGCACAGCAGTCTGAGATCGAACTGCAAGTTGGCAGCCAGGCTGGGGGAGGGGCGCCCAACATTGCTAAGGCTTGAGTAGGTAAACAAAGTGGCCAGGAAGCTCAAACTGGGTGGAGCCTACCGCAGCTCAAGGAGGCCTGCCTGCCTCTGTGGACTCCACTTCTGGGGGCAGGGCATAACTGAATAAAAGGCAGCAGAAACCTCTGCAGACTTAAATGTCCCTGTCTGACAGCTTTGAAGAGAGTTGTGGTTCTCCCAGCATGGAGTTTGAGATCTGAGAACGGGCAGACTGCCTCCTCAAGTGGGTCCCTGACTCCTGAATAGCCTAACTGGGAGGTACCCCCCAGTAGGGGCAGACTGACACCTCACACAGCCAGGTACCCCTCTGAGACGAAGCTTCCAGAGGAACGATCAGGCAGCAACATTTGCGGCTCAGCAATATCCGCTGTTCTGCAGCCTCCGCTGCTGATACCAAGGCAAATGGTCTGGAGTGGACCTCCAGCAAACTCCAACAGACCTGCAGCTGAGGTCCTGACTATTAGAAGGAAAACTAACAAACAGAAAGGACATCCACACCAAAACCCCATCTGTACATCACCATCATCAAAGACCAAAGGTAGATAAAACCACAAAGATGGGGAAAAAAACAGAGCAGAAAAGCTGAAAATTCTAAAAATCAGAGCGCCTCTCCCCCTCCAAAGGAATGCAGCTCCTCGCCAGCAACTGAACAAAGTTGGATGGAGAATGACTTTGATGAGTTGAGAGAAGAAGGCTTCAGACAATCAAACTTCTCCGAGCTAAAGGAGGAAGTTTGAACCCATCGCAAAGAAGTTAAAAACCTTGAAAAAAGATTAGACGAATGGCTAACTAGAATAACCAGTGTAGAGAAGTCCTTAAATGACTGGATGGAGCTGAAAACCATGGCAAAAGAACTACATGACAAATGCACAAGCTTCAGTAGCCAATTTGATCAACTGGAAGAAAGGGTATCAGTGATTGAAGATCAAATGAATGAAATGAAGCAAGAAGAGAAGTTTAGAGAAAAAAGAGTAAAAAGAAATGAACAAAGCCTCCAAGAAATATGGGACTATGTGAAAAGACCAAATCTACGTCTGATTGGTGTACCTGAAAGTGATGGGGAGAATGGAACCAAGTTGGAAAACACTCTGCAGGATATTATCCAGGAGAACTTCCCCAATCTAGCAAGGCAGGCAAACATGCAGATTCAGGAAATACAGAGAATGCCACAAAGATACTCCTTGAGAAGAGCAACTTCAAGACACGTAACTGTCAGATTCACCAACGTTGAAATGAAGGAAAAAATGTTAAGGGCAGCCAGAGAGAAAGGTTGGGTTACCCACAAAGGGAAGCCCATCAGACTAACAGTGGATCTCTCAGCAGAAACTCTACAAGCCAGAAGAGAGTGGGGGCCAATATTCAACATTCTTAAAGAAAAGAATTTTCAACCCAGGATTTCATATCCAGCCAAACTAAGCTTCATAAGTGAAGGAGAAATAAAATCCTTTACAGACAAGCAAATGTTGAGAGATTTTATCACCACCAGACCTGCCCTAAAAGAGCTCCTGAAGGAAGCACTAAACATGGAAAGGAGGAGCCGGTACAAGCCACTGCAAAAACATACCAAATTGTAAAGACCGTCAATGCTAGGAAGAAACTGCATCAACTAATGAGCAAAACAACCAGCAAACATCGTAATGACAGGACCAAATTCACATGTAACAATAAAACCTTAGATGTAAATGGGCTAAATGCTCCAATTAAAAGACACAGACTGGCAAATTGGATAAAGAGTCAAGATTCATCAGTGTGCTGTATTCAGGAGACCCATCTCACTTGCAGAGACACACATAGGCTCAAAATAAAGGGATGGAGGAAGATCTACCAAGAAAATGGAAAACAAAAAAAGGCAGAGGTTGCAATCCTAGTCTCTGATAAAACAGATTTTAAACCAACAAAGATCAAAAGAGACAAAGAAGGCCATCACATAATGGTAAAGGGATCAATTCAACAAGAAGAGCTAACTATCCTAAATATATATGCACCCAATACAGGAGCATCCAGATTCATAAAGCAAGTCCTTAGAGACCTACAAAGAGACTTAGACTCCCACACAATAATAATGGCAGACTTTAACACCCCACTGTCAACATTAGACAGATCAATGAGACAGAAAGTTAACAAGGATACCCAGGAATTGAACTCAGCTCTGCACCAAGCAGACCTAATAGACATCTACAGAACTCTCCACCCCAAACCAACAGAATATACATTCTTCTCAGCACCACATCACACATGTTCCAAAACTGACCACATAATTGGTAGTAAAGCACTCCTCAGCAAATGTAAAAGAACGGAAATTATAACAAACTGTCTCTCAGACTACAGTGCAATCAAACTAGAACTCAGGATTAAGAAACTCACTCCAAACCGCTCAACTACATGGAAACTGAACAACCTGCTCCTGAATGAATACTGGGTACATAACGAAATGAAGGCAGAAATAAAGATGTTCTTTGAAACCAATGAGAACAAAGACTCAACATACCAGAATCTCTGGGACACATTTAAAGCAGTGTTTACAGGGAAATTTATAGCACTAAATGCCCACAAGAGAAAGCAGGAAAGATCTAAAATTGACGCCCTAACATCACAGTTGAAAGAACTAGAGAAGCAAGAGCAAACACATTCAAAAGCTAGCAGAAGGCAAAAAATAACGAGATCCGAGCAGAACTGAAGGAGATAGAGACACAAAAAACCCTTCAAAAAAATCAATGAATCCAGGAGCTGGTTTTTTGAAAAGATCAACAAAATTGATAGACCACTAGCAAGACTAATAAAGAAGAAAGAGAGAAGAATCAAATAGATACAATAAAAAATGATAAAGGGGATATCACCACTGATCGCACAGAAATACAAACTACCATCAGAGAATACTATAAACACCTCCATGCAAATAAACTAGAAAAATCTAGAAGAAATGGATAAATTCCTGGACACATACACTCTCCCAAGACTAAACCAGGAAGAAGTTGAATCCCTGAATAGACAAATAACAGGCTCTGAAATTGTGGCAATAATCAATAGCTTACCAACCAAAAAAAGTCCACGACCAGATGGATTCACAGCCGAATTCTACCAGAGGTACAAGGAGGAGCTGGTACCATTCCTTCTGAAACTATTCCAATCAATAGAAAAAGAGGGAATCCTCCCTAACTCATTTTATGAGGCCAGCATCATCCTGATTCCAAAGCCTGGCAGATACACACAAAAAGATGATTTTAGACCAATATCCTTGATGAATATCGATGCAAAAATCCTCAATAAAATACTGGAAAACCGAATCCAGCAGCACATCAAAAAGCTTGTACACAATGATCAAGTGGGCTTCATTCCTGGGATGCAAGGCTGGTTCAACATACACAAATCAATAAAAGTAATCCAGCATATAAACAGAATCAAAGACAAAAACCACATGATTATCTCAATAGATGCAGAAAAGGCCTTTGACAAAATTCAACAGCCCTTCATGCTAAAAACTCTCAATAAATTGGGTATTGACAGGATGTATCTCAAAATAATAAGAGCTATTTATGACAAACCCACAGCCAATATCATACTGAATGGGCAAAAACTGGAAGCATTCTCTTTGAAAACTGGCACAAGACAGGGATGCTCTCTCTCACCACTCCTATTCAACATAGTGTTGGAAGTTCTGGCCAGGGCAATCAGGCAGGAGAAGGAAATAAAGGATATTCAATTAGGAAAAGAGGAAGTCAAATTGTCCCTGTTTGCAGATGACATGATTGTATATCTAGAAAACCCCATCATCTCTGCCCAAAATCTCCTTAAGCTGATAAGCAACTTCAGCAAAGTCTCAGGATACAAAATCAATGTGCAAAAATCACAAGCATTCTTATACACCAGTAACAGACAAACAGCCAAATCATGAGTGAAGTCCCATTCACAATTGCTTCAAAGAGAATAAAATACCTAGGAATCCAACTTACAAGGGATGTGAAGGACCTCTTCAAGGAGAACTACAAACCACTGCTCGGCGAAATGAAAGAGGACACAAACAAATGGAAGAACATTCCATGCTCATGGATAGGAAGAATCAATATTGTGAAAATGGCCATACTGCCCAAGGTAATTTATAGATTCAATGCCATCCCCATCAAGCTACCAATGACTTTCTTCACAGAATTGGAAAAAACTACTTTAAAGTTCATATGGAGCCTAAAAAGAGCCCACATTGCCAAGTCAATCCTAAGCCAAAAGAACAAAGCTGGAGGCATCATGCTACCTGACTTCAAACAATACTACAAGGCTAGAGTAACTAAAACAGCTTGGTACTGGTACCAAAACAGAGATATAGACCAATGGAACAGAACAGAGCCCTCAGAAATAATACCACACATCTACAACCATCTGATCTTTGACAAACCTATCAAAAATAAGAAATGGGGAAAGATTCCCTATTTAATGAATAGTGCTGGGAAAACTGGCTAGCCATAATGTAGAAAGCTGAAACTGGATCCCTTCCTCACACCTTCTACTAAAATTAATTCAAGATGGATTAAAGACTTAAATGTTAGACCTAAAACCATAAAAACCCTAGAAGAAAACCTAGGCAATACCATTCAGGACATAGGCATGGGCAAGGACTTCATGGCTAAAACACCAAAAGCAATGGCAACAAAAGGCAAAATTGACAAATGGGATCTAATTAAACTAAAGAGCTTCTGCACAGCAAAAGAAATTACCATCAGAGTGAACAGGCAACCTACAGAATGGGAGAAAATTTTTGCAATCTACTCATCTGACAAAGGGCTAATATCCAGAATCTACAAAGAACTCAAACAAATTTACAAGAAAAAAACAAACAACCCCATCAAAAAGTAGGTGAAGGATATGAACAGACACTTCTCAAAAGAAGACCTTTATGCAGCCAACAGACACATGAAAAAATGCTCATCATCACTGGCCATCAGAGAAAAGGAAATCAAAACCACAATGAGATACCATCTCACACCAGTTAGAATGGTGATCATTAAAAAGTCAGGAAACAACAGGTGCTGGAGAGGATGTGGAGAAATAGGAACACTTTTACACTGTTGGTGGGACTGTAAAATAGTTCAACCATTGTGGAAGACAATGTGGCAATTCCTCAAGGATCTAGAACTAGAAATACCATTTGACCCAGCCATCCCATTACTGGGTATATACCCAAAGGATTATAAATCATGCTGCTATAAAGACACATGCACATGTATATTTATTGTGGCACTATTCACAATAGCAAAGACTTGGAACCAACCCAAATGTCCATCAATGATAGACTGGATTAAGAAAATGTGGCACATATACACCATGGAATACTATGCAGCCATAAAAAATGATGAGTTCATGTCCATTGCAGGGACATGGATGAAGCTGGAAACCATCATTCTCAGCAAATTATCACAGGGACAAAAAACCAAACACTGCATGTTCTCACTCATAGGTGGAAATTGAACAATGAGAACACTTGGACACAGGAAGGGGAACATCACACACTGGGGCCTGTCGTGGGGTGGGAGGAGTGGGGAGGGATAGCATTAGGAAATATACCTAATGTAAATGATGAGTTAATGGGTGCAGCACACCAACATGGCACATGTATACATATGTAACAAACCTGCACATTGTGCACATGTACCCTAGAACTTAAAGTATAAAAAAAGTAAAAAAAAAAAAAACCTCCTGTGCCTTGCCACTATTTTTTTAGCGTGATCCCAAATCCATACCATGGCCCTGAGGCCTTGATTGAATTTGCCATCTCACCTCCTCCCTATCCTGTGCACCCACTCAACCCCCAGCCACAGTGGCCCTTGCCCCATTCCTCACACATGCCCAGCTTCTTCTCACCTCAGGGGCATTGTGCTTTGTTCATCCCTCTGCCCAGAAGGCTGTTTCCATGCCCTTTGGATGCGTCTTTACTTCTTATTCTTCTGATTTGAGCTTAAATGCCTCATTTTGACCCTGTAATCTCCCTCCCCAAGAGGACCCTGTGTCAGAGGCACCAGTTGCCCCCATTTGTCCTCTTTTTCCATAGAAACAGCAGGCATGGGTGTCACTGAGGCCATAACCATGCAGAACAGGGAGAACACTTCTCCTTCCCCACTGGATGGCTGGAGTAGTCATGTGCCCCTGCCTGGCCAATGGGATGCAAGGCTGAGATGTGTGCCCTAATGGGCACTGCAGTCACCCAGGGAGAGATGACGGTGCCTGGACTGAGCTGTATGCAATGGCAGTGCGGAGAGGCAGTCAGATTCTGGGTGTATTTTGAAGACAGAGTTAGCATAGTCTGCTCCAGGATTTGACATGGGGGGTGAAAGAAGGAGAGAAGTAAAGGTGGCCTCAAAGTGTGGTCTGGGCAGCCAAGAGAAAGAGTTGGCTTTAGCTGAGCTGGGGACACTCCTGGGGAGGAAGATGTGGAGTTCACTTTGGGCCATGGTGGATCTCTGATGTTTGATAGACATCCAGCTAGAGAGAGGAATAGGAATCCAGGCACCCAGAGTCGGAGGAGATGTAAATTTGAGAGTTGTCAGTGTATAGACGGTTTTCGAAACCACAAGACTGGATGGCATCCCCAAGGGCACAAGTGTAGACAGTAGATGAATAAAGTCCAATCCTCAACATTAAGAGGTTAGAGACTGAGACAGCCAGGGAGGTTTCCCAGAAGCCAATGAAGGACATAGTTCAGGGACGGGAAATGGCCAGCTGTGTCAAGGGAATGAACATGCCAAGTCTGCTGAGGACTTAGGGTTGATACTGCATTCAGCAACGTGGAGGTCATAGGTGACATGAAGATCATAGGTGATGTGGAGGCCATAGATGATGTGGAGGCCATAGATGATGTGTAGGTCATAGGTGATGTAGAGGTCATAGGTGATGTGGAGGTCACAGGTGATGTGTAGGTCATAGGTGACTTGGAGGCCATAGATGATGTGGAGGTCATAAGTGATGCAGAGGTCACAGATGATGTGGAGGTTATAGGTGATCCAGAGGTCATAAGTGATATGGGGGTCATAGATGATGCAGAGGTCATAAGTGATACGGGGGTCATATGTGGCATACAGCCATTGGTGGAGTGGTAGGAGTGAGAGCTCAAGGGGAGAGGAATTGGAGCCAGGGATAGCAGACAGCTCCTTGGAAGCATTTTCTTGGGGAAGTGTTACAGAATATGGCAGAAAGGGTGGCAATGTCAAGACAAGAGCCAGCCACACACTCTGCACAGTGGCCAGCAGCTTTGCTCTTCACCCTCTTGGATGTTGAGCTCCTTGAGGGCGGGAAGCTCATCTGTTTTGTCCTTATGTGTCCATCACCCAGTGAAGGGCTGGGTGATGCGGTCGGGCAATATCGGCAAGAGGGAGAGAGGAACGGAGGGAGGCTGGACCTACGTGCCCGACAGACCAGGGGACTTGCGTGGCCTATCGGAGGAGCTGGGGAGGTGGGCTGTGTATTAGGAGGAGCACCAGCTCCAGAACCCACAGGCCAAGGTCCCGCCCCCAGCTCCCCCCCCCACCAGCCAAGCGACCTTGCAGTCCCCTAACCACCCCACAATAAACATAACTGAACCTATCTGCAGGATTGGTTGTGAGGTCTAGGGACAAAATATTTTAAAAGAGCCAGCATAGTCCCTGGTGACGTAACTGGCCCTCAATAAAGGGCATCTCACGCCATAATACTGAAGCCCCTGGATAATGAAAATGGTGACAGTCACTTTTCGTTTAGTGCCTATTCCTGTGTTATGTGTCCTACACCCTTTGGCTCTTTCTTACTCCATACAGCAGCTCTTTAAAGCGGGGATTCCTACCCCTCCATTTTGGAGACAAGACATGGAGGCTCAGGGAAGTGAGTTTACTCAGCCAAGGTCACCTGGCCAATATATGGCAGAGCAGGGGCTTGAACCCATGTTTAGGCTGACTCCAACACCTGGGCCTTTAACTGCTCTGCTCTGTGGCCTCCCTGGGGTCAATAGCCCAAGAATCCCCTCAGTGCAATGGCAGATGCGTAATTTGTGGCCTAACCACTGCCTCCCAAATGCTGCGAAATGTGTCAGAGGTGGCAGCCTCTCAGACAAGGTGGCCTGGAGCACAGGAAGATGAATGGTCCAGCTGAGTTCTGCCCAGGGCCTCTGGCCAATCAGGTATGGGTAGAAACCTCCACCCATCCAGGCCCCAGCAAATAGGATTTCTACAAGCATGGATGGGCCGGCTGCCTGTTACTGCCAGGAGCTAAGTTGTTTCTTTATGCCACAATAAATCTGGCAGTAGGAGCCAGTGAAGGCAATGATTACTTTTACGACCTCTCTGCTTGCCCCTGATTGGGACACATCATATATCCCAGGCAGCCAGGAGATGGAGCCGAGACATTGATGGATGCCAAGGCCACTTGCAAGGCCCTCACTGGGAGCGGGGCCTGGCCACTCTCTCTCCCTGGGCTCCATGGACCTCTCCCTGCTGACCTCTGATGGACAGGAGCTTAATGAGCTTTGGCCTCAACATCCCCATGGCTAAGGGCAACGCAGAAATAATGAAGTCATTGCATAGGCAGGATCAACAGGTTCAAGTCAGATGATGGAGGATGAGGGCTTTGGACGAGGGGATGTGAGAAAGCAAAGTTTATTTGCACTGAAATGCATGGGTCACATTGCTAAGTGCTCTCCAGATTTTCACACATCAGCCTCCAATGATGCCTGTGAGGTGGGTACTGTGATCATCCCCATTTTACAGACGAAGAGACTGAGGCTTTGAGAGCTTAAACAACTTGCCCCAGGTCAGAGAGCCAACAAGGTCATATAAACAGCAGCAACCAGTGTGATCCTTTGAAAAAACAGGCCAGACCCCATCATTCCCCTGCTCAAACCCTCAAGGGCCTCCTACTGCTCTGCCCATGAGCACTGTGCTCCTGACCATGACCTCTGAGGCCTGCCTGCCCTCGCTCTGCCGTCTCTGGCCACATCCCTCCTGCATGCTCCTGCATGCTCCAGCTTTTTCTCTTCCCCCATCACTCCGAGCTCTTTGCCTGGATACCCTTCTCCAGTCCCACATACTTGGCTCCTGCCTGGTGTCCAGTCCCCAGATCCGATATCCCCTTCCTGAGATGCCCTCCCTGAATGCCCTGAGTGGCCCTCCAGCACCCACTGTCCCTGTCTCTTTCAGGGCCCATCCTGTGTCTGTCCCTCACTGCTTTCTCACAGTGGTTGATGAGCTTGTTCATTCACTGGATATTTGTTCCCACCAGACTGTGAGCAGTGAGAGGCCAGGGCCATGTAGGTCTTGTCCTCTTGTGTCCCTTGCACTGGACATGTGCCTGGCATTTGACAGGAATTCAATGAGTATTTGTTGAATAATGAAAGTTGCAGAGCTGGGACTGGAGCTCAGGTCTGTCTGGCTCCAAAGCCTATACTTTTAAGCACATCATTTTTAGTCCTTGGATGGACCACATGGCTTGATGTCATGAGGATGGTTTCCAATGCTGGCTCGGCCACCACCATGCTATGTGGCGTTGAGCAAACACCTGGGGCTCAGTCTCCTGAACTGTCCATAAGGACGTGGACCTAGGTGCTTTCTATGAGTGTATTCTAAATTGGACAGCACTGGGTTCAACATCCCTCAGACAATGGGGCTGACATTGCTCAGTGGGGCCCAGGCCATTGGCCTAAGCATCTAGTTTCTGAGCCTGGTGGCTTTGCGCTGACTTTAGTCTGAGGGCCTGCACCCCCACCCTGGCTGGTCCTGGTGATCACAATAGTGACTGCTGTGCATTGTCCCTAATACATTTTTTCTAATATTCTCAGCACCCCCAGAGGTGGGTATCACCAAGCCCATTTGACAGACAAGAAAGTCAAGGCTCAGGGAAGAGCTCTCAGTGTCAGAGCTAGATAAGAATCAGTCTCTGAACTAGAACTTGGGACTGACTCCAAAGCCAGTGCTCATGCAAACTCAGCAACAACAGCCAGTCTATGCCTGCACCACACCAGCTGCTTGAGGCTGCTCTCAACCCTCAGCCAGGCTGCTCTCCCAACCCTGCTATAGCTGGGCTTACCTCCATCGAGCCTCACCATCAACAGCCTCTCCAGGCCCAGGGCTGGCAGGCAGCAGGCCGGCATGAAACACTGCCCAATCATCCTAGTCTGTGAATTCTCACTGTGAGGGTGGCCTGAGTTAGCGGGAGCTCGGGAGCTAAGAACTCCTTTCAAGAAAAAGGAAACTAGTCTAAGTTCGCCTCCTACTCTCTCCCTGGGGTGGGAAGAGGAACCTTGACCAGAAATGTCATTTTCTGCTCATTTCAAAGTGAATAATGTGGCTCTCTTGGGCTGTGTTTATTCTCTTGATTTGATGCATTCTCTGTTTGAAAAGAGCTGGAGACAGAGTCCCCTCCCTGGGTCTCTTTCCTTGCTGAGCTCTGGGATCCCTTCCCCTTCCCCTCCCTCCCAAACCCACACCGCGTCCTCCGGTCAACTCTGAGTACCTCTCCCCATCAAAGTCCTTTAAAGATCCAGGTCCCCTCATGCTCCTGTCATCTTGGCCTCTCTCCTCACCTCCACCTCTTTTGGACCCATCCAGTGAATTTGCATCCTTGTGTAGAGATGAGGATGAGGTTGAGTATTGAGGAATCATGGAACTTCTCATTTAACCACATTCTCTGAGAGAATCTCGCAAAACGGCAAAATGTCACAAGGCTGCTGGCATGGAAAGAACCAGGGTCTTTCCTGGGCCTCAGGATCAGGGTGACTGTGGTCCACACTCAGCTCAGCTTCCAACCTACACATTTTACAGATGGGAAAACTGAAGAGGAGGAGAATTTGTGATAAATAGCTGCTCACCTCTGCCCTGCTCGAACCAGCCTCCAAAGGACCTCTCCATCCACAAACACCTTAGTTATTTTATGTAACTTTCACGGGAACCCCTTGTGTAATTGGCTGGGTAGGTCTTATCATTATTCCAATGAATGGGTATGGAAACAGGCCCAGAAAGGGAAAGTGACTTATCCAAGGTTATTCAGCAAGAGAGCTGCAGGGCTATTTTAAGACCCAGCCCCCTAACACCCAGTGGGATCTTTTCCATGCTTCCTACTCTCTACTTTTCCCAGGACCAAATGTAGGAGGGGAGGAGATGGGGAGCCGGTGAGGTTCTGCCCCAGGACCATGGCACGCACACTGGCTGGTGTCCTCTTTGTGCCACCCATGTCCTGCCAAACTCAGCAAAGGACCAAAGTGACCGTTTACTTCCACTACTCTGATCCTGAGATGTGGAGGGGCTGCCCGTAATGACCACAATGCTGCCAAGCTGTATGCTGAGTCTGGCACCAGCACTGTCCATCCCTCCCCTGACCTTCCTGTGGTCCATACCCACTGCCCTACACTTCAAATGCTGCTTCAGGCCTAAGCCCTCTTCATGGCCCCTGTCCAGTCACCAGTCAGCATTTGCTCCCAGCAAATGGTCTGACTTTCTTCCTGTTGGGAAGTAGAGGCCATGAGGCACACACATCCTTCTCTTCCTTCTATGGAACAGCCCATCTACCTGTTCTCAGCCATTTCGTAGCAAAGTCCACCCTCTCCCAGTGGAAGGCACCTTCCCACCTGGATCCATTCCCTCTGCCTCTGTAGGGTTCCATCCACATCCACATCTCTGGAGTTCTGGCTCCATGTACTGGTAAAAAAAAAAAAATATATATATATATATACGTGCTCAGCTCTCTCCTACTGCGTTAGCTCACCCAACTCCGCCAACCAAGGCTTCTCTGCATCCAACCTGCTCAACTTTCCCCCATGTAATCTCCTTGGTCCCTGGGACCATTTCCGTTTTCTCCCCTCCCTTCCACACACTGTTCCTGGAAGTGCAAGGGCAGGTGCAGGGACAGGAAGAGTTAATGCCTCAAGAGGTGATGGTTAGTGCCCACACAGGAAGGTGGCTCTGGGGCATCTTCCACTCAGGCCTCAGAGGCTCCCCAGCGGGACTGAGCCCCGCAGTTGCTGTCACTGTAACCCATTCCTAATACACGCTTCCTTGACTTTTCTCCCTGCCTTGCCTCAGTTGCCCCATTTCCTCATGTGTGCTCCTAGGGTCCCCTCTCAGATAAACTGCCAGCACCGGGGCCCTTGACTCAGGCCCTGCTTTTAAGGCAGCTGCCCTAAGACACACGCCTGCCCCTCTAACTCTGGAGGGAGTTAACTGCTCCCTCCTCCTGTTCCCTGATGTCTGTTTTTGTTTCTTGATGGAGAGTTTCTGCCTTTTGTTCCAGACTGTGAGTCCCCGAGGTAAAGGCAAGCTCTTCCCCATCTCTGTGTCTCCTTAACCTGGCACGTCACCCCAGTACATCAGTGGCCAAGAAATGTTTGCTGAGTGAGAAAGGGAATGGGTGAAGGGGACAGGAGCCTCCAGGACCACCCACACTGGGTGACCAGCCCTGTGAAGCAAATTGTCCCATGGATGTGGTCCTCTCAACCCCGACTTCTCCTCTCCATCAGGGGGCCTATCTCTGCCCACCCCCGCCTGGCCCAGAACCCTTCACCCTGTCGTGGACCCCTGTCCTACCCGCTATGATGCAGTCTGCCTGGTGCAGCCCAGGAAAAGTCCCCAGACAGGGGAGCAGGCCCCTCGGCAGGAGATTCTGGCTCTGGCTAAACAAAGGTCACAGGAACCGAGTGAAATGCTGTTATAATGCGACATAATTCAGTGCTGCCTTCCAGCAGATGTCGCTTTGGAGGGATGGATTTGTCCCAGCTGGACTCTGGGGCGCCTTCTGAAGCACATGGAAGAACCACCTGCTGCTTCTGATGTGAGCAGCCCCAGGAAATGGTAATTTTGACAAATCAACTTATTCAGGCCAAACGCATGGACCCAGTTTCCAGCAGGAGGAATTACAATCCTTGCTGAGGAAGTGAAACAGCTGCTGTGGAGCCAAGCGGCCGTGCAGGCCACGTCCAGCCCCGAAGCCCCTGGGGAACAGGATGCTCCGAGCACAGGTAGCCGAGGAGTCAAACTCAGTGCCCTGGTCCCGTGAAAGACCATTTTACAAATGAGAAAACTGAGGCCAGTGGAGGCAAAGGAGCGCTTGCCCAATGTCACACACCATGAGTCAGTGGTAGTCCCTGTCTGGGAACTTCTCCTGGGCTGTACGAGGCAGACTGCATCATAGGGGGTAGGACAGGGGTCAACGGCAGGGTGAGGGGCTCTGGGCCAGTCAGGGGCAGGCAGGGCCCTGAGCTGAATCCAGACAGCTCTGGCCCTGCCCTCCCCTATGGCTCTGAAGAGCAGGCAGGTGAGACTCGTGCTGAAATAAAAACTAAAACAACCGACATCGTGACCAACTCACAGGTTTGGCCTGCCCTTTTGCTACAGATGCTGACCTGGGAATGAGAGACTCTGGGATCTGATGCTGGTTCTGCCCCTACCTTCCTGTGTGACCTGTTTCCCCCCCATTCAAAGGGCATAATGCTCCGCTTCCCAGGATGATGTGGGATCACATGAGGTCCAGGAGAAACTCCTTGGCACACTGTGTGAAAGTAAACCTGGGAACAGTGTAATCATCACCCACACACCTGCAGCGACGGGATGCTGAGGATGGGGATGGTCCCTCGGGTGAGCTGCTAGAAGTGAAGGAGAAATCAACGCGTCTTCTTCCAGGCACGCAGCTCCGAGCCAGGGGAGGGGCCTCGAGTGGGTTGTAAGTTTGGAAGCCTCGGCCATCCTCCAATAATGCAAGGGTGTCTCTGAAGCCATATCCCCCTTGCTGTTGCAGAAGGTGATATGGAATCTCAGATCTCAGGCTGCCTGTCCACAGAAACTTTGTGGTGCTGGGCTGTGGGGAAAAGACTAGGGAGGAAGATGAAGAAAAGGAGGAAAAAAGGGGATAGAGAGGAGGAGTTCTGGTTCCATGTGTTAGTAGAAAAATGTGTGCTCAGCTGGCTTATCACTCAGTATTTGCAGGACTTTGGTCAAGTCACTTAACACTGCTAACCCTGGTTTTCACATCTGTAAAATGGGGATGAGAATGGCACCTTTTTCTGAGAGTCAGGTTGGCAAGGCACTTAGCACCATACTGGGTTCAGTTTAAGTTCTCAAAACTTGGCAGCCAGCAGTGCAGGACGAGTCCCTGGATGGCCTTGGTGACCCAGCTCTTCCCCCTTTTCTCACTTGAAGTTCTCAGAATAACTGTACAGTGTGGTGAGAATGCAACACATTCCAAAGATTAGGAGGAACTGGCAGGAATAGCCCAGGCTCTGTTCCTGTCCCTCCTAGAGCAGGATATCCTACAATGCTGTGGCCCAGTGAGTCATATTCTCCCTGGGGTACAGAACCCAGAGCAGACTGCTTTCAGGATCTCTTGGTTGCCGTGCAAGTGGAGCACATGCAGGCAAGACTCTGCCTACCTTGGGCAGTTTTCCTGAGCCTTGGAGGACTCTCCATTAATCAAAGACTTCTTTTGTCCTTTGCTGACTTTCTATGAATAATAAAGTTGCTTCACTTAACTTGTGTGAGTGTCCTGTCTCACCAGACTCATAAAATGGATTGATACTGGTGCATAGTATTGGGCAAATGTTTAGAGTCTTCCTCTGAGATTGATAAGGGCACACAGTGAGCCTGCTTCACAAGCAGTGCAGTGGCAAAGCCAGAGTAGTCACTGCAGATCTACAGTGATGTGTTCCTCAGGGTGGGGCTACCCACTCCACCCTGCTGACCATGGGGACAGGAGAATGAACAAGCTTGTTCATGGAGAGGAGCAGAAGGGCTCGCCCAAGCTGACAAAGACCTGAAGGATAGATTCCCAGACCACACAGGTGACAGATTGCATTTACCTACTTTTTGTCATGTTAATGGGGCTAGGAATTATTTATATCTGTCTAACTGCAATTATATTAGTGGAGACTACAGTCATGAGTTCATTGACTAGTGGTGATTATAATAATTATTGTAGTGAGAAGCTGAAGGTATGCCAGTAGATCGATCAGGAAGAAATGTGAATGGAGAGCTGTATTAGACTGTTTTCACACTGCTGATAAAGACATACCCAAGACTGGGAAGAAAAAGAGGTTTAATTGGACTCACAGTTCAACATGGCTGGGGAGGCCTCAGAATCGTGGCAGGAGGTGAAAAGCACTTCTTTTTTTTTTTTTTCTTTTTTATTTTTATTATTATTATTATTTTTATTTTTTATTATACTTTAAGTTTTAGGGTACATGTGCACATTGTGCAGGTTAGTTACATATGTATACATGTGCCATGCTGGTGCGCTGCACCCACTAACTCGTCATCTAGCATTAGGTATATCTCCCAATGCTATCCCTCCCCCCTCCCCCCACCCCACAACAGTCCCCAGAGTGTGATATTCCCCTTCCTGTGTCCATGTGATCTCATTGTTCAATTCCCACCTATGAGTGAGAATATGCGGTGTTTGGTTTTTTGTTCTTGCGATAGTTTACTGAGAATGATGATTTCCAATTTCATCCATGTCCCTACAAAGGACATGAACTCATCATTTTTTATGGCTGCATAGTATTCCATGGTGTATATGTGCCACATTTTCTTAATCCAGTCTATCATTGTTAGACATTTGGGTTGGTTCCAAGTCTTTGCTATTGTGAATAATGCCGCAATAAACATACGTGTGCATGTGTCTTTATAGCAGCATGATTTATAGTCCTTTGGGTATATACCCAGTAATGGGATGGCTGGGTCAAATGGTATTTCCAGTTCTAGATCCCTGAGGAATCGCCACACTGACTTCCACAATGGTTGAACTAGTTTACAGTCCCACCAACAGTGTAAAAATGTTCCTATTTCTCCACATCCTCTCCAGCACCTGTTGTTTCCTGACTTTTTAATGATCGCCATTCTAACTGGTGTGAGATGGTATCTCATTGTGGTTTTGATTTGCATTTCTCTGATGGCCAGTGATGATGAGCATTTTTTCATGTGTCTGTTGGCTGCATAAATGTCTTCTTTTGAGAAGTGTCTGTTCATGTCCTTCACCCACTTTTTGATGGGGTTGTTTGTTTTTTTCTTGTAAATTTGTTTGAGTTCATTGTAGATTCTGGATATTAGCCCTTTGTCAGATGAGTAGGTTGCAAAAATTTTCTCCCATTTTGTAGGTTGCCTGTTCACTCTGATGGTAGTTTCTTTTGCTGTGCAGAAGCTCTTTAGTTTAATTAGATCCCATTTGTCAATTTTGTCTTTTGTTGCCATTGCTTTTGGTGTTTTAGACATGAAGTCCTTGCCCATGCCTATGTCCTGAATGGTAATGCCTACGTTTTCTTCTAGGGTTTTTATGGTTTTAGGTCTAACGTTTAACTCTTTAATCCATCTTGAATTGATTTTTGTATAAGGTGTAAGGAAGGGATCCAGTTTCAGCTTTCTACATATGGCTAGCCAGTTTTCCCAGCACCATTTATTAAATAGGGAATCCTTTCCCCATTGCTTGTTTTTGTCAGGTTTGTCAAAGATCAGATAGTTGTAGATATGCGGCGTTATTTCTGAGGGCCCTGTTCTGTTCCATTGATCAATATCTCTGTTTTGGTACCAGTACCATGCTGTTTTGGTTACTGTAGCCTTGTAGTATAGTTTGAAGTCAGGTAGTGTGATGCCTCCAGCTTTGTTCTTTTGGCTTAGGATTGACTTGGCGATGTGGGCTCTCTTTTGGTTCCATATGAACTTTAAAGTAGTTTTTTCCAGTTCTGTGAAGAAAGTCATTGGTAGCTTGATGGGGATGGCATTGAATCTGTAAATTACCTTGAGGAGTATGGCCATTTTCACGATATTGATTCTTCCTACCCATGAGCATGGAATGTTCTTCCATTTGTTTGTATCCTCTTTTATTTCCTTGAGCAGAGGTTTGTAGTTCTCCTTGAAGAGGCCCTTCACATCCCTTGTAAGTTGGATTCCTAGGTATTTTATTCTCTTTGAAGCAATTGTGAATGGGAGTTCACTCATGATTTGGCTCTCTGTTTGTCTGTTGTTGGTGTATAAGAATGCTTGTGATTTTTGTACATTGATTTTGTATCCTGAGACTTTGCTGAAGTTGCTTATCAGCTTAAGGAGATTTTGGGCTGAGACAATGGGGTTTTCTAGATATACAATCATGTCGTCTGCAAACAGGGACAATTTGACTTCCTCTTTTCCTAATTGAATACCCTTTATTTCCTTCTCCTGCCTAATTGCCCTGGCCAGAACTTCCAACACTATGTTGAATAGGAGTGGTGAGAGAGGGCATCCCTGTCTTGTGCCAGTTTTCAAAGAGAATGCTTCCAGTTTTTGCCCATTCAGTATGATATTGGCTGTGGGTTTGTCATAGATAGCTCTTATTATTTTGAAATACGTCCCATCAATACCTAATTTATTGAGAGTTTTTAGCATGAAGGGTTGTTGAATTTTGTCAAAGGCTTTTTCTGCATCTATTGAGATAATCATGTGGTTTTTGTCTTTGGCTCTGTTTTTATGCTGGATTACATTTATTGATTTGCGTATATTGAACCAGCCTTGCATCCCAGGGATGAAGCCCACTTGATCATGGTGGATAAGCTTTTTGATGTGCTGCTGGATTCATTTTGCCAGTGTTTTATTGAGGATTTTTGCCTCAATGTTCATCAAGGATATTGGTCTAAAATTCTCTTTTTTTGTTGTGTCTCTGCCTGGCTTTGGTATCAGAATGATGCTGGCGTCATAAAATGAGTTAGGGAGGATTCCCTCTTTTTCTATTGATTGGAATAGTTTCAGAAGGAATGGTACCAGTTCCTCCTTGTACCTCTGGTAGAATTCGGCTGTGAATCCATCTGGTCCTGGACTCTTTTTGGTTGGTAAGCTATTGATTATTGCCACAATTTCAGCTCCTGTTATTGGTCTATTCAGAGATTCAACTTCTTCCTGGTTTAGTCTTGGGAGAGTGTATGTGTCCAGGAATTTATCCATTTCTTCTAGATTTTCTAGTTTATTTGCGTAGAGGTGTTTGTAGTATTCTCTGATGGTAGTTTGTATTTCTGTGGGATTGGTGGTGATATCCCCTTTATCATTTTTTTATTGCATCTATTTGATTCTTCTCTCTTTTTTTCTTTATTAGTCTTGCTAGCGGTCTATCAATTTTGTTTATCCTTTCAAAAAACCAGCTCCTGGATTCATTAATTTTTTGAAGGGTTTTTTGTGTCTCTATTTCCTTCAGTTCTGCTCTGATTTTAGTTATTTCTTCCCTTCTGCTAGCTTTTGAATGTGTTTGCTCTTGCTTTTCTAGTTCTTTTAATTGTGATGTTAGGGTGTCAATTTTGGATCTTTCCTGCTTTCTCTTGTGGGCATTCAGTGCTATAAATTTCCCTCTGCACACTGCTTTGAATGCATCCCAGAGATTCTGGTATGTTGTGTCTTTGTTCTCATTGGTTTCAAAGAACAACTTTATTTCTGCCTTCATTTCGTTATGTACCCAGTAGTCATTCAGGAGCAGGTTGTTCAGTTTCCATGTAGTTGAGCGGTTTTGAGTGAGATTCTTAATCCTGAGTTCTAGTTTGATTGCACTGTGGTCTGAGAGATAGTTTGTTATAATTTCTGTTCTTTTACATTTGCTGAGGAGTGCTTTACTTCCCAGTATGTGGTCAATTTTGGAGTAGGTGTGGTGTGGTGCTGAAAAAAATGTATATTCTGTTGATTTGGGGTGGAGAGTTCTGTAGATGTCTATTAGGTCCGCTTGCTGCAGAGCTGAGTTCAATTCCTGGGTATCCTTGTTGACTTTCTGTCTCGTTGATCTGTCTAATGTTGACAGTGGGGTGTTAAAGTCTCCCATTATTAATGTGTGGGAGTCTAAGTCTCTTTGTAGGTCACTCAGGACTTGCTTTATGAATCTTGGTGCTCCTGTATTGGGTGCATATATATTTAGGATAGTTAGCTCTTCTTGTTGAATTGATCCCTTTACCATTATGTAATGGCCTTCTTTGTCTCTTTTGATCTTTGTTGGTTTAAAGTCTGTTTTATCAGAGACTAGGATTGCAACCCCTGCCTTTTTTTGTTTTCCGTTTGCTTGGTAGATCTTCCTCCATCCCTTTATTTTGAGCCTATGTGTGTCTCTGCATGTGAGATGGGTTTCCTGAATACAGCACACTGATGGGTCTTGACTCTTTATCCAATTTGCTAGTCTGTGTCTTTTAATTGGAGCATTTAGTCCATTTACATTTAAAGTTAATATTGTTATGTGTGAATTCGATCCTGTCATTATGATGTTAGCTGGTTATTTT
This sequence comes from Homo sapiens, assembly GCF_000001405.40. Taxonomy (NCBI): domain Eukaryota; kingdom Metazoa; phylum Chordata; class Mammalia; order Primates; family Hominidae; genus Homo; species Homo sapiens. The sequence goes on along the minus strand of NC_000001.11, from coordinate 30,440,057 downwards.
GCTCGTTAGTTGATGCAGTTTCTTCCTAGCCTTGATGGTCTTTACATTTTGGCATGATTTTGCAGTGGCTGGTACCGGTTGTTCCTTTCCATGTTTAGTTCTTCCTTCAGGAGCTCTTGTAAGGCAGGCCTGGTGGTGACAAAATCTCTCAGCATTTGCTTGTCTGTAAAGTATTTTATTTCTCCTTCACTTATGAAGCTTAGTTTGGCTGGATATGAAATTCTGGGTTGAAAATTCTTTTTTTTAAGAATGTTGAATATTGACCCCCACTCTCTTCTGGCTTGTAGGGTTTCTGCCGAGAGATCCGCTGTTGGTCTGATGGGCTTCCCTTTGAGGGTAACCCGACCTTTCTCTCTGGCTGCCCTTAACATTTTTTCCTTCATTTCAACTTTGGTGAATCTGACAATTATGTGTCTTGGAGTTGCTCTTCTCGAGGAGTATCTTTGTGGCGTTCTCTGTATTTCCTGAATCTGAACGTTGGCCTGCCTTGCTAGATTGGGGAAGTTCTCCTGGATAATATCCTGCAGAGTGTTTTCCAACTTGGTTCCATTCTCCCCATCACTTTCAGGTACACCAATCAGACGTAGATTTGGTCTTTTCACATAGTCCCATATTTCTTGGAGGCTTTGCTCATTTCTTTTTATTCTTTTTTCTCTAGACTTCCCTTCTCGCTTCATTTCATTCATTTCATCTTCCATCGCTGATACCCTTTCTTCCAGTTGATCGCATCGGCTCCTGAGGCTTCTGCATTCTTCACGTAGTTCTCGAGCCTTGGTTTTCAGCTCCATCAGCTCCTTTAAGCACTTCTCTGTATTGGTTATTCTAGTTATACATTCTTCTAAATTTTTTTCAAAGTTTTCAACTTCTTTGCCTTTGGTTTGAATGTCCTCCCGTAGCTCAGAGTAATTTGATTGTCTGAAGCCTTCTTCTCTCAGCTCATCAAAGTCATTCTCCATCCAGCTTTGTTCCGTTGCTGGTGAGGAACTGTGTTCCTTTGGAGGAGGAGAGGCGCTCTGCTTTTTAGAGTTTCCAGTTTTTCTGTTCTGTTTTTTCCACATCTTTGTGGGTTTATCTACTTTTGGTCTTTGATGATGGTGATGTACAGATGGGTTTTTGGTGTGGATGTCCTTTCTGTGTTAGTTTTCCTTCTAACAGAGAGGACCCTCAGCTGCAGGTCTGTTGGAGTACCCTGCTGTGTGAGGTGTCAGTGTGCCCCTGCTGGGGGGTGCCTCCCAGTTAGGCTGCTCGGGGGTCAGGGGTCAGGGACCCACTTGAGGAGGCAGTCTGCCCGTTCTCAGATCTCCAGCTGCGTGCTGGGAGAACCACTGCTCTCTTCAAAGCTGTCAGACAGGGACATTTAAGTCTGCAGAGGTTACTGCTGTCTTTTTGTTTGTCTGTGCCCTGCCCCCAGAGGTGGAGCCTACAGAGGCAGGCAGGCCTCCTTGAGCTGTGGTGGGCTCCACCCAGTTTGAGCTTCCCGGCTGCTTTGTTTGCCTAATCAAGCCTGGGCAGTGGCAGGCACCCCTCCCCCAGCCTCGCTGCTGCCTTGCAGTTTGATCTCAGACTCCCTAGTGAGATGAACCCGGTACCTCAGATGGAAATGCAGAAATCACCCGTCTTCTGCGTCGCTCATGCTGGGAGCTGTAGACCGGAGCTGTTCCTATTCGGCCATCTTGGCTCCTCTCAGCGAAAAGCACTTCTTACATGGTGGTGGCAAGAGAAAATGAGAAAGAAGCAAAAGTGGAAACCCCTGATAAACTCATCTGATCTTGTGAGTCTTATTCACTATCACGAGAATAGCACAGGAAAGACTGGCCCCCATGATTCAATTACCTCCCCCTGGGTCCCTCCTACAACATGTGGGAATTCTGGGAGATACAACTCAAGTTGAGATTTGGATGGAGACACAACCAAACCATATCATTCCTGCCCTGGCCCCTCCAAATCTCATGTCCTCACATTTCAAAACCAATCATGTCTTCCCAACAGTCCCCCAAAGTCTTAACTCATTTTAGCATTAACCCAAAAGTCCACAGCCCAAAGTCTCATCTGAGACAAGCAAGTCCCTTCCACCTATGAGCCTGTAAAATCAAAAGCAAGCTAGTTACTTCCTAGATACAATGGGGGTACAGGTATTGGGTAAATACAGCTCTTCCAAATGGAAGAAATTGGCCAAAATAAAGGGGTTACAGGGCCCATGCAAATCCAAAACCTAGTGGGGCAGTCAAACTTTAAAGCTCCAAAATGATCTCCTTTGACTCCATGTTTCACACCCAGGTTATGCTGATGCAAGAGGTGGGTTCCCACAGTCTTGGGCAGCTCCACCCCTGTGACTTACTCCCTCCTGGCTGCTTTCACAGGCTGGCATTGAGTGTCTGTGGCTTTTCCAGGTGCATGGTGCAAGCTGTTGGTGGATCTACTATTCTGGGGTCTGGAGGATGGTGGCCCTCTTCTCACAGTTCCACTAGGTGGTGCCCCAGTAGGGACTCTGTTTGGGGGCTCTGACCCCACATTTCCTTTCTGTACTGCCCTAGCAGAGGTTCTTCATGAGGGTCCCACCCCTGTAACAAAATTTTGCCTGGGCTTCGAGGTGTTTCCATGTATCTTCTGAAATCTAGGCGGAGTTTCCCACACCTCAATTCTTGGCTGCTATGCATCCACAGGCTCAGCACCATATAGAAGCTTCCAAGGCTTGGGGCTCTCACTCTCTGAAGCCATAGCCTGAGCTGTACATTGGCCCCTTTCAGCCACGGCTGGAGCCACTGGGACACATGGTACCAAGTTCCTAGGTTACACACAGCTCGGGGACTCTGCACCTGGCCCACGAAAACACTTTTTCCTCCTGGGCCTCCAAGCCTGTGATGGGAGGGGCTGCTGGGAAGTTCTCTGACATGGCCTGGAGACATTTTCCCCATGGTCTTGGGGGATTAACATTAGGCTCCTTGCTACTTATACTAATTTCTGCAGCTGGCTTGAATTTCTCCCCAGAAAATGGAATTTTCTTTTCTATCTCATAGTCAGGCTACAAATATTCCAAACTTTTTTGCTCTGCTTCCCTTATAAGACTGAATGCCTTTAACAGCACCTAAGTTACCTCTTGAATACTTTGCTGCTTAGAAATTTCTTCTGTCAGATACCCTAAATCATCTCTGTCTGGTTCAAAGTTCCACAAATCTCTAGGGCAGGGGCAAAATGCAGCCAGTCTCTTTGTTAAAACATAACAAGAGTCACCTTTGCTTCAGTTCCCAACAACTTTTTCATCTCCTTCTGAGACCACTTCAGCCTGAATTTTATTGTCCATATCACTATCAGCATTTTGGGAAAAGACATTTGACAAGTCTCTAGGAAGTTCCAAACTTTCCCATATTTTCCTGTCTTCTTCTGAACCCTTCCAACTCTTCCAACCTCTGCCTGTTACCCAGTTCCAAAGTCGCTTCCATATTTTTGAATATGTCTTCAGCAACGCTGCACTCTACTGGTACCAATTTACTGTATTTGTCTGTTTTCACACTTCTGATAAAGACATACTGGAGACTGGGAAGAAAAAAAGGTTTAATTGGACTCACAGTTCCACAGGGCTGGAGAGGCCTCAGAATCATGGTGGAAGGCAAAAAGCACTTCTTACATGGTGGTGGCAAGAGAAAATGAGGAAGAAGCAAAAGTGGAAATCCCTGATAAACCCATCAGATCTCGTGAGATTTATTCACTATTATGAGAATAGCATGGAAAAGACTGGCCCCCATGATTCAACTACCTCCCCATTGGTCCCTCCCACAACACAAGAGAATTCTGGGAAATATAATTCAAGTTGAGATTTCAGTGGGGAAACAGCTAAACCATATCAAAAGCCGTGAGCAAATGACTGTCATTTCTCCACCGAGACAGGTCCTCTCACCCCAAACTGCCAGAGCTTGCCCCTCTTAGCTTACTCCTCCTTGAAGTAGCTAAAGGACTATGGGAAGACAGGGGACTCAGAGGTGTTTTTAATAATTTTTTATTTTTTAATTGGAAAAAAATGCCTGCTGAATATTTGTTTTAGACTTTGCCTCCTAAGTTACTGAGCTATGAGAAGATACTTTTATATGAGGGCTGTATCATCACATGTCACGGCTTATTTTGTACATAATTAGTGACTCACACGCACAAGGAAGCAGACACACACACACACACACACACACACACACACACACACACACACAGAAACCATAAGAGGCCTCTCAGGGTATTAAAGTCCGAAAGTCATGAAAAATCCTTTTCGTGGCACCTTGAGACCCACACAGGAATAATTGTCCCATTCTTGTTCTTCCAGCTCTCCTCTCCCTCCAGCCCAGCTTGTCCTGTGGACTGCGGCTCCTGAATGGAAGGGAAGTTTCCATTTCTCCTGGGCATACACTGAGGAGTGAGCTGTTGGGTCATGTGGTAACTCTATGCTTAACTTTTTGAGGAACTGCTAAACTGTTTTCCACAGTGGCTGCACCGTTTTGTATTCTGGCCAACAGTGTATGAGAGTTTCAATTTCTCCACATCCTCACCAACTACTGTTGCTGTCTAGCTTTTTGCTATAGCCATCCTAGTAGGGATGAAGTAGTATCTCACTGTGGTTTTGATTTGCATAGCTTTAATGAGTAATGATGTTGAGCATCTTTTCATGTGCTTATTGGCCATTTGTGTATATTCTTTGGAGAAATGCCTATTCATATCCTTTGCCCTTTTATAGATTGGGTGGCTTGTCTACTTATTGTTGAGTTGTGAGATTTCTTTATATATTCTATATTTATTTCAGTTACCTATCAGATATATGATTTGCACAAATTTTATCCTATTCTGTGGGTTGTATTTTCACTTTCTTGATGATGTCCTTTGAGGCACAAATGTTCTTAATTTTGATGAATCCCAATTTATCTACTTTTTCTTTTTTTGCTGTGCTTTAGGGTCATATCTAAAAACTACTGCCTAATCCAGGGTCATGATGATTTATGCCTATGTTTACTTATAAGAGTTTTATAGCTTTAACTTTTACATGGAGGCCTATGATATATTTTGAGTATTTTTTTGTGTATGGTGTGAAATAGGGGTACAACTTCATTCTTTTGTGTATGGATACCTAATTGTTCCAGCACTATTTGTTGAAAAGAGTATTCTGTGTCTCATTGTATTGTCTTGGCATCCTTGTTGAAAATTCACTGGACATAAGGGTAATGGTTTATATTTTGACTGTCAATTCTATTCCATTGATCTATCTTTATCCTTGTGCAAATAACCACAGTATTTTGATTTCTGTAGCTTTGTAGTATGAGTCTTTCAACTTTGGTCTTCTTTTTTTGACATTGTTTTGGGTATTCTGGATCTTTTGAGTTTCCTTATGAATTTTAGAATAAGCTTGTCAATTTCTGCAAAAAATCGCAGCTGGATTGTGATAAGGATTCCACTGAATCTGTAAATCAACTTGCAGTATATTGCCATCTTAACAATATTAAGTCTTCTGATCCATAAACTTTCCCTTTATTTAGATTTTCCTCAATTTATTTCAAAATGTTTTGTAGGTTTCAGAGTATAGATTTTGCACTGCTTTTGTTAAATTTATTCTTAAGTATTTTATTCTGTTTGATGCTACTGCAAATAGAATTGTTTTCTAATTTCATTTCAGATTGTTCATTGCTAGCATATAGAAACACACTTGATTGTTGTGTATTGATCTTGTATTCCTTCAACTTTGCTGAACTCGCTTGTTAGAGCCAATGATTTTTGATAGATTCCTTAGGGTTTTCTATATAAAAATTATCTAATCTGCAGATAGAGATAGTTTTAATTTTTTCCATTTCCATTTGGATGCTTTTTATTTCTTTTTCTTGCCTAATTTCCCTGCCTAGAACCTCCAGTACAATGTTGAACAGAAGTAGCGAGGGTAGATATCTAGGCTTGCTTCTGATCTCAAGGGAAAGCATTCAGTCTTTCACCACTACATATTATGTTAACTGAGGTTTTTGTAGATGACCTTTGTCAGATTGAGAAAATTTCCATCATTTCCTTGCTTATTGATTTTTTTGGTTATGAAAGTGTGGTAGATTTTGACAAATGCTTTTTGTGCATTTATTGAGATGTTAATGCAGCTTTTGCCCTTTATTCTACTAATTGATATATCCCATTGATTGATTTTCTTTTACAATGTTATCTGTCCATTTTAATTTATTTTTTCATTTAAAAAATTTTAATGAATTTTATTGTTGGAACAGTTTTAGACTTATAGGAAAAAATTTCAAAGGTAGTATAGAGAGTTCCCATTAAACCCTATACCCACTTTCTCCTGTTATTAATATTTTAGAATAGTACGATACATTTCTTACACTTAATAGACCACGATTGATACATTATTGCTAACCAATTCATACTTTATTCAGATTTCCTTAGTTTTTACCTAATGTCCTTGGATCTCATTCAGGATGCCACATTAAAATTAGTGGTGATCTATACTTAGGTTTCTCTTGGACACACACACACACACACACATACATTTTGGTGATACATAATAGTTGTACATATTTTGGGGATATATGTGGTATTTTGATACACACCTACAATGTGTAATGATTGAGCCAGGGCAATGGGGACATTCATCACCCCAAACATTCACCCCTTCTTTATGTTAGGAACATTCTAATTTCTCTTCTTCAGCAATTTTGAACTATACAACAAATTATTGTTAACTATAGTTGCCCCACTGTGCTATAGAACACCAGATCTTATTCCTTCTATTGAACTCCATTTTCATACCCATTAACCGATCCTCTGTTTTTTCTCTCCACCCCACTTACTCTCCCCAGCCACTGGTAACCACCAATCAACTCTTTATCTCCATGAGAACCACTTATTTGCTCTCACTGCATGTGAGTTAGAACAAGCTGTATTTGTCTTTGCACCTGGCTAACTTCACTTAACATTAATGGCCTTCAATTCCATCCATGTTGCTGAAAATGACAGGATTTCATTCTTTTTATGGCTGAATAATATTCCTTTGTGTATATGTAAGACATTTTCCTTATCTGTTCATCCAGTGATAGATATTTAGGTTTATTTCATATCTTGACTACTGTGAATAGTACTTCAATAAACACAAGAGTGCAGGTATCTGTTTGATATATCCATTTCCTTTCTTTTGGATAAACACCCAGCAGTGGGATTATGTGTATTACATGGTAGTTCTATTTTTAGTTTTTAAAGGAACCTCTATACTGTTTTCCATAGTGGCTATACTAATTTACATTCCCAGCAATAGTGTACAAACATTCCCCTTTCTCTGAATCCTCACCAGCATCTGTTATTTGTTGTCTTTTTGATAAAAATCATTTTAACTGGGGTGAGATGATATTTCACTGTGGTTTTGATTTGCATTTCCCTGACGATTAGCAATGTTGACCATTTCTTTTTCATATGTCTGTTGGCCATTTGTATGTCTTTTTTTGAGAAATCTCTATTTACATCTTTTGCCCATTTTAAAATCGCGTTTATTTTTTCTGTTGAGTTGTTTGAGTTCCTTATGTATTCTGGTTATTAGCCCCTTGTTGGATGGACAGTTTGCAAATATCTTCTCCTACTCTGTAGGTTGTCTCTTCACTTTGTCAATTGTTCCCTTTGCTGTATATAAGCTTTTTAGCCTGAAGGAATCCCATTTGTTTATTTTTGCTTTTGTTGCCTGTGTTTTTAAGGTCTTACCCAAAAAAACTTGCCCAAATTTTCCTAAAGTATTTCCCCAGTGTTTTCCTCTCATAATTTCATAGTTTCAGGTCTTAGATTTAAGTCTTTAATCCATTTTGATCTGATTTTTGTATGTGGTGAGAGGTAGGGGTCTAGATTCATTCTGCTTATCTAGTTTTCCTAGCACCATTTATTGAAAAGACTGTCCTTTCCTCTAGTATGTTCTTGATCCCTTTGTCAGAAATGAGTTGGCTATAAATTCATGGACTTATATCTGGGTTCTCTATTCTGTTCCATCAGTCTTATGTGTCTGATTTCCTGCCAGTACCATGCTGTTTAGGTTACTATGGCTTTGTAGTATATTTGGAAGTCAGGTAGGTGATGCCTCCAGCTTTGTTCTTTTTCTTACGATTGCTTTGGTTATTTGGAGTCTTTTGTGGTCCTTTACAAATTTTAGTAATTTTTTTCTATTTCTGTGAAGAATGTTATTGGTATTTTGGTAGTGATTGCAATGAGTTTGTAGATCACTTTGAATAGTATTGACATTTTAACAATTAATTCTTTCAATCCATGAGCATGGGATAACTTTTCATGTTTTTCATCCTCAATAATGAATTTCTTTCATCAGTGTTTTTTAGTTTTCCTTGTAAAGATCTTTCACTTCTTTGTTAAATTTAGTTCTAGGTATTTTACATTTTTTGTAGCTATTGTAGATGGAATTGCTTTCATGATTTTTTTTTCAGATTTTTCACTGTTGGCATACATAAATGCTACTAATTTTTGTATGTCAATTTTTTATCTTGTAACTTTACTTGATTTATCACTTCTAACAGTTTTTTGGTGGAATCTTTAGGATTTTACTAAATATAATATCATGTCATCTGTGAACAAGAATAAGTTGACTTCTTCCTTTCCAATTTGGATGCCCTTTATTTCTTTCTCTTGCCTAGCTGATCTGCCTAGGACTTCCACTACTACGTTGAGTAAAAGTAGTGAAAGTGTGCATCATTGTCTTGTTCCAGACTTAGAGGGAAGGCTTTCAATTTTTCCCTGTTCCATATGACGTTAGCTGTGGGTATGTCATATACAGCAGTTATTATTTTGAGGCATGTTCCTTCTGTATTCAGTTTGTTGAGAGTTTTTGTCATAAAGCGATGTTGAATTTTGTCAATTGCTTTTTCAGCATCTATTGAAATAATTGTATCGTTTGTGTCCTTTGTTCTATTAAGCTGATGTATCACATTTGTTGATTTGTGTATGTTGAACCATACTTGCATCCCTAGGATGAATCCCCTTAAGCATGGTAAATAATCTTTTTAATGAGTTGTTGAACTCAGTTTGCTAATATTTTTTGAGGACTTTTGCATCTCTGTTCATCAGATGTTTTTGTCTGCTGCTTTCTTTATTGTTGTATCCTTGTCCAGTTTTGGGATCAGGATAATGTTAGCCTTGTAGAATGGGTTTGGAAATATTCCATCTTCAATTTTTTGGAATGGTTTGAGTAGAATTGGTATTAGCTCTTCTTCAAACATTTGGTAGAGTTCAGCAGTGGAGCCATCAGGTCCTGGGCTTTCTTTGATGAGAGACATTTTATTACTACTTTGATCTTGTTACTCATTATTGGTCTGTTCAGGTTTAATCTTGGTAGGTTGTATGCATCTGGGAATTTATTCATTTCTTCCAGATTTTCCAATTTTTTAACTTGTAGTTGTTCATGTTAGTCTCCAGTGATCCTTTGTATTTCTATAGTATCAGTTAATTTCCCTTTTCATTTCTGGTTTTATTTGTGTCTTCTCTTTTTTTAGTCTAGCTAAATGTTTTTCTTTTCAAAAACATTTTGTTTATCTTTTCAAAAAACCAACTTTTGGTATTTGTTTAGTCTCAATTTAATTTATTTCTGTTTGGATCTTTATTATTTCTTTCCTTCTATTAATTTTGGGTTTGGTTTGTTCTCACTTTTCTAGTTTGTTGAAGTTCATCATTAGGGTGTTTATTTGAAATCATCCTACTTTTTATTTCTTTTTTTATTGCTATAAACTTCCCTCTTAGTACTGCTCTTGCTATATCCCATAGATTTTGAGATGTTGTGTTTCCATTTTCATTTGTTTCAAAAATTTTTAAATTTTCTTCTTTATTTCTTCATTGGCCCATTTATCATTCAGGACCATGTTGTTTAATTTTCATGTATTTGTGTAGTTTCCAAATTTCTTTAGTTCTTGATTTCTAGTTTATTTCACTATAGTCAGAAAAGATACTTGATATGATTTCTACTTTTGTGAATGTTCAGACTTGTTTTGTGGTCTGATGTATGGTCTGTCCTGGAAAATGTGCCATATGTTGATGAGAAGATTGTCTATTCTACAGCAGTCAGATGAAATGTTGTGTAAATGTCAGTTAGGTCCATTTGGTCTAGAGTGTAGTTTAACTGATGTTTCTTTGTTGATTTTCTGTTTGGATGATCTGTCCATTATTGAGAATGGGGTGTTGAAGTCCTCTACTATTATTATATTGAAGTCTATCTCTCCCTTTAGATTTATTAATGTTTACTTTATATATTGAAGTGCTTTGGGATTGGGTACATTTATATTTACAATTGTTATATCCTCTTTGTAAATTGATGTATTTATAATTTCATAGTGACTTTGTGTCTTTTTATAGCCATTGACTTGAAGTCTGTTTCATCTGATGTAAGTGTAGCTATATCTAGTCTTTCTTGGTTTCTGTTGCAAAGAATATCTTTTCCATCCCTTTACTTTCAGTCTACATGTGTCTTTACAGGTGAAGTGAGTTTTTTGTAGGCAACATATGGTTGGGTCTTATTTTTTTTATTCGTTCAGCTGTTCTATGTCTTTTAATTGAAGATTTTAGTCTATTTGCATTGATTGTTATTATTGATAGGTAAGGACTTGCTATTGCCCTTTTGTTACTTGTTTTTTGGTTGTTTTGTATAATAACTCCTGTCTTCCTTTGTGGTTAGGTGATTTTTGTTCCTGGTTGTATGTTTTAATTCATTGCTTTTTATTTTTAGTGTATCTATTATAGGTTTATGCTTTTGTGGTTACCATGGGGCTTACAAAAAAATCTTATAAATAAAACAAGTTACTTTAAACAGAAGATAACTTAGCTTTGATCACAAAGAGAAGAAAAGAAACAAAGGAAAAACTAAAAAACTCTACATGTTAACTGTATCTCCCCACATTTTGGCTTTTTCTTGTTTCAATTTACATCTTTTCATATTGCCTCTTAAGTTGCCATAGTTGTAATTACTTTTGATAAATTTGTCTTTTAGTCTTTATACTAGAGATGTGAGGAAATTATACACCACAACTACAGTATTAGATTATTCTGAATTTGTCTGTGTATTTACTTTTCCCAGTGAATTTTATACCTTCAAATATTTTCTTCTTGCTCATTAGTGTCTTTTTCTTTCAGTTTGAAGAACTCGCTTTAGAATTCTTGTAAGATGAGTCTAGTGGTAATGAATTCCCTCAACTTTTGTTTATCTGAAAAATACTTTATTTCTCTTTCATGTATAAGGGAAAGCTTTGCTGGGCACAACATTTTCAGTTGACAGGTTTTTTTTCCTTCAGTGCCTTAAATATATCATACCACTCCTTTCTGACCTGTATGGTTTCTGCCGAAAAGTCTGTTGCCAGACACAACGGAGCTCCTCTCCTTTACGTTATTTGATTCTTTTACCTTGCTGCTTTTAGAATCCTCTCTTTGTCCGTGACCTTTGAGAGTTTGATTGTTATATGCCTTGGGGGTGGTCTTATTTGGATTAAATCAATTTGGTAATCTCTGACCTCCATATACCTGGATATTTATATCTTTCTCTAGGTTTGGAAAGTTTTTAAAATTATTTCTTTGAATAAGTTTTCTACCTGTTGCTCTTCTTCAACTCCCTCTTCCGTGCTAATTACTCTTAAATTTGCTCTTTTGAGGTTATTTTCTCTATTTTGTAGGCTTCCTTAGTTCTATTTAAATTTATTTTTCTTTTTCCTCTTCTTACACTGTATTTTCAAATAACCTGTCTTTGAGCTCACTGATTCTTTCTTCTGCTTGATCAATTCTGCTGTTGAGAGCCTTTAATGAATTTTTCAGGTCAGCAAGTGTATTTCTCAGTTCTAGGATTTCTGTTTTTATATATATATATTATTTCAATCTCTTTGTTAAATTTCTCTGATAAAATTCCTCAACTACTTTTCTGTGTTATCTTGAAGTTCACTGAGTTTCCTTAGAACTGTATTTTGAATTCTCCATCTGAGACCTCACACATTACTATCTTGTTAGGGTTGGTTACTGGCTCCTTGCTTTGTCCACTTGGGGAGGTCATAACTATGACCTGTTTGCTGTGTTGTTTCTTGTGGACTACACCTATGACTGCATTGAAGGATTAGTTATTTATTCCAGTCTTTGCTGTTTGGTTTGTTTTTGTCTTTGTGGGGTATAGAGTATGTTTGCTTAGATGTTCTCTGCAATTGCCTCCCAACGTCCCTTAATCTTTTATCTCTTCCTCCTTTTTGGCACTAGATGGTGCCTTACACTCAGAATTGCCTCAGCTCTTGCAAATATTCAGAGCGCAACCTATCCTAAATTGGGGGAAGGGTGTCCCAGAGGGGATATCCAGTTGTTTGGGAAGGATGATCCAAAAGGGGATGCCCCAGCTAGATGGGAAAGCTGGTTCATGCCCAGAAGACCCATGAAGCCTGTCTCCTACAATGTGGTGCTGCTGAACAGCCACTATGATTTGACTTTTCCTTTGGCTGAGATAAAGAGCAGAGTTTTTCAGGTGGGGTTGCTGGTTTTGCCTCCTGCCTTTGTTTCTGGCTGCCCCCAGTGGTTTTTCTCCCTACAGGCACTTGTGATGCTTCCCATGGGTTGTGGCAAGAATGGCTTTTCTGAAAGGGAAGCCAAGATGGCAGGAAAGCTGGCTGTTTATCTTGATCTCACTTTTTCCAGTGTAAAAACTGTGAGTACAGGAGGAATTTTCCATACACGATGCCTGGCAGATTGAGGGAGAGGTGTTGTGGATACAGAAGTCCATTTCTTTTACCATCTGCTCAGAATTTTTAATCTTTCTGTGGTCCCAGGGATTGTCTCAGTCTCATATTTGAGTTTTGGGACATTGCTGGTTGCAATCTTTGCACTGGATATATATATATATTTGGTTTTCTGTGGAGGAGAATGAAGCCAGATTGCTTCTACTCTGCCATTTTGGTGACATCACCCTGCTTTTCATATATTAAGCCGAATTTGCATTCTGGATAAATCCTACTTGCTTATGGTGTGTAATCTTATTCACATTCAGCTTATTAGTGTTTTGGTGAGGATTTTTGCATTTATATTTGTAAAGAATATTATTCTACAGTTTTATTTACATATTAGCTCTTTTTCTAGTTTTTGTATTAGAAAAATACTGGCCCCACAGAATGAATTGGATAGTGTTTCCCTTTCTATTTGAACAATGTAGTTGTCCTAGTTGAATAAAGGATTGGTGGCTTACAACAATTGGGGCCTTCCACCCTTTTGTTACCCCTACCTGCAGAATGGACACTTGCCTCTCTTCCTGTGATTCTGAGACCACTCAAGTGAGAACCCAGGGTTAAATCCCCAGTCAGACTGGATTCTTCCCTCCCCATGTCCTACATTTTTCCACTCCCAAGTCCAGAGTCGAAGAGCAATTTTCCCACATATCTTTCCAGTTTCCTCTTCTCTTTTCCCTTTGCCCTGTCCTGCTCCAAGCCTCCGCTCACCCCTCACCTGTATTATTTCAAACGTTCCTCACAGGCCTCTATGCTCCCCCACCTCTAGCTGCTCTGCAGAGACAGTTTTCTAAAACCCCAATAAGAGCAAGTGGTGGCCCTGCTCTGTGTCCTTCTCTGACACTCATTTCCTGAAATTCAAGGATTCCAAAAGGCATCCACTATGCACCCCTTATATCAAGGTAGGGCTTCTATATCCCCAGGGTGCCTAGAGGCAGGAGCTGAAGCAACCAGCCACTGGCACACTTCTTCTTGGAGCTTTCTAATTTAGTACTTCAAATCTATGCACATTTTCCTCTCTATGATTTATCCATGGTGTTTTAAATATTAAGTAATGGGCATTTCTCTGATCTTGGAGAAAGATGACACTCTGGGAAGATGCTCCGTGCCTGCTCCATGGCTCGCTGCTGTGTATTCCCCAAGGAGACAAGGAATTAAAGTGTCAGATGGGGACACCTTCTTGGATGTTAACTTTACTATAAGTTCAGGAAAAAATGCCCTTTATTACTTACTAAAACAGTCATGAAAAAGATTTCCCCAGGGATTGCACAGCACCCAGTCTTCTCTGAGCAGACCTCTGACTAACTTCCCCATATCACCATCCACCACTTCATCTCTTTGCTCCAAGCCTCATCCTCAGATCTCAAATACAGCTTATGCATACACAACATAAACAGTCATGCACACACCCACCCCACACACAGTACACTCTGGGGCTCAGAACATGACACTCCAAAGTATGGTGCTTTGGCATGCTAGGTACTTTGAATTAAAGGAGATCAGAAGGTCTTGAAAGCAGATTCTTTCTGACCTTCTCCTATCTGCCTGTCTCCTGCCCTTCTTTCTCCTGCAGAGTGAGTCTGAGTCATAGGAACCAGAATTCTTCTTCCCCAAGGTGGGTCATAAAACCTAGAACTCCTCTCCCACAAAGCAAGACATAAAACATAGGTCTTCTCTCTTGAAGACCTTCCTTCCAGAGGGGCCCTGCTCATACCCAGGGTATAGGGGAAGCCAACCTACACAGAGAAGCTGAGAGGAATCCCTCTCTCTCTCTCTCTCTCTTTTTGAGATGCAGTTTTGCTCTGTCTCCCAGGCTGGAGTGCAGTGGCACAATCTCGGCTCACTGAAACCTCCACCTCCTGGGTTCAAGCAATTCTCCTACCTCAGCCTCCTGAGTAGCTGAGATTATAGGCCTGGCTAATTTTTTTTTTTTTTTTTTAGTAGATACAGGGGTTTCACCATGTTGACCAGGCTGGTCTCGAACTCCTGACCTCAGGTGATCCTTGGCTTCCCAAAGTGTTGGGATTATAGGCCTGAGCCACCACACCCGGCCCCGAGAGGAATCTGAACAGACAGGACTTGCTGGGTTTCCCCCACTCAGTCTATTCCCATTGCATCACATCCTTTTGTTCAATCATGTTTCTACACAACTGCCCGTCTTCAACTATCCTAGGCATAAAAATAGACCATTTCCCCTGGGTGGTGGGGTCTTCATTTCCAAAGGCTCCTATGTTATGTAAAACTTTGATTAAATAAATATGCTATGCTTTTCTCTTGTTAACCTGTCTTTTGTTATAGGGGTATAGCTGTATTATACCTTTCCACCCCCTACACACACTATCTCTCTCACACACACACATTTATATACACTCACACACATACACACTCATGCACGCTCACATGAGCTCACATACACATTATACACCCCTGGTCAATCAACCCTACATCAGTCACCATTCCACGGACAGGGCATAAATATCTACACAGTCCCCTCAGGCTGGTGGAAAGGGACTAACATTAATTGAGCACCTACTATGTGCCAGACACCATCCTGCACCCTTTATATGTGCTGCCTCCCTTCATCTTCTCACCAATCCTTGTTTACTTACCTTATTTATTTTTTTTGAGACAGAGTCTCTCCCTGTCACCCAGGCTGGAGGGCAATGGTGCGATCCCGGCTCACTGCAACATCTGCCTTCCGGTTTCAAGCGATTCTCCTGCCTCAGCCTCCCGAGTAGCTGGGATTCCAGGTGCCCGCCACAATGCCCTGCTAATTTTTTTTATCTTTAGTAGAGACGGGGTTTCACCATGTTGGCCAGGCTGGTCTCAAACTCCTGACCTCGTGATCTGCCTGCCTCGGCCTCCCAAAGTGCTGGGATTACAGGCATGAGCCACCGCGCCCGGTCCTTGTTTACTTTACAAAGAAGTGAACCTGAGGCCCAGCAAGGTACCTTGCTTCAAGTCACTTGTCACACAATTCATGGGGTGCTGGGATGGATGGTTCCAAATTCTGTGGCTTGTTCCTTGCCCCACCCCATTTCCTTGATGAAGAGAAATTATCAGAGGATCAGCACCTTCTCTTTATTAGTTTGGACTAATGGAGTGAACTGCCCATTGGGTAATGATGATTTCACTGCTCGAGGTGTGTAATTGGAGGGGGTCTAGGTCCCTGCTGGATGGAGAGGGGAGGCCTGGGCACCTTCCAAGGTCCTGTGCCCAGAGGATATCTGGCCAGCATCTCCTGTGAGTGTGCCTTTTTTTTAGCCCGAGCTGTTTGTGTTTATTTCAGACCCAGCAGAATTTCTCATAAATCTCTCCTGCTCCCTCAACTGTGCTTACAATAACCTTGAGGAAAAGATGCTTCTTCATGTACAAATCTTCTTCTAGGCTATTAGGTCTTTCTGAAACTTAAAATACCACTTGGGAATGAACAGAAAAGCTGAGGCAGAGGCTGTTTCCTGAGTTTTGGCAGAGGCAATTATCTGGGTGGAAGCCCCTGCAGGAGTCCCCCCACCCAGCCCCACTGCCTTCCTCATCCTCTGCCTTCTGGGCCTCCTGCAGAGAGGGACGGAGAGAGAAACCTGGGCCAGGCTTAGTATGAATCCCAGTGGCCGCACTCCCCAGCTGGGTGACCCTGAGTCTCAGTTTCTTCATCTATAAAATGGGATTGTAAGAGTCCCTTCATTTAAGGGTCACTGTGAGGACTGAGAAGAGAAGGGACATGGGAGGACAGGCCAAATTCTGGACACGGGAACTATGTTGTTATGGTCATGGTTTCCATTACCTTTAGTGTCTGACACCTCAGACTGTCCAAGTCGGACTTTGGATACTGCTTCCCAGATGACAGCTTGTGTATTAGTGCATTTTCACGCTGCTGATAAAGACATACCTAAGGCTGGGTAATTTACAAGGAAAAAGAGGTTTACTGGTCTCACAGTTCCACATGAGACCTCACAATCATGGCAGAAGATGAAAGGCATGTCTCACATGGTGGCAGACAAGAGAAGAGTGAGAGCCAAGAGAAAGGGGAAACCCCTTATAAAACCATCATCTCTCGTGAGACTTCCTCACTACCACGAGAACAGTATGGGGGAAACTGACCTCATGATTCAATGATCTCCCACCCAGTCCCTTCCATGACATGAGGGAATTATGGGATGTATAATTCAAGATGAGATTTGGGTGGGGACACAGCCAAACCATATGAGCTGGAGTCTGATTCTTTCTTCAGAATTACCTGCAGGGCTTTCCAAATGCAAATTCCTGATCCCTACCTCAGGAGAATCTGATTCCTCGCTCTGGTATGAGTCTGGGGAATCTGTATTTTGTTGTTGTTGTTGTTGTTGTTGAGACGGAGTCTCACTTGCTCTGTTGCCCAGGCTGGAGTGCAGTGGCATGATCTCGGCTCACTGCAACCTCTGCCACCCAGGTTCAAGCTATTCTCCTGCCTCAGTCTCCCGAGTAGCTGGAATTACAGGTGTCTGCCACTATGCCCGGCTAATTTTTGTAGTTTTAGTAGAGATGGGGTTTCACCATCTTGGCCAGGCTGGTCTTGAACTCCTGACCTCATGATCCACCCACCTCGGCCTCCCAAAGTGCTGGAATTACAGGTGTGAGCCCCTGCACCCGGCCTGAATCTGTATTTTAACAAGGCACTAGGAGGATTCTGGTCTTGCTGACTGCAGCCCACATGTCTGTGTAAGCTCACACTCTCTGCAGATGCAGGCATGATCCCTGCCCTGAGGGCACTGCAGGACCAGTTCTGGGTGCAGGCCTCCCCTTTGGGCCTCCTCGGCTGCAGATCCTCCTCTGAGGTCTGAGTGGAGCTTGAAGAATATGACAACCACAGCCCATGAAGCCCTAGGTGGTGCCCTGGCCTGAGCCTCTCTCCTCAGTCCCTGGCCTTGGGTACTGGAGAGGGCATGAGCTCTGGAACCAGGCTGCCTGGGGCTTGGATCCTGCTCTGTCATTTATCAGCTTGTGAGGCAGCTGCAACCTGGGGGTTAGAGCATGGGCCCTGACATCAGATGGCCTGGGGTCGATTCTTGGCTCTGCCAAGACAAGCTCTGTGACCTTGACAAGTCGATTAACCTCTCCGTGCTTGTGTTCCCTCCTCTATAACGTGGGAATCACTGTTGTCCCTCCTTCATTAGGAGGTTTGTGAGGTGTGAGTTAACACACACAAATCACACTTGGAAGAGAGCCTGGCCACAGGTAAACACCCAAGCAGTCTTGGGTATGGTTATTAGTGTGGTGTAACCTTAGCTACTCATGCCTAAATGCCTTGAGCCTCAGTTTCCTCAACTGCAAAACAGAGAGAACAATGTCCCCCTTTGGAGACTGGTGTGAATATTGATGAGATGAGACCTGTAAAGTACCTGAGCTCCTGGCACCCTGACCATTAAGACACATGGTGGGACTGTAAGCTTTGTCTCCAGCCCCTACTTCTATGCCAATGACTCATTATCTACCTGTCACTCACAAACATCCAATTGTCTCCAGTTTCACCTGATGATAATAATACAATCTTCCCGTGGGCTTATTAGAGGCACATGAGCAAATGCTCACAAAATGCTCAGTGCAAGGCTGGGCACCTAGAAAGCACTCAGAAATGGCAGCTTATTATCATCAGCTAGGGTGCCGGTCCACCCCTAGGAGGGTGCGGTGGTCAGGAAGGAAACCCAGCCTCTGGTGTCAGTTCTGCCCTGACAGGGAGTTGATTGGGGTAAGGTCCCTTTCCCCTAGTGAGCCTCAGTGTCCCCATCTTTAAGGTAGGCATTGAGCTGGAATGGAAGGCCTGTCTCCTCTGACTCTCTGAACACAAGCGTCAACCATCACCCCAGTTTGATCCCTTTCTCGTCTGGCCCTTGTCCTGTCTCCTCACCTCTGCTGTAGGCTCAAAGAATAAAATAAACCTCCTGTGGTGAGTCCCACACCAAGGAGGTCATTTGAATCCTCTGGTCCACACTGAGAGTGAGCCTATCATCTCTCTTAAAGTATCATGAGGACTCCCAGGACAACCAGTTAAATGCTCATCGCCACAGAAACCCTCACCACTCTCCAATTAGCTTCATTTCAGTCTGGATTCAGCTCATTGCTTTGACTAGGCATGGGTGGGGACTTCCAGGAGGTCACAATGGAGGGGCAGAGATGGGAAAACCATGCTCTGTGGGATCTAGCTGACAGTAGAAGAGAAAGGAAATCCACATGTGTTGAGTATAGGCTTCGTATGTTATTACGAATAAATCTATTTCACACATGAAAAATAGAGGCTCACAGAGTCATTTGCCTGAGATCACACAGCCAGTAAGAGATGGAGGCAGGACACAAACACACCTGGGTTCTCTTCCTTGAAAGCCATTCTGGGATTTGGCCGTGTGAGGCTCAGCCTGTTCTTTGGGGAAGCAGATCCTTGACTTTCCTGCCTCTGTGAGCAGGTCTCTGAGTGGCAGCAAGACTCCTCGAAGAGGCAGAAAGCAGAGCTTGCCCTGACATGCCCATCTTCTGAAGCTGCGGGGCTGCTGAGCTAGAAAGATTCTTCTAGAAACTAAATCCAGCTCCAGACTGGTCCTTGGGCAGAATAACACTCCCGGACCAAGCTGGTCAGTTTCCCCAGGTCTGATCCTGTTGGGAAGTGGTGCTGAGTGCTCCACGGTAGCCTTGCCTTGCCTTCTCCTTGGGAGGAACTCCTGCATGGTTCCAGGAGCACTGACTCTGGAGACAGACCTAGCTTGTCCAGGATCTCAACACCACTACTTGTAAGCTGCGTGGCTTTGGGCCAGTTGCCGACCTTCTCTGAGCCTCAGCTTCCTCTGATAGCACCTGCCTTGCTGACTTGTTTCAAGGGTTCAGATGTATGTAAAGTAAGGGTCAGTTACTCTCTCTCTTTCTGTCTAACATCTTTTAATCATCGGAAATTGGCTTCCCTTCATGGCCCTTATTACAAATGGGCCATAAAATATTTTGTGTAATTCCCTGTTTATTGTCAACCTTCCCCAAGAACATCTGTAAGCCCCCTGGCTTGTGAACCTAGGGAGGGAATAAATGAAGGGATGAGTGATAGAATCTCTCTTCCTAACCTTAAACCCTCCCAAGGCTACTGTACTCTGCTCCAGGCTCTTGACTTCTGCATGCTACCTGCCTCCAAGAAAGACATCTGAGTTCTAGAAGAATCAAGCATGGACCTGGGATCACCAGCCCAGACCTCTGGCCCCTCACTCACTCCAGTGTTCTCCCTAGAGGAGAAGGTGGGTGCTCCCACCTCTGCCTTCCCTGCTCCTGCCTGTGAATACAGACACATGTCCCTACCCTCTGAGCACTGAGACGTGCAGCCCACACTACACTGCAGGGCAGGGCACTGGCTTACTGGTTTTAAGGAATCGACTGGGCTGAACCCCATGGGTTTATTTTATTCTTTGAGTCTTTTCCCCGTGCGTGGCCCCCTCATCATTGTCAGCAATGAGAAAACTGAGGAGAGTCCCTGACGTTGGCTGCCCAGGTCTGCTGCAGCTGGAGAGTAAAGCGTTAAGCTTTTGGGGGGACTTTTTCTCACCCTACAGTCTGATTGTGGCTCAGCGAGCCTTCAACAGAGATAGACAGTGTGTGTAAACTGAGGCCTCTGCAGTGCAGCCTGCATAGGAAATTTCATCTTGCAAGATTTCCTGCTGCTGCAACCTGGGGTTGAGGCCTCCAGGAGGCTCTCAGGGTGGACAGAGGGAACTGCAGTTGTCCCTGTCATATCACACATGGCCCTGATCCTAGAAGGTTAGAGCAGGAAGGTGCAGCTCCCCCATGGATTGGTCAACAGCTCCATTCACACCTGCTCTGTGGCGGGACTGTCCCAGGTTTGGAGGCCACATGAATGGGTTGGAGATTGCCTCTTCCTTCAGAGAGCTCTATGGGCTGATGGATGAATCCCAAATCTAGGCTCAGAGAATGGGTGTAACGCAGCCCAGGCCCCACAGCCAGGCAGTGGGTGGGGTTGGGACAGAACCCAGGGCTCCTGACACCCAGGCTGCCCAATCGGGACTTACTA
Organism: Homo sapiens; assembly: GCF_000001405.40. NCBI lineage: Eukaryota > Metazoa > Chordata > Mammalia > Primates > Hominidae > Homo > Homo sapiens. The sequence continues at coordinate 30,419,285 of NC_000001.11, read as the reverse complement.
TCCAAGGTGCCAGGCCAACATCACGGATCAGGGGACATTTTCTAGGGCGAGATCTTTTCTCCTGATAAGAAGTGTAGGTGGAGACAGAATCAAAAGGAAAAGGACTTGACCAACCCCTGCACATGGAGGTGCCAGGCACCTACTCACTGCTCCTTTTCCAGCTCTATCAAACTCTGCCCTCTAGAAACGCCCTGTACCCGTTAGGAACTTTCAGGTGAAAGCTGACAACAGATTGGCTTAAAGAAAGGTAGGAATTAACTGGCTCAGCTGGCCTAGGCCTGCAGAGGTAGGTCTGCCCAGGCTTCATTTGGCCCAGGGCTTCAGGCTCTGGCCCAGGCCATGCACCCCTATGCTGCTTCATGACTCTGTTCATTCATTCTTATTGTGCCCTTCATCTGGGATTCTCATCCCCACCCTGCTCCCCACCCCTCATCCTCCAGATCCCAGCTGAAGCCTCGCCTTCTGCAAATGTGAAATGAGTTGCTTCTTCTGGGGGTCCCCCTGGCACCTTATTCCCACCACCATTTTGCAGCACCATATGGTCAGGTTTTCTTATTGCACCCCCTCCACCCGCAAAACACACAGAGTTTGCCAGTTCCTTGAAGGCTTCGTCTGGACAAGTCTTAATTAATTTCTCTGTTCTCAGCCTCCAGGTACTGCCTGGTTTAGAGCAAGAGCTCAATAAATATTTGTTGAATTAATGAAAATGTTTGTGTTGAAACATGACTTCAGTGAAGTTGTTTGCATTTTAACAAATGACAAGGCCCCAAGCCATAGGACCGGAGCTCCAGTGGTGGAACTCCAGGCACCAGTAAGCTAGAGACAGAAGCTTTCTCCATTCTTTAGTGCCTGGGGGAGGAACTGGCTGTCTTGGCAGGTGGAATTTTCCATTCATGACTTTCTAGCGCAAAAACAGTCACATTATCTCCTGAAAAACACTAATGTGCGGCGGAAACAAATGCGTTTCCCCTTCAGCTTGCTGGTGGGAGGAAAATTCTTAGCCCTGTTGGATTTCCCTGCGCTGGTTCCAGTTGACAGAACGTTCCTTTCTCACATGCCCATGGTAATGTCTTGGCTGGCTCTCCCTCCATCCCCACTCCCTGACCCCACAGCCTCTGGGCCCCACCTGCCAACCCAGCTCTGCCTGGCTGGGGAGGCTCCCATGTTAATTGGGAGTTGAAAGGAGGCTTGTTCTGCAGTTCAGACATTTCCACATCAAAACCACTGGCCTGGCTGCTTCTCCCCACCTGACCTGGGGCCCATCCTGACCATTTGTGACCTCCCTGGCCCTTCAGCTGAGCCCACCTCATGCCCCAGCTCTGCACACTGAGCACTCTCTCTGCCCTCAAGCTCATCCCCTCCAGCCCACCCTCCGGTCCACCCCAGAATGCCCCTCAGCAGCACAAAGCTGGCTGGTTCCCTCCCAGCTGGAAACCCTTCCCAGGCTCCCAGTGCCCTCAGCTCACAGCCCGTGCAGAGGCACAGACATCAGCCAGGTGCAAACCAGCCACCAGAGGGAAGAGCATGTGCAAAGGCCCTGAGGCTATAGCGGGCTTCACTTGCTTGAGGAACAGCAGGAAGTCAGTATGGCTGTAGGTTGGTGAGTAGCGAAGAGGAAGGGGGACAAGGTCAGAGGGGACAGACATGGGAGGGGCTTGTGGGCCATGCCAGCAGATTTGGATTTTCCTTTGAGTAAGACCGGAAGCTGGGGAGGGCTGGGAGCTGAGAGGAATGGGATGTGCTTTACCTGTTTACAGGTTTCCTCAGGCCTCTGGGAGGCCCATGACTGGGGAGGGCAGGTCCACGTGGAAGCTGGAGGATGGTCAGGAGCCTGGACTTAGCTGTTTCTGCCTGTGGGCCCCTGACCTCACCTCCTCCAGGTATGGGGACCTTCCTCATTCTGTTGACCCACCTCACAGGATTCAGCCCCTACTCCTGAGCCCACTCTGGCCAGGCCCCTACATCCTCCCCAGCCGTGAGCCGACTCTCCAGAACCTCGTGTCTGCCTTATCTTCTTGCTGCCCAGTCCTGGGTTCTCCTTTCCTGACCACAGTCACAGGGCTCCTGAGGCCACCCCCAATACCCAGCTTTCTGGAGCCTCTTATTTGCCTGTGGGCCTAAGAACCCATAGCCACCGGCCAGATCTATCCTCCAATCTCTGCCCCAACTACGCGGGGGTGCCCGGCCCTGAAGTAGCCTGTGAGGGGTGGAAAGATTCAGAGCCTGTGTTTGAATCTGGCCCTGCCACACACTTGCGGTGTGATGTTAGTTAAGTCTAAACCTTTCTAGGTAGCAGTTTCCTTGTCTGTAAAATGGAGAGAACAATACCTACTCCAGGAGAGGTCCTGAGGATGCAACCTCACATACGGGGGCTCCTGGCAGCTCCTGGCCCCCAGCAGACTTTGCACTCACTTTGGTTCCTGTTCTGCTACCTCCTTCCTGGAAGATAAGAAGGGAAGCTCCTTCCCTCAGGTGACCCAGGAAGTCAAGGGGTCTGGATCTGTCCCTGTCTCCCAGAGCAGCGCTCTGGCCATGACAAACTGCTCTGTGCCTCAGTTTCCTCAATTATAAAATGGGAATAATAATCGTGCCCCCCTCCTCCAGTTGATGATGTGGGGACCCACTAGGTTGATCCACATGGAGCACTCAGGACAGTGCCTGGCATACTGTGACCACTCAACCACTGTGAACCGAGGCTCGAGTGTGGCCCCTGTCCCCTCCTGCTCCCCATCTTCCCCACAGTCTTTGAACATCCGGTAGAATTTAACAGCTCAAAGTGCCTCCAAGTGTCAAATTCAACACCCATATTTGGCATGTGGGAAACTGAGGCCCAGGGCAGGGAAGGATCAGCCCAAGGCTGGAGTAGGAGGCAGAGGTGGGACTGGACTTTCTGCCCACAGGTCCTTCTGTTGCCTCCTTTGGGGCACTCTGTGGGGCAAAGCTCGGCTGAGAGGAAGGATTCAAGGATTGAGGCTATTGCAATTATTGTTATTGTTATATCTACAGAAATGACAGCAGATCCCACTGAGAGCCAAGGGCCAAATGGGAGACAGAAAACTCAAGTGTAGGGGGCTCAGAGGAGCTGCTCCCCAAGAGGAGAGAGTGATTCCTGCCCAGGCACTGTCCTTGCCAACTCTCCCCAATGCTTTCCCTTTTTGCCAGCTTATTAATGCAGCTTTCACCCCAATAAACATAAGCGTGGCCTCGCTCACTCTGAACCCTCTGCTAGGCTGAGGGAAGTCCCAGATCCTGTCACCACAGATACCACTGAGTGAGGATCAAATAGAGGGTGTCAGGCATGGCACAACCCCTCACCCACACCATCTCATCCAGTCCTCCCACCCCACAGGGCAGGAAGGTGCAAAGCCCATTTTAGAGATGAGGCAACTGAGTTCCAGGGAGGATACGTCACCTGACCAAGCTCTGTGAAGCAGAAAGTCTCCCTGAGGAGGGAGCTGAGGCTGGGAGGTCCAGGAGCTCACCCAAGGCCAGCCAGCAAGGAAGGAGGGAGCTGGGACCCTAACACTCCATGCTTCTGACCTCAGAGCTGCAGTTTTGAATCCAGGCCCAACCCCCACCTCATCCAGTAGAGGCTGAGCCTCCTCCAGCCCTGATTCCACCCTGATCCCCTTGGTCAGGGCTGGCTGTTGGGAAAGGTTGAGCTTACAGGGAGTCTTTCGTAATTACAAATCAGATGACATCACCCTTGGCGAAGGGTCTTAGGTGTTATTGAGGGGACTCCAGCCTTGTCTGCTGAGGCAGCCTCATGACCACACACCAGCACCTGGCTAACTGCAGCCCAGGGTAACCCAGAGCCCCCGGGAGGATGCTGGTTCTCACGGGGAGCTGGAGCTGCATGGTCTCTTCAGGCCTCACTACTGCCCCTGTGGGGTGCACAGTGGGCTCCACTTTACTCCGCAGAGGCTCTCAGAGGTGAAGAGAGGCCCAAGCTCACTCAGCTGGGGAAGAGCAGAGTCATGGTAGGGCTGCCTGGGCCCAGAGCCCCAAGCCAGCCCCTCTGAGCTCTCATCCGGGGCAAGGCAGCAAGGTGGACACACATGTCTGCAGCCATGCCTGCTGCTCCCAGCTCTCCAGTACCCAGATGGCTCAGCAGCGATTGTTTCATTACTTAAGTCATATCCAGTAATTATTGCTCCTTTGGCTGGACTTTGAGAAATGATCTTAGCCACTGAGGTGGAAGGTGAATGAGGAATTGCTGGAGAAGAAGGAAAAGGGATCATCTTGATGTAAGTCGAGCTGGCTCAGGATGCAGAGAAAGACCTGAGGTCAGAGAGGTCGGCCAGGGGTCCAGGGCAGCGGGCTTCCAGCCCAGAGACTCCATCACTGACTCCTGTATGACTGGGGCAGGCCCATGACCCTCCCTGAGTCTTGACTCTCTCTAAGACACTCCATACCCCCAGCCTCATCAGCCCTTCTCCCACAATATTGGCCATCACAAGACCTAGAGCAGACCCAGCCGTTCATGACTGGATGTGTGGCCTCCCAGGTCCCAGCCTGTAGAGTCTCTGTGGAGGCTGCAGGGTTGGCTCCAGGCTATGAGGTGGGAGATTTGGGCTGAGGTCCCTGGACAGGCAGATGCGGAGCTTAGAAGACAGAACGGGGCCTGAACAAGATAGGAGCCAACAGCTATTGAACTTGGGCTTGCAGGGCTGAGGTGGGGGACACAAAACCGACCTGAGTCTTAATATGCAAATGAGTTCCATAACTGGACTCCTGTTGACTTGGGGAGCTGTGCAAAGCCACGCCCTTGGAGAGGCTTCCTGCTTTCTGATGGAGTCACTCCCTGCACTTCCAGCCACATCTTCCCTTGATGATCCTACCAAAGGCCACTCCTCTCTGCTTCCCAAAGGTGTCCTGGGCCCCACTTCCTGGCTGTTCTTCCTGCTGCCTCCTCCATTTGGAATGCCCTTCCCTCCATCTGGAATGCCCGTAGGACGACCTACAACCCATGTCCCCACACTGCTGTCTGTTGAAACACCACGTATATGGAAAGTCCTGCTCACAACAGACCTTTCCCTGACCCCTGCCCAGGTCCCGCAGCCACATGTCGCCTCTGCCTCCTATGCTCCAACCACACAGAGGACAGAGATAAAATTCTCCTGGGGTAGCACACAGGGCTGGCTGCAGACATGCACGCCCACAAACCGGGCCCTGCCACAGCAGGCTCGCGGTCAGAGCCAAGATAAAGGCCCCTCTGCCTTGGAAGCTGTGATTCTATGAATTTTGAAGTGGAACGCATAGTGCTTGTCAAACCCCAAGCAGGCCCGTGTAGGGAGCTGAAGGCTCTATGTGGTTGGAGGCAGTGAGGGGGTCTCTGCAGGAGTGGAAAGAGTGTGGAGGTGAAGCCAGGCGGACAGGGTTTGCACCTGGCCTCACACTGCCTGGCTGCGTGGCCTGGGGCCAGTCTCCTCCCATCTCTGAGTCTGTCTCCTCATCTGTGGGATGAGGGTGGTGATGCCCACTGACCCGACGGTTGCCTGACCCTCACTAAGGTGCTCAATCAGTGTGAAACTGATCGTCCCCGAGGACCGTTGCTTATGTGTTACTTGGGTGCCCACGATATTTCTGGCATGCGGTCATGTGTGAACCTACCCCAGCCCTTTTGAAGCCACACAGAACAGGACAACCCGGTTGCCACTGGGGCCTCAGGAGGCTCCGTCTCAACATGGTAGACAATGGGAAGAAACAGTCCAGCAGCCAAAAATAACCTGGAGAGGAATTTCTGCTTTTATTTCCCTCTTTCAAGGAAAATTAAGGGTTTATAGCCCTTAATATCTGGCTTATAGCCCCTGTAGCATTTCCTGAAGTCCCCACTTCTCAGAAGGGAAAGCTGCAGAGCCCTTCACGAAGCCACATCTGCAAACTATTCCCTGATGAGGAGCTTGCTGGCTCTTTCCTCTGCCTCCTCCCCTCTTCGCCAGCTTCTCCTGCTCCCTCCCCAATCTTCTTCATTATACAGATTAGTTTATCTTTCCAGATCCTCTCCACTCTCGCCTCTCCTGATTCCGCAGTCCCCACGACTTTGGAGCCATCTCACAAAGATAATGTTCCCCTTTGAGGGCAGGAGAAGGGAAGAAGCGAGGTGGGCTGAGATAAAATTCTCCTGGGGTAGCACACAGGGCTGGCTGCAGACATGCACGCCCACAAACCGGGCCCTGCCACAGCAGGCTCGCGGTCAGAGCCAAGATAAAGGCCCCTCTGCCTTGGATGCTGTGATTCTATGAATTTTGAAGTGGAACTTTTGGTGCTTGTCAAACCCCAAGCAGGCCCAGGTGGGGAGCTGAAGCCTCTGTGTGGTTGGAGGCAGTGAGGGAGTCTGGGACCTAGAGAGACTGGCCAAGGAGGAGGGGCCTCCCCTTCCCCACCTAGGCCCCTTCACCAGGGCACACTGCAAGGCACCCATGTCTGTGCCAAGGTCTGTGCTGGACACTAGAGGTCTGAGTGAAGTGACTAGGACCTTGCCCCACTCACCCAGCCCCTGCCAGCTTCTGCCTCCACTCCTGCACGTGGCATGGGCTCCTGCAGTTCCGCTGAGCTCTGGAGGTGCCCTGGTCTGGGAGACAGAGATGGGGTGCACAAGCAGAAGCGGTGCTTGGAGACAGAGCTACAGTTCCATTCAAAGCAAAACAATGCCACTGCACTGTGATGACTGGTATGAGTCACTGTGATGCCTCCGAGCTGAGCCTCAGTGTTGTCACCTGACACTGACTGTGAGGAGTAAATGAGACAGTGCAGAAAGAGGACAGAACCCCATGAACCCAGCTGTGAGGCTCTGTCACCTTCTCCAGCCACGCCTCCCTAAGGAGCCCTGCTCTTCTGTGCACATCAGCGAACACCAGCACCACGGCTGGTCCCTCAGGGCAGGGCATGGAGGCCTCGCCTGCCTCTCCTCACAGGTCTTGGCTCACTGGTAGTAATGTAAGGAGCCACAAAGAACAGGGTGACCAAGTCATCCTCGTGGCCTGGGACTTCTCTGGTTTCAGCGCTGGAAGTGCCTCATACCAAGAATGCACTCGGTCCCTGCCAACTGGAAATGGTTGGTTACTTTACTAAGGGACAGAGTTGACCAGAGTAGGGTCTGGGCTCAAGCAGATGGGGAATTCAGGGAGCATTCAGAATTGAGGCCTCCCTCAGACTCCTCCACCGTCCAGGTGAGAGGGCACAGGTGGGAGTTTACCTGATTACCACACGGGGCCAAGGCAGGGCTGACAGACCCAGCCAGGTCTGCACGCTTCTCTGAGTATCCCAGCTTGAAACAGTGAAAGGAGCAGGTACTTACAGACAGAGCCACAACTCAATTCAAAGCAAAGCAATTCCACCACATTGTAATGACTCCATGGTTTACACACTCACTCGGTAGATTTCATGCTGCAAATGAATTCTTTTTAAAAAGCTGTATCTTTTCAGGAGTTCACGACTTTTCTCAATTTATCTCCCTTAACAGATCTTCCACAAGAATGAACAAGAGATGCTCTCATTTAAAAGAAAAGAAACAGAAAAGGTTATCAGCTAGTAGAGAGGAAATTCTGCTCTTAACATAATGTAGCTTAAAAGAAAATGCTGCATTTTGTCAAAGAGTCAGCGATGAGCCTCTTATCACATATTTGCTCATAAAGGCAGAAAGGAAGAATGCTAGCATGCCAGTGTCCCATCGTTAACGGGTGGAGGAGAAGAGCAGGCGGAGGAGGAGAACGATTTCTATGGGATTCTCAAAGTAAATGGGCAATTTTCATGCACATGGAGAATCTACTTCTGCAGACTGAGTTCAGGCCAGACCTGCTCTGTCAAAGCCCGACAGAGAGACCCGAGATGGTGAGGGCGGGAGAGGGACAGCGGAGGACCGTGCTATGGCTTGAGTGTGTTTCCCAAAGTTCCTTGTGTTGGAAACGTAATCCCTCATGCAACAGTGTGGAGATGTGTGATCTTTCAGTGATTAATGGATGAATGTGAAATGAATTCATGTCATTATGGTGGGAGTGGGTCTACTATAAAAACAAAGTAAGCCCCTTCTTACCCTCTCTCACGCACTCTCTCACCATGTGATGCCCTATGCCACATTATGACACAGCAAAAAGGCCCTCACCTAGTGCAGCCCCTCAGTCTTGGACTCCCCAGCCTCCAGAACCATGAACCGAATAAACCTCTATTGTGGATAAATTACTCAGCCTACAATGTTCTGTTTCAGCCACAGAAAATGGCTGAAACATTTGGGATTCTGGAAGGGACAGGCAGAGCGAATGAGAGCTGTGGAAATGATAACCCCTCCATGGGTCCAGACTTCACTGTCTAAAAGGTCACTCTAGACCCCCAGCTCAGGGTGATGCCTGCTGCCTTTGATCAGGTGAGTCTTCTGTGCCGGTGTTAGACACTTCACAAAGAATAACCAAGAGTTGGAGGGCAATGCATCATTTCATGAAAGAGGAAATTGAGGCTAAGGGAGGGGGAGGAACCTGCCCGGGGTCACACATCCAGCAGGCAGTGAAGCGGGACACCAATCCCAGATGTGGGACTGTGGAGCCCACAGTCCTGACCCCTGGGGTGTCCTGACTGGGGACTGGGGAGGGAGCCCGTCTATCAGGCGCTGGGCTGAGCATGTTACCTGGTAAAGGTTATCTCACTCCCTACTGCAGTCCTGGGAGGGGGCATTCTTATCCCCACCCCTGGCTCAGAGCAGTGAGGTCACTGGCCGCCCAGGGCCATGGAATCCTGTGCTTGGAGGAGGGTCCAATTCCCTCCACTCACGCGACACCCAGGGGCTCTTCCCTGCAGAGTGGCCCCTGGGACACAGCATTTCCCGAGCACCCTGCCCCTCTCTCCTTCCTGTGCCTGCCAGCACTCAGGCTCCCACCCACCCCTCACCCTGGTGCTGCTGTCCAGCCCCCTCCTGGGCTTGCTCTGCTTCCAGGCCCCTTGCTGGGCTCACCCACCATTACTGCAGCATCTCTGCCTGGTCTGAGAGGAGTCCCTGCTGCTGGGCTGATGGGAGAGAGGCTGGTTCACTCCTTCCAGGCAGTGTGAGCTTTAACAGGTGCTCCCAGAGACAGCGCACTCCACTGCAGTGGCCACACACAGCTTAAGAGTTGGACCTGGGGTACCATGTTGTCCAGAGGCATGATGCCCTGGTCAGGGGACAGAGGTGATGGGAGAGAAAGAGTTATTTATTCTTTGTGGGCTGCCTGGGGTTGTGTCCAGCTTAGGCCTTGACTTACTGTGTGATCTTGGACAGTAACTCCCCCAGCCCCTCTTCCCTTGCTGCCCCAGACCTCTCTGACTATAAGGTTATATGGTGGGTTAACTCAAGGGCCATTCCTAGCCTCAATTCTCTGGGAGCACCTGAGCCCTGGATGAGGGGTTCCACTACATTTCTGTAATCCAGGACGGCCTGGGCCGCTGGAAGTTCAGGGAGCTCACAAGAGAGCCCGAGAGAGGCCTGAGGTCCAGGCTACCATGCTTTGGAGCTGCCAATCCCCCCTCCTTCCCACTAGAGACCTCCTGTCATTGACTGTGACTCAGCTCTGCCCTCTCCCTCCTTCCCACTAGAGCCCTCCTGTCATTGACTGTGACTCAGATCTGCCCTCTCCACTCCATCCTCAACCCCAAGAGTCTTCACACCAATCTGCACCCCAGCTCCAAGCACAAGGCATTACAAGAAGGTCCAGTGGTTCCTACTTTAGACTACACAACAAAAGAAATGAAAACCCAGCCCACCGAGGCTTGGCCCCTGTGGGGATTTCCTTCCCCTGCTCCATCAGCCAGACAAGGCACCTGCATCGTGGGTCCTTCATTCCATGTGAATGGAAACCCCGGTCCCTGGCAGAAGTATTCATGCTTTGGTTGCATTTAAATTGCTGTTCTCTGGGCCATTTTCATCCCCTTCTTTTCCAGCCTCCAGCCTCTCATTTCTGGGGCTCCCAGCCCTCCCTCTCTAATGCACCCTTTTGTGTTGCTGCAAATTGCCTTCAGTTCCATCAAAGCAGACTGCCAGCTTTCCATAAAGTCCAAATTTCCTGGCCCTGAAGGAGAGGCTGGCTCTCCACCTTCTTTCCTTCCCTCCCAGCCAGGCACCAAGCCCTCATTGTCTCAGCCACAAAGGAGGAAGAAAGAGCACCTGGGACGTGACAGGAAGGTCTCCCCTGTGGCCATAAGAGCAACTCTCCATGAAGTGCATGAACCAGCCCAGTGGGCCCACCTTCCACGCGCACCCAGGAAGAAGAATTCACATGATCATCATGAAATAACATGGGTCATAACTCATGATCATGGAGCCCTTCCTGTGGGCCGGATGCCGAGCTGGGTTCTTTCAGGCACTCTCTTAGTCCTCACCAGAACTCTGTAAAGTGGGTGCTATGACTATCCTTACTCTACAGACATTGAGGCTTAGAGAAGTAATAAGCTCCCCCCAGTGGTCGGGTGTGGTGGCTCACGCCTGTAATCTCAACACTTTGGGAGGCCGAGGTGGGCGGATCACGAGGTCAGGAGATTGAGACCATCCTGGCTAACACTGTGAAACCCCGTCTCTACTAAAAATACAAAAAATTAGCCGGGCATGGTGGTGGGCGCCTGTAGTCCCAGCTACTCGGGAGGCTGAGGCAGGAGAATGGCGTGAACCCGGGAGGCGGAGCTTGCAGTGAGCCGAGATTGTGCCACTGCACTCCAGCCTGAGCGACAGAGCAAGACTCTGTCTCAAAAAAAAAAAAAAAAGCTCCCCCCAGTTCACACAGCTAGTAAGCAGCAGAGCATGTCAGAGCCCTGCATATGCTGATGAGCGAGCCCTGTGTATATCTAGGTGTCCCCACACCAACAAGCCCTGCCCATGGGCATTGAGAATGCACTCCTGTTTCACTGATGACACAAATTCCCATGTGCAGTGATGCATGTGCCCTCGTGGACACAGGTAATCCCGGTGCCCAGGTATCCCTGATGCAGCCTGGCCAGATGGCCTTTGGATTTAATGATGGATCCCAAAACACCCTCCACTTATGCCCCACTCCAGGCCCAGGGGGCTGCTTGGTAAAATGATCATGAATGAGTGAATGAGTGCTGCGTGATCATGAATGAATGATCTGAGTGCTCCCTCCCCACATCCTGGTGGCAGCCATGGGCACTAGAAGGACCCACAGATCTCCGCTCCTTCCTCCCCTTAAACTCATTTGCCCATTTATAAGCCTCTCACACCCACTGCCTAGGCGGGGAAGCCAGCCTTCCTCAGCGACAGAGACAGTAAACCGAGGCTGTCCTGGCTGAATCAGCTCCAACGTGGGCTATCAGGCATGTGAATTATGGGCTCCCAGCACTTCATCACCCTGAGTCACTGTCTTATCTTTATTCATTCTGGCAAATTAAATTAGCACTGCCTTTCTAATCTTTTCTCCAGAGCCACAATAGTGGCAAAGAGAGAACTGGGGAGGGGGATCTTGGCAGTTATTCTGGAAAGAACACCTTGCCAATCCAAGGGGGGTGGGGGGCAAGTCACCTTGTCTGGTGCAATGTCTGATGTACTTTTGATCTCGGCTCCCTGCCTCCAAGAGGCCCACTGCCTTGTAAAATGCCAGGCAGGCAGACCTCCTGGGGATGAGGTTTGGGGCCTTCCCCAGGATGAGACAAATTTCTTTTCTTCATTTCCTTTCACCACTGAAGAGGAGTCAGCAACTCTCCTCCAACTCAGCTGACCCGGCTGCAGGAATACGATCCCATTTCATAGAGATGGATGTGGAGGCTTAGAGGTGTCAGGACAGGAGACTCACCAGAGGCAGGAGCAAGTAAGGGTCATGTGGACCCAGGACTGTCGCCCCCCCATGTGGGGGTCCCTAGTGCAGAGGCTGCATCTTGTCCCTGGTGGGCACCCTGGGGGTGCTTGAGAGGCTTTGGGTTGTGCCCACCTCCGGCCGCTCATGGCTCAGCGATTAGCTGCCTAAGTGGCTCTGGGCGTAGGCTTGATGATCAAATGCTGGGCAGGTCTCTCTCCTTCCATCAGTGCATCTGGTTCAAAGCTAAGAAAAGAGAAGTAACCTGTGCTAGGTGCAGATGGATCCCCCTCCGCCTCTGTGTCACTAAGGGCACGCGGGTGGAATGCAGAGTGCGTCTTGGCGGCTGGACTTGGGAGAATTAACTTCTCCACTCAGGGCTTACATTTCAGGCTGCTGTGAGCAGAGGCAGTTGGTGATGAAGCGGAGCGGGAGGTGGGGAGGGGAAGGTGCGAGCTCCCAGCCCTGATGCTCCAGCGTCTATGGCTTCTCTGCTTCCTCTCCCCATCGCAATTTGTGTGTATATTAATCTCTCCCTATCTTTTTTCTGTCTTGCTATCTGTGTCTTTTTTCCCTCTCTGCTCTACACTCCATTTTTCCCCACCGTCTGTCTGAATTGTATCTGTCTCCCTCCATCTCTGTCAGGGTTTGCGTCGGGGCTCTGCGTGGTGTGTGTGTGTGTGTGTGTGTGTGTGTGTGTGTGTGTTTCTCACTCCCTGGGTGGGTGCCTCCATCACACTCATTTTTAGAGCCTTTCCCAAAGGTTCTCTTTCTCGTCCATGTGTGTTCGTGTGCACACACGTGTATGTGTTTTGTGTTTTTTTTAATGTATTTTGCTGCCTCTGTTATCCTCTTGGTGTCTTGTTCTCCTTGGTTTTGTTCCCCCCTCTCTGTGTGACTCTCTCCTCTCTCCACTCTTCTCTCTCTGCAGCTGGCCTCTCTTACCCCATCCCTCTTGTGTTTGCTCCCTCTCTCCATGGTGGGCTGGCTTTTCTCTCTCCCCAGCCTCATATTTACTGCTGATATAAACAGGGAAGCCTGGGAACCTCTGATTGGATGGCCAGTTCCAAAGGAGAGTTGGTCATGGTTTGGGGCAGGCAGGGAGGGGGATCTTGGCAGTTATTCTGGAAAGAACACCTTGCCAACCCAAGGGGGGCGGGGGGTGAGTCACCTTGTCTGGTGCAATGGGAAAAAAAATCAAAGCACAAGTCCTGTACTTTCCACTTCTTGTGGGACCTTGGCCAAGTCACCAAACCTCTCTGAACAATTAATAAGATGGGGCCATTGTAAAAATGAGATGAGATGATAGGTGTAAAACAGGAAGCCTAGTGTACAGTGTGGGGTGCAAGAAATCAAGGGGTGAGTTGAGACTCAGAGGCAGCCCTGGCATTATCAAAGGTCTATGGGCTCCAGGTAGGGAGTGGGGGGAAGCTCCCCTGTCTGTCGAAGGAGAGGTGAACTCAGTGCTCCCCAGTCAGGAGTACCTGCTGATGCTGTGTGTCCTTGGGCAGGCTGCCTAACCTCTCTGAGCCTTTGTTTCTCATACAGAGAAACCTCTGAACCTCAGTTTCCCCATGTACACCTTGGGTCATGATGCTTGCCTCACGGGGCTGCTGTGAGCAGTGGATGAGATCGTGGTCTGCCATATCGGGAGCTGGGCCAGTAGCGGGTCCTGTCTGTGTTTCCAGCAGCTACCCGGCTGTGCCTGGCCCTGTCCTGCTGAGCTTCGGGCAGGTCTCTTCCTGCCTCCTGGCTCACGGAGAAGCCCCTGCTCCCCTCTCTGATGCTGAACACCCTGCCTGTTCACAGATATGCCTTGGTTTCCAGAATGACCCCTGTGGTTTGGAGGGTGGCTTAGGTTCTTGTGGTATGCAGCATAAGGTGTCATTCCTCCCATAAGTGTCTATTGGCGTGAGTTAAATGCAATGGGTTACAGGAGAAGAGAGGGCTTTATTTTAGAAAACAGGCACCTGGGGATAAAAACAAAAATGATTCTGAGGAAGGGGACGCATGCACCAGGCTCCTTCCATCCCCTACCTCAGGGCGGGGTTTCCAGTTTCCAGGGGAGAAGTGTGCAGGCCCGAAGCATTGCCATATTCAGGAGGCTCTGTGTGAGGCTCAGGACTCAGGCAGTGCTGCTTAGGGGGCCAGGTATAACCCAGGGTCAAGAGGTGGGACATTCTCCCCAGAGCAGGCCACGGATCCAGCATAGCCTGGGCCTTCTAGGGTTTTAGGATGAGCACAGTGCAGAAATTCCATGCCCAGCCCTCAGCAGAGGTGCAGGATCCAGGACACCAGCACCGGTGGCAGAGGCAGGAGGCCCTACTGATGGCCTGTTGGGGTGGGCAGTCCACAAAGAGGGCAGAGAGGATGGCTGAGGATGACACCTGAGCATGTGGGTGCCCACTATGTGTGCTTGGAGTAACTAGGGAGGTGGAGCAAGAGATGAGGATCTGCAGCATCTGGGTGGGCAGAGGTCTCTCCCCTGTTGCCAATGTGGTCCCTTTATTTTTTGCAGGCTGGGAAGGAGGATAATCTGTGCTGCCCAGAGCAGCAGGCTCTGAGGGATGCTGCGTTCTAAAAGATGCTGACAGGTGCTTCCCAAAAAAGGATTCCATGCTGAAATCTGCTTGGGTGACTGTATTAGATTTTCATCTTTCTTTTTGACTTGTTCTCTGTAACAAGCTGAATGTCTCGGGGCTTTTAGAAGCAAATGCTTCTCTTTCTGTCTCATGAGTCCATGGCCCATGGCCTAGGGTGGGGGGCTCTGCTTCAGGCTTCCGTGGGTTCTGGGGCTGCTCCTTAGGCCTGTTCTGAGCCAGCGGCTCCATGTTCTTCTCATGATCTCTCCCAGCCAAAATGTAAAGGGGGCACATGGGGAAGCAGGGGAAGCCTCCTCAGGCCCCAGCGGACAACTGGGAGCTGTTGCTTGTGTCCCATGGGTCAGCAAGAGACACGTCACAGCACCCAACATCAGAGGGACAGGGAAATGCGTTTTGCTCCACCCGGTGCTCTGCAAGGTCACATGACAGGGGGAGTGGGGAAGGAGCTGGGAGTAAAATCCCACCTGCCACCTTAACATCGCAGGCTGAGCCCCCTCTTGCAGATTCACCAGGCACCCAGGCCCCAGTGTCACCAGCGAGGGCCCCCAAGTCCTCCAAACTCCTTACCTTTAACAGCATTTAAACCAGCCTGAGCCCCTGCCCTGTGTGCTGTGGGGTGGCCGGAGGTCTCCCTAGAGTCTGCAGTTCCCTGGGGCTTCAGATTGTCGGATTCTCCTCCCTGTGGTTTCTTGATGCTGCTCAATTTTATCCCCCTGTTTCCTTGGGCTGCTGTCTCTCCACACTAAGCTCAGGGCCTGAGCTTGCAGATCCAGGCCTTTCCTCTGTCTGGCTGAACAAAGGGCCATCTATTTTGAGTTTCTACCCTTTAGTATTATAAAACACTGTTGAAAGTGGATGATTATGATTATGACTTGTTATTTTTTCCCCATACATGATAAAATTCTTTCCCTATCTGGCTGGTAAGCTAAAGAGAACACTCTAAAGATTTCTCTCCTGCCGGCTCCTCCTGCTGGAGCTGGCCCCAGGCACTGTGGAGAGTTCTCTTTCATCCCGCTGCACATGTTAGCACCTGAAAGGTGGACTTGGACAAAGCCACAGATCTTTCTTTGAATGTCTATTCCCTGCCCTCTGACCTTGGATGTGCAGGAAGAGGCATCTAGGATTTAGGGTTGTTGTGAGGCTTAAATGAGGGAAATTGTGTCAAGGCCCCTGGGCATTGGTAGGAATGCAGTCAGTGTTAGTTCCCCTCTTCTTTAGAGAATATCCTCACCTTAGGATGACCCTATAATTACTGTCCAAACCAGGACATCTGAGAGTGCAAGGCGACACTGCTGTTAACTACACTGAGGCTACAGGCAGAAACTGGGACTGTCTCAGGCCAAGTGGGACTTACGGTTGCCCTGTCTCGTCCAGACCTCAGCACAGACTCCAGCTCCTCCATTCACCCGCTCCCATCTCCGCACTGATGGCCCATGGTGACTGCATGGGGATTCCCCACAGGCTGCCTGCTGACCTTGGGACTTGATCATCAGTGGTGCCTTATACCTCTCCAGGGTAGAGTCTGCGATCAGGGCTTACATGCGGGCATGCTGTACTAACTCCAGCCTTGTGCTTCTCTGCTGGGAGCTGGTCCTTAGGTCATCTTCCTTGGCCCTTTACGACAGTTCAACTGAGGCCCCTGGGAGAGGTCCCTATCTGCAGAGCCTCCAGCCCCATACAGTAGCTGCCTACTCCAGGCCTCTCTGCAGAGCGGGCACCAGACTTCCCTGGACCAGCTGGGGTGAGGGTGGGCAGTGTAGGGACTGGAAAGAGCTGGATAGACCTGGGTGAGATCCTGCTCTGCCACTGTGTGACTTTGGGCAGATGGCCCCACCTCTCTGGGCCTCGGTTCCCTCATCTGTACAGTGGTGGATCTAGTTGCGCCTCCCTCTCAGGATTGTCATGAGAACCTAATGGGTCCCTGGAAATCACCCAGTCTCATTTCTGTCTCCACAAGGTCAACAGTACCAGTTCCTGAAACACACACACACACACACACACACACACACACACACACACACACACACTGCATGCAATCATATGTGCACATACAGCCACACTCACCCCTAGAATGTTTTTGCTTTTCTTGCTTCTCTCTGATTCACAAATTTCCCCTTCCTTCAGGGGTGCCCCTCAGAACCTCCTCCTCCAGGCAGCATCCCCAGGATTCGCTAGAGCATCAGCTCCTCGGAGCACCCCACCTCTCCCCCTGCTACACTCTGCAGGTCTCTAATGGACCTTCATGACCCGTGGGTCACCTTGTCCCACCATTGACTGACAGGTCTTTTGCCCTCTGGACTGTGGTCCCCTTCATGGAGAGACCTTATCCTGCCCTTACACAGGGGCCAGCCAGGGCAGAGGCAGAAAGAGATTCACAGGATGAATTAAATGGGACTCCTGGGAGGGAACAAAGGAGTGAGGACGACTCCAGATGTCTCTCCTCCTTCCAAATCCATGGGCTGCATCACACATTCAGATTGCATCGCCAAGGGCCACTCTTCAATTGTCTCCCCCAACACAGAGGATGCCTATTGCTCTGTCCGTCCAGGCAGTCCATCAGTTCTGGGAAAAGCCTCTTGTTTGAGGCAATGCCAACCCCTCTCCTGACCCCCCAAACTCCATCTATGTGATCCTAGCGGTAGCTGCCATTCACCTTCCAGGACAGGGTCATGAGAGACCTTCCCTGGGAGCTTCCACATCAGAACCCAGGGTGGGCAGCTCCCACCTCTCTGATGTGACTCCAGGAAGGAGGACCCTGAGGTATGACCCATGGCTCATGACCTGTGGCTCTCAGCTTGAGCTGTGGAAGATGCCATTTGTGGTAGAGGAGGAGGCAGTGGACACTAAGGAGGCAATTTGTTTCTGAAGGAGGAAGCAAGCAAACTTGAGGGAGGGAGGAAGGGATGGAGGGAAGGAGGGGGAGAGAAAGAGAGAGAGAGAGAGAGAGAGACAGAGAGAGAGACAGAGAGAGAGAGAGAGACCCAGTGTTCCAGCCTGATATGGCTTGGCTACGTCCCCACCCAAATCTCACCTTGAATTGTAATAATCCCCACATGTCAAGGGCAGGGCCAGGTGGAGATAATTCAATCATGTGATGGTTTCCCCAATACTGTTCTTGTGGTAGTGATTAAGTCTCATGAGATCTGGTGGTTTTATAAATGGGAGTTCCCCTGCACAAGCCCTTTTGCCTGCCACCATGTAAGACACGCCTTTCTCCTCCTTTGTCTTCCCCCATGATTGTGAGGCCTCCCCAGCCATGTGGAACTGTGAGTCCATTAAACCTCTTTTTCTTTGTAAATTACTCAGTCTCAGGTATGTCTTTATCAGCAGTGTGAGGACAGACTAATACACAGCCCTTCCCAGGATTGGTTATAAGAGACAATGCATTTCTTACCTGGCTTACATCATGTTTCTGTCACTTGCAGTCTAAAAGTCCTGGCTATCACACTGTGTGTGCACAATTCTTGGGTAAATTATAAGCTCTGTGAAGGCAGTGAGTGACCAGGCGCTGCTTGGCGTGGGAGGGCAAACAGGCAGTCTGTGGTCAGAAGACTCAGATTTCTCTCCTGACTCTGCCCATCCTCAGCCATGTGTCTTGGGCAGGTGATCATCAAAGCAATTCAGGGTTGAAAGAAGCCTCAGGGAACCTCAGATTGAACCAACTCACTGGTGGCTACTCCAAGATCAGACTGCAAAAGAGCAACACATTTTCAGTAAAACTCACTTTTCCTAACCATAAAATGAGGCCATGATTTCTAAGGGCCTCATTGATTAAATATATATATAAAATAATAGACCCCTACAATGTGCCAGTACTGCACTTGGCCATGGGACCTGACAATGAGCTGGACTTGATCCCTGCCCTCCACTCTGTGTGGAAGGAGAGACATCTGTTTTCTCTTGACCTTTAAGCCTCAGTCCATGAGCAAAGATTGGTCTAGAAGGGCCTTTTGTTGGTGGATTCTGGCTGTTACAGCAGGAGGATCCCATAGCACCCGGAGGTCTCCCCACACTTGCACTGGTTCAAACAAATTTCAGACCAAACTCCGAGGAAGTTGGTGGAGATGAGGCCACTTCTCCAGCTGGGAGCTCTATTCATGACTCACCTGCTGCTCTGGGGAATGATACTTGTCAAGGCTTATGTGGAGCCGTTAGCCTCCCACAGACCCCCTGCTCCCCACCAGACAGCCCTGGTGGCAGCTGACAGGCTGTTCCCCAGGAAGTGATGGGAAATTGCTTCTCCCCCCGCCTCTTTGACTGCTCTAGCAGTTGGGTGCAGCAATATGTCAGTCCTGCGAGGCCTGATAATGGAGCTGTCATGGTCAGACTGGCTCTAGGAGGTGAGCAGGGAGGATTCCAGGAAATTGTGGAGATTGCCTATAACATGGGCCACCTCAAATTAGGTTGCCACAGCGAGTGGTTTCAGACCCTGCAAATTGCATCTTGAGCTCCTCTTTCCCTGACCCTCAACGGGGTCTGTCACTTCACCTCTCTCGGCCTCCAACTCCTAAAGCACTCCCCGAGACCATTATCATTAGAGGCAGCCGGATCTGGGCTTGAATCCCTGGGCAGTAACTGAATGGTGTGTGACTACAGGCAAGTTATTTCTCGGTAGTGTAGAGGAAATGTGTACAATAATTGTTTTAATTGGGCCCATTTCTCTGACGAAGGACAGAAACTCAAATTGGCTTAAGCCAGAACAGAAAATTTATAGAATCATGTTACTGAGAAGTTCAAGGGAATTCAGGTATGGCTGGATTCAAGTGCTCAGGTGAGGTTGTCAGGCATCCATCACATCCTATCTCTTGGTTCTGTTTTCCTCTGACTGGACATTACTTCCAGGCAGCTCCTCTCCTCCTGGAGGCCCCAGTAGCTTCAGCAGAAGAAGAGCACTTTGCGTGCCCCATAATTCCATGAGAATCCCAGAATAAAGTCTCACTGGCCAGGCCAGGTTATATGCCCACTCTTGAAACTGAGGGTGGGACCAATAACACTGAAATAACAGTTGTTCTGGGAAAGGATGGTAGTGGGTCCTCATAAAAACGAGAGGAGCTGTTACCAGTGGAAGAGGGAGCAAGTGGAGGTTGCATTTATATGATCATCATAGCGCTCCAGGTATGGTGCTAATACCCTTGGTCTATGTAATCCATCTAATCCTCCAACAATGTGATCAGGTAGGCAGTATTATTGCCTCCATTTTATGGATCAGGAAACTGAGGCCAGAGAGGTTTGATACCTTTCTCAAGCTTGTCAGTGGCTGGCCTGAGATTTGAACCTGGGGCCTTGGACTTGAGAGTGAGTGTTCCAACAATAGAGTGCTGAAGAGGATCAAGAGACAACAAGGGAGTGGAATGCAAATGCCTGGCAGGGTCCAGTGCTCAGTTAATTAGGATTAACTGTGGGTGCACTGAACCCTCACTGAGGGCCTGCTGTACTGCAAGGGGCTGGGGTTTGATGCAGAAATGAGCAAGCAGAATTCATTACCCTCGGGAGGACACAATCTGCTGGGAATGAGGAGATACGTGGACAAATAACCATGATTTCACACCAGGATGGTAGGAAAGGTTCGAGGTGTTGAGTTCAGAGGTGGCTGGAGAGGCCCAATGGGTGAAAGGTCGAGGTGGGCCCCAGGAGGCTGCAGCAGCTGCGATGGGACCTGAAAGATGGGGTGGGAAGTCACGGTCAGTGGAGTTCCCTTTGTGCCAGGCCTTAGAGATCCACTCCAGCTAACCTATACCAGAGTGGGACTCCGGACCCGGGTGGCCTCACCAAATCCAAAGGCAGGACTGCAAGTGGAGCCCAGAACAGAGAAGGCTATGGTGTGAGCAGCACTGGGGTCCTCTCACATCAGGATTCCTCTCTCTTTCCTTGACTCTCCCACTTCCCCCTCCCACCCCCATCTCTCTCTGCAGACCCGATTTCTCCTCATGTCCAGGCACAAAAGCGAGCTCTATCATGAGCACCTGTTAAAGTTTACCTGTTAAAGTTCGAATTCCAAACTCCAACCTGTGGCTGCGATGCACAGAGATGCTCAGAATGACTGTGGGGCCCACTGCAAAAGGTGGCGCGTGGGAGAGGGAAGACAACCCAAGAAGGTCCCCATAGGAAGAAAGTCACCAACCCTGACACATAGGGAGGGCGTTCTGAAGACAGGAGGATAGAAAATGTGGTCAGGAACAGCGAATACACCTCTTGGGTGCAACTGTGAGAACCTGTAATGGGGTCTTGAGAGGTGGTCCCAATAGCTGTCCTGTCCTTTACACCTCAAACTTTAGGACTCCTTACTCCCAAGACAAAGCTACAGGTCACCTCACTCTCCCACCACCCTCAGATTAACTCACTCTCCACTCAATTCTCAGGCCACCTCACTACCCCCAACCCCCAGGTCACCTCACTCCCCCTCCACCCCCAGGTCACCTCACTCTCCTTCAATCCCCAGGTCACCTCAGCCCCCTCCAACCCCAGGTCACCTCACTCCCCCTCCACCCCCAGGTCACCTCACTCCCCCTCCACCCCTAGGTCACCTCACTCTCCTTCAATCCCCAGGTCACTTCACTCTCCTTCAATCCCCAGGTCACCTCACGCCCCTCCACCCCCAGGTCACCTCACTCCCCCTCCATCCCCAGGTCACCTCAGTCTCCTTCAATCCCCATGTCACCTCACTCCCCCTCAACCCCAGGGTCACCTCACTCCCCCTCCATCCTCAGGTCACCTCACTCCTCCTCAACCCTCAGGTCACCTTGCTTTCTTCTCACCCTCACACCCACATGGAATCTAAGGGCCCTCCTGAGGCCTCCAAGGCCTTTACCTGATCTGTCCACCATCTCTCGGACCTCCTACGCCCTCCTCATCCTGCTGCAGCCTGACCAAGCTTCTGGGTGTTTCGTGACCATGCCCAGGACTTTCCAACTACAGATATCCCAGCTCTGAGTTCCCCTCACCTTCTGCCTGGAATGTGTTGTCTTGTGTCATGGGTTCATTTGCTGTGTCTCATTTCACAGTAAATGAAGTGAAATCCACAGCAGTAACTTCTGTGCTGTCCACCCTGGCCTCAGCACCAGGCATGGGCCCTGGTACACAGTAGGTGCTTGGCAAGTGCCTGCTGAAGGAGGGGTTGGTGGGTGGCCGGTGCGGAGGCTCTGACGCCTGTCCAGAAGGCAGGGGATAATGGCCTAAATGGGGCAGTGGATATGGGGAAGATGAAGGGGCCCAACATGAGACACATTTGGCAGGAGAGCTGAGGTCCCTGAGCATGGTCCTGGTGAGGACCGTGGAGGGGCCTCCACCTCTCTCAGCCTTGAATTCGCCCAACTGCCTTCAGGAGCCAACGAGGTGTCAGCCTCAAAACTGGCCTAAAATTCCTCTTTACATCTGGAAGGGGAAAACAGGTCCCTTCCTCACGGTGAAGAAAGCTCTGGCAGGGATCATTTCTCCTCCGGGGTCTTGGAGGAGCCCACAGTTCTACTGATTCACTCTGAGAGGGATGGTGGCCACCTGGAAGCCAGAGGCCTGGTAACTCAGCCCGCTCCTCCACTTACGGCTGCGTAGACTTGGGCAGACATTTCCCATCTGGGGCTCAGTTTACCCTTCTAACGACTGGGGACAAAAACCCCTGTAATAGTTTCCAAGGGCTGAGGTAGCAACGTACCACAAACTGAGTGGCTTAAAACCAAGCAATGCATTGTCTCACAGTTCTGGAGGTCAGAAGTCCAAAACCAAGGCATTGGTAGGGCCATGCTCCCTCCGAATCCTCCAGGGGAGGATCCTTTCTTGCCTCTTCCAGCTTCTGGCTCTCCTGGGCGTTCCTCAGCTTTGCAGATGCATCATTCCTCTTTCTGCTTCCTTCTTCACACGGCATTCTCCCTGTGTGTCCCTTTGTCAAAATTTCCCTTTTGTTACAAGGACACCTGCCTTATTGGATTAGGGCCCACACTAGTAACCTTGTCTAAACTTGATTATATCTGCAAAGACCCAATTTCCAAATAAGGTCACATTCACAAATCCCAGGGATTAGAGCTTCAACGTATCTTTTTGGAGGGTACCCACCAATACCACAGTATCTTGACTAATGTAGCTGCGCAGTAGGCCTTCACATCAGATAGAGTGATTCCTCCCATTTTTTTCCTTGTCAAGATTGGTTTAACTATTCCAGAGCCTGTGTTTTTCAGTACAACCCATTTTACTCCCCACTTGGATTTTTCTTTTTCCTTTTGAGACAGGGTCTCCGTCTCACTGCACCCAGGCTGAAGTGCAGTAATGCAATCAAAGGGAGCTTTGCAGGAGCACGCGCCAGTGTTAAATTATGGAAACTGCTCTGGGGTCTTTTCCAGGCCCATGACTCTGTGACCTTTGATTTCCTGGCTCTTGAAGCCTCCTGGGAAGTTGATCCTGGTAACCCAGAGACGTAAACACCCCTCAGGTAAGGCGATGTGATGGATTGGCCGTGTCTTCTGGTTTGCTTGCTGTCACATTTAATGCAGGCTCCAAGCCTGGCCACTCAGTCACTGTCATCCAACACTTCACTCAGAGCTAACACCCGCTCTTTCCCATTAATGAGGCTCTATTTGGAGACTCTGGCCTTTACCCCAATCTTGTTTCTCCTTTCCCTTCCTGTCACATCCAGGAGAAGGTGGTGTTCAAGTTATCTGTCACCCAGAGGAAAAGTTAAACCATGTGAGGCAAAAATCTCCAAGGAGTTGTTTTTCTGATTTGACTCTTGCTGAGAAAATCTTGACTGTATCATGTGGTCCTTCCCCCATCCATATATCTGTATGTAGTGTTACCTGCAGTGGCTTCTTGACTCATAGATTTATGAACTTGTTTGAAGAATTTTTTGAGAAAGATGAAGTCAATCTGTGAGAGGAAAATTGTAGACAATTAGACAATTTCCCATAAGGGCGATTCAGTTTGAATGATATTCAATGGAACTTGTGCCCCAAAACAGTAGACACCAAATGTCCCTATAATTCCCAGCATTCTTTGCAGATAAGTTGTCCTCATGTGACTAGTAATGGTCAATGGACTGTGAGCAGAAGTAACATGAATTATTTCTGGCCTGAGGCAGTTACGAGTAGATGTGACAACTCCATTCTTCTCTTCCACTGCAATGGGGAATAAAGGGACCACATATCCCATATGGAACAAACAGGCTTTGTCTATCTTGTCCATTTCTGGTCCCAGCACATAGGAAAGTATGAGGCATATAGAGGTATCCAATAAATACATGATGCATGAACAGATGAGTGAATGAATTAATTAATGAATGAGATAATGAAGTTTCTACATACATCTCCAATGTTTCTCCGTTAAGCAACTGAAAGAAAACCCTTGTCCAGGTGTGGCTTGGGAGAAGGTTTCATTCTTCCTCTTCCTTCTTGCTTGGATCAAGTTCCATGAATCCTTTCCTGGAGAGTCCTGCTGTCCCTGCTTGGGAGACACTTTGTGTCTCTCAAGTCTGCTTCCTCATGACAAAGTCTGTTTTTACATGGTCAGAGGAATCCTCCTCACATAGGCTTTCACAAAAGCAGTTTTAAATTCCAATGAGGTCTACTTTATCAATTTATTTTCTGCTATGGGTCACACTTTTGGTGTTTAAGAATTCTAGCTGGGTGCTGTGGCTCATGCCTGTAATCCCAGCACTTTGGGAGGCTGAGGCGAGTGGCTCACTTGAGGTCAGGAGTTTGAGACCAGCCTGGCCAACATGGTGAAACCCCGTCTCTACTAAATATACAAAAATTAGCCAGGTGTGGTGGCAGGTGCCTGTAATTCCAGCTACTCTGGAGGCTGAGGCAGGGGAACGACTTGAACCTGGGAGGCAAAGGTTTCTGTGAGCTGAGATCGAACCACTGCACTCCAGCCTGGGAGAGAGAGTGAGACTCCATCTCAGAAACAAAAACAAACAAAAAGGACTCTTTGCCCTAGGTCATGAAGATTTTTCCTACATTTTCTTCTAAAAAGTTTTATGGTTTTGTGCTTTACATTTATCATTTATGTATGTTATTCATTTTTAGTTATATAGAAAGTGTGCTGAGATTCCTCTTTTGCTTATGGATGTGTAATTGCTCTAGCACCATTTGGTGAATAAGATTAACTTCCCCCATAGAATGGCCTTTGTACCTTTGTCAAAAATCAATTGAACATGTTTGTGTGGGTCTATTTCTTCGTTTTCTATGGATGTATGTATCCCTCTTTTAGTACCACGGTGTCTTGATTAATGTCGTTGAATAGTAAGCCTTAATGCCAGCTAGAGTGATTCCTTCCATATTCTTTGTCAAAATTGATTTAACTTTCTAGAACATGTATTTTTCCATGTAAGTTGATGAATAATTCGCCTATGTTTACTAAAAGGTCTGCTGGGATTTTGATACAAATTGCATTAAACCAGTATATCAATTTGGTAAGAACTGACATCTTTACTAAGTTGAATACTCAAAACCATGAACACGGTCTTTTAAAATTTCTCTTGTAAATATTTTATATTTTTCAGTATATAGATTCCATATGTATTTCGTTAAGTGTATAGCTAAGTATATTATTTTCTTTAGTGTGACTGTAAATGGTATTGTGTTTTAAAATTTGATTTCTGCATATTTTGTTAGCTTGGAGAAATACGCTTAATTTTTGTGTGTTAACTCCGCAACCTGAGAACTTACTGAACACATTTACTAGCTCTGGGAGATATTTTCTAGATTCTTTGAGATTTTCTATGTAGATAACTGTGTCATCTGCAAATAGAGATAGTTTTATTTCTTCTTTTACAAACTATATACCTTTTATCTGTTTTTCTTACCTTAATGCAGTGGCTATAAATTCTAGTACAATGTCAAATAAGATAAATGAGAGCAGGCATATCCTTGCATTTTTCCTAATCTTTTGTATTTTTTGTTGCTAATCATACAGCATTTGACCACTAAATAATTTGTCACCTGTGGTTTTGTATAGATGTTATTTATTTTCCTGAAGAAATTGTATAATATTGGTGTTTATTCCTCTTCAAAAATTTGGTAGAAGTCTCCAGTGAAACCACTTAGGCTGAAAAATTTCTTTTTCAGAAATTTTAAACATTATGAATTTAATTTGTTTGATGGCTATAGGGTTATTCAGATTACCCATTTTATCTTGGCTTGCCTTTAGTAGTTTATGGTTTTTGAGAATTTGGTCCAATTCTTCTATTTTATGAGCATAAGGTTGTTCATACAATCTCTTATTATCCTTTTAATAGCTGCATGGTCTATAGTGATATTCCCTATTTCATCCCCAATATTAGTGATTTGTGTCTCCTGTTTTTTTTTCTTGTATCTTCTTATTTGCTGAAGGTTTATCAATCTTATCATTTTTTTTAAAGAGCCAGCTTTTTTTGTTTCATTGATTTTACTTATTGTTTTCCTATTTTCAATTTCATTGATTTTTTGCTCTTTTCGTTATTTCCTTAATTCTGCTTGCATTGGCTTTATTTTACTCTTCTTTTTCTAGTGTCTTGAGGTAAGAACTTAGATTATTGATCTGAGATCTTTCCTTGTTTCTAACATAGGCATTTAATACTATAATTTTTTTTCTTTCAGCACTATTTTGGCTGCATCGTATACATTTTTGATACGATGTATTTTTGTTTCCATTCAGTTTTATGTATTTTTTAAACATTCCCTTTAAGACCTTCTTTTTGACCCATGGATTTTTAAAGAGATGTGTTGTTTAATTTCTACATGTTTAGGGGTCTTCCAGTTGTCTTTCCATTATTGATTTCTACTTTGGTTCTGTTATAATCAGAGAATATCCTGTATAATTTCAATTCATTTATATTTTTTGATGTTTGTCTCATAGCCCAGTATATAATTTATCTTAATGAATGGTCTGTGGTTGCTTGAAAGAGTATGTATTCTGGTGTTGTTGGCAGAGATTGGAAGAGTGGATAAAAAAACCACATTTTTCTCCCATATGTGTCAATTAGATTTTGCTGGTTGATTTTGTTGTTCAGATCTTCTATATCTTTGCTAATTTTCTGTCTAGTAGTTCTTTCAGTTGCTGAGAGATGTATGGTTTGAAGTGTCCAGCTACAATTGTGGATTTGTCTGTTCTGTCAGCTTTATCAATTTTGTTTTATGGATTTTAAAACTCTGTTGTTTGGTGTGCACATATTGAGGGGATTTTATATCTTCCTGGTGGACTGGTCCTTTTATCATTGTGTAATGTTCTGTTTTGTCTCTAGTAATAGTCTTTGTGCTGAAGTCTACTTTATCAGGTTTTTTTAAAAAGATAATTTTTACATAGTATATCTTTCAAACTGTCTATGTCATTGAATTTGAGGTGGGTTTATTATAAGCAGTCTATAATTTGGTTGTGTTTTTTTATCCACTCTTCCAATCTCTGTCTTTTGATTGCTGTATTTATACCTTTAACATTTAATGTAATTTTTGATGTTAATACTTAAATTTACCCCTTTATTATTTGCTTCCTGCTATATATTTAGTTTTCATTCCTCTGTTTTTACTTTATTGTCTTTCCGAAGATTGCATGAACATTTGTTAGGATTCTATATTGATTTATTTATAATATTTTTAAATATATCTATTGGTAGAGTTTTTGTAGTGGTTGTTCTGGTTGTGACAATATATACTTATGAGACTTATAGTTTTCTACTGGTATCAACATTTTACCTCTTCAAGTGAAGTATGGATACCTGCCTTCCTTGTATTTAGATTCTTAACCAAAGATTCTTTACCTTCTCCACTCTCAAATATTGTCTTGGGTATCAGATGGTGTCATAATTTTTCTTTCAATAATAAAATATGTCATATTTTGTCTACATAAATAGACAAAAATAATAGTCTATTTATGTACCCATATTTCTGCTTTTTCTGTTGTTTCTTCTTCCTTAATAATGCTCCAAGACTTCTTCTTTTACTATTTCCTTTCTGTTTGAAGAACTTCCTCATAGCCAATTTTTAAATATAAAACTGCTAGTGGCAAACTTTAAAATTTCCCTTTGTTTGAGAATGTTTTTATTCCCTTCCCATTTCCTAAGGATGGTTTCATCAGATACAGAATTTGTGATTGATTTTTTTCAGCACTTGAAAAATATTGTGCCACTTCTTTCTGGCTTCTATAGTTTTCAAATGAGAAACCTCCTGTTATTTAAATAGGTGTTCCCCTTTAGGTAATTTGGTAATTTGTGGTTTCTCTTTGGCTGCTTCCAAGACTTTTTTCTTTGTCCTGAGTTTTAAAGTTTTACTATCATGTGTCTTGGCATGATTTTTTTCTGTTTATCTTCTGTGGTATTTGATTAGTTTCTTGGATCTATAGATTTGTTTCTTTCACCTGGTTTGAAAAATTGTCAGTCATATGTCTTCTAATAGTTTCAGCCCTTTATTCTCTTTCTCCTTTTCTTGGCTTCTGATTGTATGAATGTTGGATCTTTTCTTATTGTCCCATAGGTTCCTGAGGCTCTTCCTTCTATATTCTCTTTGTTGTTCAGGTTGGGAAAATTCTATTGTTTTATCCTCAAGTTCACTAATTCTATTCTATCATCTCCACTCTACTATCCAGCAAGTTTGTAAAATTTCTGTAACTGCATTTTTCAGTTCTATAATTTCCTTCTGGATTATTTTTGTAACTTTTATTTCTTTGCTGAGACCTCCTGTTTTTCCATTCATTTCAGGACAACGTGTAATTGATTGTGGAAGCATTTTATGGTGGCTGCTGTAAAATTATTGTCGGATAATTTCAGGATCTGACTCACCTCGGAGTTTGCCATCAGTTGATTGTCTTTGCTCATTTAAATTGTGAAGGTATTGGTATGACAGGTGATTTGCAATTGTATCCTGGTCATTTTGCTGTATGAACAACCAAGAGAATCTTGAACCCATGGGACTAAGAGGCTTGACCTGAGGTTTTGACTCATTGAAATGTTGGGAATCTCATTGCTGTGGTGTAAGAGAGGCTGCCACAATGATGTTCTGCAGTTAGGGCTGATCCACTTGTCACCCTTCTTTGGATGATAATCACTCACTTCTGAATGTCTCACTGAGCTCAACTCTTTTGACCTCAAATCAGGTTCCCACACTGGCCCCCAGAGCACCATTTCTGAAATAAAGCCTGACTCTTGTATTACTCCTGCTGAAGAACAGCATAGTGGCCAACAGCTTGGGTTCCAGAATGTGCACACCTGGGTTCACACATAAATACAGTTCTACCACTCGGTAGGCTGCATGGACATTAGTGATTTACTTCATCTCCCTCTGCCTCAGTTTCTACATCTGCTAGTGGAGGGGATACTGACTTCTACCTCCCAGGCTTCTTGTTAGGTATGAATGAGTTAATGCAGGTAAGCGCCTTTGACAGTGCCTGGTGCATAGTAGACATTCCATGAATGTTAGGAGGGAAATGATGCTCTAGTGGCCCCAAGGATGTGCCAAACTGTGGTTTGGCTTTCAAGGTTCTTTACCATGTGGCCCCTGCTGACTCTTCAACCTCATCTCTGGTTATTTCCTGTATTACACTTGACTCTGAGATGCCCTCTAGTTCCTGACACACTTGGTCTCACTGTCACCTCTGCCTTGACCAGTTTCTCTCTGCTTCCCCTTGAAGCTTCAGCTCAGGAGTCACTGTCCCAGGAAGTCCTCCCCAATGCTCCCTCTCCCTGCCACATGTGTTATGTGCCCCTAGTCTGTGCTCCCAGAGCCTTTACTCATATCCCTGTGATGGTGGTAAAATTAACATGCTCAGCAGTATTTATTGAACATCTATGAGTGTGCCTGGCACTTTGTGGTGGCTGGAGAAACAGTGAGGAAGATTCATCTTGTGGTTCTTGCTTTAGTGGAGAGGATGTTCTAGGAATAGAGACCTGATGTTGGCTGTGTCATAAGTGGGTGTCCCAAGCTCACAGCCCCTGTGACAATAATGCATGCTGGGGCTTTAGGCCTGGAAAAGCACTGGGGG
The DNA here is from genome assembly GCF_000001405.40 of Homo sapiens. Taxonomy (NCBI): domain Eukaryota; kingdom Metazoa; phylum Chordata; class Mammalia; order Primates; family Hominidae; genus Homo; species Homo sapiens. The sequence continues at coordinate 30,389,983 of NC_000001.11, read as the reverse complement.
CCCTTATTCTAGACAAACCCAGAGGAGGTAGGATGTGGCCAATGGAGATAGAGCTGACGTTGGAGAAAGGGGCTCACCCTTGAGGGCATGTGGACCTCCCCTGCAGACCCTAGGACCAGACAGGGAGGAACTCACCATCAGATGTGTGTTGACCTCCCTCCAGGCTCCCCTGTGGTCAGGATATTGGGGCTGTTGCTACAAAACCTCTGGTGGTGGAAGAGCAGAGCAGACGTGAGCTCTCTGGGCAGCTGGGCTCCAGAGAATGAGCAGTGAGCTTGTCCTGCTCTTCCTCAAACTCACGACCTTTTGGTGGGAGGTGGAGGGCAGTGGTGTCTGGGGGAAATCTCTCCCCAGGGAAACTATGAGTGAGGGAAGTTTCCGCCTACCTCTGAGTAATGAAATAACAGCATAACCCCTCATGGAGCATCGCTCTGTGCCAGCACAGCTGTTACCATCTTACCCAGGGAGCCTAGAGGCTTACAAAAGTGAACTCAGTTGCCCGATCCCCCTGGAAGTGGGGAGTCAGAAAATGGACCCAAGCTTGACTCAAAGCTCTTATATTTCACTGGCTCCCCCAACAGTGACCTCAGGCCTGAGCCCTGCTGGCCTCACCCTGCCCTGGGATGGCTCACTCCATGCTGAGTGGCTCTGACCATCAGAAAGTTCTTCTTCCCTTTGAATTCCAAGCTGTCTCCTGGTGGATTCCACCAACCAGTCCTTGTTTTGCCCTCTGGAACTGCACAGTGAATTTCATCTCCTCAGTAATTGCAAAATAAATTTAATAAACTCCATTAAAGTGTGTAATCTCACAGACAAGATGCAGAATCTCTGTGCTTCAGACTTTTTTCCATAATTACTAGCACCATGGAAGTTGCAGGGATTAGAAACTCTACTGGAAACGAGGACAGATTGTGTCGCCGAGAGAGTTCAGACGAACTGAGAGTTCAAACTCCTGCACAGTAAGGCGGGCTGGGATTTGCATTAAATTAGAAGGTGGGTCCAGGCCCATTAACTGCATGGGAACAGTGACCTTCTAGGGTTTGCTTAGGAAACTGGGAAGAGTGGGAAGGGGGTAGGAGGTGTCAGGTGTTGTGAGTTGATGCCTGACTGTCTTTGAAAAATTAATTTGTTAAATGTCTGCACTGAAAGGAATGTTTGAAATTGAGAAAAATCCCACTTTCCTGATTGAACAACATTGCTCTACCTTGACCACTTCCTCCCACCCTCAGGGAAGAGGTGATTTGCCCCAGAGGACACAGCTGGCTCTTGGGCGACCTGGGACTCGGACACAGTGGCTTTACCAACATGCCAATAAATCCTGGTCATCAGGTGATCAGGAAACATCTGCGGTAGCAAAAGAAGAGCCTTTTCTCCAGTACAAACCTGTCATTGAACATCTGCTATGTGTCACGTGATGGGGCTTTCTCTTGGAATCCCCTTACCAGCCCCACTTGATACCAATCATCTCCATTTTACAGATGGGAAAGCTGAGGCTGAGAGTGACACAAATGCTAGCCCAAGTCCACCTTGTTAGCCATTCACAGAGCTGAAGCTGAAACCCAGGACTGCCTGACTTCACCAGCAACATTGGGAGCAGCTGGAGAGACTCTAATGCTGGTCTGGCAAGCAGGTTCCATTTCACAAGCTAATGTTGGTTGGTTGGTTGTGTCTTCTTGATTGACAAATTGTCTTGACAAGGAATTTGGAACTGAATTCAGGGTCAGGAAGAAGGAGTGCTGTGAATGATTGGTGATGTCTGCCACAGGAGTGCAGAGTAGGACAGGAGTGTCACACAGATGCTATTTGAGCTGAAGTCTGGCAAGCCGAAACCCCAGTGTTTGACAGTATGCTGGGTCCCACATCAGGGGCAGGGTACATCTGATCACTGCTTGCTCTTCCCTACGGTGGATGGCCATGCAGTCTGGTTCTACTTTCAGGTGCTGGTTCTCCAATTCTTTGTTCTGCTCCCAGGGGACCCAGCCTTGCCTACTTCCCTGGGTTGTTGTTAAGATTGAAAGAGGTGATGGATGAGAAGGCCCTTGATGTCCAGGTGAAAAGGATGGAGAGTCATTTAAACACAACTTGCTTCTCTCAAAACCAACCGAAGACAGCACAAGATGAAAAGAGGGAAGAGGTTTCATCATTTAAACCAGAAATTGGCTACGACTCACTCCATCCATAAACTCTGAAGCCTTTCTGCCAGGACCTGTGAAACCTAGACCAGGGCAAATACAGAAACTGAGACCCACAAAAACTTCCTTGAGCTTTGAATAGTGGTCATTCAACATCTCTCCAGATGTGAAGGGCTTATCCAAACACCTTTGGCTTAAAGATCCCTAAAGACTCGCAGGGGAGTGGTGGTCACAGAGCTGGCTGGCAGGCTGAGGGAAGGCCCCCTCAAGTGGAAAGCCACCAGCGCCTACATAAGGCCCCTCAGTGTGTCCTTTGGTGGAGAGAGTCCAGGGAGATGGGAGAGGCACAAAGCAACCTCCTCCAAAAATGTCCAGACCCACCTCTGCCTACCACTGCCCTGCCAACCTCCACCCCATGATGGAGGAGATGCTGCTCTCAGGTCATCAGGGCCTAAGTCACTGAGTGGGCCACAGGCACTAGGGGCTGGGCACACGCCCCTTCCCCAAAGCCTTTCTTGTCCCACTCCTGTCACTGCCATGTGGTGGGCAGGCCCTATGACACCCCTCATCGTTTCTGCCTCCTCCAGCCAACCAGTTGGGGGTAAACAAGGCCAGAGGCTGCCACACAAACATGGCCCTACTGGCCCCCATCTTTGAATGTCCTTCCTTTATAGTCAGCCACCCGGGAGTGACACTGGAGCAAGGTAAGCTCCGAGGCTGCCTTATGTGCTTACATCACACATGGGGAAGGGCCATAGTCAGGGCAGGGGGAAGTGTCGCAGATTAAGAGACATAGCAGAAGGTGACATGCTAATGAGGACTGGTGTCTTTCGAGGATGTGGCAAAGCATGCCACCATCAACAAGATATTGTTACCACATGGCTTTGTGGTTGTGGGGAAGATTTGGTGTCCTTCAAATCTTTGGACACATTCCAGCGTGCTTTGAGTCTTCAATGCTGCTGAACCCTGGCAGGCTGAGAAGCACCGCCCAGAATCCCTGACTTTGGCAGGGTTGGCAGCCACCCTCCACTCCCGTACTCTGGACTGCAGTGCCCAGGGCTGGAGGCAGCAAGGGATCAGCAAGGACGAGGCAGCCCTGTGTGTGCCCCGCACTGGGCGCCTTCCCTGGGCCCTGCCCAGCCTCCCCCATCTTCCTTGTTCTGCACATTGCAGGCCAGGGCTCTGGGCACTATGAGGTTAATGAAAACCTGGAGGAGGTGAGCCGGAAGGGAAATTGCTGTTAAGTGTTCCTCTTTCTTTTCCTTTCTGCTGCCTCAGTCATCTCATCCTCATCCATGGATCAGGCCAGGGCTTGAGACTCATAATTTCAAAGTCCTTTTAACTTTTCTAGGGCAGAATTGTATTGCTTTTGGCCAAAGGCCACTCTGGGATTTACAGAGCAAAGAGCAAGTACAACTCTCTCTTTAGCGTAAGTCACAGAGTTCAAAACAGGATGCGTGGGGCTGATTTGGTGGCTCCACCTGGGATGACCCCCCTGAGCCTCCCAGAGCCAGGACCCACGTGGCAGACACGGCCGCATGGGCTGCTGGACTGATTTCTCTTCCAGGTTTGCTCTTGGTGAAGTACCGGCCGTGATCACCGCCAAAGAGCCCCGAGGTGGCTGCAGGGCCTTGACAGAGTGTGAGGTGCCCCAGGGCAGTGCCGCAGGGTGGGGGGGCCTACAGCCCACCACCTGCCTTGCAGGCCAAGAGCCAAACCTCTCCCTGCCTCAGTTTCCTCACTGACAACATGGGGAGAGAGTAACATACCCCGTGTGACTGCTTCGAGGGTGAAATGAGGTGATGCAGGTGAAGTGTATGCCTGACACAGTCAGCTTTCAATAAACATGATTATTATTCAGGTTTCTTGAACCCAGGGATTCCAGAGCTTTCCATCAGAGCCCAGTCTCCTGGGAATGGAAAGTTATGAGGCAGAAATTGGCAGTTAATTTTCTGTCTCTCACGGAATCATCTGGAGCCCTGCAGTGAGATCCTGGCAAATGTAAAGCAAAATAGAGCCATCTGTCTGGCCCCGACCGGCCTCATCTAGTAAGGGACGCGGGTCCTGTGGCTGGATCGAGGCCTAGTGTGAGTGGAGTGAGGGGCTGTGGATGGGGCGGTGAATCCATGCTGGAGCCAGCAGAGTTATAAACACTGGGGGAGGTGGGGGGCGGGGTGTTCTGGATTTCTTCCTGCCACTGAAGAACATGGAAACCATAGATCCAAGGTTGGGGGCTCGCAAGCCAGCAGCTCAGTCCTTCCTGCACAGTCTGTGTGAGAGATTCAGCAGGCCCCCCACCCAGGGTCCCTCAGAGGCTGTGCCCATTGTGAACTCAGGGGGCCCTGGAGGGGAGTCCAGGGGAGATACAAGGAGGGACAGGGCAGGAGCCCAGCTCAGAGCTTGGACGTGTCCTTCCCGTTGGGAGCCTCGCTGGACTTCCCCATTGACGGGTGGCAGCAGCTCAGAGTTGTGGCATTGCTGTGGCATTGCTGTGAGGATCGCAGGAGCATTGGAGGCGGAGTCAGCCCTGGCTCAGCACAGACAGAGAGGGTCTGCGGGAGGGCCTGGGCCAGGGCGGTCTGTAGGAGATGGGAAAGGAGGGAACCAACAGTGGTGCCCAGACATTGGAGCAGGTCAGACTCACCCAGGGAGGTGGTAAAATACAGATTCCCTGGCCCTCTCCAGAGGTTTTGGTTCCCAGGAATGAGGGGGTCCTGGGAACCTGCCTGAGAACAAGCTCTCCTCCCTCGGGGGCTGGCCGCAGCTGGCCACAATTTGGGGGCCCTCTCAGGCCCTCAGCAGGTAGAGCAGAGCAGGGGAACCAGTCAGTGGAGGCTGGAATTGGAGGACGCAGAGTGAGCCAAGGTCCTGGCAGATGACAGGTGAAGGGGGTGGGCTGTGACCGGGCACATCATTGCCCCTCTCTGCACTTCAGACCGCTGGTCTGAGAAATCAGGGGTGGTACCAGCACCCCTCCAGGGGGCGGTGCCAGGCTTGAATCAGTGCAGGCTGGTGCTGCCCTGGGGCCCCTCCAGAGTCTGTGTTCTTCCTGATGTTGACAAACACCCTCCCTATCCCTTGGCAGCCATGCCCCCTGCCCTGAGGTCAGCCCAGGAACCACAGGGCTCTCCCCCAGCTCTGGCATCATCAAGACCCTCCAGGAGGCTGGCTCCTGCCAGTCCACCCCAGGCAGCATCCTCAAAGATAAACCATTTTCCTAGTGGCCAAAATGTAAACCATATTGCTTGTAAAATGCAGTTCAAACAGAATTACCAGAATCCTGTGTCACCAGAGCAGGCATCACACAGCCGGCATCTTCAAAGGTATCAATTATCATAATTAATGAGACCTTCCCCAGACTCCTGACACAATGATCTGTCAGCAGGAGCAGCCGAGTCCAGCCAGAGCTGCCTGTGAGTCAGCAAGGATTGTGGGAGGAGAGGGATTGGCCCACACCACCCCGCCTGGCACCTTCCCCCTCCCCACCCCCAGTGGGGGTTCAGGGTGCTCCATCCCTCCCGACAGCCCAGGTGGGGCAGCTCCATTAGTGGAGGTGGTGCTCACCCTGCACACTCCACGGTGAAGTTTCTGAGACTTGGAAGCAGGAGGTGAGTGGGAACACGTGTGCATTCAGGATCATCATCATCATGTGGAATAATAAGGATAATAAAATAGTAATGACAATAGCAGCTCTCACATACTGAGCACCTACTGTATGCCAGGCCCTGAGTTAAGATGTTATGCCCATGAGCTCATTTGACCCCATTATCCATGGTGACCACAGAATTCATCCTCCGACTGGGATGCTTGGGAGACTGGAAGATGGCACTGGGAGTAATGACACCCACCCCGGCCCCTGGACAGCCTGGCTCCCCTACTTCAGGTCTCAGCTCAGACGTCCTCATCTGCGCGCTCCTCCTGACTGCGTCTCACGTGTCACTGTCCCACTCCCTCCCATCATGCACTGCCCCTTCACCTGTCCTGTGTCCCTGACCTCATCGCCACCCACATGCCCCACAGCTGGTCAGTCCTTTATGTGTCTGTCATCTCTCCCCATTACCATGTGGGCTCCCCGAGGGGAGGGATGGGGCCTCTTCTGTCCACTGTGGTGTCCCAGGGCCTCAGCCAGTGCCTGGGCCACGGTAGCTACTCATCCTGTGATGATAGATGGGTGAATGAATTAACGAAAAGTCCTGAAATACAGGAACCGGGATAAGTGTGCACTTCTCCTTTCTAAGACTTCGCTGGGGTGTCTGCTCTCCTGGAGAATCTTCTGTAACCCTGAGTCACTGTGCAGGCCTGGGAGGACGGGAGCTGGGCCTGGGGCCGAGCCGCACAGTCTGAGTCTGAGCGAGTCCCCTGATGTGTCAGTGATAGTCTGCAGCGAACTTGCTTGTCTGTACATTTTACAAAATGCACACTGGTCTCCTACATTAATCACATGTGGATTGGATCCCAGGAACAGGATGTAGCAAGCACATCAGATTCCCTGGTAAAACAGATGCCAAGTAGAGTGTGGGAAACCAGTCCCACGATAACGCAGGGGCCTGCTGCCCCAGGGAGGGGCTGTTAGCTTTGAGTGGAAACCAGATCAGGAGAAGGCTCTGCAGCAAGTTCATTCAGACTGCGGCACAAGCTGCTCCACCACTTGGAGCTTATGACCCAGCAGATTTCACCATACTCAAAGCATCTATGGCAAACAGGGTGCTGTATAGAACCCCTGGCCAGCACCAATAGGGGAAACCCAGTTCAGACTTATAGGAGATTTTGGAGCAGTCTACGCCCTCTTTTGCAGATAACAGCGTTCCTTTTGAGAAATAGCTCCTGGCTTGCTACTGGGCTTTGGTAGAGACTGAACATCTAAATATGGTACATCAGGTGACTATGCAACCTGAGCTTCCCATCTTGAACTTGGTATTGTCTAACCATAAGGTCAGGTGAGCACAACCTAGCAAATAGAAGAGGTAAGAGATAGGTTCAAGGAGATTGGGAAAGTATGAGTAAGAGGCATGGGCAGGTGGTTCAGAGTCTTTCAAAACTAGCCCCTGCTGCATCTCCCCGCCCCAGCAGATGCTCCTGGGTGTTCCTCAGGACTGGGAGGAGGGCGTTCCTCCTTCTCCTCCTGAGGTGCTGACTGAGGAATAAGGAACTTGAGTCTGGTTGACATATGAGTCTGCACAGTGGGCTGGTATCACCCTAAAGTGGACAGCTGTCCCACTATGGCCCCACACTGGGGTGACCTTGAAGGACCCTGGTGAAGGGAAATCCTCTCAAGATTTTGAATAGCACATTTGGTTTTCCACTGAGTCCAAAGTGAGAGAAGGCCAGAGGATAGGGTCTACATGGACTCATGTGCATGGACAAATGTTTGGCTGGTGATCGGGGACTCGGAAGGAACAGGGCTGGAGCCTGGTGGTGAGGAAGTGTGGGGAAGAGGTGTGTAGCTGGACCTCAGAATGGCCACAAGTGGTGACAATATTTGTGTTCCAAGTGAATGCTCACTAAAGGGCATCCACTGCAGGTGAGAACCCTAATAATCAGATGGACAAAATGACTTTCCACACAGCCACCCTAGTGTTTGCTCAATGGGTCCATGGACGAAGGGGCTGTGGTGGCAGTGATGGAGGCTGGGCATAGGCTCAGCAGCATGGGCTGCCCCTTGTCAAAGCCGATCTGGCTAATGCTATTGATCAGTGCCTAGTCCACCAGCAGCAGAGACCAACACTGAGGCCCTGGTGTGGCACCCTGTCCTGCAAGGACCTGCCTGCCATCTGGGGCAGGTTGAGGACATCAGACCTTTTCATCATGGAGGGCATGGAGTGTCATCCTCCATGTTCTGGGTGTGAACTTGCCTTCCCTGCCCATGCTTCCTCCTCTGGCATCATTTTCCGTGAACTCCCAGAATGTCTTCTGCCATCATGGCATCCTCATGGCACTGCCTCTGATCCGGGAGCTCATGCCACAGCAGAGGAGGCGTGGTCACAGGCTCTAGTCCGTGGGGTTAGCTGGTCTTACAACACATCTGGAAGTGGCTGGCCTGACTGAAAGGTGGAATGGCTTCCTGAAGTCTCAGTTGTGATGCCAATTGGGAGACCACACCCTGAAAAGATAATGTTCTTTCTTGCAAGACACAGAGTGTGTTTTGAACCAGAGGCCATAATACGGTGCTGTCTCTGCATAGTCAGAACACCCAGGCTCAGGGACAAGGGGTAGAAGGTGGCGTGGCTCCTGCCACAATGACACCTAATAACCCACCCACAAGGACTTTGTTCCTGGTCACATTGTGGCAACTGTGTTCTCTGCTGGCTTAGAGGGCTTAGCTCCCAGGGACACAGCAATGGTTCCACTGAATCAGAAAACGAGACTGCCACCTGGCCATTTTGGGCCTGTGCCACTGAACCAACAGGGAAGAAAGAGGTTAATCTGCTGTCTGGAATGATTGCTCCCAATTACCAGTGGGAGACTGGGATGCTGCTGCAGTGTCGGGAAGAAGACCCCGTCTTGAAATCAGGGGATTCTCTGAGGTGCCTCTTAGTGCTCCCACGTCCCATAGTAAAGATTAATGGAAAACCACAGAAACCTACTCCCTGCCCAAATGAAGGCTGGATAGCAGAGCCTTCAGTAATGGAAGTTTGGGTGACTCCACCAAGCGGAGAATACTGACATCTCCATCTGAGCTTTGGGTTGAGACTGGGGGCGGGGAAGCTGGCGGGGGGAATATGGAAGGAAGGGTGGAGAAAGGTAGCCATACATATCAATGATGACCTCATGACCAAGTAGGAAAATTTGCATGTTTTCAATTTGCTTACTCTATGTCTGTGTTCACTTACATATGCTAGCTACTTTCTTCTTCTTTTTCCTTTTTCCCATTTTTATTCTATATACAAGTGGTTGGAAGTTAACTTAACAATTTAGTCTTCAGTAACAGAATAGTCAGTGAACTGTGACTGAATTTGAGGAGTAATTTATAGCCAGCAGTGGATGCAATGAGTCTTGGGATCATGTGCCTCCTCATTTTGGAGAAGGATCTTGTTCCCTTGTAAGACAGATAGCTGTCTCTTATGAGATGGAAATGATAGAGTTCTGTTGCTGTTATATGGGAATCCAAATGTGTGTAGAGTGTGTCTATGAAAGGTGAGCAGGTGTGGACCGTGCCAGTTACAAATTTATTGCCTCTCAGCTCCAATTCACGCCTCGTTGCCTGATCTGTGAAAGTGGAAATGGGTACCACTCTGAATATTTTTCATTTCCCGGTTGGCATGACATTAAATGTGGTCAGTAGAGGGCAGCAGAGAGACATTGCAAGAGGAGGGAGCTTTCCTTCCTAGTTCTGGTTTCTTCCTGGGTTAGGCAGGCTATGGCCGCAGGACTGGCTTCCTTAGGTCCCAGGTCCTGTAGCACAGGTGGCTTCCCCAGCACCCAGCCTTCTGGCACATGTGGCCTCTCTAGCATTCCCTTGGTCCTGTGCAGACAGCATTCCCAGGCCCAGCTCCTGTAGTACAGGCAGCCCCACCAGCTCCCAGCTCCTGCAATGCCAGTCCTTCCTCAGTGCCCAGCTCCTGCAGTTCAGATGGCTCCTCCAGTGCCCAGCTCCTGCAGTGCGGGTGGCTCCTCCAGTGCCCAGCTCCCGCAGTGCGGGTGGCTCCTTCAGTGCACAGCTCCTGCAGTGTGGGCGGCTCCTCCAGTGCACAGCTCCTGCAGTGCAGGGTCTTTCCCTGTGCCCAGCTCCTGCAGCCCGGGTGGCTCCTCTAGTGTCCAACTCCTGCAGTGCACGGCCTTTCTCATGCCTAGCTCCTGCAGTGTAGGCAGCCCCTCCAGTGCCCAGCTCCTGCTGTGCACAGTGGTCAGCAACTCCCAGTGGCCAGCAGCAACTCCCAGCAACCCCCTCAGGTGGTTCTGTAGCCACGTGCCTTCCGTGATTCACCTCCCCGTAAATGGTGTTTCTCTGGCATCCTAGAGAGTAGATTCCTGACAAGTTCTGGAGGGCAGATTCCAGCAAGTTCCACTCACGTGGCAGTATGGCAACTTCCTGTCCATTCAGTAGCCACAACTCTGCCCTCTCCAACAGGGCCTGGGTTTCAGCCGTGGGGCCTCCCCCTTGGTGGCCCTCTCTAGCCCCTGAGCAGTGGCTGCTCTTCAGATTGGCTGTTTCTGTATTCCATAGTGCCCCCGCCACCCTCACTAACGAACCCCTTGTTACTCCAACCCACTGTAGCAGTTAATAATTCTTTGTATTAAACTTTCCCTGTATGGCTTCTGTGTCCTGCTGGAACCCTTGCTGAGACATCGGGGCCGGTGTCCTGACAACCACCCCGGCAGAGCTTGGTCCAGCTCCACCACCAAACAGCTGCGTGGCCTTGAGCCTGTCGCCTCCCCTCCCTGGGCCTCTTCCTCATGTGGGAGACAGCAGCCTGCCCCCGGGCTGCTTCAAAGATGAAGGCGGGTGAAGAATGCGGCGGCGCTTTGAACCAGCGCATGGGAGGGGAGGGAGTCCATTTGACTCTCCTCGGAGTGCACAGGCCTCCTGAGAGGGTTCTTGAGATGGTCCCCACCCCTGCCTGCCCATCCTCCAGCAGCCTGTTTATCCCCTGTGCAGGACTTGATTATGGGGCTCAGCCAGCCTGGCAGGCCTTGCAGAACCCAGCGACTTGGGCTGTTAACTCCTTCTGAGCCAGCCCGTGAGTCACTTAGCAGATGTGCACACATGAGGATGGGGAGGCAGTGCCTGCAGGGGCCGAGAGTCAGAGCTGCCTTGCTGCCGGGGCTGGGAGTCAGGATGTGGTTGTGGGCATAATTCCCGCGGGAGACTTGGTTTCCCTTAGAGTTCTCTGAACCTCATTTGACCCTTTCTCATAAATCCTTATCGAGTGCCTATTACACAGTGAGCACTGTGCTGGGGCTGGGTTTACGTCGGGGCATCGGGAGGGAAACAGACACCTCCACTGACCACCTGGAGCCCAGTGTCCAGCAGGAAGGACAAATATTAATTTAAAAAATTCCAAAACATACAAATACCCACTGGGGAAAGTGCTCTAAGGGGAGTTAGAGGAACTGTCCTTGGGGGGAACCTTGAATGAGCCCCTTCTCCCTCTGCACCTCAGTTTCCTCATCTGTAAAATGGGGCCAAGCGTGGCATCCACCCCATAGGGGGGTTGTGAGGGTGATATGAAATCTCACCTGTAAAGTGCTCAGTGCGTGCCTGGCACACAGCACATGCCCATGTGCTGATTATTATTAGGATTATGATTTCAAGTTTCTTCATCAGAAGCACGAGATGAGCAGGAACCAATCATCATCAGTCACTGTGTGGCCACAGGCAAGCCGCTCTCCGCCCTGTCCTCAGTTTCCCCATCTGCTGACAGAGAGATGGGAGCTCTCTGCTCAGACATGGGGTCAGGTTTCTAGTCAATGTCAGGGTCCAGGGCTCCTCCCCGAGACCAGATTCCCAGAGGAGGACAGGGTCACAGCAGCCATTGGTCAAGAGGCCGCAGGGGTGAGCAAGAATGGATGGGGTGAGGCACATGCCTGGTCTTTCCTGGAAGCTGTCATTGCAGCCCCCTATCCGAGGAGCGAAACCTGTACAGGAACAACCTGCTCTCTCCTTCCCCCGACACAGCCACTCCATCTCTTCCCACCACCCACTGCCAGGCCCCCTCCCAGGCCCTGGCCTCTCTGGCCACACCGTCAGCCTGGCACAGGGAGTAATTCTGGATTAAGGGGGTTGAGCTGGCTGGAGAGGCCTTCAGGTCATCTGGCTAACCCCATCCCATGGGGGAACCTGAGAGTGGGGTCTGGCGCTGCTCATGGTGTCTTTGGCCCTTGCATGGAGCATGGCACACAATAAGTGCTTAATAAGCTTCTATAGACTGGGTTGGTGAATTACGAATGACTCAGGGGAACCAGACCCAGCTGCCCAGTGACAGCTGAGTCTTTCAACTCCCCATCCATCAGACATCACCAGCAATACCCTGTCTTGGGTACAGCACCCGGCTGTTTGCAAATCCCTGCTGTCCATTGTGTTGCTTTTCTTTGTCCTTCAATCCTCTGAGCAACATCACTGAGTCTGCTTTACAGAAGAGGAAAGAGGGGCTCAGAGAGGGGAAGGGACTGACCCACTCAGGGGAGCTGGGAAGGAGCCTCTGAGAAGGACAGCCTTGGCTTGGGGTGACATCTAAGCCAGCCCCTTAACCCTACTGGGCAGGGGTGAGGGCAGGGGCGGCTCCTGCGGAAGCCCTGCTGCTTTCCAGGCTGCTCAAGAACACGAACTCCTTAATCCCCAGCCCTGGTGTCCCCTCTGCACTGCCCACGCTGTCTGCACCTGGCTGGGTGTGTGCACATGTGTGGAGGTGCAGCAGCAGGCGTCCCACCCTGGGAGCAGCAGTGCTGGGAGATGACTTTGGGGGGAAGGGGAATTTAGAGGGCCTCCAGGAACCTGCTGGAAGTGGGCAGATACATTCCTCGGGACGGGGTTGTGTCCCTCAGGGCTCCTGTCGGGGCAGAGAGACTGAGGTGAAGAAATGAGCAGAGCAGGAGCTGGAAAGGAGAGAGAATGAGAGGAGGAGGAGAAAGGCACCCACAGTCATGGGAGTAAGAGGCAAAGAGCTCTGACTTGCCTCGTCCTCCGGGAAGCCTCTCCTAGCCTCACCCTTGGCTAGGCTCTCAAGCCCTTATTCTGTCCATCCCTTAGGACACCTTTGCTCTGCCTGGCATTCTCGGCTGCTGGCTGCCTGACCTGGTATTTTTCCCCCACTGAGAGGGGAGGGCATTGCAGCCTGTCTGCCTCCATCCTGGTGGGCAGGACTTTGAGTGAGCATGGATGAAGGGATCCTCATCCTGGAGCAGGAGGCAGAGAGGCTCAGAGCGTCTCAGTGACCTGCCCTAGTACCAAGAGCAAAATCAGGATTCAAACCCAGGTTCAACTGACCTGAAGCCTGGCCCCTCACCTATTCATAGGAACACCTACCGATCTGAACCACCACATTCACCACTTTTGAAAGGGCAAGGGCTTCCTTTTGGGGTGACTGGGAAGGGGCCATCCAGAGGCAAAGAGTGCCTCTCAGAAGTTGGTCATGTCAACCCCACCTTCAGTGCTCGGCAAACTCCTACTCATCTGTTAGGGCCCAGCACACCAAGGCCAGGTCCACATCTTGACTCCAGCTCCAGGGCCCAGTCTCAGCTTGGCACTTGGTGGGCACCAAGAGGGGCTTGTTGTTCTTTTACTCACTTACTCCTTCAAAAGTCTGCACTGAGCTCCCACTACATTACGGTCTGGGTTCTAGCAGCTGCAGCATCAAGCGAGTCAGATAAAGTCTCTGTCCCAAAGATCCTATTAAACAAATTACACAAGTTAGTGTGTAATTATCGCTCGCTTAAGTGCTCAGAAGGAAAGGAAATGGATTTGAGAAAGAACCTTAGGAGGGAGAACCTAATTTAGATTGGGGGATGGTGGCCAGAGAAGGTTCTCTGAGGAGGGGAATTTTAAATAGAAAAACTTGAAGGAGAAAGAGGAGACAACCCAGCCAGGATGGGGGAGTGCACTGACCGGTAGGGGCCAGGCCAGCCCAGTCCTCATGGCCTTGAAGGGTGGGGGCCTGATTTGAGAGCAGAGGAGGGCCCGATGGGTTCTGAGCCAGGAAACCATAGGACAGTGTTTGCATTTTGAGGCGATGACTGCTGAGGGATGGGGATTGGGTGAGAACAGGCATAGAAGTGGAGAGGCTGTGAGAGGCCATGGGGGTCTCATAGGAGGGAGCCTGAGCTGTGGCTGGAGTCAGGGAGGTGGAGAAGTGGGGAGGCTGGATGTCACCCTGAGCTGTGGTTGGAGTCAGGGAGGTGGAGAAGTGGGGAGGCTGGAGGTCACCCTGAGCTGTGGTTGGAGTCAGGGAGGTGGAGAAGTTGGGGAGGCTGGAGGTCACCCTGAGCTGTGGTTGGAGTCAGGGAGGTGGAGAAGTTGGGGAGGCTGGAGGTCACCCTGAGCTGTGGTTGGAGTCAGGGAGGTGGAGAAGTGGGGAGGCTGGAGGTCACCCTGAGCTGTGGTTGGAGTCAGGGAGGTGAAGTTGGGGAGGCTGGAGGTCACCCTGAGCTGTGGTTGGAGTCAGGGAGGTGGAGAAGTGGGGAGGCTGGAGGTCACCCTGAGCTGTGGTTGGAGTCAGGGAGGTGGAGAAGTTGGGGAGGCTGGAGGTCACCCTGAGCTGTGGTTGGAGTCAGGGAGGTGGAGAAGTGGGGAGGCTGGAGGTCACCCTGAGCTGTGGTTGGAGTCAGGGAGGTGGAGAAGTGGGGAGGCTGGAGGTCAACCTGAGCTGTGGTTGTTGGACTGACCAATGAACAGTCTCAGCAAAGAGGGGCGATGGTCTTGTTTGTGGGGCAAGGGTTGGAACCTACCTCCAGGTCTCTCCAAGACCCCTTTCAGTTCAGGCCCTGTGATCACTGGGTGCCCCCACCCTCGGGTCTGCAGGAGTCCCGTCCCGTATGTGTCCTGGACAACGCCAAACCCCGGATACTCCCACATCTTGTCCTGGATGTGGATGGAGCCTCCTTCCCTGATGGGGCTGGAGATGAGGGGCCAGTGTCTCTGACTCTGCCCTGATGGAGTGGATGGCTTTGGGCAAGACACTTCCTAGGAACTCCCACAGGAGGGAGGCTGCAAAGGGTAAGGGGGATGGGATTAGGTGACCCCAGTGATATTTTGAGTGGCGTCTTCTGTGAGGCCTGGAGCCTCCGTCCTGCTGGTGGGGGCCTGGGTGAGGACGGAAGGGTTAATGCTGGGGATGTTCTGCCCAGGCTGCTGGAGCCTGTGTGTGCCCCTCCTTGCCGTGATTAATTCAGTTTGGTAAGGCGGTATTTATGCTGGAAATCTAATCGTCATTTCTGATGGTAGAGGAATTGAAAAATAAATTGAAAGTGTCAGACGATGCATCAGGGTGGGCGATGGAGTGGAAGCGGGGGCCGCCCACCCAGTCTCCCTGTTGGGCAATTTGCGGGCCCAAGAAATCAGCCAACTTTCTGTTTCTACAATTGCAGGATCAAGAACGGGGGCGATGGGGTGAGGTGGGGGGAAGGAGGTATGAGGTGAAGAGAGCAGAGAGATCCCAGTGTGGAGGCAGCATCAGAGCCACAGTCAAGGAGATGGGCTCAGAGTAGGCAGGGACCCGTCCATGGCACCACGGGAGGCTGTGGGCACCGCGAGGCTGGGATCCGGGCTCCCTCCTTCCACCACCAGGCCAAGAAGGACACTGACGGGGTCTGGGCCTCCATGGAGATGGATGCTCTTGGCAGTTCAGCCCCAGGCTCCACCATCTGGGAGCCCCACCTCCCCAAGCTGCCCCTCTGCCTCAGGGAGGGGGCTGGCCACGCGGGAGAGGGGCCACCTTGAGTCTGTCTGGACAATGTGAGCTCAGGTCTCTGAGTCTGCAGGGACTGGGGTCTCCCCGGCAGTGTCTGGCCTCCCCCGACGTCTCCTGGTCCTGATGAGGTCTAGGTCTCCCCAGCAGACTGGACTCTACTGGCGGGGCTGCCTGCCCGCCCTAGTCAGAGGGGCCTCCTTGGGCAGGTCTCTGACTTCACCCCCTAGAGGCTCCTGAGAGCAGGCGTGTGTCTTCTCCAGACTGGGGGCTCCCAAAATCAGGACTGTCCCCCCGACCTGAGGCCTCCCTGAAGATGGTGGATGAGCTTCTCACTGGACCTCAGCTCTTCAGACCTCCTTGAGGGGACAGAGCGGAGGCAGCATTCTGATTACGAGGTGTGTCTCCTTACCTCCCCGAGTGGACTGAACGGGGAGGACAGTGAACTCAGAAGAGGACGCTGAGGGCTATCTGTTAAGGGAAGGTATGTGATCAGGTGATCCTCACTCATACGGCCCAAGAGCTCTTCGCTGGGCCCGAGAAGACAAGAGGAACCAGGTGGGCTCAGCCTCACCCGTGAGCTGGTGCTGGGTGTCGGTACCTGATGTCCCTATGGGAGGGGGTGACCTCGCTGGGCTGTGGGTCTAGGAATCCACACGGTGAGTCCCCTCCCAGGCTGTGGCCAGTGTTTGCTCCAGGGCCAGCCTAGCCTGGGTTCTGCCACTGACCCACCGTGTGACCTTGGGTGTGTCACCCACGCAATCTGCACCGGTGTGGCTCTTGGCCACTGACAAACAACTTCCCAGCCAGCTCCCTGCTACAGGCACCTGCCACTCACCCCGAGGGAGCCCCACCAGGGCAGGGCCCCGTCTCCACTGCCCACCTCCATAACCGTCCTCACACACAGACCAGGGCCTGGCACACAGGAGATGCGCAGGAAATATTCAATATTTCTTGGAGGATTACAAGAATGTGTAAGTAAACAGGACACATCCATGAGGTAGGCGCTTTTATTCCCATTTAACACGGGAGGAGACTGAGGCTCAGAGGTGAAGGGACCCACCCAAAGTCACATAACTGGCCAGAAAGAGGAAGCCGAGGGCTGCTCTTCCAGGGGGCACGAGGACCAAAACAGGGCTGGGGGACAGCATGGATCCCTGGGGAAACAGCTGAGCTGCTGTGCGTGCAGATGAGAAGTCAAATGTTTTACAAGGCTCAGCCCCGACCCGGGAAACTCCAGTCAGCCTGTGGGAAGCCCTGGTGATGGTGGCCTTGGGGAGAAAGAGGAGGAGGGAAGGAAGCAGCTTCATTTGCACAAAGGCCTCACCTCTGCCAATCAACTGGGCTTTCATGGGTGGGGACACCAGGATCTGGCCAGTCACCAGGAGGATGGGGGCAGAGGAGGAAGGTGAAGCAGGGCCAGGTTCTGCCCCTGTGTTCCTGGCTGCTCTTCCCAACCAGGTCTTGCCTCTTTGATGTCCCTGCAAAAGAGTGCCTCACTTTGCAGATGAGGCAGCTGAGGCCCAGAGAGGCCATGTGACTTGCCCAACGTCACACAGCAAGTCCACAGCAGACCCAGAACTGACCAGGCCTGGACTCCTAGCCCAGGGTGCTGAGCCCAGGGCCCATGCTGGGCACCCGCATCTTGTCCTGTCCTCTGCTACTGTCAGCTCCCTCTGCCCCACCAAATGCTCTACCCAGGGCTTAGCTCAGAGCTGCTGAAGACTCCAAGCCTCTTCTCCAGCTCCACCCCTGAGCCCAGACCCTTTGCCCCAACTGTCCCTAGGCACTGGGCCAGGGTGAAATTGATTGGGCTGGTCAATTGGGACTGGCAGATATTGGTGCTGGCAGGGACCCCCAGGAAGCCCCTGGCTCAATCCCCTGGGGCAGCAAGTGGAAGCAGTGGTCCCTCAGCAGCCACACTGTGCCCTCACCTTCATCCCTGAAGCCCCCCAGGGCCCAGCTTGGGCAGCTGCTCCTCTCCCTGCGTGTCTCCCCTGCTTCCTGCCTTACTTATCCCCTGACAGAGTTATGTGAATCCAGGTGTAAGGTTTGATTTACAAACCTCCAGGGGAAGGAGGGCAGCCGTCAGCACCTGCGATTACTAAGAGGTCTCAGTGATTTGCTCTGCTGGAAAACGTTTGCTTCTCAGGAGGGATCTTCCAGGCCCTCCCCCTTGAAGGCAGGGACTTCTTGAGGCTTCTCTTTACCAGGGAACTGCCTGGTGGCTTTGTGGGAGTTTTGGGGTGAGGTCAGCCAAAGTGGAAGGAGCCATGAGGACTCCCATGAAGTGAAAAGTGTCTAGACAGGGTGGTTGGGAGGAAGAAGATGGACTTAGGGCTCATCAGGGGCCTGGATTTGAATCCCTGCTTTGTGATAGCCACGCTGTGTGACCTTGGGCAGGTCACTTGACCTCTCCAGGCCTCCACTTCCTCATCTGCTCACTTGGCAAAGTCCCATAATAGGATGAGTGACAGCTTTCTACCGAGGTGATGAGGCTTGGACGAGGAATGTATATAAATTTCTGGCACATAGCAGGGCTCAGGAGAGTTGAGTTCTCCCCTCTATTCCATTTGAGGTCTCCCTTTCCCTGCCCAGACCACCTTTTCTGTGTCCCCCTAGCTTTCCTCCAAGTCCCCTCCCTGCACATGTCTCTCTGCCCTCAGGGAGAGCTGACGCTGTTGGTCTCAAAGATTCCACTTTCAATGTGGGTCAGGAAAGAGAAACAAAGGCTCCACCGCCAGGGCTGGCCTGGCCATCGTGTGCCAGGACATCAGCACAGGTAGTTCATACATCCAGGGGGTGTTAGAAGGCAGCCGCTTCCCTGCTAATGGGTTAATAAATCCACTAACAATGGGTTAACAATTCCAGCAGTTGGAAAAGCCCCTTGGCAGAGTAAGGGGTCTCTGGGGCCCAAAGCTCTGCTGCGATCTAAGGGGTCAGCAGAAGGCTGCGATGTGCCTGATTTCTAATAAATTGAGGCGGGACTGGCAGAGGTGCTGGCCTCGTTAGCACAGATGACTGGGTGGGGGCTGGCGCTGACCACCATGGTGGGAGTGAGCAAGAGGTATTATGACTGTGCCCAGGGATGACCCAGCCTGCTCCACTCTCTCCTGAAGGTATCTCTGGCATCCCCAGGTCTGATGTAGGTGAGATCTCAAATCTGATCAGAAATGAATTAAAGCCGTACTCCATTCTCAAACACATTGCAGGGAGGAGAGTGGGCTCTGGAGTCAGAACTGTCAGCCCCCAGAGGAACACCAGACCTGGGCTGGCCCTGGGAGAATCCTGGCAGCCCCTCTGTCTCCTGAGCCTCAGTCTTCCTATCTGTAAAGTGGGAGTGGTCAACACTCCCTCATTTGTTTTTTGTGGGGTTAAATGAGTGATATGAGTAAAGCCTCTGCAAGTGGTGCCTGAAATGGAGCAAGTGCTCCCCCAAAATAGTTGTTATTCAATTAAGGTGGGCAGAATAGTGGCACCTAAAGAGGTCCACTTCCTAATTCCTGGAATGTTACTTTACATTACATGGCAAATGAAAATAAAGCTGCACATGGAATTAAGGTTGCTATTTAGCAGATCTTAAAAATAGAGGAATTACCTTGGATTATCCAGGTGGGCCCCATGTAATCACGAGGGTCCTTAAAGTGGAAGAAGGCAGAGGAGGAGGTTGGAGTGATGTGGTGTGAGAAGGACTTGAGCTGCCGATGCTGGCTGGCTTTGAGGTGGAGGAAGGGACCACAAGCCTAAGAATCCAGGTGGCCTCTAGGAGCTGGAGCAGGCGAGGAAGTGTGTTCTCCCCAGGAGGCCTCCAGAAGGGACACAACCTTGCAGACACTTTGATTATCATTATCATCATTATTATTATCGAGACGGAGTCTCACTCTGTTGCCCAGGCTGGAGTGCAGTGGTGCGATCTTGGCTCACTGCAACCTCCGTCTCCCAGGTTCAAGTGATTCTCATGCCTCAGCCTCCAGGGTAGCACCACCATGCCCAGCTAATTTTTGTATTTTTCGTAGAGACGGAATTTCGCCATGTTGGCCAAGCTGGTCTTGAACTCCTGACCTCAAGTGATCTGCCCGCCTTGGCCTCTCAAAGTTCTGAGATTACAGGTATGAGCCACTGTCCCCAGCCTATTATTATTTTTAAGACAAGATCTCACTCTGTCACCCGGCTGGAGTGCAATGGCACAATCACAGGTCACTGAAGCCTTGAACTCCTGGGCTCAAGGGATCCTCCCACCTTAGCTTCCTGAGTAGCTGGGACTACGAGCACATGCCACCACACCGGCTAATTGTTTTAAATTTTTTTGTAGAGACAGGAGTTTCACTATGTTGCCGAGGCTGGTCTTGAACTCCGGGCCTCAAGAAATCCTCCCACCTGAACCCCACAAAGTGCTAGGATTATGGGTGTGAGCCACTGTGCACTGCCAGTTTGTAATGTTGAAGCCACTAAGTTTTTGGTAATTTTTTGCAGTAGGAAACTGATTTGTGGAACCATAGCCCAGCTCCATGAGGGTAGAGTTGGGTAAGGTGTGGACTTGTGCACCCAGCCGCCAGACCCAATTCCAGCCCAATCAATTCAACACCAGCTCTGTGACTTGAGGAATTAACCAAAGATTTCTGTGCCTTGGTTTCCTCATCTGTAAAATGGGGGTAATAAATACTACCTCCCTCACGGAGTCTTTGTGTGGATTAAGTGAGGTAATATTTGTAAAGTTCTGGAACAGAGCTGGGCACACAGAAAGCCCTTAATTAAACTCAGAACATTTGGAGTGCGAGGCCAGATTTTTTCAATTTAACATTACTAAAAGTGTTGGAACCCCATGCTATGAACTGTCCTTGTAAACTGGAGGTAGCAGAGAGCAGTGGAGAGGACTGTGGTGTTGGGCAGACCTAAGATCAAATCCCCAGTTCACCACAATCCAGCTGCATGTCTCTGAACACGTCACTTAATTCTCTGAGCCACAATTTCCTCATCCATAAAGTAGGGATGATAACATAATACCTACCCTTGAGGGGTGGTTTGAGGATTGAATGAAATAATCCAGGTAAATCGCTAAGCCCAGGTCCCCAGCACACAGTAGATACTCAAGGAATGATGGCTGCTATTATTATATCATTGCTCTAATCGCTGCTATTAGATCCCAACGACAGAGGAAATACCCAATGGACAAATGCCACCAGGGATGCAGAAATGCTTCTCAGTGTTGTTTCTGTTTCTGTAGTACATGCAGATCATAAAGTGGTGCTTTGCTATGTACCAGGTCAATTCTTCCAGCTGCAAACAGCATATGATACACAATTAAATCTGGGGACCCCTGAGGTTAGCACCCCCAGGAGTTCTGGGCCCCTAGGTTGGGACCCTCAGCTGTGGCTCTAGTCAAAGCCAGTGTGGAGTTCTGAGACTTACATTTAGGGAGACAGTAACAGGGGCCACCTGGGCCCAGGCTCACCTCCTCCTCCCTCCTGCCCCAGCCAGAGCCCAGGGCCCAGGGCAGCCTAAGGCTTTCCCCAAGTTGGGTCCTCCTCCCACTCCTCAGCCCTGAAACCCAGGCTCTCAGGTTTGTGGTTCTCTTTCTCCCCAGTGACTACAAGATCGTCTCACAGGATGGGCTGAGATGACGACTATAATAAAACCGGCTCATTACATCCCTCTACGCAGAGCTGTCTAATGAGCACACACTGGCACTCCCTGGCCCTTTGAGCCAAATGTAAATGAAATATGTTCCATGGTATCATTTAATTAGCTTAGGAAGGTAGAGTGGGATGTGAAGAGGGAGAAGGGGAAGAGGAGAAACGGGTCTTTTTGTAAGCTCTCCAAATCCCCCTTATAGAGAGAGCTGGTTGAGCTGGACTCGTTATTCCCATTGGAAAAATGAGGGCACCAACTCCTACTCTGCACTGTGACAGGTTCTGGGGACACGACGAATGAGAGAGATAGGGTCCTGTCTTCAAGGGGTTTATGCAGAGTGCAGAGGCAGGCATTGAACAATTAACCACTCAAATTTGTGTGCGTGAGTGTTTGAGTGTGTGCACAAATGTGACTTCATATATGTGTGTCTGTGCATGTGTGTGGAGTGCAGTGGAGCAATCACAGCTCATTGCAGGCTTGAACTCCTGGGCTCATGTGTGTGTGCATGTGAGAGTGTGTGAATTCGAGCAGATGAGAATGTCAGAATGTTTATATGAGTGCATATGTATGTGTGTGTATGAGTGAAAATGTGCATGAATGTGTATGTTTTTGAGAATATTTGCGTGAGTGCATGCAAATGGATGTGTATGTGTGTGTGAATGCATGTATGTTTTTGAATGTGCATATGAATGTCTATTTGAGTGCATATGTGTGCAGATGTGCGAGTGAATACATTTATGAGTGCACGTGAATGTTTTGTGAGTGTAAGAAAATATGTATTTGAGTGTACATGTGTGAGTGCACGTGTATGTGCAAAAGTGCATGACAGTGTGACTGTGTGTATGTATGCAGGTATGAGTGTGTGACATGGGAGTGTTTATATGAGTGCATGTTTGTGATTGTGTGTATAAATGGGAGTATGTGAAGGTATCTATGTGAGTGTGTGTGTAGTGTGTATCTGTGAGCAAATGCATGTATGAGTATGTGTGTGTGAAAATGTTTTTGGTGAGTGTATGCATATTTGTGTTTGTGTATGCGTGCAAAATATATTTGTGTGTAAATGCATGCGTATGTATTTTGAGAGTGTTTATGTGAGAATAGATGTGTGTGAATGTGTGTTTATGTGAGCGCGTGTGTTTGTGCGTGTGTATATGCAAATTCATGATTACCCATGTGATATTTAGAAAGAGAAATCTAGTGGTTTCGGGAAAGTGTGGGCTGAAGGGTGACCACCTGGGCTGGAATACCAACTCTGCCACTTCCTGGCTGTGCGCCCTTGGGCAAGTTACTCAATACTCAACCTCTCTGCACCTCAGTTTCCTCATCCCTTAGAGGGATATTGAAATAATTACAGTTATTAATGTATGTAAAGCTCTTAGGACGATGTCTGTACATATTTAGCATTCAGTACATTTTAGCTGTGAGAAAAATGGGAGCTAAAAAGCAGAGGAAAGGGACTGGTGGGCCTTGACTGAGATCACTCTGAAGAAGTGGCACTTTTGCTGAGACCTGCAGGATGAGTCCAGGTGAATGTGTAGTGGGCTTCTGTTTAATCGTTTGCTTGTTCCTGAACCACTTCTCCCCTTCTGCAGGGACCACTCTCGATTTTTCCTGTGAAAACAACTCCATGTCCACTTAGTTCAGCAGATAGGGCTGCCTATCCTCTGGCTCCTGCCATCCAGGCCTGGCCCTTCACTAAACTTCACCCATTGGCTATGTGATTCTTTCAGGAGTGGGCAGATGACCCCATCTCAGCCAATGAGAAACATCCCAGAGACTTTGCTGTTAACTACCGCAGAGGAGGGGCATGTAGCCAGAGTGATGTAAGCCTGACACTACCAGTGTAGCCATTTCTCACCTGCAGGGAGAGCGTGACTGTGAAAGATGCCAACCCCGAAGAGACAGGAAGACCACAGTCTGAAATATTCTTTGAATCCCCGGATCCAGCCATGCCTGAAGCTATGCACACCTGGATTTTTCAGGTGAATGAACAAAATAATCTTCCCTTTTTATTTCTTTTGTTTAAACAGGATTCATTTGGTTTTTGTCCCTTCAATTGTAAGACTCTGAAGGATATTGCACGTTCCTGAGAGAGGGCACAGCCTATAGGGAGAGAAGCACTGCAGTGTTGTCAAGAAGCTAAAATCATGCCAGTGTGGCCAAAGCAAGGGAGAGGACGGGGAGTGCCTTTGTATCTGGACTCAGAGGTGCCCAGAGTCTAAGCACAATAAATTGGGCAAGTGAGAGTGGGAGTGGGGGAGATAATGTAAGAACTAAAAGCCTTGACATGCTCAATGTGCTCTTTTTGAGTCCTCTTCCAGGCTGCCCCAAAGTCCTCACTTCTTACCAAACCCCCATCTTGACTCTATCCACCCCCGAGTCCTGCATCCAAGACCGGGAACAGATAGGGCTTATTGGGGCCATAAAGGCCATTTAGTGTAAAATCTTTTTAAATTTCATTTTTATTTTATTATATCATTTTTGTTTTATTTTATTATTTTCTTTTATTGTTTTATTTATTTTATCAAATAATACATGGACACTTTCTCTTGGTAAAAAGATAAAATCTAATAATGTGGAAAAAGCAAATCGCATCATTTTACAGAATGGGAATGGGGTCTGGGTAGTTCATATAGTTCACATGAGGTTATATAACAAATTTTTCCGGCATCTGGGGTGAAGGAGGTCTTCTTAATCTTTTCCATCTTATGCAAAATAGCTCTTGGGAGATAATAATACTGACCACCATAATAATAGCTAACTTTTTAGTACTTACCATGTGCCAGCCACTATGTTAAGCTCTTTACTTTCTTTAATTTGAATTTGTCCTCACCACAATCCTATGAAGTAGCTACCATTATTTTTCTCATGACAGATAAGGCACATTGCACAGAGGTTAAGTAACTTCTCCCAAAGTCACAGCTTGTGTGGTGCAACCAAGACGGGAACACAGGCAGTTTGGCTCCAGAGCCCATGCCATCACTCCTGCTAACAATGTAAAGTTTGCAAGAGTAAATTTCTCTTAACCAGATAATTTTACCTAGAAGACAGAGGGAAATGAGCGATCCTGGGACTATGAAGAGAAAGGTCCTTTAAGGTCCATCAGAGCACTCCATGGTGCTGAAACAACTGACCCAGGACATCGCACTTCCCTGGCTCATTTCTCAGCCTGTCCCTTCCCTTCCCTTCCCTTCCCTTCCCTTCCCTTCCCTTCCCTTCCCTTCCCTTCCCTTCCCTCCCCTCCCCTCCCCTCCCCTCCCCTCCCCTCCCCTCCCCTCTTCCCTTCCCTCCACTCTCCTCCCCTTTCTTTTCGACAGAGTCTCCCTCTGTGGCCAGGCTGGAGTGCATGTGGCTCAGTCTTGGCTCACAGCAACCCCTGCCTCCCAGGTTCAAGTGATTCTCCTGCCTCAGCTTACTGAGTAGCTGGGATTACAGGCGCACGCCACCATATCCAACTAATTTTTGTATTTTTAGTAGAGACGGGGTTTCACCGTGTTGGCCAGGATGGTCTCGATCTCCTGACCTCATGATCTGCCTGCCTCAGCCTCCCAAAGTACTGGGATTACAGGTGTGAGCCACCGTGCCTGGCCTCTCAGCCTGACTTCTACAGCTGAGAAATCAGGTTTACCACTTCCTCAAGTTTACCTGTGTAAACATCAGATGTACCTGTGTTCAGCTCTTCACAATATAGTCCATTGATAGTCCCATCTCTCACTCCATCCCACTTGAGAGAAATCTGACTGAGGCTGAAAGTTGTGAAGCTACAACTCCCCATCCACACACATATACTCACATGCATCTTGTAACAACACTGTCTCTGCAGAATTAGGGGCCATGTAGAAAACAGGGACCCTAACAAGGAAACCTACAAGCATACTGACACCAAGAGTACCTGTTGTCATCATGTGACTCAAACCCCATATTTTTCTATTTGTTGTATTAATATATAACTTGCATATGGTAAAATATATAAATATTAAGTGTACATGTGGTAGGTTGTAAAATAACCATAAATTCTTTCCCTTCTGCATTCGTACTTTTGTGATTTGGCATTTCAAATCCTTCCATCAGGAATGGAAGTTTATTTCTCCACCTCTTCAATCTGGGTTGGCCAATGGACTTGCTCTGGCCAATCGAAACACTAACAAAGAGTAGACACACAGAGGCTTTTGAATTGCTTGCCCATAAGGTCTTTCTCTTTTTTGCTGAACTTGGAGACATGGAATGAGTCTGAGCTGGCTTGATGGAAGGTCAGAGACCATATGGAAAAGAATGAAGGTGCTCCAGCTGATAGCTTGCCGAATATCAAATGTGTGAGTGAAACCATCCTTAAATCATCCAGCTGTAATCTGCAATACTAGTGGACCCTAGACTCAGGAGAGATGACCTGAGCTAGACTAGACCCGATCAATTGCACAGACAGCCATTAGAATTGTGAGCTAAATAAATGGCTATTTACCACCCAATTTGTATTTTGAGCAAAAGCTGATGGAGATAGCTCTATGAACTTCTACACAGATGTACACCCATGTAACCACCAGCCAAATCAAGACAAAGAACATTTCTAGCATCCAATAAAGTCTTTGTTTCCTTTTCCAGTCAATCTCCCAACCCTGAGAGATGTTCATTGTTCTATAATATCACTATAGACTTGTTCATATTAATGGGAATGTAAAGGATGTGTCTTTTGTGGCAGATGTTTTTTGTTGACCCTGTCTGTGATATTCATATATGTTCTATATATGTCTAATATATGATGTTTTATATATATATCTACATATATATGTAGTTTGTTTATTTTTGAAAAATTCTGTGTATTTCAATTTTATCACTCTTCACAATATATTTATCCATTCTCTCATAGATGGACATTTGGGTTATTTTCTTTTTAAACTATTATAAATAAAGCTTCTATGAAAATTTACATATAAGTGATTTGTGGATATATATACTCAATTTTCTTGGACATATCCCGTTACAGGGTGAATTGTGTTTCCCCACAAATTTGAATGTTGAAGTCCTAACCTCCAATACCTGAGAAGGTTACGATCTCCATATTTGGAGAGATGGCCTTCAAAGAGGGATTAAGCTAAAATGAGGTCACAGGATGGGGCCTTGTCCAACAAAAGGACACAGAGAGAACATGACCACCTACAAGCCAAGAGAAGAGACAGAAGAAACTCACTCTGCCAACACCTTGGTCCCAGATTTCTGGGCTCAAGAACTGAGAGACCATGAATTTCTTTTATTTAAGCCTCCCAGTCGTGTGTCTTGTTATGGCAGCTGGAACTGACTGACAGAGCTCTTAATGTATGTTAAACACCAACTAGGTGCCAGGTTAAGAGCTTTACCCATCTCGTTGTGTTCTCAACACCCCATGAAGAAGATGCCAATAAGATCCCCATTTTACAAATGAGGAAACAGAGGCTCCAAGAGGTTTAACAAATTGCCAGGTTTGTATAGTTAGTACTGTTAGATTTCTGCATGATTAACTTATTGCAGCTCAGTACTAACTACAGAATCACTTGTGTGATGGTTTGTTTGATGTTTTTCTCTTCCTTTATACAGTGAGCCCCATGAGGGTGGGGGTGGGGTCCATCTCTTGACTGTGGTACTCCAATGCCTATCACAGCCGACATGCAGCTTGACAGCTGACTTGAATTCCTGGGGTCTCCACCACTCCCACTTCCCACCATCTCCTGTGATTCCAAGGGTCTGTGATGGAGGGTGGGGTGGGGGCTGCCAGGCAGGGTGCTCGCCTCTCTGCAGACAATTTGGGGAAGATTGTTTCCAGAAAGAGCAGCCGTGATTAACTCAAATGAACTGTAAAATTGTTTTTGGTTTAAAGGCTTTGCTTACTGAGGTATCGAGTGGTAGAAGGGATGGGTGTGGGAGGGAGGGGCCAGCTGCCAGTAGGGCTGCCCCCTACTCCTCAGTCAGCAGACCCTGGCCAAGCGTCCACCATGTATCGGGTCCCATGCTGGGCTCTGGGGCCCAGAGACAGGAGAGACCCACGTGGTCCTGGGGAGCTCACAGCCCAGGCCCCATGGGGAGACTGGGAAATGAGTAGTTTCAGAACAGTCAGGCGAATGCTCGTGCAGGGGAAACAGGAGTGTGGAGGAGGGGCCCTGAACCTGGGAAGAGGTGCCTGGGATGGGCAGAAGCGACCTCATGCAAATGACCTGACTCAAATCCCAGCTCCACCATTTACTTCCCAGATGAGAGCCCTTGGCCAGATGCTTCATGTGTGAACCTCAGTTTTTCTTCTGTAAAATGGGGATGGATAATAGCTATCCCTGCAGGGTTGCTGGGAGTGTTAAATGGGATAACCACGTAAAGCCCTTAGCACAGTGCCTGGCACACAGTCAGCTCTCAGTACACACCAGCTGCTGTTGACCATCGAGCAGGGCTGTGCAGAAAGCTGGCATCAGGCAGGCCTGGGAGAGGGTGTTTCGGGAAGATGGCCCAGCACACACAGAGGCCTGCACACAGCTGACTCTGTGTGGCGAGTGTAAGACGAGAGTGGGAAAGATGGGGCTGCAGAGGTCCATGTGGCTGTTTCACAAGGGCCCTGCAGTCCACACTGTTGTTGGGATTTTAGTCCTCAGAGCAGCGGAGCCATGGAAGGGCTTTGAGAGGGGGCATGGCCTGTTCATGTTGGCTGCAGCCTGTGAACTGCAGGGGGAGGGTCTGGGTCCAGGAGACTGGAGCAGCTGTGCAGTGTCTGGGGAGAGAAGATGGTGCCCTGGACTGGGTGAGAACAGTGTAGACAGGGGTATGGAGGGAGACCCCAAGGGGGCAGGGCTAGGAGACCCCCAGCAGGGGCGGCAGGGCAGCAGCAGCTGAGGACAGGCCCAGGCCCAGCGTTCCGAAAGGAAGGTGGTGCTGAGCTCCAGGAAGGAGCAGGTGTCTGGGGCTGGGGATTCTGTGCCTGTTGGAGGGAAGTGCCAGCTTGGCCATGGGGGAGCGACTGGGACTGCAGACCCTTCAGCCTCCCTCAGGCTGAGAGAGGGGCTGCCCAGACCCCCTTCTTCCAGCCAGGCCCTCCCTGAGCCCCACAGCTGGTCTGGCCCAGCCTGGCCCTGCAGCCCCCTCTGTGGGCACTCAGGCTGCATCCAGCCCACGCAAACTGTAAAACTCTATGTAGTTTAAAGGCTTTGGAAACCAGGATATTGGTGGTACACTGGCTGGGGCTCTGGGGGGCTGTCCATGTGACCCCCTCACCTCAGCCCAAGCTGCTTCAGAAGGTGAACTTGAGCACTTCACACTGTGCCTTTCCCCTCCCCTCATGGAGAACATCAGCCTCTTTAATGCAGGGGCGCAGGGCGGTGGCCTCCCCCGCAGTCAGGACCGCAGAAGCCCAAACCAGGAGAGGGTCAGGGACAGTGGGAGACAGAGACAGATGGTGACAGGGACTTGGTGACAGAAGGAGCCAGTGATGGGAGAGAGGCAGAGGGAGGCCTTGGGACAAGGCAGCCCCCCCCACCCAGAACCTGGGCCCTGGGGACTTTCTTGGGGGTAGGGAGTCATTGGGGCTCAGATGACCCCCCTGCTCTGTGGTTAATTTTCTCAGAGAAAAGAAATCACTCTCCATACAATTAATCTAGTTAGACATAATCAAGTTGTGGGGAATCCGTGCAGCAGGGTGAGTGATTAGGAAAAATTACCTCCCTGCAAAGAATTTAAATTTCATTTTTATTCAATAAAGACCAAATAGAAACAATTGGGTTCCCTACTGTTCCTGGCCAGCAGCTGAAAATTTTCTAGAATGGGACATCAGCTCAGAGTCCAGCAAGGACAGGCTGGGGACACAGAAGATCTGCTAGGAGTCACCCACAGGATCTGGGCGTTGCCCGAGGGGAGAGCCACCGCCACGGCCCTCAAGTGTTTCTCACACTCACACTCTGAGACTAAGGCACATGTTCTCACGCACTCTGCATTTGTGTCCTTAACTGTCACACACACCATTTCACATGCATGCACTGACAGTCAGGAGCTCTGCTGAGTCCCGATGCCTGTCCCAGCTCTGCCACCAACTGGTTGTACAAACACTGAGCTCCCTCTTAGAGCCTCGGTTTCCCTGCCTGTGACAAGTGAGACTTAGACTCCTTTTCTGGAGCATCTACCAAAGGTGACAGCTTGGAATTTTTCTCTCTCTCAGCCTCTCTCTCCTTATTTCAAATTGAGACTGAGTCAGAAAAAATAAAGTCTGGGAGGCGGCAGCCCAGGGGAGTTCATAAGGTGATTCTCATTATCAAGGGAGGCCTCCCCTCCATTAGCAAACTGGGGACTCATGCAGCAGCCCTAGCTTAGCCCCAGGGCCTGGGTCCAGGGCCTGGGGGAGCAGAGAGGGCTTTGCTGACCTCACATGCACATGCACACACACCTGGACCCCACCTTTCATGCTGAGCCATGTTGCCACCACCTCCAAGGAATGGGGTTTATCAACCTGTACCAGTCCCAGGGCCAGGCCCATGTCCCCGCAAGGCTAGGACCAGCCTCCACCCTCTGGGTCCTCTCATATTTCTCTGAGGATGGAGCTGATGAGGGATCAGTCCAGGAAGGTGAGAGAAAAATCATTTGGAGCCAGAGCTGAAGATGCATTAATTTATGTTCTGTTGCTTCTCCAGCCAGAGCTGGACAGTTTGGGGAAGTGAGTGGTCAGGGGGCTGGTCAGGGGCTTTGAGCCCCCAGGTGGAGGAACAGGCTGGAGGATGGGCTGAGCAGGTGGGCATGTCACCGAGGGGTGACATAGGATCCTGCCGGCTGCACGTTGTCCCTCCCCTCCCTGCGTGGCTGTGGCTACAGAGCCCACCTGCATGACCAGAGGCTCCAGGGCAAAGGGCCAGTCCTGCCCCAGCAGTGGGAGCTTAAAAGGTTCTGGGGCAGGGAGTGTCGGGGGGCGGTGGGTGTGGATCTGGGGACTGGCCTAGTGTTGAATCCCAGCCATTGGCTCACTGAGTGACCCTGAGCAGCTTCCTCCTCTTCTCTGGGCCTCAGTTTCTTCATCTGTCAAATGGGGCAAGGATCCTGCCTAGGGTGACATGTGGGCTCCCCTGAGCACGGGAGGGGCATCTGCAGGCGCTCAGTGCATGTTTGTTCCTGTACCCTCTGCAGCCCTGCAGCACCTGGCTCCAAGTCAGTGCCCAGCAAATACTCGTGAGCCTGGTGAGAGAATGAAATGAGCTCATGTTTGCGTCTGCACTCACTGCAGCAAACTCTAAAGCTGTGTTGGCAAATTGAACAACCAGCAGTCTCGCTGGGTAACACGCTTGGGGTTTGGCTGTCAGACATCAAGGAGGAATTCCTGGAGGAGGCTTGCCTTGGGCTGGGCAGGAATTGAATAGAGGAGGGGAAAACAGGTGAGGAGGAGAGACAGCCTGTGCAAAGAGGAGAGGGGCCAAGGTGAGGCCACGTCCTCTCTTGTGCTCTCTGCCAATGGCTGATGGGAAAGAGTTTGGGTTTGGAATCAGACAGATCTCAGTTCGACCTGGACAGGTCCCTCTGTATGCGGAGCCTCCGTGCTGTCAGCTATGAAGTGGGGGGAACATCACCCCTTCCCCACAGGGTGGTTGTGAGGCTGGCACAGGCATTTTGTATGTGTGGAGCCCCAGCACAGTGCTGGGCATCCAGAGACGCTTGATACCAGGGGCTCCCCACCTCTGCCAACTCATCCAGGTCAGCTGCTCCCCCTCTGCCCTACAGGTGGCCTCCCCACCAGGTCACGTGTGGTCTGAGCAGGGAACAGGCTTTGGTGCAGGGACCTGGGGGGTTGAGGACACGCCACCCCTCTTGGAGAAGACCACCAGGCTCTACCTGGAGGAATGGAGCCCATCCAGCCCCCACCCTGTAGGAATCCAGCAAACAGAGAGGTCAAGGGAGTGGCCCAAAGTCACCAGCCCCAACCCAGCCTCTAAGTGCTCTGCTCTCTAACCAGCTCTGGGGTAGGTGGTGGGGGCACCTCCAAACACCTGGATCAAGAGCCTCAAGGATTCTTCTCTGCCCTCTATCTTCCCTCTTTCCTCACATTCACTTGCTCCCAAGGCTGTGAAAAGCCAGGGTCCCTGGGAGCCCAGGCCAGTGATCTGCAGAGCCGTCTGGCTGAGGCCTTGGCCTGTGCTGGGAAGGAGAGGGTTAAGGCTTGAGAAGCCCTTCTGGTTAGTGTTTAACTTGCAGTTTCTGAAGGCCATCGGGAGCCCCATGGAGCTAATGTTTTCTGTCTTAATGACACTGTAGCAGATGAAGGCGGGACCCACCTCCCAGAGAGCATTAAAAAGAGGCATCCATTACCCAGAATGGCCTGGCCTAGAAGCTGGATTAACTTTCCCAAAGACCTGGGTGGAGGAGGGGTCTTCTCATCCTTGTCATCAGCAAGTTTTCCCTGTCCCCATGGTCCAAGATTTGGGAGGTGAGCATGGATGCCCGGATACCAAGCTGGGAGAACACTGATGCAGGCTGGGATTCAGCTCAACATGAGAAAGATCTCCCAGTCCCAGTGGGCCACAGGCTGACAGCCATTCACTTCTGTGGGCTATATTATTTTTAAAGTTGACTCAGATGTTGGTCCCTTGTCCCTTTGGATTGATAGAAGGGCTCTGGGGATGCAGCAATGATAACCCGATGTAGAGACTGTTCCAAGTCCTGTCTCAGTTTTTGCATTTGGTTCAAAGGCAGGCGGTGCCAAGAATATGCACTTAGCTTGTGGTTAGGAGACATGGGTTCAATTCAGCCTCTGTGAGCTTGGCAATGACCACAAATATCATTGCTTGAACACCTTCTGTGTCCAGTTTGTACCAGACACTTTCGATCTGCTCTCTCATTTCACCCCCTCCTGGGAGGCAGGTGTCTCTATCCTAACCTCCTGTGTAAGAGGATGAGGCTCAAGAGGAGCAGAGTTGGGATTCAAACCCAGGTATGTCTGCTTATGCTCCTTTTACTGTAATATTCATGCCCTCTGAGCCCCAGCTTCTTCATCTGTACAATGGGGTGACAATACCTACCACAAACAGCTCACAGAGTAGTTGGATAGTACCAGTGAAATATGGGTGCACGAACACACACACACGTGCATACACACACGCACACACACATGAACACACATGATTGTGCACCCAGGAGACACCAGTCAGTTACTATCCAGGGATGAGAGGTGTTACACAGGGGTTTTTCTGCATTGAGCTTTATTTCTTTATCCACCAAGATCTAATTAATTTAGCATCTAAGAGGCACTGATACCCAGCTTGAGAGTGGATAAATTTCACTGCATGTGTAAAACATCCTAGAATGCCCATACTTTTGACCTAGCAATTCTACTATCAAGAGAGAGGTCTGAGCCTCCATGATTACGTACAAGAATCTCACTACTGTGTTACGGTTAACAGCAAATATTTGGAAGCAAATTGTCCAGTAGGGGAATATTTGATGTCCGTGTGATGGAATATTATGCAGCCAATAAGAGTCATGTTTGTGAAGCACATTTAATGACACTGGAATGGACGAGCAGAACCAATACCTGCCGTATCACATGCTCATCATGGAGGCATCTCTAAGATGACAGGCGATTTTTATTTCTTCTGCTTCTTCTTCTGCATTGAATCAATCTCTTTAAAAATGGATGATAAAATGTACCTTGCATTCCCGTTTCTGGAAAGGGCACTGTGGAGCATAATTTAAGCTTTGCTCTGTGCCCTCTGAGTCTCACTGTCACCCCTATGTCCTCTAGCCCCGGAGGATCCCCAGAGGACTGGAGCCCAGCCTGTAGCCCGCCTTCTCCTGGAGTTCTCTCACCTGCCTTCTGGTGTTTTCTGGTCTTCTGGGCCCCAGATGTCTCTTCTCGCTGGTATTCATGTAGTACCTTCCAGCAGGACCCACTCCTCCTAGCGCCCTGCCACTAACCTGTTGTGGTTGGACAACCAACTCACCGGGCATATGAGAACCACGCCTGCAGTAGAAGCCTCTCATCTCTGAGTGAGGGAGCACCTCTGTTTACAAAAACAAAAAACTTGTGCTTGTAGACATGGTCCATGTGACTTGCATTTTGGTAATTCTAGGGCTTTTTGGGTATTTGTGTTCCATTCTAGATAGCTGAAGCTGCCAGATGCCTGGATAAGTGAGATATGGTTCAAGATGAATATACAGCTGTAGCACATTCTTACATATTCACTTATTCGGTCAACTAATATTTATTTGAAGCCCTACTCTGTGCTAGAAAGAGATCCTGGGGATACAGCAATGGAAAAGGTAGACAAAGGTTCCTATGAGGGAGACAATAAATGAATAAACAAATTAAGTAATAAGGCAAGTAGTGATGATGACTACAGAGGAGCTAAAACAGAGTGATGGAGCAAAGAAAGACCAGCCTGGGAGGAGGGCAGCCAGGCTCCAGGAATCCAGTTGTATTACACAGGCATTAGCCTGCTCCATGGCAGGCTTTATGCTGGTGCAGGCTCTATGCTGGGGCAGGCTCTGGGTGCAGGCACAGCTGAGTCCACACCCTGTCAGTTCAGCCACCCAGTGGAAAGAGAGTCTCCCATTCCTAGGTGCTCCAGCAAAACTCCTAGGGCTGTTGCTCTTTAGCTCAGAGTGGGGCAGCTTGGGCCATTGGCCTGGGACTGCAGTGCTCTTATTGATCAGGCCTGGTCAAATGCCCACTCCTGAAGCCAGGGACTCAGGCAGCCTCACTTGGGCCATTTGAACTGAAGGGGGTGGAGAAGGGTCACTCCCTAATCAAAAATTAATGTGCTGGGACCAGAATAGGCAAAGACACATGGCCTACTTAAGAATATCGCTTCTCTCTCTCCTGTATCCTCAAATTTTTCCCTTTTATTCAATCCCTCCCATTAGCAGACAAACAGCATGCAAATATTTTTCCCATTTAAAAGAGAAGCGGCCGGGCGCAGTGGCTCATGCCTGTAATCCCAACACTTTGGGAGGCTGAGTTGGGTGGATCATTTGAGGTCAGGAGTTCAAGACCAGCCTGGCCAATATCGTGAAACCCTGTCTTGACTAAAACCACAAAAATTAGCTGGGCGCGGTGGCACACGCCTGTAGTCTCAGCTACTTGGGAGGCTGAGGCAGGAGAATCACTTGAACTGGGAGGTGGAGGTTGCAGTAAGCAGAGATCACACCACTGCACTCTAGCCTGGGCAACAGAGCAAGACTCTGTCTAAAAAAATTAAAAAAAAAAAGAATTAAACCTCTTGACTCCTTATTCCCTTCCAAGTCCTGCCGCATTTCTCTGCTCCTCTCCTAAGCAAAACCCCTCAAAATGTTGCCTAAGCTTGCTCATTCAACTGCTGTCTTCCTTCTTCTCTCTTGAATTCACCCTATTAGGTTGGTGTCCCCATCTGCTCACCAAAATGGCCCTTGCTGTGGTCACCAATGACCTCCTTGTTGCTAAATCCAACAGAGAAGTCTCAATCCTCATCTGGCACACATGTGATCACTCTTTCCTCCTTGCCTTCCGGAGCAACCTGCCCTTTCTGTTTTCCTCCAACCTTACTGGCCTCTGCTTCTGTCTGCTGATTCCTCTTCTTCTCACCAGTCTCTAAGTGTGAGGCAGGAGAAAGAGAGAGAGGGTTTTAAAATGAGTCGCAAAGTTCCACCCCACTGTCCTTCTCACTGTTCCTCACGTAGGCCAGGCATACCCCCACCACAGGGCCTTGGCATGGACTGTTCTCTCTGACTAGAATATTCGTCCCCCAAATATCTGCATGATTCATTCATTCATTCACCTTGTTTCAGTCTTTGATCACAATGTCACCTTTCCTGGCTCCATTATTTAATACTACGCTCTCCTCATTTTTGCCTTCTGTCTTCCCCTCTCCTGTGTTTATATCCTAAATTGCTCTTATTACCATCTTGGCATACTATGTATTTGACCTATTAGTATATTGCCCAGCTCCTCCACCAAATATGTCAAGAAGAGCAGTGATATTGTCCCTCTTGTTCAGTGCTGAATCCCAGCACTTAGGACAGTGACCAGAATATAATAGGTGCTCAATAGTATTAGATAAATGAATGAATGGATGAATGCTTATTATATTTATTTTCTTTTTCAAGGAGCTGGACATATAGAGCTGAGAAAGACAAGACCCCTACCCTTGTAGAACTCACAGTTTTGTAAATGCACCTACAAGTGGCCCTTGGGATGGAATAGGCCAGAAGCTCTTAAGAGCCAGACACTGCTAGAAGAGACAGACAGGAGAGAGATGAGGGAAGTGCTGCATTTTTGCTGCAGGAGTTGATGTGCAGGCCATGACAGCTGGGTGGCTCTACTGAGTGGAAAGGGAAGGGAGTCCCAACGGTGCCTCATTCAGAGAGCACCTACTGCATGCCAGGTTCCTTAGCTTTCATCACTAGCCAATACAGGGAGAATTATTAGCCCTTCTACAGTAAATGGAAGCTCAGAGAAGGACAGCAACTCTTCAGGCAACCTCCTGGCTGATGCCACCACATTGATTTGACTTTTACCTTGTCTTAATTCAGATAGATTTAAGTTGGCTGTCAAAACTACATATTAAGCAGGTTAAGTGCAGTGGCTCATACCTGTAATCCCAGCAGTTTGAGAGGCTGAGGTGAGAGGGATCACTTGAGGCCAGGAGTTTGAGACCACCCTGGGAAACACAGGGAAACCTCACCTCTACCAAGAAAAAATAAATAAATAAAAAATAAAATAAAATAGTAAAAAAGAAGGAAAGAAAAAGAAAAGTCAGACATTGTGGTGTGTGGCTGTTATCCTAGCTACTTAGGAGGATGAGGCAAAAGATCACTGGAGCCCAGATTGCACCACTGCACTCTAGCCTGGATGACAAAATAAGACTTTGTTTCTAAAGTGAATAAATAAAAATAAATAAATAGCTTATGAATGTTGATATTGGCAGAGTAGTTTATATTGGACTAATTATAAACTCTAGACAAAATATTTTTAAAACACTTATAAGACTATTTTTTTGAAGAAAGTGGAGAGCAACCCAAACTCAGCAGAAATTTAGGGGCTATGGCCTTGGAAAGAAGAGAACCACACTGGGTGAGAACTACCTTAGTTATTTTTTCCTCTGAGGGTGAGTCCCTCTACTGTTCATAAAGAAAGCTGCATTCTGAGTGGTTTGAAGAGTCAGAGGACAGAGTATGGGACTGCTAAATGGCTGGAGATTAAGGACAATTCCAGAAAGGAGGGCCACAGAGAGACATCTCCAAATTCTGTATATAAACTCCCTTCAGATATTTGGATACCTCTTGAACTGACATGTGCAGGCAAGACTTTAAAGAACCCAAAGGGAGAGCAACAGCTGGAAAGATGGAATTGCTGAGCAAAGATTTCAGAATCCACCCAATCCAGGGAGACAGAATGTGGATTCAGAATTCTACAAAGTGTGAGGGCATGGCAATAAATCCCCAGAATGGCAACACATTAGAAGTAAAGACTACATCTTATAATAGAATTATTCATTTTTAGATCAGGAATAAACCTGAAATAGAGCTTTCCACCAAACAAAGCATAAAGTCAGGAATCCAAAAGTTAAAGGTTATCTAATAATAATTTAACCACTGGCCAAAAAAATTGTTATTACTCTTCAGGGAGATAATAAAACCAAGTCTCTAGAGAGTATCATCAAAATGTTGGGCTGGGCATGGTGGCTCACGCCTGTAATCCCAGCACTTTGGAAGGCCAAGGCAGGTGGATCACCTGAGGTCAGGAGTTCGAGACCCACCTGGTCAACACATTGAAACCCCCTCTCTACTAAAAATACAAAAAATTAGCCAGGCGTTGTGGCAGGTGCCTGTAATCCCAGCTACTTGGGAGGTTGAGATAGGAGAATCACTTGAACCTGGGAGGTGGAGGTTGTGGTGAGCCGAGATCGTGCCATTGTACTCCAGCCTGGGCAACAAGAGTGAAACTCCATCTCAAAATTAAAAAAAAAAGTCCAGCATACAATAAAAAATGGCTAGACAGGTGAAGAAACAGGAAAATGTGACCTATAGTCAAGAAAAAAATCAGCCAGTGAAAAAGAGCCACAGATGACAAAGATGTTGAAATTAGCAGACAATGACTTTGAAATAACTATAATAAATATGCTAATCTACAGCAAAAGATGGCCAAAACTTGAACAAATTGAGCAACAAAATAAATAATCATATTGGATTATAACCACCAAAATAAAATAAATATCCATAAGTCCATGCTGATATAAATGATTGAATAAATTACTAAATTGTGGAGAAGAGGCAAATTTATTGTAAAGAAGAATTCCCAATAATTTATGTAGATACTCTTCCCCTCAACGATGGAGCATAACTCCCCACTCCTTAAATGTGGACTACTCATAATGACTTCCTTCCAGAGACTACAGTATGGAAAAGAGGAGCAAAAGAGTAACTTTACAGTGGAGAAACCTGAGAAACATGACTTCAGCCAGGAGACTAAGGTCAGCATCAATAATCATCAATCATGTTGATAGTCTGTAGCCTTGATATGATGTGAGTGGAACTTTACATCCGTGATCTTCTTCCTTCAAACCTAGCCTCCAGTCTAACTGATGAGAAAAACATCAGAAAAACTCCAAGAGGGCCATCCAACTATGTACTTGACAAGCAGTCCTCAAAACTGTCAAGGTGATCAAAGAAACTGTTACAGTCAAGAGGAGCCTAAGGAGACAG
Organism: Homo sapiens; assembly: GCF_000001405.40. Lineage (NCBI taxonomy): Eukaryota > Metazoa > Chordata > Mammalia > Primates > Hominidae > Homo > Homo sapiens. Next base: position 30,352,221 of record NC_000001.11, on the reverse strand, counting down.
AACAGCTAAATGCATGTGGTATTCTGGCTGGGATCCTGGAAAGAAAAAGAACATTATGTAAAAACTAAAGAAATCTGAGTAAACTATGGACTTTGGTTAATTGCTGTGTATCAGTATTAGTTCATGAATTGTAACAAATCTACTACATTAATGTAAGATATTAATGTGGGGAAAACTGTGTGTGCATGGCAGATAATAGGCAAACTCTGTATTATCTGTTTAATTTTTCTGTATATCTAAATCTGTTATAAAAAATAAGCCCTCTTAATAAAAATGTAAAAACAAATTTATAAATGGGACTAGCAATAGGTTGGAAAAAGCACAAGAAATCATCAGTGAGCCTGAATACAGGTCATTAGATATCCTTCAGATTAAAGCTCACAGAAGAAAAGAAACCCAACAAACAGAGCCTCAGTGACTTGTGAGAGGAGAGAAAGAATGAAAGAGAAGAGCAAACATTTGAGGAAATATTAGAGAAATAACATCAAAAGTTGATAAAAGACAGAAATACATAGATTCAGGAAGCTCAGTGACTTCCAAGTAGGATAATTCTAAAGAAAATCGGATCTAAAGAAAATCACATCTGGACACATCATAGTAAACTGCTGCAATCTAAAGATTAAGAAAAATCAGGGGCAGAGGGGAGGACATGAAACATGTTAATACAGAGGAACAAGGATAGTAATGAAAGGTGATTTTATATGAGAGAAATGGAGGCCTCAAGATAAACAACTTTTAATCTAGTATCTTTTTGATCCAGCAAAAAAATTATTTTAAAGTAAGGTGAATTAAAAACATTTTCAGAGAAATGAAAGGTGAGAAAATTGGTCAGTAGATGCACACTACAAAATATCCTAAAGGAAATTATTCAGTTTAAAGACAAACAGTATAGGATGAAATTTCAGATCTACAGAATATAAGGATAAACATTGGAAATGGTAAATATAAAAAATACATTTTTTCAGTTCTATAAAAGTTAATGACTTAGAGAATAAACAATAGCAATGTATTATCGAGATTACAACATAGGCAGAAATAAAATATATGACAATAATACAAGTGAGAGTGAATGTAAATAAAATTGCATTGCTATAAGACCTTTTTACAAATAAACTGGTATAATATTAATTTAAGTTAAACTGAGACAAGTTAAGGATTCATATTGACCACTGAACTGGCAAGTGTAAGCAAGACCTCAATGAGCTCAATGGGAAAACAACATGTAAGCATTAGAACAAATAACACAAAGAAAGATAAGTAAAAAATGAGTAAAAGAGCTATATTGGAATCCTAAAACATACTCAGTTTATCCAAAAAGAGGACAGGAAAGAAGAAACAAAGAACAAATGGGCAAGTAGAAAACAAAGATAATAAAGAGAACATAGATACAATACTTGAAATAAGTCAGAAATCTTAGTTTAAAAGACCCAAATATGTTATGTTTACAAAACATACACTTCAAACATAAAGACACAGACAGACTGAGAACAAAAAAGATGAAAATATATATAATAAGCATAAGAAAGCTGGTATGGCTATAATAATACCAGAGAAAGTAGACTTCAAGGCAAAGAGCATAAAAGAGACAAAGAGGAACATATCAAATGGTCAATTTATTAAGTGGACATGCTATAGATGAAATTGTGTCCCCCAACTTCAAATTCATATGTTGAAGTCCCATCCCCTGGTGTGAATATATTTGGACATAGGACCTATAAATGAGGTCAATACAGGTGAATCCCTGATTTGATAGGATTAGTATCTTTATTGGGAGTGACACTGGAGAACTTGCATGTGCTCTTTCCTTTCCCTTAACCCCTTCCCTGTATTTCTCTATCATGTGAGGATGCAGCTAGAAGGCAGCCATCTTCAAACCAGAAACAGAGCCCTTGCAAGAAAACAAATTAACTGGCACTTTAATCTTATACATCGTAGTCTCCAGAATTAGAAGAAATACATTTCTGCTGTTTAAGTTACCCAGTCTGTGGTATTTTATGGCAGCCTGAGCTGACTAAGACAACATAAAAAAATGAAAGAAAGCATGAATCACCAATACCAAGAATTTGTATTTACATTAAAATGATAATAAAGGAATGTTATGAACAACTTTTTGCCAACAAATTCAATAACTCAGGCAAACTCAAGAAATTTCTTAAAATATGTGCCAAAACTAACAGAAGAGGAAATAGAAGTGCTGAGTAACCCTATATCTAATATTTAAATTGAATTTGTAATTAAAAACCTTTTCTGCAAAGGAAGCTCTGGGGCCAGATGGCAAATTCTGCCCAACATTTGTGAAATAAATAATACAAATTTTCCACAAATTCTTTCTGATAATAAAGGTGGGGGCATTTCAAAATTTATTTTGAGGCCAGCATAACTCTGACATCAAACACTGACAAGCACATTAGAAAAAAGAAAATTAACTCAAGAACATGGATGCAAAAACCACTAAAAATTATTAAAACATACAATCTAGAAATACATCATAACCAAGCAAAAATGATCAGGAATTCAAGGTTATTAACATTTGAAAATCAATCAACAGACCCACAACCAACATTATATTGAAGGGGCAAAAGCTGGAATCATTCCCCTTAAAAACCAGCACAAGACAAGGATGCTCTCTCTCACCACTCCTATTCAACATAGTATTGAAAGTCCTAGCTAGAGCAATCAGGCAAGAGAATGAAATAAAGTCCACTTAAATAGGAAAAGGGAAGTCAAACTATCTCTGTTTGCAGACAACATGATTCTGTATCTAGAAAATTCCATAGTCTTGATCAAAAAGCTCCTTCAGCTGATAAACAACTTCAACAAAGTTTCAGGATAAAAAAATCAGTGTACAAAAATCACTAACATTCCTATACACCAACAACAGCCAAGCCAAGAGCCAAATCAGAAAGGCAATCCCATTCATAATTGCCACAAAAAGAATAAAATACCTAGGAATACAGCTAACCAGGAGGTGAAGGATCTGTACAATCAGATTTACAAACACTGCTCAAAGAAATCAGAGAAAACACAAACAAATGGAAAAACATTTCATGCTCATGGATAGGAAGAATCAATATCATTAAAAAGGCCATACTGCCCAAAGGAATTTACAGATTCAATGCTGTTCCTATGAAACTACCAATGTCGTTCTTCACAGAAATAGAAAAAAAAACTATTTTAAAATTCATATGGAACCAAAAAAGAGCCTGACTAGCCCAGGCAATCCTAAGCAAAAAGAACAAAGCTGGAGGCATCACATTATCCAACTTCAAACCATACTACAAGGCTACAGTAATCAAAACAGCATGGTGCTGGTACAAAAACAGGCACATAGACCAACGGAACAGAATAGGGGCCCAGAAGTAAGGCCACACACCCATGACCATCTGATCTTCCACAAAGCTGATAAAAACAAGCAATGGGGAAAAGGTTCCCTATTCAATAAATGGTGCTAGGATAACTGGCTAGCCATATGCAGAAGATTAAGCTGGACCCCTTCCTTACACTATATACAAAAATCAACTCAAAACCCCAAATTATAAAAACCCTGGAAGACAACCTAGGCAATACCATCCTGGACGTAAAAGTGGGCAAAGATTTCATGACAAAGACATCAAAACAATTGCAATAAAAGCAAAAATTGAAACACGGGATCTAATTAAACTTAAGAGCTTCTGCACAGCAACAAAACACAAAAAAACTATCAACAGGGTAAACAGACAACCTCAGAATGGGAGAAAAATACTCGCAAACTATGTATGTGACAAAGGTCTAATAACCAGTTTCTGTAAGGAACTTAAATAAATCTACAAGAGAAAAACAAACAACCCAACTAAAAAGTGGGCAAAGGACACAAACAGGAACTTTTCAAAAGAAGACATACATGTAGCCAAAAAGCATATGCAAAAAAGCTCAATATCACTGATCATTAGAGAAATGCAAATCAAAACCACAATGAGACACCATCTCACGTCAGTCAGAATGTCTATTATTAAAAAGTCAAAAAATAACAGATGCTGGAGAGGTTGTGGAAAAAAAGGGAACAGTTATACTCTGTTGGTGGGAGTGTAAATTAGTTCAACCATTGTGGGAAGCAGTATGGTGATTCCTCAAAGAGCTAAAAGCGGAAATACCATTTGACCCAGCAATCCCATAACTGGGTATATACCCAGAGGAATATAAGTCACTCTACCATAAAGACACATGCACTCGAATATTCACTGTGGCACTATTCACAATAGCAAAGACATAGAAAGAACCTAAATGCCTATTGATGACAGACTGGATAAAGAAAATGTGGTACATATACATCACAGAATACTATGCAGCCATAACAAAGAATGAGATCATGTATTTTGTGAGAACATGAATGGAGCTGGAGGCTGTTCTCCTTAGCAAACTACTGCAGGAACAGAAAACCAAATACTGCACGTTTTCCCTTATAAGTGGGAGCTAAATGATGAGAACTTATGACACAGAGAAGGAAACAACAGACACTGGGTTCTATTTGAGGGTAAAAGGTGAGAAGAGGGAGAGGAGCAGAAAAGATAACTAACGGGGCCTGGGCTTATTAGCTGGGTGATGAAATAATCTAGGCAACAAACCCCTATGACATGAGTTTACCTATATAAAAAACCTTCACATGTACCCCGAACCTAAAATGAAAGTTAAAAAAAGAAAAAAAAAAAAAAGAAAATCAATCATACATAATTTGCCACATTAGTATGACAAAGGATAAAAGCCACATGATCATCTCAATAGATGCCAAGAAAGCACCTACAAAATTCAACAGCCGTTCATGACAAAAACTCTGAGCAAACTAGAAATAAAAAGGAATTTCCTTACTCTTAAAAAGGGCCCCTATGCGAAACCTATAGCTAACATTAGGTATAGCGGTGAAAGGCTGAATGCATTCCCTTTGCTGGAAATGGGTCAAGATGAATATTATCATCACTTCTATTCAACGTTGTGCTAAAGGCTCTAATTAGTTCAATAACGCAAGAAAAAGAAAGAAAAGCTTGAAGTTTGGAAAAGATGAATTAAAACTTTAGTTGTTCATAGATGACACAAGAGTTTTATAGCAAATCTTAATGAAGCTACAAAAAAAGAGCTATCAGAATTAACCAATTTCAGGATGAAACCAAAAGCAAATTTAACATGTTGTCTGTGTGAGCCATAGAGTAAAAATCAATTGATTTGTCTCTCTTTTTTTTTTTTTTTTTTAGTATTTATTGATCATTCTTGGGTGTTTCTCGGAGAGGGGGATGTGGCAGGGTCGTAGGATAATAGTGGAGAGAAGGTCAGCAGATAAACACATGAACAAAGGTCTCTGGTTTTCCTAGGCAGAGGTCCCTGCGGCTTCCGCAGTGTTTGTGTCCCTGGGTACTTGAGATTAGGGAGTGGTGATGACTCTTAACGAGCATGCTGCCTTCAAGCATCTGTTTAACAAAGCACATCTTGCACCGCCCTTAATCCATTTAACCCTGAGTGGACACAGCACATGTTTCAGAGAGCACGGGGTTGGGGGTAAGGTTATAGATTAACAGCATCCCAAGGCAGAAGAATTTTTCTTAGTACAGGACAAAATGGAGTCTCCTATGTCTAATTCTTTCTACACAGACACAGTAACAATCTGATCTCTCTTTCTTTTCCCCACATTTCCCCCTTTTCTTTTCGACAAAACCGCCATCGTCATCATGGCCCATTCTCGATGGTCACTGTCTTTTCGGAGCTGTTGGGTACACCTGCAGAAAGGCTGTCACTTCACACTTGGAAGATTGCACAGTGGCCAGGCAGAGGCGCTCCTCACTTCCCAGACGGGGCGGCTGGGCAGAGGCGCTCCTCACATCCCAGACGATGGAAAAATCAATTGATTTCTCTATGCCAGAGGTTGGTGAGCTATGACCTGTGAGCCATATCTGGCCCATCATCTGTTTTTGTATGGCCTGTAAGCTAAGAATGCTTTTTAAAAACTGTTAAATAGTTGAAAATAATTCAAGAAACAATAATATTTTGTGACATGTAAAATTGTAGAGAAGTCAAATTTCAGTGTTTGTGCCAGGTGAGGTGTCAGAGCCCCAGCAGTGGAGAGTGGTTGGCTCATGGGTTGTAAAATAATTTACTGACAATAGTATAGGTTGGAAAGGGAAGTTTTATGAGATAGAAAAAACAGTGCAGAAAAGTGTAGTGGGGCACCTCAGCAAGAGAGGACTGAGCACGCCAGGTGGATTTTTCCTTAGGGGTATTTATGAACCTTAAAGCAGGAGCTTAAGGGTAATTTAGACCATATTAGTCATGGAGGTCATGGTAAATGATTACATTTGCAGACATTTTGGTGCCTTGACATTAGCAAAGGTTGCACAATGGGTATCAAAAGGCATGCATTCCAGAGGTATATGGAAATTCTAATTACTTATATATCTTGGAGAAGGAAGCCTGGTACCAGATGCTGCATTAGATAATAAGGAAGTCTAATTACTTCTGAATTTCTCCCATAAGGATTTTTGCCTCCGGGTGGTCTGCTTGATGGCCATCTTTGCTCTCCTCAGTTTGTAAATAAACCTTTATTGGAACACAGCCAAAGCTCATTTGTTTACATACTGTCTGTGGCCACTTCCATGCTACAATGGCAGAATTAAGTAGTTGTGACAGAGGGCGTTATGGTCTGCAAAGCTTAAAATATTTACTCTCTGACTCTTTATAGAAAAAGTTTGCTGACGCCTGCTCTACACTTTTTTTTTTTTTGAGATGGAGTCTCGCTCTGTTGCCCAGGCTGGAGTGCAGTGGTGGCAGGATCTCAGCTCACTGCAACTTCCGCCTCCCAGGTTCAAGTGATTCTCCTGCCTCAGCCTCCTCAGTAGCTAGGATTACAGGTGAGTGCCACCACATCTGGCTTATTTTTGTATTTTTAGTAGAGATGGGGTTTCACCATGTTGGCCAGGCTGGTCTCAAACTCCTGACCTCAAGTGATCCATCCGACTAGGCGTCCCAATGTGCTGGGATTACAGGCGTGAGCCACCACACCCAGCCCAACAAACACTTATTTGAAAATATTTAAAAGATACCATTTTTCAATAGCATCAAAAACAAGACATTTAAGCATTTTTCAAAGGTGTCTGACCTGTATTCTGAGTACCACAAATACTTCACAGGAAGATTAAGGAATATTTAAATAAATAAACATATTGCATTCGTGGATTAAAAGATTCAATATTATTAACATGTCAATCCTACCCCAAGTGACCAATAAATTTGACACACATGCACACAAAACCCCAAGCAGGATTTTTTTTTTTTTTTTGGTATAAATCACCAAGCTAGTTCTAAAATTACACATAAATGCAATAAAACTACACTAGCCAAAACATTCATTAATAACTTGGAGGACAGGCTGGGCATGGTGGCTCATGCCTGCATGCCTGTAATTCCAACATTTTGGGAGGCCGAAGTGGGTGGATCACCTGAGGTCGGGAGTTCGAGACCAGCCTGGCCAACATGATGAAACCCTGTCTCTATTAAAAATACAAAAAATTAGCCCGACATGGTGGTGGACACCTGTAATCCCAGCTACTTGGGAGGCTGAGGAAGGAGAATCTCTTGAACCCAGGAGGCAGAGGTTGCCGTGAGCCAAGATCACGCCACTGAACTCCAGTCTAGGCAACGAGAGTGAAACTCCATTTCAAAAATAAATAAATAAATAAACTTGGAGGACATATAATACCTGACTTCAAGACTATGCAGGTATGATAATCAAGGCAAAGTAAGAAGAGACAAGTGGATTAATGGAACAGAGTAGAGAGGCACCAAGTAGACCCACACATATATATTGTCTAAGACTAAGATATTTCAGTGGGGGAAAGGACTGTCTTTTCAATAAATGGTGCTGTAACAGCTGAATATCCACATGGAAAAATTTTACATTTAGACCCTTACCTCACACCTTACATAGAAATGAATTTGACATAAAACATAGACCTAAACATAAAAACTAAAGATAAGAGAAAAATATTGAATATATATCTTCATAATTTGGAAGTAGATCAAGATTTCTTAAGACACTCACATAAAAGCAGTAACCATGATTACCATGAAAGAAAAAACCATAAACAATACTAATTTGGACTTATCAACATAAAAGTTTTCTGCTTTTCAAATGATATCATTAAAGAACCTAGCGCCTATTATATCAAGTGTATAATGTATTATACACTTGAAAATTTTTTTAAAAAGAAAATGTAAACCACAAATTTGGAAAAATAGCCATAACACATATATCTGACAAAGGACTTGTACCCAGAATATGTAAAGAATCCCTACAAGTTAATCATGAAAAGAAAAACTCAATAAAACTGGGCAAAATATTTCAACATACACTGCACATTAGAAGAGATACAAAACACGTGAAAAACTGCTCAACATTATTAGTCAGGTATCTGCATCATGGGTAAAATTAAAAAGATGGATAATACCAAGTATTGGTGAGGTATATGGAGCAAACGAAAATCCTATTTCTGTAGCTAATGTAAAATAATAAAATCACTTTTGAAAACAACTTGGCAGCTTGTTATAGTATAAAATATACACCCACACTCTGATGTAAAAATTCTACTTTTACGTACCCAAAAGTGATAAAAACTGTGGTCTATAAATAGACTATTTGAGTATTTTAATAGCAATTTTATTCACAATAGCTTCAAACTGGTATTAACTCAATCATCCATCAACAAGTTAATGGATAAATAAATTGTGGTGTATCTACATAACGGACTAACAGTGAGCAACAAATGAGAATAAACTTATAAAGACAAACAGGTACATCTCAAACATTATGGTGAGCAAGAGATCCTAGATATCTACCATGGAATTCTATTTATATGACATTCTGGAACGGGAAAATTAATCTATGGTGACAGAAAGGGGCTGTGGCTGGGAGAATTGCTAGAAATTGAGCATAAGAGATACTGGGGGTAATGGACATGTGGTGTATCTTAGCAGGATGTTGGTTAGATGGATGCACACAAAATTTTTGTACATATACATAGATGAGGGTAAGAGAGCACCCTCACTTGCTCATCCACCTGGGTGCTCTGCCCTCTCTCCCCTACCTCTGTCCATCGCCATCCGCTGGCCCCCTCCCAGGGTCTCTCAAGCCCTCCCCTGTACTCCAGCCGCGGCTGGGCCCTGGAAGGACCCCTGCTGTCTGGGTGGGGTCCCTGTAAGGCGCAGGCGGCTGATTTGGGAGGCGATCCCAGGAGGCACAGTGGGGAGGGGAAAGCCAGGCAGGAAGAGGCTGAATCACAAGTCGGGGGCGGCGGCTCGGTCCCAGGGCCATCTCAGGGACCGTGTGGGGGGTGCTGACTCTGCCCCTCGAGGGGAGCCGGACATTTATCCGCCTAAGCCCGTCCCTTGCGGTGAGGGGCCCTCCTGGGTGTGGGACCCCTGGCTCCCCGCGCTGCCCTGCCCGGGGCTGGTCTCGTCCCAGGACCCTGGAGAGCGGCCCCAGGAGGCGTGGAGGAGGGGAGAGGGCCGAGGGAAGTGGTCATGGCGCAGGTGAAGGCAGAGGGGCCTCGGCTGGAGCGCCCTCCTGGGAAGAGCCCCTCCTCTGCAAGGACCTGCCGCAGCTTAACCAGCCTGCGCTGCTGTCGCCAGCGCCCGTTTTAAATAACCAAACCCTACTCGCTTCATCCAGCAACGCACCCCCAACTTCACGCTAAATGCATAATTTGCTGCAAATTAAACTTAATGGGACTAGAGTAATTATATTGACTTTTTAAAGTACTTAGCGATAAATACATGATTAGATATTTCAGAGTATAAACTTTTTTTTTTCTTTTCTTTTTTTCCCCAAGGGAGCCGGGGAAGGAGGCAGAGGCCTGAGTTACAGAAGACGGTGAAGAAGTGAGGGGAAGGCCTCAGAAACCGGTTTGAAGAGGCTCTTAGACCCCACCGGAGGGGTGGAAGCCAGGCCGGGCACCCGGGAGAGCCACTGGGCAACATACAGGCAAAGCCTTAAAAATGCCCATATCTGTTGACCTGAGAAGACCACAGATCTATCCCAAGGAAGAATTCGAGATGGAGATAAAGATCTATGTGTAGGGTCGTTTATCTCAACATAATTTATGATGGTGAAATTTAGATGGGAAACATCTAAATGCCTAACAATAGGAGATTTGTATGTCAATTGTGGAACATCATGTGATGAACTGTTAGCTGCTAAACCCAAAACCTTCAGAAAATTATTCACCTGGGGAAATGCTTATAAAAATAAAGGGAATAAAAGCAGCATGTAAAACTGGTTGTAAAGTCCATTTCTAATTTTTCATAGAAAAAAGCCAGAAGGATGCATGCAAAAATACCAACAGAGGTTATCTCTGGGTGGGGGACTATAAAGGATTCTGGTTTTCTTTATTTTTTTATGTTTGGAAGTTTTCATAATAAACATCTATGGTTAAACTATTATTTTAAATTTGTTTTTTAAGTGGAAGTAGGTAGGAAAGAATCTGTACACCTTTTCCCTATGATCCAGTCTTCCTGGATTCAGCTCTGGGGCCAGAATTCTCATTTCAGGAGCCCTAGGTCTTCATTTCAGTCTCCTAGATGCTGGCTGGGATCCAGGCTGCAGGCTGTCGTTCAGAACCCTGTCTTCTCTTCTTTAGTAGCAGAATACCAATGCTGTTGGGGTGGACAGGTGTCCTACCTCAAAGCTACATTTACCAGCCCCTGCCCATTTCAGATAGGGTTGGCCAATGGAATGTGACTGGAGGTGTTAAACTGGCAGAACTCCCTGCCTTTTTATCCTTTCCCTTCCTTTTTCTTCCATCTGGAATGTGACAGTAATCTCTGGAGCTCCAGCAGCCATCATATGACCAGTAGGCAGTCTTTAGGATGAGCTCAGGCACTGTGGATGGTAAGGCAAAACAAAGGAGGAACTGGGACATTAACATAATCTATGGATCTAACATAGGATATGTGGACTTTCTATGTCCATGATTCTTTAAACGAGAGGAAAAATCACAGTCTTTGATTTATTTAAGCCGTTAGTTTTCAGATCCCTGTTACTAGCAGCTGAATGCAGTTCCTAAAAGGTACACCGGAGGACAGTCAAGGATGGCAGAGATAAGACAAAATGCTAGTTAATACACAGAAATCTCAATGAAATTAATAAGAAAATAGTAACTTCTGTTGGAGCAGAGGACAGTGGGGCTGAGGCAAGATGAACTGAGCAGAGAAGTTTCTAAATAGAAATAACACTTATAAAATAATACCTAATGGGCCAAGATGGCCCAGGTTATCTGGCTATATGCCTGTAAATGAAGATCAGCCTGGTGTGGAAGGAAGGGGTTTTATCATCAGGAATTTGAGGCCACAAAGGTGGATGCTGATTACTTCCCAGAACATAGACGCTAAAGATACATTGTGGCAAAGTAGAGAGTTAAACCGGAAACCAGGAAACATGAACTTTGCTTGTGACTTTAAGAAAATTGCTCTCTGTTTCTGGGCTGTGTCTCATCTGTTAATAGGACAGGAGCTGACAAAAATTATTTACTTGACCAAAATTTAGTTAGGCTTCTGAACCTTCTTTGAGACCCACCTATCCACTTCCTCGTAGAATCCAGTTTCAGCAAAGAACTCTTCTAACTCAGCAAGTTTAGAAAGAACTTCCCACCCTTAATATCTGATTACCCTTGATATCTGATCAGGTTTCCCATCCTCCACCATCCTCTAGGTGGTGTCTGGTCACTCTGGCCTGTCTTCAGCAAGAATCCAGTTATGTCAGTTGTTCCAGAATCTCCATTACCCTTGATGTTTTCTCTTAGTAGTTTTCCATCCAGTGATCCTTGGTTATAAATTCCCACTTGCCCATGCGATATTTGGAGTTCAGCCCAAAGTGTCTCCCACACTGCAAAATCCCACTGCAATGGTCCTGAATAAAGTCTGCCTTACCGTGCTTTAATTCAAGTATAATTGAATAACTTTTTCTTTAACAGTTATGGTGTTTTGACTCAGATAGGATAGAATTCTTCATTGGGCTCCTGGACCTCTCACCCAGGACCCTAAGTGCATACCTTTGAAGCCTTCATGCCTGAGTGATTAGTCGGGAATTGATTGGTGAGTTCACTATCACCACCATCACCACCACCATCGTCATCATCACCATCACTATCATCATCATCACCATCATTACCATCACCATCATCATTATCATCACTGACATTAATTGAGCACCTATTTTGTGCCAGATACAGGGCTGGGTGCTTTATGTACTTGAATGCTTAATGTTTTCACAACAATCTAATTGGGTAGGAATTTAGGGATGAGGAAACCAAAGCTCAGAAAAGTGAGTGGCTGAAGGCAGTACAGATAATAAGCAGAGAAAGGAGGTTCTGAATCCAGGTCTGTCTGATCACAAGTGTTAATCTGTGTTCACTGCACCTCATAGCTCTGAGAGCTGACCTATGCTTGTGCACCTCCAGTGGTAGGAAGGCCATTGCCTACACCAGGAAGCATGCTCCATCTTGAGTCAGCATTGCCAGAACATTAAAAAAAAAACTTTTCAAAGAGAAATTAGCATTCCTATGGTCTCACTCATTAGTCTTGGTTCTGACCTCTGGTCCATGTGACAGCCTTCCAATGTTTGAAGATGGCTTTCACGATCACTTTCAACTCTTCTTGTTCAGGACAAGCATGCTGTTCCTTCAGTAACTCCTTGGGTGAGTGACCACCTTGCACACTCTCCTCTGGCCCCACTCTGGTCCACAAGAACTTCTGTGATCCTCCCTACCTGGTCTTACTGCTTCCACTCTTGCCTCCAGAAGCCAAAGTGATCCTCACCCAGAAGCTGAAGTGATCTATTTAGTATATAAATCAAGCCATGCCACTCTCTTGCTTAAAACTCTGCAATGACTCTCCTTGACATCAAAAAATAAAATCCAAAGTTCACTATGGCTGAATTCTCTAATGACCTTCCTTCTGCCAACCCCTCACATCTCTCCTTTCCCCTTCCTTCCTCCCACCTCACTTTGCTTCAGAAACACTGGCCTCTGCTCTCTTCCTCAATTGCACCACCACCACCATCATCACCATCACCATCATCACCACCATCATCACCATCACCATCATCACTATCATCATCATCATATCACCATCATCATCATGACCATTATCATCATCATCACCACCACCACCATCATCATCACCATCACCATTATCACCATCACCATTATCACTATCATCATCATCGCTATCACCATCATCATCATCATTACCATCACCATCATCATCATAACCATTACTATCACCATCATCGTCATCACTATCATCATCATCACCATCATTACCATCACTATTGTCATCATCATCATCAACACCATCATCATCACCATCACCATCATCATTACCATTACTATCATCATTATCACCATCATCTCACCATCATCATCAGCACTATCTCATCACCATTATCATTGTCACCATCATTACCATTACCATCATTATCATCATCACCACCATCATCATCATTATCATCACCATCATCATCATCACCATTATCATTGTCACCATCATTATCATTACCATCATTATCATCATCACCACCACCATCATCATTATCATCATCATCATCATCATCACCATCATCACTATCACCATTATCACCATCATTACCATCGTCATCATCACTATCTCATTCCCTACCTCAGGGCCTTCACAGCTGCTGCTCTATGTGACTGGAACATTCTCTTGACAGCTATTGGCAAAAATTGACTCTCACTTTATTCAAGTCTCTGCTGAAATGCCACCTTCTCAGAGAAGCCTGCCTTGGCCACCCTCTCTGGAGCAGCCCTTCATCTCCAGTTCCTTTCTCGTCACACTTTTCCCTCACAGGAAACATCACTTCTTGGTATATACTCACTTGCTTATTATCTGTCTGCTCTACTTGAATGTGAACTCTATGACATCAGGGGCATTGTCAATCTTCTTCACCGTTCTATCTCCGGGACCTGGAAGAGCCTCCAACAACATAATAGAATGATAATGAAAGTGTTGAATAAATTAATCCATATGACCAGATTCTCATGCCCTTCTCAGTTCAGAGGCCTGGCTTTTAGACAAGGTTCAGGCTATCGATGACCCTCTAGATTTATTTCTCAGAACAGCACATAGGTTCTGAGCCCTCCAGTTGAAGAGGACTCTCATCTCCCTTTTTCTAGACTCCATACCTCTATTAACATGGTCTAAAAAGAAGAAAAAGATGTGCACAGAGGAGTGTTGGCTTTGGAGTCAGATAAACTAAAGCTCAAATCGCATCTCTGCCACCCACTAGCTCTGTGTAATATCATTTTCCTGAGCCTCAGTTTCCTCTTGTGTAAAATGGTCTTAATAATACCAGCCTGGAAAGTCATGAAAATAGAGGTTATGTGAGTACATAGTTCAGAGTAAGCATTCAGTAAACTTTCAGATGTGAGGGTAATTTTTTTATCAGATCACTATTTTTACCATAATTATTATTGTTGTTGCTGTTGTTATTAAGCTAGCTAGATTTGAAGACTCTCCATCTCATGGGAAAAGCCTTGGCTGGGAAGGGCTGGCCTGGGGGTGGGGAGAATAACAAACGGACAGATGCTATGAGGGATACACCTGCCTGGGTCCACAATGAGCTCTTTAAGAGCTTCCCTCTCAAGGCCTGGCTCCCTCCCCTACTTGCGCCTTGATTTGTTTTTCTCAGCTCAGAGCCTTGCATTGCATGCTAAATTCACATTTACACTGAAATACCATCCTGTGAGTCTAGCTTGGGCTCCAGCCTGTGGGGATTTTCTTCCCAACCCAGGTCTGGCATCCAAAATGCTCGCTCCTCCTCCAAGAACCTGTCATCTGAAATCTGAAAGCTACCCTTACTCCCCAGTTGACTTACTGCTAGCAACACCGTGGGTGTCTTTCCTCCAGGGGGACTGACATTTCCTGGGCAGCAGGGATTGTAACTGACCCTTCATTAGCCACTCTCCCAGAGCCTAAGTGGACCTCTCCCAAAATAATTGCCCTGGAAATGTTCCCATGGCTGGTAGGAAGTGATGGCATCAAAGGAAGGAGCTGGAAGGTCAACAGGGGAGCGGTGCCCTTCTCCCTGACTAATGAGTGGCAGCTCTGGGCTCCTGTTTTTGCTGACTAGCAGACAGGCATGCCCTGGGTCTATTTCCAGACATTAAACTCTGCAGTGGTGGATAGTGATGCTTTCCAGACCAGAAAGTACATCTGAGCTCGTTGACTCGGTGGAACAGGGGCTGTGCCAGCCAGGCCCAGTGGCGCCAGCTCACCCTCACCTTGTTCCTGCCTCTGTTCAGTTTTCGCAAGCCACAGACAGTCTTGGTAGAGGCCGTGGCTTCCATCCGGCTGCCCGTGGGAAGGACTGTAGTCCCACTCCATCCAGGACGAGGCCCAGGACTCATCCCAGAGTCTTTGGGACTCAGTGGTCTCCCACGTGGGCATATTCGCACCACACCCTCCCCACTGCTGCTGCCGGGCCTGTTTCTGTGCCAAACATTCTCAAGCTTTCAGGGGAGGATAAGAAACCAGCCAGATGAGGGAAGCGGTCAAATGTGGCCTCGCCAGTGGGCTCAGAGTGTTGAATAGACCCTTACTTCAGGTTAAGTGATGTGGGCTCATGAGATAGTTTAGAACGGGTTGTATCCTCTGGCCAGTGGAGAAACTGAGGCACAGAGCGTTAGCCAGCATGCAAATAGAATGAGTACATCATAGAGCCAGACTTCATATCAAGAAATTGAGGCTCAGAAACAAGAATTGTCTTGTCCAAGGTCAGGCAGCAAGTCTGACAGAGCCAGGAGTGACTCGGGTCCCTACTAGCCAGTTTGTTCCTTTTCCCTCTCCACCCCATGAGGAGGCAGGGCCTGGGAATGGGCTGGGATGGAAAGCAGGATGGTCATCCCCAGCAGGGCTGTATCTCCTCTGTCACTGTCTGTGCCCTGTGTTTGTAAGCTGAGCCCTTTCAGCATGCCTGGCACTGCGTAAGACACTTAATCATTTTACAGAGGAGAAAGTGAGGCCTGGAGAGGGCAGCCAACTCACCCAGGTCTCACAGCTGCTGGGGTCCATCTGCCTGACACCAAAGCCTGAGCCTCTCATGATGCCCCAGAAAGAGTTGAACATGATCCAGGGCCTCAGTGGGGTGAGAGGCAGCTCAGTGGCCCTCTCATGTCTCAAAATGAAGCATACTGCCTGAGAAAGTGCATCTGGGAAGGCCTGGGGACTCCACTGGGTGGAAGGAGTGGGGTTCTTCTCTGTCCTACCTGGGACCAGGCCTCAGGCTTATGGGGTGATCTTCCCCCAGTGGCATCAGAGCTGGTGCCCCACCCCACCAGTCCTCAGTACTCTTGGCCTGAGTGGGGTCTGGGTTGTGGAGTTCAGGCAAGGCTGTCTCCCGGATTAGGCCCAGCAGAGCTTGGGGTAGGAGGAGGAATTTAGGGGACTTTGGCTGGGGAGGCCTTGAGGGTTTGGGGTTGGGACTTGAGATCTGATGTCTGGAGCCAGGGTAGCTTGCCATGGGTAGACTGAGCTGCAGTCTGCTCCAGGACCTGGCCTGGGATGGTGACCTGCTCCCTGGCCCCATCCTGGCTGTGGCCTAAGAGCTCAGGAGCCGCTTAGAAGTCTCTTTCCTGCTCCCAGCTCAGAGGGAGTTCCGCCTCTTTTGCTGGGCATGTAAGCATAGCAGAAGGTCTATTGGCCTGGCTGCCAGACAAAACTCTTTGGAGGGATGGGTGCAGGAGTCATCATGGTCCCACAAAGAGAAGGAACTCCATCTACTGTTTCCATGGGGCTTCCTGATATGAGCTGGATGGGGGAGAGGGAGGAGTGAGTAATCCCAGCCACCAAAGAGAGAGGAGGAGAAGGGGAGGTAGAGGGATGAGAAAGGCCCATCAGTCACTGTAACTCAGCCTGGAAGGATGCATGAGTGCGTGTGTGTGTGTGTTGTGTGTCTGTGTGTGTGTTGTGTTCTGTGTTTGTGTGTGTGTGTGTGTGTGTGTGTGTGTGTGTGTACGTGCATGCATGGATCTTGCCTGTGGGCATCTGGTCTGCTGGGCATCTGGCCTGCTGAGGGGTTGGGGGTCATGGAGGGGTGGCATGGGGTACTGGGAAGATCTTTGAACTAAACTTAGGAAGCTATGCCCTCCCTTCCAGCTGCCTCCTTGCCTCAGTGTGCCCATCTGCACATTGGGGGCCTGGAAAGGAGACCCTCTGAGTCCTGAGTCTCTGGGCTGGGGCTCTCTGACCCTGGTGGATGGGCCTGTCAGGTGGAGAAGCCCTGGAATAACCCTACCCACTCCTGGTGTCTTTGTTGCCTCCGATGCCTGACCCCAGTCACGTGGGTCCTATTGACTCAGGAGCCCAGAGGCTCCAATTCTTAGATGGCCTTGAACTTGTCAGTGAGGGGCCACCTGGGGTCTGTTTGAAGTAGTCAAATCTGCAGGGAGCCCCACTGATTGCCCAGGGGATGGGGGTAGCTGACTCAGTGCCTGTCACTGGCTGTGAAGCCCAGTTTGAGGCCTCAGACACTTCCATCTGGAAGTTGGAAAGGACTCGAGAGATTCATTCACTTACTCAAAGATATTGATTGGGTTGTTTCTTGGTTTTTGTTATTACAAATGAAGCTGCTGTGAACATTCTTATACAAGTCTCCTGACGCCCATGTACAGGAGATTCTCTGGGGTAAACTCTAGAAGTACAACCACTGAAGTATAAGGTATGTGCATGTTCGATGTTACAAGACAGTGCCAAATTGGTTTTCAAAGAGCCTGTATCATTTCCACTCCAAGCAGTGGTGTGGGAGAGTTTCTATTGTTTCTCCACCTAGACTTGAAATTCATTTTTGTCCAACTAGCAGGTGTAAAATGGGAATTCTGAGTGTTCTGTAATTTGTGTTTCTCTGATTACTAATGAGGTTGCACATATTTTCAAATGATCATTAGCCATTCAGCCTTCTTGAAATGCCTATTCATGCCCATTATCTAATTTTCTGTTGGATTTCTTATGGGTTTCTTCATCTTTTTAGGAAATTTTAAAAATATATTCAGGATGCAATCATTTCTTGCTTGTGTGTTGTAGTATCTGCTCCCACATTGTGGCTTATCTTTCTAGTTTATTTATAGTGATGCCGGATGAACAGAAACTCTGCCTAAATTGAATCAAATTTATCAATCATTTCCTTTATGCTTGGCACTTTATGTATTTTGGTAAATACCTTTTTTCCAACCCAAAGTCATAAAAGTAGACTATATTTTCTTTCAAAAGCATAGACATGCAAAATGTAGGCCAGGTGTGGTGGTTCACGCCTGTAATCCCAGCACTTTGGGAGGCCGAGGAGGGCAGATCACTTGAGGTCAGGGGTTTGAGACCAGCCTAGCCAGTACGGTGAAACCCCTTCTCTACTAAAAATACAAAAATTAGCTGGGCATGGTGACACTCGCCTGTAATCTCAGCTACTTGGGAGGCTGAGGCCAGAGAATCACTTGAACCCAGGAAGCAGTGGTTGCAGTGAGCCGAGATTGTGCCATTGCACTCCAACCTGGATGTCTCAGCAAGACCCCATCTCAAAAAAAAAAAAAAAAAAGAAATGCAAAACGTAAATTGCATGACAGTGGTTACCTCCAGTAGGGTGTGGGAGATGAAATTGTTGCAGGGACCTGAGGGACTTCTGTTTCCTCTTGGTGATGTTCTAATTCTCAGACTGCAGTTCACTGGTGTTTGTTGTGTGTTGATGCGCTCTAGAGACATGGATAGGTACAAGGATAGACAGGTAGATGTGTAACGTAGATTGCATTGTATTAAGTATGTATGGAAAGTTACATCACGCAAAGAAGAAATTTAAAGAAGTAATAAATGAAAAGGTTCTAGCACAGGGCCCTGCAATACAAATGATGTCAGCTAAGATTGCCTGTGTTCTTTCCAGTGTTATTTTCTGGCCAAGAATTACATCAAAGTATTTACATACATGGTCTCCTTCAGTCTTCGCAGCAGACTGTGACATTTACCCCAATTCACAGATAAGGAAGCAGACACTCAGAGAGGCCGACTTGCCCCAGGTCACACAATTAAAAAGGGGATTTGAGAGGCCAGCCCAGGTCTGTGTGACCGCAGATGGGTTCCTCTCAGTCAGTGGGTCCCCACTTCTCACACAGCAGCTGCTCAATAAGTGGTGAGGCTGTTGGGATCCCCTTGGATCACGCAGCAGCACTCCTTCCTGCCCCTGTGCCCCTGCCAGGCTCTGAGCGCCATCTTTGCTGTGGCCCAGGATGTAGCCAAAGCAGCCTTTGGAGGCAAGTGAGGAGCAGCCTTTGTGGCTGTGACCTTGACCACCTTGGGCGGGGGAGGTGTTGGGGGAAACAGAGAAGGAGGAGGGGAGAAGAAAAGAGAAAGGGACAATAACAAGGAGAGAGAGAGAGGGATGGGGAAGGGGACAGGCCAGCAAGCCACAGGGAAGACAGACAGGGCCACAGACAGAGGACAGCCGGCCAGGCTGGCTGAACATGGAGCCCAGAGAGGACCTGTCAGTGAGCGGATGCTGGCCTAGAGGGCAGTCTCTGGGGGTGTGCCACAGGCTGTGTTCCCAGCCCAGGACACTTGGCCTACCTAAAAGAAGAGCTACAGAAACAAACCAACCCGATCCCCAGAAGATGGAACCCGGGAGGGACACCAAACGCTGTTGGCATCCGGCGGAGCTCAATGCGAGATTAAGCAGATAGAATTTAATACAGGTTCTTTGAGAAGTTCTGCATCTGGTTTTGAAAACTAACTGCACAAGCAGCAGGGAGGGAGAGCTGCCTGTCCACAGCCCCTGCAGGAGCTGAGCTGGGGGCTCAGCGTGAGTCACTGGGTGTTGAGTTGCTGGGAAAGCTCATGTTGAGAAACAGCAAGGTAAGGAGCTGTCCAGGGAGGAGGAGGTGAGAGACCCGCCGTCCTCAGGGCTGGCCTGGCGTTCTCTGGGCCTGCTCTTCGAGGGAGGGAAAAGCAGCACAGGTGCAGGAGGAATGTTCTGGAAGGCTTGTAGAGTAGGAGAAGACAGAGACAGAAGACAGAGTAGCATCGGCAGGCTGTGGAGTCAGCAGGGGCCTGGGTTGTGTCCCAGCTCCAGCACATCCTGCGACCTTCCACAAGTCCCTTGGTCTCTCAGAGCCTCCGTTTCCTCATCAGTAAAGTGAGAGTGATAAGAGCTCCTATTTCTCAGAGCTGTTGGGAGGACTCTGTCAAGAACTGAGCACAGGGCTTGGTCCAAAGGAGGGGCCCAGGAGGTCGTGGGTCTCAGAGCTGGGGCTGCTCAGCTGGAGAAGGGGCCCGTGAGGACCTGAGAGTCATCTATGCTGTGGGAGGAGCTGCCAGTGTCTGAGCAGGTCAACCTTGCCCCATGCACACAGGCACACATGTGCACAGTGGACTCTAGAGTGGGAACTGTGTCCTGATGTGGATTTGGTCAGAGGTCAGGACATCCTTCTGACCAGCAGGAATGGTTCAAGGACGTAAGGGGCTGCCCTGGTGGTAGAGGGGACACCGAGGCTCAGGGTGATCATGGGTCTTGTCTGGGGTGACTCAGCAGAGCCAGCTCTGAACCTGTGACTCTGAGGATAGAACCAGCACTTGCGACCACTCCCCAAGGAGGAAGACACCATCCACCTGGGTAGAGTGGGTGGAGCCTCTGGACGGCCTCCACGCTGGCCTGTGGTTTAGCATGTTCTAGCATGTTCACTCTGTTCACAAAGTGCATCTGGGTAGTCACATGGAACCCTCACAACCAGCCTGCAAGACAGGCAAGGTGCTCCTCAGTATGCAGTAAGGAAACTCAGGCCCAGAGGGATAAACAGAAAGGGGTGAGGGAGTCAGGGACTCTCAAGGCACCAGGACAACATGCTTCCTTCCTGGGGGGCTCTCTGGGGACCCCTGGGCTTCCTCCTTCTACTGACCACATAAGGGCCGACCCCTCACAGGTGCACACACCATTGCAGAAAAAGGGGATCCCATGGAGGCTCTCAGCTCCAGCAGGTACTGCTGTGTGCCTACAAACCAGCCACTTCCCTGGGCATCTGAATCCTGATATGGAAGAGTAATGACGCACACTCAGAGGCTGCAACCAGGAAGAGATGCCTCCATGAGAGTGAAGTTCAGGCATGATGGCAGGTCACAGGGGGGCTTGACAAGTGACCTTTGCCACGATCCCTGATGAGTTATGGTGGGATCATGACATGGGCATTCCCAGACGTGGACACACATGCACACCATTTTGCACATCCTCGGCATACATACACAATTGTCCTAAGTGATACACCCTTTGGGTTCCTGGGGCCCCTCTCACCTAAGGAAGACCATATCCTTCGGTGGTGTGCAGGTCAGGGGCTCCGTCACAATCCCACCAGGCACTGCGAGGGAAAGGCAGCAGGACCCAGGAGAAAGTGGGCTTTGGAGCCAGACACCTGAGTTCAAATTCCAGCCTTGCCACTTCCTAACTGGTGTTCTTGGATCACTCGACCTCTCCAAGACTTTGGTTTCCTCATCTGTGAAATGGGGATGATAGTTCCACACCTCAGAAGGGGGTGGAAGCGTTAGAAGGCTGCAAGGTGTCTTCAGTGCCTCAGGACACAGCAGGCATTCAATAAGTTCCCAGTTCAATTCCTTCCAGTTGGAGTGAAGGCCGGAGAAGCACTGAGGAGAGATGGAGGAAAGATCCCGGAGGAGGTGAGACTATTCCATAGGGCGCCCCCTCCGGGAGAGGAGAGGAAGGAGAGGAAGGAGGGGCCGGTGTGTGCCTCTTCCTGCCATGAGTGCAGGGAACTCAGAGGGGGTCCACACAGTCCCCGAGTTCTGGAACTTTGGAAGCCTTGGAATGGGGGCCCAGCGAGGGGAAGGGGGGTGGTCCCCAGGCTACACAGCACATGCGTGGTAGATCCAGCGCTGGAACTCAGCCTGCCTGGGTCCTGATCCGATCTGCTGCCAGCTGCTTGTGCTCAGGAATCTGTCTCTCCAGCTGCATCAGCTCTGCCCTGGGCCCCACACTGACCCCAGGCTCTTGGGATGAGGCGGGGAGGAGAACAGCTTTACTGGGGACCAAGGACTCAAGGACTGGGGACCTAGGAGGTGTGGGCCTTTCCCTGGAGAACCCCAATTCCATCTCATTGTGGAAGAAGTGGGGTCTGAGGACAAGAAGGATGTAGCTGTGTGACTTTGGGCAAGTAGCATGACCTCTCTGTGCCTCAGTTTCTTTGTCTTAAAATGGGATAATAATGGTTCCAGACTCAGAGGGTTGCCATGAGGAATAAGTGCCCCACTGTGCAAGTAACGGGCCTGCACACAGCAGGCGCTCAGTGAATGTGGGCTGCTGTGATTAGAACCGTGTGTGCATCCCTGCCCGGCTACCTCCTGGCTGTCTGACCTTGAGGGCATCATTTTCCCTCTCTGTGCCCATATCCACAGCCTAAAATGGGGACGATGCTAATACAATGCCACAGGTTGTTGTCAAATTCAAATGAGGCCATGGGTGAGTAAACGCAAAGCCCAGTACAGTACACCTGCACAAACTGAAAAGTGCTGTGCAGTTATTCACTGTTATTCCAGTCGCACTCCCCTCTATGCCCGCTGCCCATCCAGTCTCTCCTGAGTGCTCCCCCCAGCCCCCTCCAGCCTGCCTGCTATGAGTCGGAGGTGCCAGGAATGAGGCCACTTCATCACGTAATGTGCCGGGACAGCCTTGGAGGGAGAGGGGACCGGCGGGGCGGGAGGAAGTCGGGGATGGGGTAGGGGGTGCCAGAATCTGCCCACAGAGTCCCCTGCTGTCTCAGTGCTCTGCAATAGGATGATGAAGGGCTCCCCTGCTGCTCCCACAGCTCTGAATGCAGAAGCCCCAAGCAGGTTGGAGGCCGAGGAGACCAGGATCCTCTTCCAAGTGTGTAAGGACTCACCTGCAGGGTCCACTGGCCCTGAAAGGCAGCAGAGTTGTGATTGCCGGGTTGATGCAGTACCCAGGCCTTTAGTACTAAGAAGCTGAGCTGGCTTCATGCCTGGGATCATGAGTGTGAGCCCTGGGCACACAGTGATGGCCTCTCTCCTCTCTCTCCCTCTTCCAGGCTCACAGAGGGCAGAAGACAGTCCTGGCCGTGAGGCAACATTCAACTTGGAGCTGGGCCCACCAGTCCTGAGGGCAGAAGGACAAGATTGGACCCTACAGCAAAGGGTTGGTGGAGGCTGGGGAGTGCGTGAGGGCTCTGTTAGGCAGGCTGGGGTTCTGAGGTGGGCGCTGGGGTGAAAGGGGACAGGGACTGGATGGAGGAACACAATCAGAGCCATGCTAGGGAGGGGTCCCCGGGGCAAAGGCTGGAGCCCACAGCTCAGCGGCTTAGAGCTGGTGGACCTGAGGCTGCTGCAGGGTCCTCTGACCTTGTCAGTCCTGGCCCTGAACCTAGGATGGCCTGAGCTGTGGAGAGTGGGGTCTACAAACGTCTGGTGTCCAGCCTCAGGATTTTCCATGAAAGCCACAAAGGGTGGGTGTATGGGTACACCCAGGACTCAGTTCTTCATGAGGGTGGAGGGAAAGGTGGGGGATTCCCTACCCGGGGAGCCCCATGGCACAAAGGAGAGTGTAAGATGCAGCTGGCTTGAGAAGTGGCCCAGGGAACTGGGCCATGGGCATTGTGGGTCAGAGTGGGGGTGAGTTAAAGCCCTGGGTTGGAAAGGACAGAAACTCCATGCTGACCGGCTTAAGCAGAAAGGAGCTGATGGGATCCCCTGACTGGAGGTCCTGGGGGTGTTCTGGGCTCAGCAATGTTCTCCAGACCACTCTTGGCTCCGGTATCCACCAAGATGGCTCTCATGCCTGCCAGCTCTGCATATGGCCACCCCCTCAGTTCAGTCCCATTGGCTTTGATTGTGTCTTCCTTCAGCTGATCGCTGTGTCCAGGAGGATGCAAGATACTGATTGGCCAGGCATGGGGTTCAGCTCATCCCTGATCTGGGCTGGGATGATTTCCCTAACTGGCCCTGATTCTGATGATTTCTGCAGGACCCCCAAGGCCTGTCAGGGCTGAGCGGTGGTTCCCCAAGGAAAATGAAGAGGGGTGTTCCTGAGGCTGAACCAGATGCTCGAGAGGTAGATGTTGGTAATGGAGTCACAGACGGGAGTGGTGGTATTTGGGCACCACCTAGTATCCTGCTGGCTCAGTGCACCCATCTTCCAGCTGTGGAGTGTCAGCTGCCAACGGTTCACAGATGTGCCCTGTCTGGAGAACTGTCCTTAGCTGAGGGAGCTGACTGGCTGGAACTACCACTGGGGGCAACCGCAACTGATGACGGGTTGACACAGGGTGCAAAAGACCCATCTCACTGCCTGAGGTGGGACAGCCATGTGGTGCCACACACGAGGCTCCAGAGCTCTCCTTGGGTGCACTGAGCCCACGCCCTGGCCTTGCTTCTTGCCCGCCCTCCACTGCTTCCCTGACTCCCCTTCTCCTGAGCCTATGTCCTCCACAGTCCCAAACATCCCCACACGTCCCCATCTCAGACTCAGCTTCTAGGGAGCCCGACCTATATGGAATCTTCTGGAACAGCCATCCTCACACACCTGCCATCCTGTAGATTACATTCCCTGTGTGAAGGCCTGATTCCAAAAAGGCCCTATCACCAGGCTCCCAGCAAGGCAGGGCCAGTGTCTTGGCACCTGGCAACCCAAGCTACTGCCACGAACTCATCCCAATTCTTCCCAGGTCTGCTCCAGGTCGTCATGAAGTCCGTTCTCTCTACCTAATTTCCACATCTCTCCCTGCTCAGGTTTGATTAACAGAAGGTTATAAACAAATTCCAGAAAGAAGCAAAACCAGGGTCTCCCCGGGGTAGACACAGTCTATTGACAGCCAGCAAATTGTTTTGCAACCAATATTTTTATATTTTTATTTTGTGTAGATAAATAGGACTGAACTAATTAGTGCTCCTTTGCTTTCCTTTTTCAGGCCTTGTACTACAGTGGGAGTCTCTTGGCCCCATAGTGAATTGGTTACCGGGTTTCAACAAGGGGTTTGTCTTCACAGTCGCAGTTCGCTAATTAATTTACAAGGAGAGAAGATGGGGTGGTCTAAAGTCCCAATGAGAGTGTTGTTTTACATTTCTCCTCTTTAATTACATGGTTATTTCCTGGACTATACTCTGTGAAAATGGGGAAAGGCTCAACTGTTCCCAATGTGAATGCAATTAACAGGGGAGAAAATGGTTGTGGGGATGGGGCTTCTGTGCAGGAGCCTGCACCCACCTCTTCTTCAGAGTCGCCTTAGGGCTTGGAGGCTCAGCCACTGGGGCTTAGTTGGCCTCAGGTGTGATGGCATAGGGAAGGGCTGCTTTGATCACTGGGATGCAATATCCAGGGATTTGGGTCAGGAAAGGCTTGGTCCTGTATGAGCTACCATTTTGGGGCATCTACTATGTGCTAGGTGCTTTACATGGATTTCCTAAACTGAACTTCACAGGGATCCATTTTACAGACCCACTCTATAGGCAAAGGAACTAAGGCAGACAGATGTGTGCAGGGCCCTGGGCTAGGTATCGGATGCAGGGAAGGGGGCTGAGCATTTTACAGCTGCTGAATGGAGACTCTGAGGTGCAAGATTGGCTGAGACAGTCGAGATGCGGCTGGAATTAGAAACCAGGCCTGTTGTCTCAGAAGTTTCTGCTATTTCGAGTCCCTCTTTGCTGCTGTCTGTTGAACTTTTCTGTGCCTTAGTTTTCTCATCTGTAAAATGGGCCCTGCAAACCAGATAAGATGAGTTTGAAGGCCGCTTGGGCTTCGGTGTGCTGTGTTCTGAAGAAGGGGGGCTCCAGTCCACAGTGGGGCACAGGTGCAATCAAAGAGAGCTCCGTTCATCCCTGTGACCTGGGGAGGCACAGGGCGGCAGAATCAGTCCCTTTAAACTTCCCACACCAAAGACTCTGGATTGGGTGGCAACTGCCTTCTCTAGCTCCCACTCCCTTCACCCTGAAATGTCTGGGAAGGTCCCCGGGTACTGACTCTGGCCCCGGCCTCCAGCTGTGCAGAGGATTTGCACACTAGGGGTGGCAGCTCAGACCTGGCTGTTGAGGGTGGGCGGGGGCTGAGCAGGAGCACCCCAAGGATGGCCCCTCTAGCTCCCATTCTCTCCAGTTTCTCTTTCCAAATGGCCACGTTTTTGTCCCTGAATCAGGTTGTGAATGTCTCCAAGCCAAATATTCCGGAAAGAACTCTGACTGCAAGGGGATGGAAAAGAGTAACCAACTCCAAAGGGGAGATGACCACGCAACTCCACAGATGCTGAATGGAGAGAGACTTAATGGATCAGAGAAATAAAATCAACGGAGTTTATCACCCCCAGCTCAGCAAACAATAGTGCCATCAGCACCATAGGGCCAGTTCCTTGCCTCCAAGTCCCATCAGCAGACGCAGTGAGTCCAGATGGTGACTGTACACGTGGTCATTTACACTGCAGCCCAGAAACCCAGAGCCAAGGGGTCTACACCTTTGATAGCAAGCAGCCAGGAAGACAGGCCCCTCCCCAGGGGAGTCCACAGGCACTCAGCAGTCACACTGTGAGCACCTTAACCTGCTTAGTGGCCTATGTGATCAGCCAAAGAAACTGCCTAGTGAGAGGGGACAGTTGGGCCTTGCAGCGGGGCACACCCAGCACAATCTCCGTGCAGGGCTTGCTTGGAGCCTGCCTCTCCCATGGCCTGGCTGGGTGGGGTGGGGTGATGTTGGGAAGGTCAAGCAGAGGTGGCCAAGGGGCTCCTGAGAGGTATTAGTCTCTCAGGCACCTTGGAGACACCATGGACTCTGGACTCTGCCATCCAGAGCCCTGATGTGAGTGGCTCTGTCCCTGGGGTGCCCTGTGGCCGTGGTCATGTGACTGCCTCTCTGGGGCTCAGTTTGCTCCCCTGGAGATGGGGAGAAGGATTCCCCCTTGCTGGGGGGAGACTGCAAACTGAGGGGATGTGTGCAAAGTGCAGAGCACAGGTCGGGCGTCCTCGCTGTTCAAGACGAAGCTGCACCATTGTGGCTACTGCAGCACAGGGTCTGGGCCCAGGTTCGAGGCTCAGGTCATACAATCCCACCAGGGCTTCAAGAAGGAGTCAGCCTCTCCTCCACATTCACAGCTTCCTTTCCTCCCTCATGGAAAACCTATACCAGGTCAAAGTGTCTTCCTTCCCATTGCCCTGCCAGGGTGTGGGGTGTCTCACAAGGCTCCTCAAGTTCCCTGGGGAGCTTCAAAGTGCAGATTCCCAGGTCCCAGCCCGGATATCCTGTCTTGAAATGGGTGAGGAGCCCTGAAACTGGCATTTCAGGGAGACTCTGGGGCATTCTGAGTGGCCACCCTGCGTCTGCCCAGGCCTGGGTGCAAGTCCCTCTCCTTCCCTGCTCTCTCCTATCCCATCTGTGAGTGGGGTTGATGCTGCCAGGCCCCTACTGAAGGCTCAGTAATGTGCTTTGGTGGAAGTGCCTATGCCTGGTGCACAGTAGGCACTTTATCCATATAAACGTCCCCCAAACCCCAGCACCAGCAAAGCCAGCCCTGTCTAAGGTGTCCCACTGGGTGAGTGTGACTGCGGGTAAGTCATTTCCTGATTTGAACTAAACTCTGCTTCCCAGACAGCCCCTGCTCTGCCTGGTCTCCACACTCAGTGACCAGCTCAAGACAGGCGCTCAGTAAATGCACTTGTTGAATAAATGAATTAAGGCATCCATCTGGTGCCATAGACAATACACCTGCACCCTGTCGCAGCCCACAGCCCATCAGTGGAAACACCAGTAAATGATACGAAATGACACAAGACCGTGAGAGCTGACACACACAGGCTTCCTGTGCTGGGATTTGCATCCTTACAGTCTCAGGAGAGAGGCACTATTGGATCCCATTTCATGGAAGAAAACAGTGAGGCTGGGAGAGGAGAAGGGCTTGCGGTGGTCAGAGGAAGAGCTGGGCCTGTTTGCCCCAAAGGGCCCATAAGCTTTTTCTCCTTTCAGTGGAAAACAGTGTCCTGGGAGCTGCCTCTGTCACCTCCGTTGGTGCTGTTACTATAGCAGCCACCTCAGCTCCCGGTGAGGGAAGCGGAAAATAGGTCAGATCAGTAATGAGGCTGCACAGTGCTGATCTGTTCCCTGATGGGATCTGGCTTCACAAGGCATCGTCTGCACATCAGAGGCAGCCTATGTCTGGGACCTGGATCAAAGGCCAGCTGCCTCTGAGCCCAGACACTGAGCCTGGAAGGTCTGTCTGGGCCTCGGGCCTCAGAAGGTCCCTCCTTGATCCTCCCACAGTGAGTCATGCTGTCCCTGGCATCAGTTCCCACCTGGTTTCATTCAATGCCTGGATCTAGCAGTGAGCTGAGGTTCCTGGGAACGACCACCAACAGGCTGCCTGAGAGCCTACATTGGGCTCACTGTGGCTTCCTTTCAAGTGGCAGCTCATAGTGAGCAAAAGGCTTTTCATTCCAGGAAACCTGGGTTCAAATCCTGCTCTGTCCCTCCACGCTGTGAAACTTTCTCCCATGGCTCCACTTCGTCACTGGTTAAGTGGGGATCATAACTTCCTGGTCACAGTGCTGGTGGAAAGACCCACTGGGGGTGATGCCTGTGGGGGCTTGGAATGTGGCAGAATTGGGGGCATCCTCCTCTCCAGGGCACTGTGGGCAGAAAGTCCTGCCTCTACCTTGTGCTGTGTGACCTTGGGCTCATGGTCAACCTCTCTGAGGCTCTGCTTCCTCCTCTATAAATATAATTTTGATGATGAAACAAGACGACAAGTTTTTACCCAAACCTTGTGCCTCAAGGCTGGAGGCTTCCCAGCCATCTCATTTAATTCTCAACCCTGCCTCTACCACATGCCTCCACACTCCCTCCAATATTCCTTATAACTTAATTATGTATTATGCTTACTATTTATCACCTGACTGCCCCATTGGAATGTCAGTTCCCAGAGGGCAAGGATCTTTGTTTTGTTTTCTGATGGCCCCAAGTACTAGAACAATGCACACAGTAGGTGCTCAGTAAGTGCTGTCGAGTGAAACCATAAGTTCCCTAGCACAGAGCCTGACCCTGGACATGGGCTCAATCAATGCCCACTGCTTCTCTCTAGCGCCCCCTCCCTCTCCGGTGGCCCCACAGCTGGGCCTGCCTTACCACCTACAGTAGGGATGGGGGTGGCGAGAGGGCCTGACCCTCAGCAGACCCCAGTCTGCTATGCAGTTCCCGCACAGGTGTGCACATGTCCAGGTACCTGTGGACACTCACTTCTTTCCTTTCTTTACCTGTTCTTTATTTCACCAGTAGTTTTTCAGTTCCTGCCACATTTATCATACAACCCCAGTCTGGGCACCATGGAGGGAGAAGGGTTAAAGGGATTTCAGTTGAACCATCAGGCACTCTTCACTGATGTGGGGGGAACACGGCCCCAGGAGGCTGGTCCTTCTGAGAGGAGGTCATAGTCTGATGGGTAGAGGGGCAGAAAACAGGCAGGTGAGAGAGTAGCTTGTGGGAGAGGCTCTGACGGGGCACAGATGTGTGTGTGTGTGTGTGTGTGTGCATGCACATGTGTTCATGTGTGTGTGTGTCTGTGCGCTATGTGTGGAGGGCCTGGCTGGTAGGCAGATCACGGAACTCCCCCAGCCCCCTTCCTCCCCCCCACTCACGATTCCCGGCCCTGCATCAGGCTCCAGTGGAGGGACATGGCACTGAACAAGGAAGACAAGGTCCCTGTTGTCAAGGAGCCCAGTCAATTGGAGGGTGGGAGTAGAGACTGTCATTAAACAGGCAGAGGGTGGGAGCAGTGGTTCTTGGGTCCTGGTCACCAGCGCACAGCCCTTCTGGGTCCCTGAGCCTCAGCCTGGAAAGTCTGGAACTATCTGAGCCTTGAGCCTGGGTCTGCACAGCCTGTGGAAGCCTCTGTCCCACCTTTCCTGGGGTGACAGTCAGAGCCTCCCCACCAGCTCACAGGGGCCCAGGCCAGGCCAGCTCGGGGGCTGTCTCAGGAGAGGCCCCTGAGGAGCGAAGATGGGAGTGGCTTGTCTCTTCCCCACCAAGTCTACTGGGTTCTGGGCTCTGGTTTCCTTTCTTCAGCAGGTGACCCTGGGACTCCAACCTTCCTGCTCGGGAGCTGCTAAAGTTGGGGTGAGAGGAGAGGGGGCCACCCTGGGATGTCCTGGAAGACCCAGTGCAGATCTGGCTTCCTCCAGAATTCCAGCCCCTCCTTGCCTATTCTCCCGTTTATCCCCTGCCAGGGAATCATTATTTTCCAGAGAAACCCGAACTGACCCTGGCAGGACAACCGTTGCTCAGAGACCACTGAGAATACAACCAATTAAATGGGGAAATACGGGAGAAGACCTCCACAGCGGGGCAGGGCGAGTCCATCAGAAGAATAAACAGACTCGAAACAACAGGGGGCTCCTGGCTCCTGGTTCCCAAGCTGCTCATCCCAAGGATGCACCAGAAAACTCCTCTCAGCGAAGGCCGCCTACCAGTCTCACTCCTCATAATTAATATGACAGGAAAACAGCAACCCTAGCAGCAGCTGCTTGTTCAGCTGGGATGCATCTGCTGAGAGCTGGGCTCATGGATTTGTCACCTGGGGATTCAGGGCCCATTTAACCCACTCAGACGTGAAGGTGCTGGGAGGGGCAGACTAGGGTGAGCCCTGGGAGGGGGGAATCTAGAGTCAGTGACCAGGACCCTGCATTTTGATGATGAGAGGAGCTTAGAGATCTTTGGCCCAACGTCCTCCTGCAGATTCTGAAACAGGAGGAGAGGGCCCTGGAACCTTCCTTCCCACACTCGGGCGGAGGATTTTCAGATCTTGCAGTCCCCTCCATGGCAGCTGTCACACATGGGATCTCGGAGTCAGAGCTTCTTTCGTGAGCTTCAAAACACTTTCATAAAAGCTTTAAATCACAGAATCTGAGTATCTGCTCCCTTTCACAGAATCTTAGAATTCCAGAATCACAGAATCATTTGTGGACTCACGGACTCAAGACTCTCAGAATGAAGGCATCTCTGGAGAAGACTTGGAGCCTCACCCACAGCTCAGACCCCTGGAATCACAGAACAATCAGGAGAAGCATGGAGCTGAAATAGATATTGTGGAATCAGCATCTCAGCACAGGACGTGACCTTAGTGCAATTCCCCCTGGTCATGTGGGAAGTCTTCCCTTCACTGTTCCTTGAGAAAGAACTTGAATCCTCCCAGGGATTAGGAGGTCACCCACTGCCAGGGCAGTCTGCCCCACTGGTTGGTAGATCTGTTGATGCTGAACCTAAATCTGCTTCCACATATCCCACCCCCCTTCTGCCCACACTTCCTGCCTCCCCCCACCCACTCCATGCCCCTGAGGAGCTAAATGTGAAAACTGATGAACCTGACACTGTTGAGGAAGCCAAGTTTCTTCTGACAAACACAGGAGCCAGCTTATCCTTGGGCTGGAGGGGCCTGTCCTTCTCCGGGGCAGAGCCTGGACACTGGCCATGGACACAGCAGCTGCGTCAGCCCATTGCAGCCACCTCTGTTCACCAAGGCTGGAGCAGACTGCTCAGGCTGGAGCCTGGAGGCCAGGGAGGGGCACCTCCCTCCAGAGGGGACCAGTGAGGGACAGAGGAGGATGGGAAGAACTAGATGAAAGGAGGAAGAAGGAGGCTCCGCATCCTGGGCGGGCATGAAGGAAGGGATGATGCCCCTTCTCAGGGGCTGAGAGAACACCCAGAGCCAGGAGTGGACAGACAAGGCTGGTCTGTGGGCCAGCTGGTCAGCTGACTGGTCGGAGTTATCCCAGCCCTGCCACCGACCATGGGATGAATTTGGGCAAATTACTCAATGCCTCAGAGCCTCAGTTTCTCTATCTGTGAAATGGGCTTATGAAGCCCCCTCTGTGTGATTGGTGCAGGGCTGTGTTGGGATTCACGGAGGGCACTCACCTCCCAGCACGGTCCTTGGCACAGTCAGGTTAAAATATATTAATTCCCCCCGTCCCTCCATCCTTGGGCCTGGGGGATGAGCAGGATTCTCCAGATGGAGAAGATCTGGGAAAGGCATTCCAGGTGCAGGGAACAGGCTGTGCCAAGGCCTGGGAGCCGGGAGCACATGAAGACTTGGAGTGTCAGGATGTGGGGGTGAAGTGCAGGCCTGGTCTGGGGGCAGTGGGCCCTGGATGCCACCATCCAGGATGGGGGGGTGAGGATGCTCGGAGCCATGGCAGGCACAGGTAGCCTCCTGCAGAGACCCTCCACCCTCCTTTGGTGCCCAGTCTCAGCTTGGGGGAGAGAGTGCAGCTGCCCAGCCTCGTGGGACCCCACCAGCCAGGCAGGGGCAGAAAAGTGGAACCAATGAGAGCACACCAGAAACAATCATCAGACAGAGGAGGTCCGTGCCCAGCCAAACCCCAGCCCTGAGCACATGGAATGATTGGATGCTGAAACCCAGCACCGGAACATTAGGGCAGTTTAGAAGGGTCTGGCATGGTTTTATTCTGACATAAAGGGCTGGATCTCATTAAGTTCACTTCAAATGCCAACTGGGGAATAAAAAAGGCCAAGTCCCCTGATGAGCCTGGGCCCTGGCACCAGCCCAGGGTAGATGTGGGGGAGCAGCCGGAGGCACGCTGTGGGGACATAGGAAGCTGGGATCTCAGCTCTGCCCCCGTGAGCTGTGTGATGTGGGGCACGTTGCCTAACCTCTCTGTGCCCGTGCTCCTCCTGCAGGACAGGGTTGATGCTGGTGGCTCTCGTGCAGGGCAGCAGCGTAGACTGAAGGAGGCAGCTCAAAGGCGGCCCCAGCTTCCTCACACCCGGGCTTCACTTTGTCTCCTGTTCCCCGGGCAGCCATTCATTTTTCTCTCCCATTCCCCCACCCGCCCACTCAGGACCTGTGCCCTCATTCACCAGGCGTGGGTTTATTCCCCATCAGCCCTGAGCTCCCCTTCCTCAGTGCATTTATTCACTGCCCAGCCCTCCCTCAGCCCCCAACCCGTGCATGACTCTGGCCTCTGCTGTGAGTAGCCACGATCCTTCCTGTGCCCGTGAAGGGGGCCGGGCAGTTTAAAGAACCCAGTGTGACTTCATTTAGGCCTCAAGTCCCCAAGGTCCCCACCCAGCTTCCTCCTCCCAGGTCACTCAGGGGCAGGGCGTTAATGGGTGGACCCTGGGGGAGTCCAGAGCCACCCATCGGAGGGGAGCCTGCCACTTCTCAGTGGTGTCTGTGTGACCTGGGCCAGATCACCTGTCCTCACTCTGCCCAGGAAATCCTTTCATCTCTGGGCATGGGGAGTTGTCTGAAACTCCCTGTGGCTCTGGGCTGGGAGAAGGCTCTGCCTCTGGCTAGTTATCCATCCTTCTTGCAGCCCTGGTTTCATGGTGGAAGAACACATGAATATAAAAGAAAAAGCAGGGACCCTGGGGTCAACCAGACCTGGGTTCAAATCCCCCTCCTGCCACTTAACAAGCTGAGTGGCCTGGGTCTAGTCAATCACCCTCAGGAGCTCAGACTCTCCTCCAGGATGGCCGGTAAAGATGCAGCAGTGCAGAGGATAAAGCGACACATAGAGACACTCCCTTGGGTTCCTCCTTCTGACAGGGAGAAAGGTGGGCGGGTCGGGGAGACGGTGGTGCTGTTTCCAGGCCAGGTGGGCTCTGCCGCCCCTGGAGGCCGTGAGATGGATCATTTCACAATCTGTTCTCCGTGTTATGGTGCTCTGAAGACATCCTGCAGCTACATACACAGTGGATTGTACTAGTTAATAGATGGCTTTTTGTTTCTGGAGTTTTTTAGCTTGTACTTAAGGCCTCATGGCATGCAAATATTATGCTAATGAGCAGAAGAGTGGGTTGAACCCAAAGTCTAGGAAGTATCTGCCTGGATTGGGCTGATTTCTCTGCTCACCTTTCCTGCTGTAATCCTCCCACATTCCCTGGGAGCAGGAGAGTGGGGGGCAAGGAGAAGGGGCCTTAGAGCCGGAGACACCTGGGTTCAAAGCCCAGCCCGCCCCTTCCTGCTGTGTGTGATCCTGGGCGAGACCCTGCATCTCTCAGCCTATGTGTCTCCATCCCTGCAGTGGGAGTAATGATCCTTTCGTGGTGCAGGGCTCGCGTGGGTCTGAGGAGGCAGCGCTCTGTAAAGGCAACTCACACCCTTGCTGTAAGAAGCAGTGCCTCTTGAGGGAAAGTGCAGTCATCTGGGCTTTGGAGCCTTGGGAGAGCAAGTGCTCCTTGAAGGGAGATGCTGTAATTTCCGCTAATGAATGGCAACTGCTGCTTATCCAGCCCTCACCTCCTTTCCCGTCCAGTACAGTATGTTTTATGTGTGACCTTTGCCGAGTGCAGCCATTCCTCTGGGGGAGAAGTTTTTTAATTGAAATTTGAACAGCCTGGAAGATTTATTCTACATAATAAGTATAAAGTGCAACTGTGCACAAACCACACACTTTGTGATGGGAGAGGTAAGCTGAGGTGGGCTGAGGCCTGGGCCTGGCTGGGGCCTCTGAGGAGAGGGGCTGGGGACCCGAGGCTGCTCTGATCAAGGCTTCATGCAGAAGCTTCTTTCACTGTGGGTTCTGCATTAGATTCAGCTTATAGTTTGCCTGGCTTTGTTGAGAGAGGTGGGTGTTGAGGTTTGCTGAGCACCTACTGTGTGCCAGGGCCACCTCCCATCAACCCCGCACTCTCCCCAACATAAACACGGCTGTTCCCACTATCTTGGAGGCAAGTCTGAGTTCCTGAGGATGATTGACTCGTCCCAGGCCACTCAGCTCATTAAGTGGTGGGAGGGGGATTTGAACCCAGGTCTGGTTGACCCTGGGGTCGCTGCTCATTTCTTGGCCCCCTGCAGGAGGGATATGGGGAGCTGACACTGCAGACATAGGTGGTGGGATTTGTCGTTAACCCAAATGGGGCTAAGTTCGGAGGATCAAATTTCAATTTGATTGCATCTTGAGCACTTTCTTGTGAAGCACAAGGCCTGGTCCTTTGGGGGAAGAGGCTAAATGAGGCAGGTCCAGCCCTCTGGGGACATGCATCTCATGAGTGTATGCGTGTGTGTGTGTGTGTGTGTGT
This sequence comes from Homo sapiens, assembly GCF_000001405.40. Lineage (NCBI taxonomy): Eukaryota > Metazoa > Chordata > Mammalia > Primates > Hominidae > Homo > Homo sapiens. Next base: position 30,317,132 of record NC_000001.11, on the reverse strand, counting down.
GTGTGTGTGATGGGGAAACTCCACGAAGGTGAACAGAGGCATGCAAAGATATTCTGGGGAATTACATGCTTAGAAAGGCTTCCCTGAAGAGACAGGCTATGGACACGAAAGGTACTTTGCAGAAAAGAGTGGGAAATGTGTCTCAGGCAGGGGGACTGGCATGAGAAAAGGCATGGAAGTGGGAATTACCTGACTGATGCATTCCTTCAACAACAGAAATTTATTCATACTTACAGACACTGTTTTTGGTACTTGCAATACAGATGATTCAGAAATGACTCCTGCCTGCAGTTCCTAGAGATCCAGATGAGGAATCAGATTGTATTAGTTATCTCTTGACTTGTGATATGTCACCCCAAAACTTAACTGCTTAAAAGAACCCATATTGATGACTTATGGCTTCTGTGGGTCAGGAATCCAGTCATTCCTTAACCAGGTTTTTTGGCTCAGGGTTGCATAGAGGCTGTAATCAGAGCATTAGCCAGGGTTGTGGTCATAGTTGAAGGCTCGACTGGGGAAGGACCTGGTTCTAAGCTCATGTGGTTGTTGGCCGGATCTAATTTCCCACTGGACTGAGGGCCTCAGGGCCTCCCTTCCTTGCTGCTGTTGGCCAGAGGGTGTCCTCAGTTCTTTGCTCTGTGGACCTCTGCAACATGACAGTTTGCTTCATGAGAGCATAAAAGCTAAAAATAATAATATGGAGAGCAAGACAGCTGTCAGTCTTTTGTAAGCTAATTTCATAAGTGATATGATACCCATTGTTATTGTCACACTCTATTCATGAGAAGCAAGTCACTAGATCCAGCCCACACTCAAGGGGTGGGGATTACAAAAGACCATGAGTACAGGAGGCCGGGGTCACTGGGAGCATGCCAGAAGCTGCCTGCCACACAGATAATTACAAACAGTGTGGAGGTAGGTGCTCCACTGTGTGGTCTCAGCAAGTTACGAGCCTCAGTCTCCTCATCTGTACAGTAGAGAGTAATGATCTCTGTCTCACAGGGTGGTGGTAAGAATTAAGTGAGATGATGCAGTAATGGACAAGGAGAAAGCCTGGCACCTATTATGCACTCAGAACATGTTCACCTCTCAGCTTGAGGGGCAGAATTAAGGGAGGAATTCCTTCTGCCTGGAAAAGATTTCACCAAAGAGATGAAGTCTGAGCTTTGAAGGATGCATAGGAGTTTCTCAGAAGGGGGAGGAGAAGGGAGGGAAGAGATACAGCAGAAGCAAATCCCTGGCAGGGTGAGGGTGGGGTTAGGCTGCTTTGCCTGGAATCTCCTGTAGGGAAGGGGTGGGAGAGATGGCCAGTGGTAAAGCTGCTGAGTAGGGATGTCTGATGCTGATGCTGATGGCTTGAGGCAGCTGACAGTGGGAGCCACAGTGGTCCTTGAGCAGATGCATGTGACGTGGAGAACAGCTGTTCTGCCTGGTGACTGCTGATGTCACACAGGAACAGGAAGAAGCAGAAGCAGGAGTCTGTGCTTCAGGATTCATCCATTAGGAGCAGTGATCCTGGGTGTCTAGGATTCTGGGGAGGTGGGCATGTTGGCTCATCTAGTGGGAGCTCTATTTCCTTGTTCAAGCCCTTCACCTCACAGACAGGGAAACTGAGGCTCAGAGAGGACAAGTGATTTCCCCAGGGACACACAGTAGAGAGGAGCAGGTCAGCCATTAGGATGCAGGGTGAATTGGGGTGGGAAAGAAGGACCCAGCCAGAGCCTGTGGGAGAAGAGGGAGTCGGAAAATGCTAACGTCTTCTCTCCTTGGCTGTCAGCCCTCCCCACGCCTGTGCTGTCACAGAAACTGTCAATTCTGCCTCAGAAACATCCCTTGACCTCTTCCAGGTTTGGACATGACATTGCCTCATGTTTCTCTATCCATCTGACAATCAGAGATGCCCAAGCTGATCTCCTGAGGCAGCTGGTAAGTTCTGTTGAAGAGCAGGTGTGGGTGCACACTGGGTGTTCAGTGGCTGCTGGATGTGGAGCCACTTCTCTCCTTTTCCCCTCTTCTTGCTGCTGAATTCTGCCTGCTGCCACGTGATGAGATCTGTCGCCTCCTCTCCAGCCCTGGATGCCAGCTCCAGACCACTCTCACCTCCCACCCGACCACTGCAACACTCTTGTTCCCCAGGCCCCCTGCCTCAGGTTCCCTCCAATCCATCTTGAGTGAGCCGCCACAGAGGCACACGCCCATCATGTTCCCCCTGTTAAAAACAAACACTCAGACAAGAACTCCAAGCCCTCTGCAGCTCCTCTTGCCTTCGAGTTAAAACTCAAGCTCATAGGCACAGCAATTGATGTTCTTGGGAATTAACCTCAACTTCTCCTCCACCCACATTTCCTGCTGCTCCCCTAGACTGCCCCCTCCTTCAGCCACATGAGATCCTCCCTCATCACCATCTGGGATGGAGGAGACCATATAATCAAAGCAGGGTCGGGGAATGGGCAGGACCAGAAGGCCAGGAGAGCCAGAAGACCAGGAGAGCTAGAAGACCAGGAGGGACTTTAAAACTCCGCAGGATGCTCCTGGTGCCTCCCTGCTTCTCCCTTCCCTCCCTCCCTCCCTAGAGGCTCAGAGCAACCCATCACCCTGCTGGAGGGGGTCCAGGCTGGCTCCTGCCCCTGTCATGGGGTCTTCTTGATCCTACCTCAAGGCTCACCCTCTCACCTCTCAACTTGGCACCCCTCCTTTCCTCTGAATTCTTGCTCTTCCTGCTGGGGTACCTGCTAATGCCTGGCTGCCCCCCCAGAATCTCTCATGCTGAAGCTCCTTAAAAAGAACTCCACACTGTGTTTTCCAGAGTGCAGGGAAATGTTAATTACCACTAAGGCTTTCCTTGTCTTGGAAACCTCCATCTGTGAATTCTGTGAAAAGGAATGAGGTCCTGATTGGAGGAAGACAACACAATTCTGAGGTCACATTCCCCTGTCCTCAGAGGGAAAACTGCCGTTTTGTGTTCGTGTTGGGGATGCAAGCACAAGACTTTGAGAACACAGAGCCAGGCCTCAGGTGATCCCCAGGAAGGGACAGCAGGTGACCATGGGTGAGACCAGTAAAACCTGCAGAATTGGATATTAGTTTTTCTATCTCTGATGTCTAGACATACTTTAATCTCCATGCTACTTGGAAAGTTGATGTGCTCACAGAAAATAAAATGTGCTGACAAGCTCTTTGTGTCCCAGGTACAGATCTGGGTAGGTAAAGTGCAGCGGGTTCCTGGGCCAACAGCCGCTATGGTACCCTTGGCAGCCTCTGATAGCTCCAGGGCTGGGGAAGTGACTGGGGACACGGGGGTCAGAAGAGCCAGGGTCTTTACTTACAAAACGAGCCAGGTTGTCTTCCTGACTCTGTGTCAAGCCACCCACTAGGGACAGGTGTGAGGATGCTGGGTGCCCCAGGCTGGTCTCTGAATGTCTCACCAGCCTGTGGATGGAAACACAGTGTGACAGGTAAGCTTGGGTCTCTTCAGCTCCGAGTGTCTCCAGAACCTGAGGGAACTGTGCCTTGCAACTGCCCTTTCCTAATCTAAGAATCCCTTGAGGGTCTAACGTGGACTCAAAAACCTTCCCATCAACAGCTGCAGTCGGCGAAAGCTGCAGAATGAGGGCTGCTCCCCTCCCACTGTCAATGTCTCTACTCGGAGAGCCTATAGAGGTGCCCCTTGACTGCCCTGTTGTCACTCCCCAGTGCGGTGTGGGGAGGCCACTGTCTATGCTAATGGGGCTGGGTCTTCAGGCTTCCAGAGCTGCCTGCTCTCTGGTCTCCTGAGAGGTGCCTGCTCTGCACAGAAGTAGAGAAAACTCCCCTTTCCCAGCTCCATGTTGCACTTGGTCTCCTGGGTCCTTGCACAGCTTCCGCTGGCAACATGGCTGGAGATCAAGAATTGGGGGTCTCAGCCTACCCGTCAGGAGCACCACATTGCATGGGGACATGGGCTTAGAACCAGGGGAGTCTTGGGACACAAGCTCAGCAGCCCCCAGTGATAGGAATGACTCTGCCTCGGAGTGCATGAATGGCTCCAACCCTGGTCAGTTGATGTGCTGACCTCCCCGATGTTCAAACCCAGCCGTGTGGATGAATAGACAATAAATCAATCACAGTTCCATTACCTAGTTCAGAAGCAATGGAGAGGAGAAGATGATTTACTTTATAGGCAGAGAGGAGGCCTCTCATCTGGGTTTTTGTGGATGAATAGGAGTTTACCAAGGGACCCAACCATGTGAGACTTGAGCTGAGCTCCGAGGACAAGACTCTGTGACCCGAGCAGGTCAGGAGAGAGAAATGGAGGAGAGGGGAACCAGGTCCTGGGGAGATCATGGAGGCTCTCTTGAAGAAGCCAGCTCAGAATTTGGAACACCCCATGGATTTTTCAGTTCCTGTAGCTAATGCTTTCCCATTTTGTTTATGTTAGTTTGGGTGGATTTCTATCATTTGCGTGAAAAGTTTCCAAATAGCCCTCTGGGTTGCTCTGTCCTTGCAGGCGGGAGCGGTGGGTAAGAGGCATAGGGCGCCTAACAGTCTCTGAGCAACTGCTCAGGGCAGAGGATGCGGCTCTAGGCCTCTGCCCACACTATGGCATCACCCCCTCACCCCCACAAGTCTTAGAATGTATCTTCCCCATTTTACACATGAGATGCACAGAGGAGGAGCGGTTTCCCCGGGTGCCCAGACTACGGACAGCTCAGCCACTTTCCCAGCCGAGTGATCAGTCCCTTGAGTATCAGAGGACAGAGCACAGGGGACCTCAGTCCAGCCATGGATGCCTGCCCCCAGCAGCCCTGCCCCCATCCTGTCCCACCCAGCTTAGCGAGCAGCCCAGGTGAGCTGGGGAAGGAAGTGATGTGGGGGATGAAACCTGAACCATTGAAAAGGAGGTTTAGACACTTCAGATTTTAAAATAATAATTTGAAAACAAGTCTATCAAGCTGATGAGCTGTTAGAAATATTAAAACACTATATAAAGGGCTAAGTCCTCTCTGCATCTACAAAACCATCATTCCCTTCCTCCACCCTCTCCCAGCCCCACCACCCTCACAGCCCCACCACCCTTGCTCATGGCCTCTCTTCTTCCCTTCCTCCTCCCTCTCCCAGAGCCATGGCCTCTGTGCCTCATTTCCATTGTCATCTAGAGCTTCATGGATCAAAGCTCCCACTCAGCCCCTCACCCACCTTCACTTCCCATCTCTGCAATGACACTCCTAGGGCAGATGCTGACAGAGCTGGAGGCAGAAAGCGGAGAGATCTGGGCTTCACCCCCTCCTTGTAACCAGGCCTATGTAATGACCAGCCAAGCACTGGCCTCCAGTGGCTGTGCAGAGGCTGAGCCTCCCCAATGCACCCCCTTCTCCCCAGCAGTGGTGGGGTGGGGAGAGGGGATTCTAGGAACAAGAGATTTCGGGATAGTCAGAGAGAAAAAGGATGCTGAAGTTAAATTTGTCATTTTAAAAAGAAAAAGAACTGGGCCACGGCTCTCACTGTAGCTGGCACTGACTGGGTGGTCCCTGTGTGCCGGGCTCTTCCCACACTGCCAGCCACGCCCTGGCCCCCCGCATGCTGCAGGCGAGGATGTGGGAGCTCAGGGAGGCTGCAGACCAGGCTGAAACCTTGGGGCCAGGAACAAACCAGGTTTGTCTACCCCTTGGCCCTGGCTCTCCCACGGTGGAGTGGCCTCTGAGGTTTTGTCAGTCTCATTCATTCATTTTCATTCTTTCAGCAAACATGACTGAGGACCCACCAAGAGCTTGGCCCTGTGGGCAGAGCCTGGGCCTTGGAAGTGACAAGGAGTCCTGGGGGTGCTGTGGGAGCAGTGGGGGCCGAGGCCTGTGGGGAAGGGAGGCCTCTCACTGAGGCCTTGGTTCCCACACTGCTCAAAGGAGATTCAAGGGCCAAAGAGTGCCCAGCCACCTCCACTCTCATCTGGCCCAGAACATCCAGCTGACTACAAGTCCCAGATTCCAAATCCCCTGGCCATGGGGTTCCCACCAAGTGACACAGTGGACCCAGGGCAGGCAGCACGCCACCTCAGCACTGGCACAGGACAAACTAAAAGCTTGGCCATTGACACTGCCTTCGGCACACTCTGACAGAAAGGGGCAATACAAACCAATGTCAAAATCCGTAGTCCCCCAATAAACTGAATGGATACCTCCCCTCCTGGCCAAAGGGAATGGAGCTGGGCAGGCACTCACCAGGCTCCAAAACCCATCTAAGCAATGTAAGAGTCAAAAACTAAGAGCCAAAATTATGGTTACATGTAAAGAAAAAGCAAAAGCATAGAATTAAGCTATACTGGGGAAAAACATTGCTCCCACAGAACTCTAAGATAAAACACTTTAGGATCAAGCTGCGACAACAATCAGAATTGGAGGAGAAAAACTCACAGGAGCTGACAAAAAAGGCTAAAAGAGTTACATGAATCTGAGAAGCTTTCAAAAGAAACAGATCACAGGAATAAAAAATAAATTTTCTGGTAATTTAGCAAATTAATATTTTAAGAAAATTTTACTTTAAAATATAGACTATTATTTAGAAAATCTATTATAAATAATTTCCTTTTAATTATAGCTAGCTTAGTCACACACAAAATTCCTTTCATAAATTCCCCTTTAGGAACTTTATCGCTACTTCACACAGATCATCTACAACATGCTCGAACTTTCTGACATGTCCTATACTTCTTTTTTAAATAACCGGTCATTTTATTTTATTTTATTTTTTATTTATTTATTTATTTTTTTCCTTTTGGACCATTTATTCATTCAACTTGTAACTGTCAACATGAGACAACATTACTGAAAAATGCAGAATCATGATGGGAAACATATTCTACTATTTGTGGTTTCACTCCTACCCCAAAGCTGCTCTTTTTCCACTATGCCCGTATTCCCTGCCTTAGCTCAAGCAAAAGACTCACTCTCCTTTTTATTCCTTTTTTTAATTTTAATTTTAATTTTTATTATTATTATTATTATACTTTAAGTTTTAGGGTACATGTGCACAATGTGCAGGTTAGTTACATATGTATACATGTGCCATGCTGGTGCGCTGCACCCACTAACTCGTCATCTAGCATTAGGTATATCTCCCAGTGCTATCCCTCCCCCCTCCCCCCACCCCACAACAGTCCCCAGAGTGTGATGTTCCCCTTCCTGTGTCCATGTGTTCTCATTGTTCAATTCCCACCTATGAGTGAGAATATGCAGTGTTTGGTTTTTTGTTCTTGCGATAGTTTACTGAGAATGATGATTTCCAATTTCATCCATGTCCCTATAAAGGACATGAACTCATCATTTTTTATGGCTGCATAGTATTCCATGGTGTATATGTGCCACATTTTGTTAATCCAGTCTATCATTGTTGGACATTTGGGTTGGTTCCAAGTCTTTGCTATTGTGAATAATGCCGCAATAAACATACGTGTGCATGTGTCTTTATAGCAGCATGATTTATAGTCCTTTGGGTATATACCCAGTAATGGGATGGCTGGGTCAAATGGTGTTTCCAGTTCTAGATCCCTGAGGAATCACCACACTGACTTCCACAATGGTCGAACTAGTTTATAGTCCCACCAACAGTGTAAAAGTGTTCCTATTTCTCCACATCCTCTCCAGTACCTGTTGTTTCCTGACTTTTTAATGATTGCCATTCTAACTGGTGTGAGATGGTATCTCATTGTGGTTTTGATTTGCATTTCTCTGATGGCCAGTGATGATGAGCATTTTTTCATGTGTTTTTTGGCTGCATAAATGTCTTCTTTTGAGAAGTGTCTGTTCATGTCCTTTGCCCACTTTTTGATGGGGTTGTTTGTTTTTTTCTTGTAAATTTGTTTGAGTTCATTGTAGATTCCGGATATTAGCCCTTTGTCAGATGAGTAGGTTGTGAAAATTTTCTCCCATTTTGCAGGTTGCCTGTTCACTCTGATGGTAGTTTCTTTTGCTGTGCAGAAAATCTAAGAACTTACTATTCAAGATCCCTCCACATACAAAATTGCTCTTTCTTTATATCCTTCCTTGCAAAAAAAAAAGTTATGTTTCTATCCATAACATTCTTTACATCTCTTTTTTTTCTGCTCACTGGTTCCCTCATATTTTGAACCTCACTTTTAATAACTACTGAATTAGACAAAAATTATGTTTTTTCCCAATAAAGAAGACATTTCTTTGGCACATGTTATATAAACCTAGGAAGCAAGAAATCCTGAACTGCTCACCAGACATTGGCATTCTATAGATGAGAACCAGTTTATAATTTTAAGGTTTTTTACTCTACAAAATCTCAGTATTTAAGCATTGATTTCATTCACATGTATTGAACTTTTTCACTTTTAAAGGTTTTTATCTAGACCATCTCCAAGAACCAAGATATCGTGCAAAACTAGTCACCATTTAAAGCCATTTAACCATTTTAAAGCCTAATAACATCAATGACTTATCTAGGTAAAAATCTTAAAGTAAAATTTTAGAAGACACAACATTCTCTTCAAACTAATAAGCTTAGGCTAGTCTTGTTTAATTCATGAGTGTCCTTTTATTTACAAGTCAACTTGATAGCATGCTAGATACAACACACATTATAATACCTGTATCTACTTCTAAACAACACATTAAATAAAATGACCTGTACAAGACAACTGGATTCAAGTTATTTACGAAACCAGGACCCATCTACTGGATAAATTTTGTTTGCCCAACAGGTATGGAAGACAAGAAGAGGCAGGAAAGGGGATCCCATGGCATCAAATAAGGAAGGGAGGGGTAAAACTGCATTGCTCAAGAGGAGACCCCAGAGTCCTCGAGCCATTGGAGAGTTCAACCAGCAGTAGAGACACTGAAGAAAAATGTTTGGGCAGCTGCTTATCTGCCACTGTGGGAATCTATCTGTCATGTCAAGGAGCCAAACTCCCAGTAAACTTACTTGGGTAAGGTGGCTCTTTGGGGCCAGTGGAAGAAGTTTAGCTTTGTAACTGAGAGGGAGATTACTTTTTTCTCTCTCTCTCACCAGGTACAGTTAGACATTCTAGTTGTCAAGGGTCATTTTACTTATAGTAGGCACACTGATTCTGGCCCGAGGGCCGGCAAATGGAGGGCTGTTGTCTGCGCATCCCAGATCCTGATTTCATGGCACTTTCTCAGGATGAGTAACCCTGAGGGGGCAGGAGGCTTAAAGCATTTGCTAATAATTGCACTTTTCAGCTATTTCTTTTATTCCAGCACTTTGCCCTGCCCCTCTTGTTGTAAACTTTAAAGGTCACATTTAAGAGTTGGCTCATAGGGGCTTGAGGCCCCATTGCTGCTTTTTGTAATGTTAGAGGCAGATTGAGTAATGAAACGTGTACCCAGGAGAGCTTACCCTTCTGGGAAGTCTAGGTCTGCATTAAGTATATTTCCCTACTGCCTCAACTAGATGACCCTGAAACAGAGCGATATTTTCATCTCTTCCCTGAGTTATTGCTCTATCCTTGTCACAATTGACTGGCTTAACCACACTTTTTCCTGTGTTTTTCCCACCACACAACAAGTGGACAACAATATTTGCAACTCATGACAAGTTATATCAAAGAATGCGGCCAACTTAATAAACTCCTCTGTGAATCTGTATCCTCTGAAAACTGGCCAAATCTTCTCTTGTATAAGGCCAAATTAGATATAGAAAACGGCACATGTACTCTAAGTGTCCCCTTATTTCCATTAGCTACCTCCCGCAATGGACACGGGCTTGGTTTTAGGGGCTGATATGGGGCCCTGACTGGGTGGTACTTGTTAGGCTTACTTTTTTGGGCAGCAGGGAAATAGGGTATAGGTTGGGGCTAGTTGAATAAGAGGGAGGGGGCTCCTGATGACCTTGAGGTGGAATCCTTCATTGGAGAACTGGCGGGACACTCCTCAGAACTGGGAGACTGGGGAGTCTCTGGGGAGGGCATAGGCCTTCTAGGGGGAGAAGCTAGGAGGGGATCCCCTAGGCATGGATTTCTGATGCCTGAAAGTAACATGAGCCAGTAAAGGGTCATAAAAGCCTGTACATAAGGGACCTCTTCCCATTTTTCTTCTTCTTTACAAAATAAGGCCAGTTGCAAAACATCATTATAAAGTATAGCACCATATTTAAGTGAAATCTATTGGTTTTCTAATTGGTATTGAACCGAAATGGTATTGCAATAGAAAATGAATTTCTTTTTCTTTAAGACAAATTTGACTTTGCTCCAATAGTCTAAAAGACACCCTAGTGGTGAGTCCTCTGGGATGCTCATCATTGTCCCCATAACTAACAAGGATTTTTACTGGACACAGAAGTTTTTCTAAGTCTAGCAAGAGGGAAAGCAACCTGGCCCTTGTTATTTTTCCCTTTTAGACTCCCACTTCCTATGGGGAAGGTGTAAGTATAGGTAGCATGGCATTACACAAGCAGACTATGAGCTACAAATGAGCAGTAGAATATTGAGCCTAAGTTCTGCAAAGAGAGGGAGGGTTGCACAGAGAGGAGGCTGAACAAATGGGGACAGTGGAAGGGAGAAGGGGAAGGGTGTAAACAGCATTGCCCAAAGGGAGACCTCAGAGGCCCTGAGTTTTCAGAGAACCTACCCAGTAGCAGAGATACTGAAAAAAATGTTTGTGTGGCCACTTATCTATTGCTGTAGCTTGTCATCCATCAGGCCAGGGGCCTGGTAACTTTTGGTCACTTTGATCAAGAGAGGCTTGATCAAGGCAGCTGTAAGATAGCATACAGGAAGGGGCCTGCAACTGGCTATTAGGAAAATAATACTTCTAACTTCAGGGGAGAAAAAGACGAGACCAATATTCCCTTGGGAGGAGGGGACTCTAAGCCACAATCCTAGAGGGAATGTCAATGCTGAAAACTGCAGAGCATCTTGGGGGTGGCCAAAAATACCAGTACTGGAAACTCAGAGTGCCCAAGCTTCAGTCAATGAGGGTCCCCTCTCTAAAATGCTCAAAACTCCAGGGCACCCAGGTGGCACCCAACAGTGAACCCAAGACCACAATGGGGTCACAGAACAATGAGACTCTGGCACCCCAGAGTCAATACAATGGGGTATCTCTCACAACCAAGTGTTCTGCCTTAAACAATTGCCAAATACAGTTAACAGAAAGTCAAAAGCAAAAGAAGACTGCAAACAAAACATATAGAACTGAAAATAAAATGACTGATGAGAAAATAAAATGGAGTCAGAGGAGAAAGGACAGGGGAAGGGGTGATAAGGGCATGTTTTGGGGCACTCAAACCCTGGGGGGCTTTTCACTGACCACTTAGCCAAAGGCTTTTATCCCCTAGCTCACCTGATATTATTGGGAGTGGCAGAGGGGACGCTCATCCACCCATTTTGGATCGGTCACTGAGCCAAAATGGCACTGACTGATCTTCCACATGGGACCTGGGTGACAGTCTCTCCAGGTTCCCTCAGCTTGGGTGGGCTCGGCTGTCACACAGCAGGCTGGCACAGGAATGGGTAACCCACTGGCCTGCTAGCCAGAACAGTGGGTCCTACACAAGGTAGAGGCACTATGGTCACTTGCTGTCTACTTGGCTGCACCACCTGATGGGAAAAGATGATGGCTCTTCAAAGAGCCTTAGGCTAGAGTTACAGCTCTGTAGTTTGAGCAGCTCTTAGGTGTTACAGCCTCAGTGTTATAGCTCTTACGGTCTCGATCACAGGCTGCTTCACCATGTCTCACTATCTCTGCTCGTTGTCTTGCTGATCACTGTCTCTCACCATCTCTCACTATACTCTTGCCATCTCACTGACTGCCATTTCTTGTCATATCTTGCCAATTGCTGTCTCTCTGCTGATCACCGATTGCTGCCATCTCTGCTGTCTTTGTCTTTTTGTGGTCACCAGATGATGCAGGGCACGCAAGGGCTTAGACTGAGAGGGTTCTTGGCTTCAACCAGGAAAGAATTCAAGGGTGAGCCAGTGGTTAGATAGCAACTTTCACTGAAGTGGCAGGGCTTAGCAGCAGCAAAGGTGCTGTTCCTTGCACGGCAGGGCTACCCCATAGGCAATGTGCCCAGAATAGCAGCTCAGAGGCAGGTCTGCACCCATATTTATACCCACTTTTAATTACATGCAAATTAAGGGGCAGAGTATGCAGAAGTTTCTAGGAAAAGAGTGGTAACTTACGGATCATTGGGTTGTTGCCATGGAAAGGGATGGTAACTTCTGTGTGTTACCATAGCAATGGTAAACTGACGAGGCACCCTGGTGGGTGTGTCTTATGGAAAGCTGCTTCTGCTCCATTCCTGTTTTAGCTGGTCCTCAATTTGGTCTGATGTTCAAGTCCCACCTGCTGAGTCCATTCCCACCTCCTGCCTCAGGTCCATCTTGCTCGCTCTGCTCTCACCTGGAGCAGGAGTTTTCTCAGAAGAGCCTCGCCCTCTTCATAGCATCATATTTCTTTCTGTGCTTCCCTTGTCATGCCTGTGGTGGTGTCATTCATTTGTTGGGTTCCTTGATGATCGTCCTTCTTCCCACTGGAAATCAGTCCCAGAGAGCAGGGGCCCCATCTGTCTCCTTTCCAGCCAAGGCAGTCACCCACCATGGGAGGGACGAAGGAAAGCGGGAGGAAGACTATTTTTACATTTTATTTTAGTAGTTGTTATAAATATAACCACCATTGTATTAAAAGTCAGTATTTATTATACCCATCATATGTGCTGGGTCCTGTCTTGTTTTCCACCTGTTGTCTTATTTGATCCTCATAATGACCCTTTAAGGAGGTGATGATGCTGTCACCATTTTACAGGAACTGAGAAAACCAAGAACAATAGAAGCAAGGTCACCTGACCCCCAGATCACATTAAGAACAAAGCCTAGCCCATGTGACTCCCAGTCCCTGTGCAGAATCATACACCATGTACCATGCTGCCCTACTATGCACTAAGCCCTGTGCTGGGTGCTCCCTTGAAGAGCTACAGATGAATCAGGAAGACAGATACACAAACAGTTAAAATCCAAAAGGTGCAATTGGAAAGGGAAATGTGCTTGTGTGTGGCTGCAGGTTGCAGGTGTGGGATGGGAAGAGGATGGTGTTGCACCAGGTTTGAACATTAGAGTTAAGGAACCACTGAAAGCTTCATCCAGCCCTTCTAGCTGTGTGGAAGGGATTTCACTTGGGGGTCCGTTCCTTATCCCATGAGATCTTGGCACAGGTCTCACTGCTAGAGTGTTCTGCTGAGGATGCTCAGATGCCACACCCTGCAGTGGGTCAGGGGATAGATTTGGCATAGACAGACCTATGTTCAGGTCCTAACTCAGCCTTACCACAGGTTGCATCATGGGGAGTGACTTATCCTTTTTGAGCCTCAGTTTCCTTTTCTGTAAAATAGGGGTGGTAATAGTGCTGCTTCATTGACTGCTTGTGAGGGTCCAAAGAGAAGTGAGAGCACCTAGGACAGTGCCAAGCACAGAGTGGGCATGAAAGATGGTTACTAACTGTTATGATTATTATCAGGATAACTGTCTGTGAGGGCAGGAGACTCACCTGTCTCGTTTGCTGTGGCGTTCCTGGGGTGTGCTCTGGCCTGGCACATAGTAGGTGCTCAGTGCATGAAACTGGAGCCTGTCAGACTCCACTGCAGTAGCTGGGGGTCTCCTCTGCACAACTGGATGGATTCTTACTCATGACCCTTCTGCCAGAGACAGCAGCAGAACCATATGACCCTTAAAAAAGGAACAATTACATGGGATTCTCAATCTCTTTTTTTTTTTCATCATCTCTGATCCATCTTGTTATTGACTTCAGTGGCTTAGTGTACCAGATTGTCTCTGACAGAGTTGGTAGCAAAATGACAGAGAGTCAAGGTCACCATGCCCTTTGCCCCGGCTTTTATCCATCCAATTTCATGCGGCTGGCATCCCAGCTGCCACTTGGCTGGGGAAATGTCAACATTATATTAAATCACAGACACAGACAGGAGAACACTTGTCACCCACCTCTTGTCTGTCCCCCCAGTTCCCAAGCCCCCAGTAGGGAGGGACCACCTTTGCCTGTCTCACTGTGCTCTGAGGGCCTGGCTCAATTCCCAGCTCTTCTCCATAATTACTGTTGTGCCACCGGACGGACGTGGTTTTCTCAAGATGACAATCGATGTGGCTGAGCACACTTGCTCATAAGCTGTAGCCCATGGTGACTGGAACACCTGGTCTAACAGCCTCCCACAGGGCAAAACCAGGGCGTAGAGCTCATCAGAGCAAACACATCACAGGCAGCTGCTGGGTCAAGGTTATTTTTCCTCTTTTAATCTTTATTAGTTATTATATTTTTTAAAATTGAGAGTATCTTAGTTGGCTTGGGCTGCCATAACAAAATACCCATAGACTGGGTAGCTTAAACAACAGAAATTTGTTTCTCATAGTTCTGGAGGTTGGAGGTTCAAGATTTGGGTGTCGACATGGTCAGGTTCTGGTGAGGTCCCTCTGGCTTGCAGACAGCCACCTACTCACTGTGTCCTCATAGGGGAGGGGGGAGAGAAGAGGGGAGGGGAAAAGAGAGAGAGAGAGAGAGCTAGCTCTTTGGTACCTCTTCTTATAAAGGCACTAATCTCATCATGAGGTCCACTTTCTTGACTTCACCTAAACCTAATTATCTCCCAAAAGCCGCATCTCCAAATACCATCACATTGGTATCAATTTTGGGAGGACACAATTCAGTCCACAGCAGAGAGTAACACAACCTCACTGTGAAATATTCAAAAAATGTAAAAGCACCTTGTTTCCTTCCCTTAGTCCCAAACCTATTTCCCAGATTAAGCATTGGAAATAATAATAATTAATAATAATAATCTTACTGTCTTGTGTCCTCTGTGATAAGCCTTTTGGCTACATTAGTTCAATTAACCCTCACATTAACCCCATGAGGTAGACATCGTTGTTATTCCTACTTGAAAGATGGGTAAACTGAGGCTCAGAGCAGTAGACTGACCCTCCCAATACTCTGTTGATAACTATCTGAGACTTCATCTCAGGTCTGCGTGATTCCAAAGCCACACTCTTTTCACCGTGGCTTATGGTTTTCTATGCATATTTAAATTTTCTTTCTTTTACAAAATAGGAACACTTGGTACACACTACTTTGTAACTCGCTTTTCATTTGAGAATATCTCTCTGTGCAAATCTGCTTCATCTCTCTGTGGCTGCTTAGTGTTCTCTTGTAATGGGCATCATCATTTCTTTCAGTTGTTTCCCTCTAGATGTATTTGTATTTAGTATTTAGGTGGCTTTTTTTTTCTATTACAAGCAACATTACCTGCCATTTTATTTTCCCTCATTTAAAATTAATTCTAATTATACAAGTGGCATATGCAGGCATTCCTATTGTTGTATTTTCAAACAGGTCATATAAGGAAACAAATACCTCTGTGCTACTCTCCCTAACAACTTGTCTCCAAATTTCGCTTGCCTTCCAGTAGCCACTATTGTCAGTGCGTTTTGTTGCCCTTACAGACCATTATCTATGCATTTATACACAAACTGATACGCATTTTCATGCACATTTATATGCATGCCTAGCTATATATGTCCTGCTCTGTGTATTTTTCAACAGATAAAAGATATCATATGTATTCGTGCATCCAGCTTTTTAATCACTAAACAATATGCTACACATCTTGCTACATCAGTACATACACAGGGACCTCATTCATTTTAATGAAGCTGTGTATCCCATTAGAAGACTTGGATGTCTCCCTTCCCTTCCCTTCCCTCCCCTCCCCTCCCCTCCCCTCCCCTCCCTCCCCTGCCTTTCTTCCCACCCTCCTTCCCTTCTTCCTTTCTCTCTCCTTTTGTATTCTTCTTTTTCCCTCTCCCTCTTGCTCTCTTCCTCCCTTTCTTTCACCATTTTTTATTTACCTGCTGATGGCTATTTAGGTTGTTTCCATTTTGTTCTGTATATAAACGTTCTTATTCTACAACAAACATCCTTGTGCATGCTCCATTGGGTGCATGTGGGAGCTTTTCTCCAGTACTGATACCTAGATGTGGAATTGCTGAGTTGAAGGTTTTACCAGGCCAGATCTTGTTTGAGGCCACAGGAGGCTGAGGAGCATCTGAGTTGTAAGTCCCAGGTGGCTGTTTGCTACAGGGAGCATGTGGCAAGATGGAAGGGATCTGTTCTTTACCTAATAGTCCATTGTCGTCTGTGGCCAGGTTCTTGGACAGCTCCTGGTGACACAGCCAACTCCTGCAATGGTTTGTTTTTAAAGAAGAGGTAAGATCTCCCAGCTATGCTGCTGATATGGTTTGGCTGGCTGGGTTCCCACCCAGTATCTCATCTTGAATTAGAATCTCCATAATCCTCAAGTGTCAACCGCGGGACTAGGTGGGGGGTAATTGGATCATGCGGGTGGTTTCTCCCATGCTGTTCTCATGATAGTGATTGAGTCTCACGAGATCTGATGGTTTTACAAGGGTCTGGCATTTCCCCTGTTTGCACTCATTCTCTCTCCTGCTGCCCTGTGAAGAGGTGCCTTCTGCCATGATTGTAAGTTTCCTGAGGCCTCCCCAGCCATGTGGAACTGAGAGTCAATTAAATCTCTTTTCTTTGTAAATTACCCAGTCTTGGGTATTTCATCATGGCAGTGTGAGAACAGACTAATACAGCAGCCATTTACACATAATGCCCCTCAAAAGTCATCTGGCTCCCTCCCTGAAATTTTCTTCTGTAGCTATTAGGGGAAGCTCCCTATTGCTTTTGAGATCATTGGGTTGGAAATAGCTGGTGGGGGCTACATTTTTGTGCTCATGGAGCATGCCCTGGGTGCAGTGGAAGAAACTGAGGCCACTTTGCAGAAAGAGATAGAAACAAGCAGAGATGACAGATGTTCATAGGGGAGGGTCCTGGGGCATGCAGACCCTGGCTCTGGCAGCTCTCGTATCACAAGAGCTCCCTAGCCTCTTCCCCTCCCCTTCCTAAAGCCCTCAGCTGCTAGACTGGGGTCTGTGGCTGCTGCCCAGAGTCCTGATGGACCCTGGGAGTGGGCTTATGTGGTCATGAGGGCTCCAAATGGGTAGAATATGGGACCCCAGGTACCTACCAGTGTCTCTCTGACCCAACCCAACTTGCTGACTTCAGCATCTCCACGTGTGTCACCCTGCCATAGGGTGTCTTCTGTCTTTCAGAGTACAGGGGTAGCTTTGTTGCACCCTTGCTTACCCTTGGGCAGCTGCTCCTTTCTCTTAGGAGCCTGGCATGCAGGACCCTGCAAGAGCTGTTCTCACCCCTCATTCCTGCACACCTTAGATTCTGGCCCAACCAGGCTATTTGTTTCATGGCAGGCAAATCTTTCTCTCCCGCGTCTTGGCACTCAGACTGTCTCCTTGGCCTGGGTGCCTTTTTGTGTCTTTTCTACCTCAAGCTCATTTCCAATTTCTTCACCTGGATGACTCATCCTTCAGGCTTGGAATTAAATACCTCTTCCACCAAGAAGCCTGCTTGCTTCCCTCCCTGAACTCAGCATCATCTGTAGCACAGGATTTTCCCATTGCGTAATGATCTGGATCATCCAGTAGACAGGAGCTCCCCAAAGGCTAGTTTTGTGGCCTCACCCCTTGCTTCTGACACAAGGCTCAAAAAAGACCCCTTTAGTTACTCAGCGAATGAACCCAAGTCAACAGGTGCAGTACAGGTGCCTTGGAAACAGGACAGACCTGGGAACAAAATCTGACTCCCAAACTTACCACATTCTCCAGGCTATAGTGTAAATCAGAATATTTTTACCCACTTCTGGGGGCTCTTGGGAAAAAGATAATGAGTGTGACAGTGTTTGGCAAATGTAATATTCATATATTCATCTTTAAAGTAGCACTGGGTCAGTAAGACTCCATAGGCAAAAATTATTCTGACAAACCGGGTAGTGTTTCTTCAGGATGAAACATAAATACCTCAGGTATAAATTAGGGAAAAACCTATACACACATTTAATGAAATGCTATAATGTTCCAAGCTCATATCACATATTAATTTCCTGCATAAGGAACTTCACAACTTTTGTTAGATGTATAATTTGTCCTAGAAGCTTTGTAAATTTTTTCTAGTGTAAATGGCATCTTTATTTCTGTGTATTGGTTTTGAATCTAGCAAATGTGTTAAACTCTCTCATTATCTGTAGACTCTTTTGGGTTCCAAAGAGGCAATCACAGCATATGCAAATAATGAGAGCTCTGCCTCTTCCTTTCTAATTTGTATACCTTTCATTTCTTTTTCTGGTTAAATGCTTTCTAAAGGACCTCCCACATTGAATAGTGATGGTGGTGACAGCCATCCTTGTCTAGTTCCTGATCTTGAAAGCTTTCAACATTTAACCATGAAATAGGATGCTTGCTGTAGGCTTTTTTTTTTTGAAGAATATCTTTTATTCCTTTCATTCCTAGTTTGCTAAGGTTTTATCATGAATGAATGTCAACTTTTACTGAACGGATTTTCTATTAGGATGATCTGTTAGGACAATCATATGTTTTAAAAAATTCTCCTAATGTGATGCATTATATTAATTAATATACTTGATACTAAACTAACATCATATTCCTGGGAGAAACCAAAAGTGGTCATAATATATTCTCTTATTTCTTTATGGCTAGAACTCTCTTTATACATTTTTAAAAGGCTTTTTACACTTACAT
The DNA here is from genome assembly GCF_000001405.40 of Homo sapiens. Lineage (NCBI taxonomy): Eukaryota > Metazoa > Chordata > Mammalia > Primates > Hominidae > Homo > Homo sapiens. The sequence goes on along the minus strand of NC_000001.11, from coordinate 30,298,498 downwards.
TTTTGTGTGAGTGTGCTTGGTAATTTTCCATTTTTGGTCTGACTTCAGACTCAAGGCTTTGTTAGTCTCATAAATGGTAATGTTTGCATAATCCCTATCTTAAATGTTTGAGAGAACTCACTTGTAAAACCACCTGGGTAAAAGTGTTTTATCTGTGGGAAGATTTTTTTTTAACTGTTGATATAATTTATTTCATGGCTATAAAATTATGTGGAACTTTCACATTTATTTTTGGGTCATTTTTAATAGTTATATTTTTCTAGGACTATATTTAACTAATTTAAAATTTCAAATGTATTGGCATAACATTGTTCAAACAAGTTACAATTTTCCATTGTTTCTGTAGTGATGTCTCTTTTGCATTGCTTATGTAGCTTATTTGTGTGCTCCTTTTCTTTTTGTTCAATCATTCTAGCCTTCCAAGATTTAATTTTTTTTTCAGAGAACAGAATTTTGGCTTAATTGAATCTCTCTGTTATATGTTGAACTTAACCTCTCTGTGCCTCAGTTTTCTCATGTGACACTGAGAGGCACAGTCACTGTGCCAAACAGGCCTGGAGAATTCAGAAGGTTGGAGGTTGGTTTGAGGTTGGCCAGGGCTGTCTGCCAGGGCAGGGGTGGAACAGAGGGCAGGGTAGGGCAGCTTGTGTTCCTGGGGCATGGTGAAGGGAGGAGAATTTTCTGTGGACCATATGGAGGTCAGTGAATTTCGCTGAGCCTTGAGCAATCAAACGGGGGACTGTATTAGTCTGTTCTCACAGCACTATAAAGAAATTCCTGAGACTGGGTAGTTTATCAAGAAAAGAGGTTTAATTGGCTCACAGTTCTGCAGGCTATACAGGAAGCATAATGCTGGCATCTGCTTGGCTTCTGGGGAGGCCTCAGGAAACTTACAATCGTGGCACAAAGCTAATGGGGAACGAGGTATCTCACCTGGTGGGAGCAGGAGCAAAGGTAATGGAGGTGCTACACACTTTTAAATAACCAGATCTCGGGAGAACTCATTCACTACACAGTACCAAAGGACGATGGTAGTAAACCATTCATGAGAATTCCAACCCATGATCCAATCACCTCCCACCAGAACCCACCTGCAACACTGGGGATTACAATTCAACATGAGATTTGGGTGGGGACACAGATCCAAACCATATCAGGGCCTCTTCTTGGGAGGAGGGGATCCCAGCAGTTGGGTGCACTGACAAGAAGGATCTTTAGGGTTGGAGTGGGGCACAAAAGGTCAGCTAGAGAGAGCATCGCCTGTATCAGGGAACTGTGTAGTTCTGCTGTAGAACCCCAGAAGCTAGGTTTCAATGCCCAGCGTGCAGTAAGCAAAACACTTGTTACCAGACAGGAGTCCCGATTCAGACCCCAAGAGAGGGTTCTTCGATCTCACGCAAGAAAGAATTTGGGGCAAGTCTACAGTGAAAAGCAAAAGCAAGTTTATCAAGAAAGGAAAGTAGTGAAAGAACAGCTACTCCATAGACAGAGTAGGGCATCCCCAAAAGTAAGAGGAGGAACGCATCCACCCTAGGTACAATATTTATTTATAGATAGATGATAGCTAGCGAGCTAGCTAGCTAGATAGATGAGCTAGATAGATAGATAGATGATAGAATAAAAAAGATCATGGGGAGATGTGCTTTGCTACAAGGGTTTGTGATAAAGGATTAATTTTCTTAATTGCTATATTTTGCAAGAATCGATATTATTATCTTTAAAGCAAAACTAGGAATGCTTCTGTTCTCAAGATATCAGGCTATCAGGACACTCCTGTCTTGGTCTGTTTAGTAAACAATATCAATTTTTTCTCTTAACTGTAAACATCTAGAGGCTAGGACTACCTAACTTTCTGGGAATGCAGCCAAGCAAATCCCAGCCTCATTTTTCCTATCCTTCACTCAAGACGGAGTCGCTGTGGTTCGAACGCCTCTAACACGCTGACACATCAGCACTTAAAAGCAGAGAAAATTTTATTTAATTTGGCCAAAGCATGAGGGCAGGAGAGGCAACTCTTCAATCTGACCTATCTTTGAAAATAACTGGGGGCTTCTGTGAGTAAGGTAGGTTTGCAGGAGGTGAGATCTCCGATGATCAAAGTTGCTTGCGTCCCTCATTCCATCAAACTTCTGGCTGCCATCAAGGAGGTCTGTATGACCTAAAGATCATTGTTCTTTGAAAGAAAAACAATTTCATTAATCTTGCAGGCAGCCCGGGGGTGGTCAGGATATGAAGTTAATTATTAGTGACTACCTTCTATCGAAATGACTAAACGCAGGCAATTGTGCATGGAGGAAGAAAAGGATAAAGAGAAGGGAAAATAAATAAAACCAACACTTTATGATTTTTATAACATAGGCTCAGTTACAGCTCCTCCAATAAATACATTTGCCTGTCCTGTGCCACAAGGAAAGAGTGGCGCATGCATACCCACCATGCCCTAGGTCCTCTACACCTGGAAAGGACCAGAAACAGCACTGGCTAAGTCAAAAACTCTTCCCTTTTTCCTTTAGGGCTTCCCTTCCTCTACCAGCATCCTAGAAGGGTAGGAAGACGGAATGAGCAGACCATACACCCCCACCTCCCCCACCCCTTACTAGCTGGTGCCTCTGCACCCTGGTGAGACCTGAGCTGAGGATAAGGGACAGGTGTGTGGCTAGAACTGACTGGACCTTTCAATGCTGGTAAGTGGACCAGACTTAACAAAAGATTCTGTTACAGGTAAAGATGAGTGCAAAGCAAAGGCGACTGTCTGCGATGTCCTTGGGGGAATCAGACGGGGGTTGATTGAAGGCAGGGCTGGAGGACTTGATGCCATTTCCTATGTATGCTCCATCAGATTCTGCCCATTCAGTGAATTGGTGACATATTTATTGTGTATTTTTGAGAAAAAATGAGGTCTGGCGCCTGCCATATATCTCACCCCAGAAGCTTTGGGCTCTAGGGTTACTTGTAACAGCAAACATTTGAGAACAACCAAATCAACCCAACAGAAGGGATTCATTTAATTAAACTCAGCCTCATCCACTTGGCAGAGTGTTCCACAGTGAATAAAAACAGTGATTACACTCATGACAACATGGCGATTGCCTAATGCCATAATGTTGAGTTAAAAATGCAAAAACAAAAAAAACACACCAGCATGTTTAATTATACATACAGATCAATAATAACTGTGTCAAAAGAGCCAAAAAGAAAGAATGCTCAAAGCAATGAAGCTGAAATGTCAAACACAGTTGTTTTCAGAGTGTTGAAAATATAAAGTTTTTGTTGTATTTTTCCTTTTATAAAACAGATCTTATGATTTAGAGCAGCTTTAGATTTACCAAAAATCAAGAGGATAATACAAAGAATCACCATATAGTTTGCACCTGATTTCCCCTATTACTAACATCTAATACTGTTAGGGTATATTTATTAAAAAGTAATGAGTCAATATATGCATGTTATTATCAACAGAAGTTCATACTTTATTCAGCTTCCTTTGGTTTTTACCTATTTCCTTTTTCTGTTACAGGATCCTATGCAGGGCACTACCTTATGTTTAGCTATCATGTCCCCTTGGGCTCCTTTTGATTCTGATTATTTCTCAGACTTTCCTTGTTTTTGATGACTTTGACAGTTTTGAGGAGTATGGATTGTCACAGGTGCAATTAGCTGGGGCCAGTGTCATGGGTGGTAGAGGAATTCACCAAGACAATTGTAGGTAAAGAAAAGCAGATTTATTAAGAAAGTATGACAATATGTTGCAAGGTTGCAATGGGTAGCACAGCAGAGAAGGGGCTGTCTGCAAGGAGGCAGGGCTGGAGGGAAGGGAGTTTTATAGGGTAATGCTGGAGTGGGCTACATGCAGAATTGAGGTCATGCTACTGAAGTTACCTGCAGAGCAAGGTTGTTGTGCTTGAGGGTAGTTTGTGATTAGCCATCTCTCAGAACAACAGTTCATTTTCTCCCCTACCTCGGGTCCTCCCCAACCTGGGGCCCCTTTCTTGTTGTTGCTTACTTATCAGGACTTTACACTGGTCAGATATTTTATAGAACTACTTTCAATTTGGCTCTGCCTAATGCTTTTTTCATTATTGGACTGGGGTTATAGGTTTTGGGAGGAAGACCACAAAGGTAAAGCATTATTGTCATCACATCATACAAAGGTGCCATCAATATGACTTATTGCTGTTGATGTTGACCTTGATCATCTGGCTAAGATGGTGTGCATCAGGTTTCTCTGCTGTAAGATTACTCTCCCCTTCCTCCCATCTCCTAACTGTACTCTTGGGAAGGAAGTCACATGTCAGCCTACACTTAACTAGTGGGGACTAATACTCCCCTTCTGTTAGGGTGGAGTATCTGCATACCTCATGTGGAATTCTTCTTCATGGGAGATTTGTCTCTTTTTCCCCACTTATTATTTTATTCAATCATTTATTTATATCAGTCTGGACTCATGGATGTTTATTTTGTACTTTGGGTTACAGTACAAATACTGCTTTATTCATTTTGTTCCTCCAGCTTTGGCTGTTGGGAGCTCTTTCAGTTGGCACTGGTGCCCCTTTGTCATACTTCCATCAATGTGGATTTTATTTTGAGTTGTTTCTATTTTACTGTCTTTCTCACTTTCTCACACTACAGTGTGATCTAAGCTCATCTTGTATATTTCCTGCCTCAGTCCTAGAATCAGCCATTTCTTCACTATACCTTAATTCCTTTTATTGGAGAATGATATAAGAAACCAAGATCTGGGAACTAGGTATATTTCTTACTATTGAAGTGTCATTTCTTGTAGGCTCTTTCAGCTGACAAAGCAGGAATATGTATGTGTGTATACTAACTAATGTATATACACATAACTATAAATATTTCTTTATATTTATAGCCGGTATCCAAATTATATATCTTTCTCTATTAAGCAAAATATGAGCTCATGCCGATGTCTCCAAATCTAGTTCATTACCATGTGGATCACTGTAGCCTTTTCCCCTTGCTTATACGTGAACCCTTACTCCAACAGTAAGAAACCTGGCTCCCACAATCTGCTACCCATTTACTTCATTGTTTAATTTCAGCGTATACAGGTACAATAGGTATATATTGTTAACCCATATCCTGGTGGGAAACAGCTTTATCAACTAGAGTACAGTGATTATGTACTTTCTTTTGCCTTTAGTCTTATAAACTACCATTTCCAAAGTTACTTAGGTCAGTACCTCCCCACATCCCCTTTGCTTGTTTCATATATTGTGATACAGTTAGATTTCCTTATCATAGTTTTCATTCTTTCCTGGGATCCTCTGATCACCTAAATGACTTTTTAAAAACTTGCATACATTAGGATTCATTCTTTGTGCTATAAAGTTCTATGGATTTTGACAAATGCATAATGTCCTGTGGTCACTATTGCAGTATCACACAGAATAGTTTCACTGCCCTGAACAACCCCTGTCCTTTATCTCTTCAACCTATGGCAAACACTGATTGTTTTACTTTTTCCAGAATGTCACATGATTGGACCGTAGTTTGCTTTTTCAATAGTTTGCCATTTTCAGAATGTCATAAAATTTGAATCATGTATAATGTAGCATTTTGAGACTGACTTTTTTCACTTAGCAACATGCATTTAAGATTTATTCATGTCTTGTTGTGGTTTGATAGAAGCTTTTTTATCACTGGATAATATTTCAGTTGTAGAAATGTATATCACAGTTTGTTTATTCATTCACCTATTTAAGGACATATTGGTTGTTTCCAGTTTGGGATGATTATGACTAAAACTACTATAAATATTCATAAGCAGATTTTTATGTAGATATAAGTTTTCAGATCATTTGGGTAAATACCTAGGAGCATTATGTCTGGGTCATATGGTAAGACTATATTTAGATTTGTAAGAAACTGCAAAGCCGTCTTTCAAAGTGACTGCACCATTTTGCATTCCCACCAGCAATGAGTGCGAGTTCCTGCTTCTCTGCTCCCTCTAGCATTTGATATTGTCAGTTTTTTAAAGCTTATCCATTCTAATAAGTGTGTAGTGGTATCTCATCGTTGTTTTCATTTTCAAATCCCTAATGATGAATGATGTTGAGCTTATTTTTATCTGCTTACTTGCCAATTGTTTGTCTTCTTTGGTGAAGTATCTATTCAGATCTTTTGCCCATGTTTTAATTGGAAATTTTTCTTGTTGTTGAATTTTAAGAGGTATTTTGTATACAAGCCCTTTATTAGGTATGTGTTTTGCAAATACATTGTCTCAGGCTGTGGCTTGTCTTCTGATTCTTTTTAACTGTCTTTCAGAGAGCAGAAATTTTCCATTTTAATAAAGTTTAACTTGTCATTTTTTTTTCTTTTGCAGATCAAACTTCTAGTGTTTGGCTAAAAACTCATCACTAAATCCAAGGCCAGCTAGGTTTTCTTCTAGAAGTTTTGTGTTTTACATTTAAGTCAGTGATCCATTTTGAGCTAATTTTTATGAAACATGTAAGATTGGTGTATAGATTCATTTTTGAAAATATGGATGTTCAATTGTTCTAGCACCATTTGTTGCAAAGACTACCCTTTGTCTATCCAATTGCTTTGCCCCTTTGTCAAAGATCAGTCATTACTTTTGGAAAATTCTTGACCATTATTACTTCAAATATTTCTTCTGTCTTGTTCTCCCCTCTCCTTCTGGTATTCCAATTATATGTACATTACACATTTTGAAATATCCAATAGTTTTATATACACTGTGTTCTGCTTTGTTCATTTTTTCTTGTTTCCATTTCTGTTTGGAAAGTTTCTGTTGGCCTGCCTTCAAGTTCTCTAATCCTTTCCTTGGCTGTGTCCAGTCTACTGAAGAGTCTATGAAAGCCACTCTTCCTTCTTTTCACAGTGCCTTTAATATTTAGCATTTTCTTTTGACTCTTTCTTAGAGGTTTTATCTATCTGATGACAGCACCCATGTGTTCCTGCATGTTGACTATTTTTCCATTAGGGTCTTTAACATATTAATGTTGTTTATGATAGTTGTTTTAAATTCTCTGTTTGCGGATAATTCCAAAATCTGTGTCTTATCTGAGTCTGGTTCTGATGCTTGTCTTGTCTCTTCAGATCCATGGCTCTTGTTTTGTTTTTGCCTTTTCACACGCCTTATAATTTTTTTTGAAAGCCAGACATGATGTATCGAGTAATAGGAACTGAGGTTAAAAAAAGTATTCAGTGTGAGATTTTACAGCAGAACTTCTTTATTCAAAATTTTGCTCACTGTGGTTTCAGTTACCCATGGTCAACCAAGATCTGAAAATAGGTGAGTACAGTACAATAAGATATTTAGAGAGAGAGAGAGACAGATAGAGAGACCACGTTCATAAAACTTTTATTACAGCATATTTTTACAACCGTTCCATTTTATTATTAGTTGTTGCTGTTAATCTTTTATTGTGCCTAATTTATTCATTAAACTTTATCATGGGTATGTATGTATAGGAAAAAATATAGTATATATATACTTTGATACTATCTGCAGTTTCAGGCATCCACAGGGGTCTTGGAATGTATTTTCTGAGGATAAGGGGGGAATACAATATTTTGATCTGGTTAGATGTAATGTTTCATGTGATTAATGCCTGATGTAGCTGCAGGTGCTAGAGGCCTCCAGTTCCCCCAGCATCCTTGTTTCTGTCTCCTTTGTTGTCTTTAAGATTCCTTAAGAACTCCTCCTTAGATAGGGCCCATGTCTTGGCACCTCTCCAGCTATGATCCACTGTTTTGTACTGGAGCTCTGCCGATGTGGCAGGAGTAGGGTGTGGGGAGAGTGTTATGGTTAAATCTTGGTCTTTTATTGGGATAATTTTCCTGGGCTGTGACCTTCAGAAATGTTTCTTCTTCTTCTTTTTTTTTATTTTTTTCTGTGTTAGGTAAAACAGGGAGGATAAAGAGGGCTGGAGTTAGGTAAATTTCTTTTCCCCTAGATGTAATACGGTTATTTTCGAGAGGAGGTTTTTGTTACAGAAAACAGCCTTTTTCCTCCCCCTGCTGGAACATAGGGTGATTTCTCTTTATTCCTATGGCCTCCAGGAGTTTCTCAATCAAAATAGTCTCTACTCAGCCTCCAAAAATTCATTCGAAATTATCATTGAAGCATTCCTACCAGTTTATGGCTCCAGCTGCCTCTGAGGAGAGCTTCATAAATGGACTATTTATAAAGGTGAGGCCAGGGTGAAGGGACTTGAGAAGCATGGGTGAGGGACTGGTCATACCCACTGTGAATGGCTTGAACTCCACCTGTCACCAACCACTGTGCATTCCTACATTGAGTGGTGGACTACAGTGGCATCTGGAGTCCCCAGGAATCAGCGTCAATTCAAACTCAATGTCAAGTAATCCCCAAAATGAATTCCCTTTCCCAGTGCACATTCACTCAAATAAATGGCCATGGATCCCTTAGGAGAAGGCTTGGAGGAAGATCGATGGTGTGTACTTGCAGGCATGGCACAGAGGCTGTCCTTAAAGGAGCTGAGCCTCCCTTCTCTCAAGGGCATCTGTGTCTGCGAATCCATCCAGGCTGATGACTGTCAACCTGGGGCTTTTTGTTTGTTTTCAGTTAGACCAAGAAATATTCTGGCAGGCTGCTTATCTATTTCTTTCCCAGTGACACCATGATCACTACCAAAGATCCCTACAGGACAAGGCATTCTGAGGGCCTGTAACTCCCTGTTGTCCTTTTCAGTAGATGCTCCCACCTTGTTTGTGGCAGCTGAGTGTTCCTTGGCCTCTGCTCCTCTAGTACCCCACCATCCCCACTGGGATTGGTGAGCCCACCTCAATAGCAGCTTTCACTCAAGATCATACTTAGCTGAAAAAGGAGCAACCAGAAAGCTTTGCAAGAATCCCTTGGGTTTCTTGTTTCTTCTGGGTGTTCTCATAGAACATAGTTTGGGGGTGGGTGTGTAGATTGCACATGATAAACCATGCCCAACACTCCTATATCTCTAAGCCTTTGGATTCCCTCTCTACACCATCCCAGGAAGCTGTAGCATCTCAAATGTAGTCACTGTTAAATATAACTTTCAAGAAACCAACCAACCAAGAAAATTGCTAGACCTACCTTCACTTGCAGACATTAAATCTGGAATCGCTGGTAAGTGCTTACATATCAATAAATTTGGCCTGATCTTGGTATATTTTCTCCTTGGTCTTATACCCATAGAATCCACTCATTCTCTATGTTTTCCAGGTTTTCTTCAATATATGCCAGCAAAGTCTTGCTTTTGTTGTGTGAACTATTTCCTCCCAGGTCATAGTTTGCACCTGTCTCTTTGGAGTATGCTGAGACTTCATCATAGCTATGGGTCCAGAGGCAACAGGGGGTGGTTGTGGTGGATCTTGAGGTGAGCAAGCATCTCATTTAGAGGTGAGGTTATCACAAGGTTTACAAGCAGAGGAAAGCAGCTTCCACTGTCAAGGGATGCTCAGAGTGACTTGGAATTCAAGGTCTGGGTTTCATGTGGTCCAATCAGATGCTCCCATTCCAAGTCTCAGGATCCCATTCTTTCCCATGAGAAATAGTTTCCTAAGGGCCTAACTTTCCATGAGAAACTTGGCAAGACTGTAAATTCAATGGATGTTGGAATTTAGCATTCTGCACAGTTAATTTTGTATTTGATTGTCAAGCACTATCTTCTGGCTTTAAGAAGTAAGAGATTTATTTCGGGTTGTCAGAGCTAAGAGTTAAAGGACTGAGCTTATAACTTTTATCCCAAATGCTCCAGTGCGTTCAGGAGCACCCACTATGGTCCCTGTAGTCCTCATTGCTGCCGTAATTGTCAAGTGCTGCAGCCACTTGTTGTCTCAAGACACTTGCTTCTGTTGCTCAATCAACCACAGGTGATGCCCAATTGATTGTGTTACCACTGCACACCTCGAATTACTAGCCCCCCATTCCCCATGGGAAAGAGCTCAGTCAGCACTGTGCTCAAACCCAAGGCTGTGACCAATTCAGTCCCAAGAATCTCATCTTTGTTGGTCTATACCTTGGAATATCAATTTTTCATCATCCAGCCTCCAAACCGGAAATGGAAACCACATTGAATTTGAACAGGGAAAGTTGAATATAAATAATTATGAAGTAGAACCAAGGATCACCTACCAAGAGATAAGCAGAACTCCAAAGAATGCAGGAATAGCAGGTGTCCAAAGCAGCCGCTCCCTCTAGGGTTCCATCGAGGAAGGCACAGATCTAGAAGAACCTCCCCTCTGCTCTGCCATCACCGCCAGGGCTGTTTCCAGGCCTGGGGAGAGAGTGTGATGTGGCCCCCCAGACGGTGGAGGAGCTTGCCGGGGTGAAACAGACCATGAGGATGAGCTGCACCCTGAAACGTGTTGGCAGCTGCTCACGGGGGTGGTGCACATTACAGGGTGTCCACACCGATGGCCACTGCACACCTCAGGAACAGGTGGAGAAGAACATGCCACAACCAGGAAAAAAGCCCCTTTTTTCATCCTGGGTCCCTCCAATCCCTATTACTGACAAAACTTAACCTCATAGCAGTTGGCGAGGGAGCATGTTTCAGTATCACAAGCAGGTGGTGAAGGATTTGGAGCTGAGGGGCAGTAAGTTGACAAATGATACACGTGGGTATCCTACACCCCTGTGACCTTGGACAAATCACTTCCCTTCTCAGGACCTTGGTCTCCTCATCTGTAAAGGGGGCGAGTCTCCACCTTCCCACAGGGTTGTGTGAGGATTGACTGAAATAAGCATGTTCAGCACCCAGTGCACAGTCAGTGCTTAATAAAAAGGAAGGAACATGAGCTGGCAGGTGGCCCGCTCCACATTTTGGGATCTGGTCTCTAAATCTCTCCTCCAGTGGGGGTCTTCCCTGCTCCCATCAGGGCCCCTCTCTGGGGTTTGGAATCCTGACCCAGAAGCTGACAGGGAAAGGCAGTGGGGCACAATTAAGAGATGTCAGCCTTGCCCAAGCCCTCCTTCCTCTTCTTAACTTGCTGTGAATCCTTGGGCTAATTAATTACCTTCTCTGAGCCTCATTTTTCTCTTTTGTCACCTGCCAGACTCTTCTTCACCAGCCCCATGACATTGACCTGGCAAGAGCCCTGGCCTCCTTCCCGGGAGAGCAGGTATCCAGCCCACCTCTGTCACTAATGTGCTCTATGTCCTTGGGTGGATTTCTCCCTCTCAGGGCCTTGGTTTCCCAGTGTTTCCCCAAGTACCCCCAACTCTCCCTAGCTTCTTTATTCTGATTGTCAACTGCTCTTTTCAGCAGACAAATGCCACCCAGTGGCTCCATCACAGTGCAGGGGAGGCCCCTGCAGGGGCGGGAGCATTGGCAGGCCCTGCACATCTGAGCAGTCGTGGTTAATTACTCAGACTTCTATTTATTGCCTCCCTAATTCCCCAAGCAAACATCTGCATTACCGGGAGTAATTCACTCACACCAACTTCCACTATGAGGGGTGGAAACTTCAAGATGTGCCCCTGCCCCAGCCTCTATACTGTGAAGGGACTGAGGAGTGACCCAGGACTTGGGGCTCTCAGGTCTGGCCCTGCCTACCTGCAGCACACGGGAGAGTCAGCCTCTCCTGGGAACCTGCAGGCTGTAGGTAAGTGGTTAGAGCACTAACTCAGGAGCCTGCCTGATGGCTAGGCCTAGTCCCAGTGTGGTCTCTGGCAGAGACAGCCAGTCCCCATGATCTTCAGCCTTCCCTGCCTGGCACCGTGCCACCCTCCAGAAGCTGCAGGGAGAGAAGCCTGGGAATGGGCTCCACTTCCTGCCCTCCTCCCCACCTGCAAGAGCCTCTGCCTAAGCTCTCTGGCTTTGGAAAGCAATGAGCTTGGAGGTAAATTCCCGGGCAGCTTCAGAACCGAGGTGTTCTTTGGAGCATGTGCTTGACAAGTGCTTCTGGCTGAGTGAGACCTGCCTGAGCTCAGTTCTGGGCCCAGGGTGGCTTCTCTGTGCTCCTGAGGCCCTCCTCTCCCTGCATGCATGCCTGGAGTTTTCCTGGGCCCAGTCGGCAGGAGTGTCCACTACAGCTCACTGGTGAGGGCGAGGTGGGCTGGAACAACAACCACTGGTTTGGGGTTTACCCTGCAATTCAGGCTGGGCCTGGCCCTGGCAGGTCCCCGCCGCTCCCCTGACCCCGGTTGGAATCTGAGTCTGGGGAGATGGAGACTCAAGGACGGCGTCCCCAGGGCGCCTTGCCCAGCCCAGCACGAGCCCAGAAGCAGCCTTTGATTTGTGAACTGCTGGGTTTAGGGTGGATTTAGCAACTGGGTTTCCAGTTGGTTTCCAGGGGGAGATGGATTTACAGCTGACACAGGTTTGCAGCCTTGCTGGGATCTGCAGCAGGCAGTGGGCAGGAAGTTATTGACTTGACCCCCGACCCTGGGGAGGGAAAAATAAAGAAGTTAAGAAAAATCCATCTTTGCGGGGTTTATCCTGAGACCCTTGAAGAGACAATTTCTACTTTTGATGCAGTTACATCGCTCTGCAAAGGCCAGGGGAAGAGGACCCAGAGAATGAGATTCTCCTCCCGTCTTCCCTCCTGGCCTCTTGGAGGATTGAAGTCTGTGAAAGTTCCTGGAGACTCCAAAAATCAGAACTGCCCTGCTTGCCCTCCTGCAGGCCCCAGCTGGCCCCTCTGTCCCTGCAGTGCCCTCCCCACGGTGGGGTCATCGAGCCTCCTGCAGGCTTTGAGAATAAGGCAGGGAGGAGGGAACCACCTTCACTGTGGGTTTGGGAACAGACGGCCTTGGGTTTGAATTCTGTGGGATTCTTCCACTCACTAGCTGTGGGGCCTTGGGGATTTCCATGCCCAGCATGGCCTCAGTTTCCTCACCTGTGCAATGGAGGGTGAGGAGATTTCCCTCCAAGAAAGCTTCGGGATTCAATGAGATGAATGTGTGCCGGGAGCCGCACGGCACTTGGTACGGGCGGTTGAGACGTGGGGCCTGGACAAAGACAGATCCAAGTTAGAGCCGACTCTGACAGCCGTTATCTGTGTGATCCTGGACACGTGTCTCAGCCTCCGGAGCCTCAGTTTGCCCTTCTGTGAAGTGGGAATAGTTGTCGTCATGATAAAAGGGAAAACGAAGTTCAAGTGCTCAGTGCCATGATGGGCGTGTTGTCAGTCGTCACTGGATGCTTTTGCTACCCCCTTCTCCTGGGCACTGCCTGGGCTGCAGCCACCGGCCTGGTCCTGAGCCTATGAAGACAAAGTGAGGGACTCCAGGTTCCTGTCCACGTCTGTGCTGATAAAGCTGGGAAGATAAAGCAGCTTCCGGGACTGCACAGTGGAGGGGGAGGCAAAGCACTGACATCTGAATCCTGGGTCAGTGACATCACCAGCTACAAGGACTCAAGGAGGCCACTTTTCCTCTCTGAGCCTCAGTTTCCTCATCTGTAAAATGGAGAGGATGATGAAGGTCCCAGACACGACACATGGTAGATGCTTTCTGTGTGCACCTACGACAGCCATGTAAGGCAGGCATTATGGGCGGTCCCATTTCACAGGTGGGAAAACCGAGGCTTAAACAGGGGAAATTCCTTGCTCAAGCTAACTAGGATGTGGTGGAGGCAGGATGTGAACCCAGGGATTCTGGCCCCAGGAGCGCACTCTCTTCTGCTCCTTGGGGTTGCTCTGAGGATCCCTAAGATGAAGGCCGAGGCTGGGCTCTGCAAACTCCAAAATGCTGCAGAAAGACCAGACGCAGTCCCTTCTACGGGGGACGGAATCGCAACCTGACAGGTGTGGCTGGACTCTGTAGACTGTGAAGTGCTTTGATAACTGTGACCAACATTTCTTGAGCACCAGCTAAATGCCAGCCATTGTGACGTTTTATGTTTAGCATAAATAAATGTGGACACAGGTCTCTCTGACTCCAGAGTCCGAATTCTTACCTATGAGAATGTGCCCCTGCCCACATTACCACTAAATGTTAGCTCATGGCTCAGGACACTCTGCTGTGACCACCTGCTGTTTAGAAAGAAAATGAGCTGAGGTCAGACTCAGGTGACTGTAGGGTGTGGAGTAATCAGGGCAGACATCCTAGAATGGGTGTACGGGACTCCCTGGCCTCTGGGCCAGAGAAGGTGTTGGGGAGACAGTGAGGGTGGGGCCAGGCTGAGGGTGCAGCCCCAGGGCTCACATCAGAATATAGGTGGGCCCTTCACTCATGAGCTTAGAAAACGCCCAGACCCAGCTACAGGCTCTGATGTTCCTCCAGTACCGTTGGTTGTCAGAGTAGCTGGTTTCTGTCTCTTTTGCCAAGAAGTTGCATGTTTTCTCATATTTCAATGTCATGGTTTTATTAGACCCCATAATCAAGAGATGAGTTGTGGCTTTCTCCTCTGCCATTCACTATGTTCTATTGACTTGTCCTTCCTCATTATTCAGCAAGTAACTCTTTCCATGAGCTCCCATTGATTTCTGGATTGAAATATTTCTTGTTGCACTTTTTAATGAGAGTCCTGTCTCAAGTGCACTAGCATCAGATTAGAGCATTTCACTTTGGGCCTGTTTCACTGTAAAAAGAACATCAATTCCCTGCTGGGAGGTCAGTGTACCCTTCTCCCAGTCCTCACAGGGGACACCTGTGTGCCCTCCTCCCGGGGTCCTCATGGGGGACACCCGTGGATCCTCCTCCCAGGGTCCTCACGGGGGATGCTTGTGGACTGTCCTTCTGGGGATACCTGTGACCTTCCTCCTGGGGTCCTTGCTGGGGATGCCCATGTACCCTCCTGTGACCCTCCTCCTGGGGTCCTTGCTGGGGATGCCCATGGACTCTCCTCCCGGGGCCCTTGCTGGGGACGCCCGTGTACCCTCCTGCTGGGGTCCTCGTGGGGGATGCCCATGGACCTTCCTCCCAGGGTCCTCATGGGGGATGCCTGTGGACCCTCCTCCCAGGTCCTTGCTGGAGACCACTGTGGATGATCCTGTGGATACTTGCTTGAAGTTGTGGATACTTGCTTGATGTTGAAGATGTTGAGACTGGGTTTTGTCTTTTAGTATGCCTCATAATTTTTCATTGATGGCATGACATGATGTGTTGAGTCAAAGGACTAGGGTAGATAGGCTTCTAGTGTGAGGTTTTATGTTTATCTGGCTGAGGTTAACATGTGTTTCCTGTTTGCTGTAGCTGTGGTTCAGAGGCTGAACTTTCCTCTACTGCCCCGTATTTTGTGTCCCCTGTTGTCTTTGGATTTTACTAGAAACTCCTGAAATGATGTCTGAGGCTTATAGTTCTTGAACCTGTAACCCCTTTGATAATACAGCAGCCCTGTTGATGTGGTGGTAAGGTCTAGGGGAGGAAAATATTCAGTAGTCTTATAATTAGGTCTCAATCTTTTAGGGAGCAGGAATTGGGTATTTTTCTTCTCTGAGGCCTTGCTAAAGAGAACAGAGTGCCATAGGCATATTTCAGGAAGGTTATTTTCCCCTCTCTCTGCCACAAGCAAGAGGGGATTTTTCTCCTATTTTCAAATTGAAGATCTGGGGCTGCTCCTCAAGGTAAAACTCACAGAAGCGTTTGGGACCCTCTAAGACAGGGATGTCCAAGCTTTTGGCTTCTCTGGGCCACATTGGAAAAAGAATTGTCTTGGGCCACACATAAAATACACTAACACTAACAATAGCAGATGAGCTAAAAAAAAAAATTGCAAAAAAATCTCATGAAGTTTTAAGAAAGTTTATGAATTTGTGTTAGGCTGCATTCAAAGCCATCCTGGGCCTCATGTGGCCCAGGGACAGTGGGTTGGACAAGCTCGCTCTAAGACTTGGCAGCCTTGGAGTTTGTAATTCTCAAGCTAGTGTACACGGAGCCTCCAGCAATTCCTCACTTACTGTTTAAAGTGTTCTTAGAGATATTGGCTCCAGTTGTGGGCTTCTCTTCCTGGACACTGTGATTCTTAGTATCTGCCTGTATTTTTCACTTTTGATGCACCCATTTGCCCTGTGATCTTAATTTTCTGATGGATCTAAGAATAGTTGTTGATTTTGACTTTGTTCATTGTATTTTTCTTGTTATGAGGACAGGAGCAATGATTTCCAAGCTCTTTTCATGTTGGACCAGAAATCAGAAGTTAGATTCTCAGTATTATTTTTCAGTGTTGAGTTATGAGAGTTCTTTATATATTCCAGATAATAGTCCTTTGTTGTATAAGCAATTTGCAAATATTTTCTCCCAGCCTGAAGCTTGCCTTTCATTTTCGTCACGAGTTGTTATAGAACAAAAGTTTTTAATTTTGATGTGGACAATTTATCAGTTTTTCCTTTTATGAGTCATGCTTTTGGTGTCAATATAAGAACTCTTTTCCTAGTTGTAGTTTCCAAAGATTTTCTTCTATGTTTTTTTCCTAGAAGTTTTATATTTTTATGCTGTATATTTAAATCCATGATTCATTTTGAATTATTTTTAAGATGGTATGAGGTTTAGATTGAAGTACATTTTTTTTTGCCCATGGATATCCAATTGCACCAGAACCATTTATTAACAGGGTTATCCTTGCCCCATTCAATTAGTTTCATACCTTTGTCAAAAATAAGTTGAGCTTGTATGTGTAGGTCAATTTCTGGGTTCTCTATTTTTTCCCCATTGATCCACATGTCTATCCTTCCTTTAATACTACACTGTCTTGATCTTGCAAGACTCAATATTGGGTAGAGTGATTCCTTTTACTTTACTCATTTTTGTCAAGTTTATTTTAGCAATTTGAGGGCCTATCCCTTTCTATATACATTTTAGAATAAACTGGTCTATGTCCACAAAACAGTTTCCTGCAATCTCGATAAGAATTGTGTTGTAACTGCATTTTAATTTGGGGAGAATCTCTGTCACTTTTTACTGCATGCATTTTAGGTTCTTTTGTTTAGTACATATACATTTAAGATTGTTATGCTTCCTTGGCCGATTAATGTTTTTATCTGTTAAAGTAAAAGGATTTATCTATCCTTTTACTTTCTACCTATGTCATTAAATTTGAAATGAGTTTCTTGTAAACAGGATGTAGTTGGAATCTGTTTTAATATTCTTCCAATCTCTTTTGATTGGTGTATTTAGACCATCAACATTTGAAATGATTATTGATATGTTTGCACATAAGTCTGTAATTTTATTATATGTTTTCTGTTTGTTTCTTCTGGTCCTTGTTCCTCATTCTTGTTCCTTGTTTTACTGTGGGTTATTTGAACTTTGTTTTAAGGATTTCACCTTGGTTTATTTACTGTGTCTTTGAGTGCATCTTTTTTGTATAGTTTTCATAGTTGTTTCTCTTATTAGAAATCACAATATCACATATGACTTAAAACAGTCTAAGGGTATCAATAGTTTACCATTTCAAGTTAAGTGTCAAAACCTCATTTCCAATTAGATCTCTTTACCTTCCTCAATTTTAAACATCGTGTCTTGAGTATCAAATGGTTTTATAATGTTTGTTTTGATCATTTAATATGATTTATAAAACTTATGAGGAAAATAATTGTATGTCTATTGTATGTAGCCATATTTCTGCTCTGTCCATTGTTACCTCTTTCTGATGTGGCAAGGGTTTTTTTATTTTTCATTTTATTTCAATTTGATGAACATCCTTTAGGCAATCTTTAAGAGTTAGTCTGTTAACAAATTATTTGTTTTTCTTTGTCTGACAATGTCTACATTTTCTCTTAATTCCTGAAAGATAGTTCCACAGGATATAGAACTTGAGGTTGACAGATTTTTCTATCTGCAGTTGAAAAATATTGTGCAATGTCCTTTCGGCTTCAATGGTTTCAGATGAGAAATCTGTCATTTGAATGTGTGTTCCCCAGTAGGTAATTGTGCGCCATTTCTCTCAGCTGCTTTTAAGTTTATTTTCATTGGCTTTCATTTTTTTTTTTTTTGAAACTGTCTCATTCTGTCCCCCAGGCTTTTGTGCAGAGGTGTGATCACAGCTTACTGCAGCCTCAGACTCCTGGGCTCAAGTGATCCTCCAGCCTCAGCCTCCCTGGTAGCTGGGATTACAGGTGCATGCCACCACACCCAATTATTATTTACTTATTTATTTAGAGATGGGATCTCACTATGTTGCCCAGGCTAGTCTGAAACTCCTGAGCTTAAGTGATCCTCCTGCCTCAGCCTCCCAAGTAGCTGGAATGACAGACACAAGGCACCATGCGTGGTGCCTTTAATTTTTAAAATTTTAGTTATCATATGTCTTGGTGTGAATTTTTTGTGTTTGTCTTCTCTGGGGGTCACTCGGCTTCTTGGTTCTATAAGTTTGTGTCTTTCACCTGATTTGGAAATTTTTCAGTCATTATTTCTTCAAATACAGACAGCCTCTGACTTAGGATGGTTCAATATACAAATATTTCAACTTTAGGATGGTGCAAAAGCAATGTGTATTCAGTGTGCTCCTCAACTTATGATAGAGCTATGTCTGGGTAAACGCACTGTAAGTTTCATTGCTGCCGCATCATAAGTTGAGAAGTATATGTACTCTTTCACCTTCACTTTCTTTTTCTTCTCTTTCTAAAATTCTGATGATATGAATTTTGGACCTTTTCATACTGTTCCACAAGCCTCTGAGGCTCTATTTAATTTTTAAATTCTATTTTCTCTCTGTTGTTCAGATTGGGTGAATTCTATTGTTCTGTCTTTAAGTTCACTGATTCTATTCTGTCATAGCCACTCTACTATTCAGTCCATCTAGAACATTTTTTATTCCTGCTGTTGTATTTCTCAGCTTTGTAATATCATTTTGTTTCTTTTTCATAACTTATTTTTCTTTGCTGAGATTGTGTTTTTTCACTTATTTCAAGATAATTGGTAACTAACTAGTAAAGCGTTTTATGATGGCTGCTTTAAAATCTTTGTCAAATAATTCCAGGATCTGATTCTTCTTGGTCTTGAGCATCAGTCGATTGTCTTGGTTCCTTCGAGTTGTGATTTTCTTGGTTCTTGGTATGATGGATAATTTTTTATTGTATCCTGGACATTTGGTCTACTATATTGGGAGAGTCTAGGGCTTCTTTATATTTTTTTAGTTTATTTCGGCTTAGCACATGAGTTCTTGTCCTACTGTTGTGGGCTCTGGTCCTAATGGCAATTTAATTGTCAAAGCCATTATTTTGGTCTGCTCAGTTTATCTGGTAATGCCATGGTTCCCACTGAACCCTTCTGGGGCTACCTCGGGAGGTATAAGGGGCTTCCCTAGGTCTGCTGAGTGTCTTCTAATGAAAAAGGCTGTGGAGGGGGTCCCCCTACTAGAGCTGTTCAGCTATCCTGATGTCTCTGGCAGGGGAGTAGAGTCTTGAGCTCAAGCCTACAAAGCTTCCTGGACTGGGACATTTGTGACTAGTCACTGTTTTTGGTTCTTCCCACCTCCCGACCCCAATGCTGGGAATGTTTTGCTTTTGAAAAAATGACACTTTCAGCTATTTCAAACAGCTCAGCAGTGTTTGCAACAGGCACTCTCAGTCCATTTTTGAGGATGTACTCATCTCCATGGCTCAAGTAGGGGCAGAGAGCAAGGGTGTCAAAGACATGTTTCTTGGCAATAAGAAACGAGGATTGTTCATATCCACAGTAGGCTGTGTCTAATTGGCCATTTTAAAATGTCTGGCTTTACAAGTCTCAATAGGGTGGGATTAATTACTTCAGCTACTTAACCTCTCTCAACCTTAGTTAAGAAGAGGTTTGGAGCCTACACTTAGATGTAATCCTGCTCAGCCACTCACTGGCTGTTGGGATGCTCTCAAATCCCTTCGTTTCTCTGGTCTTCAGTTTCTTCATCTGTGCAATGGAAGTGATGAAAGTCCTCACCTCCCAGGTTTGCTAATGTGATGCTGATATAAAGCACTGGCCACAGGAAGGGGTGCCTGGTTGACTCTGCTGAGTGACCATCAGGGGTTATCATCATGACCTTGGAAGGCTTCTAGCCCTTGTAGTCAGGTAATGTCTAGGCTGCTGGAGGATCTAGCAGCTTTGAGATAATGAAGATGTCTGCCTTAGTAGTAATAGATGCATCTATTATTACTAACAGTGTTATGTTTAAAAAGCAGGACTTGATCTGAGCAGCCTAAATATGAATCCTGACTCCAGCACTTACTGGCTGGGTGGGACACAGGTCAAGCTACTGAACCTCCCTACGTATTAATTTCCTCATCTGTGAAATGGGGACAGCGATAATACCTAATTCAGAGATGAGTCAGGCCAAGTAATTAGCATGGTTCTTGGAATGCCGTAACTGCTCAATAAATGCTGGCTGCAGCCTGCCATGAAGACAGAGAGCTTTGTGTATTGTTCGCGGCTGTTTGTCTGTATTTCCAGTGCCTAGAACAGAGCCTGACACACCGTGCGTGGGTCTCTGTCTAACATGGTGGCTCCTTATTTGGGCTGCAGGCCTTTCCTGCTCAGGGTTGTGTCTGGCTCATGGCTGTGTCCACAGATCCTGCGTGGAGCCTCCCTCCTGCTCTTGGCAGCTGAGGGAACTGCACTGATGTTAGGGCTTAAAAAGTGTGTCTGAGATGCTGCCTGCTGTGCACTGTCACTGAGGCACTGGTCTGTCTCTCTTTCTCTGTCTCTCTCTTACAAACACACAGTCACACACACACACACAGCACACACACACACACACAGCACACACACACACATAGACAGACACACACACAGCAGCTGGGTTCCTCCGAGCTCCTCTGCCCAATGCATCCTTCATGGTTTTCTAGCCTTGAGTGGGGGCAGAACAATTGGCCAGGAAGCTGGAGGTTCCCCTTCCACCAGGATCCTCTCTCCTTGATTCCTGAGATTCTTAGTGCCCATTTGATGCCCATTTCTTAGAAGATAGAGGATGCTGCTAGTGGGGAGCCAGGCACATGTCCCTGTCCCTGTCCCCTCCTCAGCAATCATGCTGCAGTGAGAGAGAATTTTCAGGGCCTTCCCTGAGCTTAGTTTTCATGTGGGAGGGGCAGAGCGCCCAGGGACTGGGGTCCAGGAGCAGATATACATGCTGGAAGGGAGGGCAGAAGGTACCCACCTGCCCTCAGCATGGTTGTCCTGATTCTTTGGGTATCTTTTGGCTCAGATTCACCAATGGGCCCAACTACTGGAGTCTGCTCAGGCTGCCGTGACAAATGCTATAGACTGGGAGGCTAGAAGAAGAGAAATGTCTTTTCTCTCAGTTTGGAAAGCTGGGAAGTCCAAGATCAAGAAAAGGTCTGGGTTGGTTCTTCTGTGTCCTGTCCCCTTAATTTGGAGACAGCTGCCCTCTCACCGTGTCCTCACGTGGCCTTTCCCTGTGTGCCTGCGTTGGTGGTGACCCTGCTCTTCTTATGCCGGTCTTACTGGCTTAGGGACCCACTTGTATGACCTCACTTAACCTTAATTACCTCTTTCCTTCAAGGTCCTGTTTCTAAACACAGTCACATTGTGGGTTAAGACTTCAACACAGGATTTTGGGGGGCCACTATTCAGGCCATAACAGGGAATCACAACCTCCATGAAATGTCTATGGGTTCCCTTAGCGCTGGAATGGGATCCGGTGTGACTCTTTCTTGCTGTAACATTACCCCTCCCACCCAATATGTCTGAGGGCATCCAAGTTTCTCATTTCACCCTTGAGAATGAGGCTCAGAGAGGGTCAGTGACATGCCCCCGGTCACACAGATTGTAGGGAGCAGCTCTAGGAGGACAGCCTGAGCCCTGTCATTCTGGCCTGGACTTTTTCTGATGCTGGGCAATCAGGACAGCCAGACATGGATAACCGTGCTAGGCTGTGTGGGCGAGGGCACCCGGCATCAGAGCTGAGAGGGCCTTGGTGCTAAGCAGCCTCTTTTGTCTCAAGCCTGGCTTTTCTTTCTCTCCCTTAGGGATTCCAATTTCAGGAATATTTTTTGGCTCTTTGTAATTCTCTCATCTTTCATTGCGCTGTCTTTCTGAGTAATCTGAGGCTTGCAGACAGCTAAGTACGATGTGTACATTAAAATGAAATGCAGTACAACATAATTGAACATATTTCTTTCATGTCTGAGTGGTGGATTATTCTTCCTGGCATGTCCCTATTTTCTCTTCACTGATTCCACTTTTCATGTGAGGTTTTTCCTCCCCTCGCTGGAATTTCTGGGATGTGAATGGCTCCCTAGCCGCTCCTCATCAGAGATCCACCACAATCCTGACACTACAGACCACGTCCCTGTGATGGATAAACCACGTTCCCAGGGCTGAGGGGAGGAAAATGCCAGTGTCTTCGTGGGCCTGGGAGGGGTCCTCACTGACAATGGGGAAGGTGGGGGTCGGCGAGTGGGACTGGGAGGGTTTCCCTGGGTGCAGAGACCCTCCCAGGAACATGCTCCTGGTGGATCCTTCTGTTGCTCTAGAACTGAGGCTGCAGCTTTAGAGCAACAGGATCCTGACTTGCAGCCAAAGCAGCCATCGGGTCCCCAGTGAGTGGTGAATCAGCAGAGACTCCCCAGACACGGCTGTGAGCTCAGGTTCAGCTCAGGAGGGGAGCCAGAGGCACTGGAGCAGGTGAGCAGGAAGGGTGCTGCTGCCTCAGCTTACTCACTGCGTGGCCTTGGGTGCGTGACCCAACCTCCCTGGGCCTCAGTTTCCCCATCTATAATATGGGCATATATATTCACAGCACAAGGGATTACATGGAGGATTAAATGAAACGATGCCTGTAACACGCTCAGCACAGTGCCTGGTAAATTGTAGGTCCTGAATGAGTGGAAGCAGGTGATATGCATTCATTCACTCACCTAGCCCATTGTGAGGCCTCCTATGTCCCAGGCCATGCACCAGGCATCAGAGAGAGAAGAATCATACCTCCTGTCACCTGGGGTAGCTCATGGTCTAGTGGTGAGACCAGAAACAGCTCTAGGAGGGGGACATAGTGGTGTTTGTGGGAATGGAGGAGGGACAAGCAAAGTCAGCATCCAGGGGAATCAGAGGAGGCCTCATGGAGGAGGTGATGCTCAAGCTGAGACTGGAATGGGGCTTGAATTCCAGGGGGCAGGGTTGGGGGGTGTTCCAGCTGAGGAGAGCAGAGCAATGGCAGGGAAGCATAAAGAGTGGTGGGTGGGGGTACCAGGGGTGGTCTGGCTGGGCCTGAAGCCCGGGGACTGTGAGGACAAGTGGAGGGAGGTGGGGCAGGGAAGGCTGGTGGGGTGGGGCAAGATCACAGTGGACCTGAGTTTGGACTTTGTCAGGCTGATGCTGGGAGCCATGGATGGTTGTGATGGCAGCAGTGGCCCATCTAGAGTGGCTGCTGCCAAGGTATCAGCTGCAGTGGGGAGGAGTGGTGAAGGCTATAACACTCCATGGAGCAGGCAGGAGCCCCACCCTCCCCGAGTGCTACCACAGCCACCCTGCAGGGGCTCTGGATCTGGGCGTATCTGTGCTCTTGGAGGCCCAGGAAATCCCCACTGTTCCTGGCAGGCTTGGAAGTGCCTGCTCCTATGGCCTGGCTTCTTCTGATATTGGCACCTGCTCTGATCTTGGGGGTGTGGCCAGAGCTGCATGCTTCACAGAGCCAGTGGGAGACAGTTGGGGGGTGAAAATGAGAGCCTGTCTCTTCTGAGTTGGTGGGGTGGGAGCTCCCTGGGTGCAGCTGCAGCCACCTTCCCAGGTGTAGGACCCCCAGCATCTCTGCAGTCTGCACCCTTGGAGGCCTGGGAAGGCCCCTCTGTCCCCACTGGCTTGGGGGTGTCTGCTCCCACTGCCTGGCCTCTCCTCACTCTTGGCACCTGCTCTGATTTTGGAGCAGAGTTGGGGCTGAACCTGGGCACTGTCACAGCCCAGCTAGATGTGCACACACTTGGGGCAGTGCTGACATGCCAGCCCTTGCCGTTTCATATCCCTCTGGATTTTGGGTGCTGACAAGCCAGGGAGGGGAAGCTGAGAGGGGCCTGAGGGCAGCTCAGCTCCAGGTGTTGGCCTGCAGGTGCCCCTTGGTGCGAGCAGCCTGGGCACCATGGAAGGTGGGAGGCAGACAGGCTCCTGGGCAGAAGGGGGTGGGTCCCTGGTGAAGCCCCACCTTCAGGCTGGGGAAGGCCTGAAGCCTGGGGGCCTGGCTGCCAGTCCTAACAACTGGAGGGGGATGAGAGGGAGAGCTCGTGGTGCTTTTTCCTGGGCCTGACCATGGCTGCCCATGGACCAATCAGTACTCACTTCCCCCCTCTGAGGCCCATAAAAGCCCCAGGCTCAGCCAGAGCTGAGCAGATGATGGGAGAACCAGCTGCAGAGGGGAGCTTTCCACTCCAGGGCCTCCTCTCTGCTAAGAGCTGCAGAGACAATGGGATGACCTGCCTGCAGAGAGAAGCCACCCACCCCAGGACCTCCTCCTCTCTACTGAGGGCTGAACACTCATCAGGACACCCTAACTGCAGAAAGGAGCTACCCACAGTGGGTCTCTGAGCTGTTTTACTTCTAAATAAATCTCCTCTTCATCTTGCTCATCCTCCACTTGTCTGCATACCTCATTCTTCCGGATAGCAGGACAAGAACTCAGGGGCTGCCAAATGGCAAGGCTAGAAGAGCTGTAATACAAACAGCACCGAAACATACCCCCTTGCTCACCACATTTCAGGTGAAGAGAGGGAGAGAAGTGCTGTGGCCCTCTGGGGACCCCAGAGCTGGGAGCTCCCTGAGCCAGGGCTGTGGCTCCCTCTTTGAGGCTCTGTGGTTCCTGGTGTCTCTGAGCTTCTGGGCACCACTGCATTTCCTGATACCAGACAGGGAAGCTGCTTGCGGTGTGCCTGGTCCAGCTGCAGCCTCACATAGAGTCGGCGCCTATGCCAGCACCTGGAGCTGCCTGCCCACTGCAGCAGCCACCATGCGTGACTGTGCACAGTGGCCAGACCCCATGCCTGCTGGCTCATACACCCCTCACTGCTCCATGCCTGGCCCACCCTTGGCAGGTTTGGGATCCAGGCTGGTAGCATGAGCTGAGCACAGCCTGCCAGGCTGAGTGGGTGGAACGAGCTGAGCAGGCCTGGGCAAAGGCACCACCAGCCACAGAGGCCAGAAGAGCAACACTCCAAAGATCTAGTAATAGTTGAGGGACAGGGGAGGGCTGTGGTCAGGGCGTCAGGTCCTTCCGCAGATGGCAGCCTTGAGTGGGAGCCACGAGGGAGACAGTGTCACTCCTGTTCCTCAGGCTCTACCTGGGGCTACACAGAGTGAGTGTCATCTGTGTCCCTGATGTGGCCTCGGGGGCTTAGGGCTGGAGATATGCCTCCAAGTCCCTCAGGCTATGTTGGAGCCCCTGGCTCTGCCTCACCCTTCTCTGAACAGCACTCCTCCCTCCTTGTCCCCCTCCCACCAGTGTTCACTGGGCTCCTGTGAGGGGCTGGGCACTGTTCTAGGGGCTACAGCTGTGAACAAACAGGCGACACCCTCTACCCAGAGCTCACATCCCTGTGGGGACACAGATGGTCACCAAATAACTTAGGGACCTCCCCTGGGATCAGTGCCATGAGGACATGGTTCCCAGGTCTCTGGGACCCTGGGCCAGAGTCTAACCTTGTCAGGAAGGCTGGGAGGGCTTCCCTGAGGAGGTGGCCCTCTCACCAAGACCTGAGGGATCGGGGGAGAAAACTCTGGGAAACGAGGAGGAGGTGAGCTTCAGGGATTAGGAGGAGAGTGAGCAAAGGTCCCTGGTGGGAGGGAGGGAGGGGAATTCAGGGCCTGGGGTGGAGACTTGAGGAAATTGAGGAACAGATGAGGCTGGCGAGGATGGCACAGGGCCAGGCCCCCAGGGAGCATGGTGGCCATGGGGGCAGGTTTGTTCTTCTCTTTACAGTATGAGGATGCTCCCGAGAAGGCTAATCAAGGGAGGCAGGAGCAGATTTCTGCAGTAAACCCCTTTCTCTGGATGCCTGGTCAAGGGCTGTGGGGTGGCAATAGCAGCAGGAGGCCAGGAGAGGCTGAGGAAGGGTGCAGAGGGAGGTGATGGGGACAGAACAGGCCAGGGAGCTGGAAGGCTGGGTTGCAGTGATCTGAGGAGTTGAAACTGGAGGTGGATTCCATGTGGCGTGCAGGGAAGAGGTGGGGGAGGGTGGGGATGCTGCTGCTGAGCTTTCCTGGTGGAGGGGTGAAGACCTCAGCACAGTCAGGGCTGGGAAGCCAGGTTTCAGGGACAAAGTTGTGGTCACTGTGGCCGGGCTTCTCTGGTGTTTCCCTTCCTCACCTCCCCAGGTAGAAGAGGCCTCTTCTCTTATTGGCTCCTTCCTACCCCCTTGGCCATTTCAGATCAGAACATCAGGTCAAAACTGAATGTGTTTTAGAGATGCCTTCATCCCATCCTTCATGAACAGGGAAGAGAAGAGGCCCAGAGAGGGAGCAGGATTTCCCAAGGCCACACAGCAAACATGGGCAGAACTGGAGACGGCTCCAGAGCCCCACTTTGTGCCCTCAACACCAGCTCCCTGCTGGACGTCATAACCAGGGGCCGTGGTGGCCGCTTTCTTGACTCTGCCCCTCAGGCCGTGGCTAATGGCTCTGTCATCCTGAATCAATAGGTTGGGAGCCACTGTATTTATAGCGTAATTTTTTCAGATGGTTCAAGGAGAAGTTGATAAATGGGTCCTGTCCTTTCCCAGAAGATTATAGATTTTCTTTTTCTTTATTACTGTTTTTTTTCTTTCTTTATAATTCTCTCTTTCTAACACACAGGACTCTCTCTCCTGTGGAAGCTAGTGGTCCTTGAGGAAACTGCTCCTGTGATGCTGGAGCCCCTTTCAGGGTGCACCTTGCAGGGGCTGGGGCCTGGAGGTGGCACCGTGGCCGAGGCGGCAGTGCCTCAGGCCTCCTGGTCTCATCCTCTCTGGTCAACCCTGTGATTCTTGCTGCCAAGTCCAGGAGGTGCTCACTAGAGGGGTCCCTGTAGTTTGGGCAACTCTTGGCAGGGAACTAAGGCAGCAAATGCTGGGCTGAGGTTGTGACAGGGACATAATTCTCTGCAGATTTCCCCACCCCACCCTCCACCCAACACCAGAGTGGAGGAGGGTGAGGGAGAAGCCAGCAGTTACTTTGTGTGGCAGATGTGCTGGGCTTGGCATGTAGGGTCTGATTCCCTCCCCTGCCTCTCCATTTCCTCCCCAAGATCATCTCAACGGTTAGATTGTGTTTTCTCTCATTTCACAGATGAGGAATCTGAGGCTCAAAGAGGTTGAAGGAGGCAGTAAGTAGCAGAATTGGGATTTGAACCCAGGCAAGCCTGGCTGTTTCCCAAAAGTACTCCTGTCTCCAAAAGAGTACAGGCTGCTCTTCCCTGTACCCAGTGCTTACCTTGCACCAGGCACTGAAGTTGACTCTTCCCATCTTGCATTTCACTGAACCCTGACCACCTATAGGGCAGATGCGGTGGCCACCACTTTTTAGATGAGGAACCTGAAACTCAGAGAGGCAAGTAATCACAGGTTACTTGCCTGTGAACTGTGGAGCTGGGATTCAGTCCTGGGTTAGTTGCCTGCAGAATCTGTGTCTATAACTGCTGCACAGAGCTGCCTCCTCCTCTGACCTCAGAGAAGTTCTTCCTGAGCTCTAACCCAACTCCTCTACACTGACCTTCAGATTAGCTGCTGAAGATCATGGGTCCAAGATACATTAGTGTAAGAAACAGGTTATAAAGTTCCAGAGGGCAAAGGGAATTTTATTTCATTTATCTTTTTTGTCACTTAAGAATGAATACATAGTCTCTCTGTAGGCTGGTAGAAGGTGATTAGGCAGAAAAGAGATGCAGAGTCAGGTAGGAGGCGAGCACACTGGTAGGAGGTGAGCAAGCAGGTAGGAGGTGACTAGGTGGGGAGAAGATGATGAGGCAGGTAGGAGATGATGAGGCAGGTAGGAGGTGAGCAGGCAGGTAGGAGGTGAGCAGGCAGGTAGTAGGTGGGCAGACAGGTAGGAGGTGGGCAGGCAGGTAGAAGGTGAGCAGGCACATAGGAGATGAGCAGGCAGGTAGGAGGTGAGCAGGCAGGTAGGAGATGAGCAGGCAGGTAGGAGGTGAGCAGGCAGGTAGGAGATCAGCAGGCAGGTAGGTTGGGTTTCTGCCCCTTTTACCTGTTACAGGTGAGGGCCTCCCCTTCCATAGCCAACAGTTCCAGGAGTGGGCTCTATCTGAGGTCCTGTGGCCCCTTTGGGGGAGGGATTGTGTCCCCTCACAGTTCTGGAGCTCTGACAGGGCCCCACACTACTGGGCTCCTTCCTATCTCACCTCATTTAAACTTCCCATTGAAGTTTTGAGCACACAAACTTTTCTGTAGTGAGCACGCAAAGTTCAGAAAGTAGAGATGACATGGCCAATATTTTGAACCTGAGGACTCTTGCCAGATCACTGTGCTGCCTTCCACCCTCTTCCTCCTTGGTTTCTCCATTCATACACAGGCTGCTCAACACCACTATCCCCGTGAAGAGCTTCCCATGGAGTCCAGATTTGACCTCAGACCCCCACCTCCCCCTTGCAGGGAGTCCCATTCTATCACAGTCCTGTCCCTCCCTTGGAGTCATTCGCTTGCTCAGAACCTGTGTTAAGGCCTCCTTACCTTGCTAGGTAAATGCAAGCAATGGCATGCACATTAGGCAGCCTGAAAGTGTGGAGACCAACCGGCAGGTAAAGAAACCCCCAGGAATAGCCCAAACGCTTGTGTTTCATCCCCCAGGACTTCCAGAGGATTCCTCCACTCCTTGTCAGCACTCCCTCAGAAGGAAGGAAAGAGAAATGGACCAGAAGGAATTCCCTTTCCTGGAATGAGGGCACCTCATTTTTTGATGTTCCCCCACCCCATTCCCAGAGGATACAGGTCTCCCGGGGTAGTCTCAGCCTCCAAACAACAGCCCTCTGAGACTTTTACAGTTTGCACCCCCATTTTATAGATGGAGAAACTGGGGCTCAGAGAGGTGAAATAAACTAGAAAATGTCATGCAGCTGTGGAATGGCAGAGCTGAGATTTAAATAGAGGTCGGACCCCAAAGCCTGTTGTTTTCCCAGTGTTCATACTCAAAGAGGACTGATGTCCCTGGCTGGCTCCATCAGATCTAGCCTTGCCATCCCCACCCCCTTGGCATGACCTGAATTCCTGGGTTCCAGTGGGTGCAGTGAGCCTGTGCCCTGCCTGGATGCCCCTCCCTGATGGGTCTTGCTCCAGCGGACTGAACTCTGTCCACTTCTCCAAAGCAGCTCCCTCCAGGGCTTTGCAAAAGCTGCTCCTCCTGCCTAGAGAGCCTTTCCCCTCCTCTCTGCCTGGACAACTCCTATTCATCTTTCAAGACTTAGTTGAAATATTGCCTCCTCCAGGAAGCCACCGAAATCTCCCATACTTGATCATACTTCCTTGGAGTCCTGAACGCTGACTGTGTTATGTTAGAGTGTTTGTCTAGGTGTCTGTCTCCCCCCTGGACTGTGACATTCCTGAGTGCTGGGGCCATCACTGTGAGTCCTGCAAACTGCATGGGGCCTGGCCTATAGCAGTGGTAAATAAACCAATGTCTGTGAAATAAACTTTGCTCAACAGTTCTAGCTCTGGTCAGTGAATGGTCCACCCATTTGTGCTGTGGTCAGAGATCTGCAGGCCATCATACTGTCCCTGGAGTCTGTCCTTCTTCAGGCTGAGCAGCCTAGCTCCTTGACTCTTTCCATTGTGGACTCTTCCACTGAGTCTGATCAATCAGCCTCACAAGTCCTTAAGCTGAGTGCAATCTGCCAGCATTGATTAGGATAGGACCACCCCCGTCTCATCCTTGATACTAGACCTTCATTAAATAGTCTACACACAGCCTGGCATATCAAAGCTCAGCAAATCTTTGTATAATAAATGAATGAATAACAGGTTAGTATTTCTGGCAATCATCTCACACTGTTGGTGTGAATTTAGCCTCAATTCAATCTTCAACTCACAGCCTCTCTCCTGCAGACACTGGAGCCCTACCTCTTGTCCTTGGGCAGCTGGACTTAGATGAGATCTAAGGTTGGAACTCATCCGACTCTGCTCCATCTTGTCCTGTGTGTCCAGCTCTTTCAGTGGATCTGAGGCCTCTGGGGTCCTGACTCATTGATATGGCTAGGCCCTGTGTCCCCACCCAAATCTCATCTTGAATTGTAATCCTGACGTGTTGAGGGAGGGACCTGGTGGAGGTGATTGGATCATGGGGGTGGTTTCCCCCATGCTGTTGTTGTGATCGTGAGGGAGTTCTCACGAGGTCTGATGGTTTTATAAATGGTAGTTCCCCTGGGCTCCTCTCTCTCTCCTGCCGCCTTGTGAAGAAGGCGCCTGCTTCCCCCTCCACCATGATAATAAGTTTCCTGAGGCCTCCAGAGCCATGTGGAATTGTGAGTCAATTAAACCTCCTGTGTTTATAAATTACCCAGTTCGGTAATATCTTTATAGCCGTGTGAGAACAGACTAATACACTCATCATCTGCATCTTCGTCAGCCCCTGCTCAGCTTCCTCTTCCTCAGAGGCATTGAGTACCCCCAGGACCTGTGCCAATCCCGCCTCTGAACAACCTGGGAGCTCCCATGAATTCAGATTCCTGCGCTTGGCTCCAGGCTATTGATTTGGAATTTCTGCAGAGGCAGTGGGGAGGCTCGGAAATCTGCAGTTTGAGAAGTTCTCCAGGTGATTCTTATGAATCAGAATGTTGGTGACCCTGAGAAATGGGGCAGGATGTGGGACAGAGCTATACAAGGTAACCTGATTGTAATCCAGGCATTTGGGGACTATTTTAAGTCCACTAAGCTACACTATGTTCAGCCCACGTGTCTCCACCTGGTTCACACACTCTCAAAAGTAGGCTCCATACTGGTTTACTGAAGTCCACACGTGGTGCCTCAGGACCTTTGCTTCTGCTGTGCCTGCCAATTCCTGTATCTCTGCAGGTCTCTACATCTACAAGAGAGTAACAAACTGCAACCAGGATAGGGATCTGGGTTTGCCTAAACCCAAAGTCCCAGTCCTTCTTTCTGATGGGCTGCCCTGGATGGCCGCTCTAACCCTAACCCTAACCCTGTACTCCACTGGACCTCCTTAGTGCTCCTGAGATTGTTTATCAGATACACCATTACCCAGTGTGAGTGTTTATGCAACATTAGTTAGTCCTAATGAGGATCCATAACTGATTAGGAGCAGAGTTTGTCAATCACAGTCCGGGTTTCCTCCTCTTGGCTTTTCCCTGGGAGCCAGGCAGTGCCTCAGCAGAAGTGGGAACCAGGCCCCCCAGCCCCTTAGAGGCCTGCTCTGGTGTCTGGGAACTGTGGCCCAAACCTTCCCCGCCCCCACTCCCTGCCCCGCTTCCCAAGGCCTGTTTGGTCCTCAGCTCTGCTCTGTTGAACTCCCCTGGCCCTTGAGGCTGATGAACACCTTCACTCCCCACCCTTTCCCTACCTCCCCTCCCCACAGCCCTGCAGGGTCTGGGGCTTGGTCATGTCCCTTGCACACCTAGGCTGCCGTCTGTGACCCTGTCTTTAGGCTCACCCTTTCCAGTCCCCTCCCATCACATGGTCGTCTTTTTAAAGTGGGGGCTTTGGGGTCAGACAGATCCAGGTGCCTTCCCGGCCTCACCTCTTGCTGGCCGTGTGAACTGAAGTGAGATTGTTTTTTGTAATCTTTTCAACCTTCAGTTTCCTCATCTCTCAAATGGGTGTTAGGAGAATTGTCTTAGAAATAAATAAGGAGGCTGGGCACAGTGGCTCATGCCTATAATCCCAGCACTTTGGGAGGCCGAGGCAGGTGGATCTCTTGAGGTCAGGAGTTCCAGACCAGCCTGGCCTACATGGTGAAACCCCATCTCTACTAAAAATACAAAAATTAGGCAGGTGTGGTGGTGGGCACCTGCAGTTCCAGCTACTCGGGAGGCTGAGGGAGGAGAATTGCTTGAACCCAGGAGACGGAGGTTGCAGTGAGCAGAGATTGCACCACTGCACTCCAGCCTGGGTGACAGAGTGAGAATCCTTCTCAAAAAGTAATAATAAAAGTAAAAATAAAATAAATGAGGAATGCATACAATGTGCTCGGCTGGTGCCTAGTATATCGTATAAGCTCAATAAATGGTGGCTTAACTTTGAGTCATTTCCCTTTTCCAAAAATGTGACTGATATCTCAGCACTGGACACTACTCAGTAGCCTCAAGTCCAACCTCCAGCCCAGTCCTCCAGGCCCTTGCTAACCTGTCTCTTGCCATCTCTACTCTTTCCTGCCCACCTGTCTGAGCTGCCAGCCATCCAGAACACTCACTGTTCTTCAAACGTGGCTCACCCTTTCCTGATGCTGTGTGCTCTGTGTGGTATTATCTTCCTCACTGACCTCTCTCTCCACCCACTTCCCTGTTCACGAGCCCATGGCCTAGCCCACCTTCCCTTGGTCTGGCTCCAGTCACACCTCCTCCAGGAAGCCTTCCAAGATGCCCCAGTTGGGCAGACCTCCTCTCTTATCTGAAGTCCTGTGCCCCCAGCTTAGAGAACTCCTGCCTTCAGAAAGGAAATTTTTTCCTGATTGACCTTTACCTTCCCTTGAATCACCGCTCTTTCCAGGACAGTGAAGTCCCCAGAGGCCTCTGCACACTGGTCAGGTCTGTGGTCCTAAGTCCTCCCTATGGGGCTGGTCCCCAGCAGGCTCAGCGCCTGTCCCTCACCCTCTCCCTTGTTTCCCTGCTGTGCCTTGGGCTCCCGGCAGGCCTCCTGTGAGTCCCTGTGGGGGCAGCCAGCACATGCCCTGAGTGCAGCCTCTGTGATTGCTGAAGCTTGCGTGTCTCGCAGTCTGTGGGTCTGAAACCCTCCTTCTGTGGGTTTCAGACTCCTGGAGTCTCTGACTGTGGGGACTGTGAGTCTAGGCTACTCTGGTCCTGTGGCTCAGGGAATCTAAGGCTCAAGGATGCTGAATGCTGAAGTCTGCACCTGAGTGAGTCAGGTCCTGAGACTTTGGGTCAGCCCCATGAGAATACCCCGGGTGCTGACGACACCTTCTGAATCCAGGCACCCAGGGATACTGACTGAGTCTGAATCTGGCCCCTCCACTCAGCAGTTGTATGAACTTCAAGGCTCTGAGCCTCAGTCTCCTCATCTGTGTAGTGGGGTTGATGATGGCAGGTAGGTGCGACTCTGTCAATGGCATTTGAGAGAAGCCTGTCTGTGTGTGGTTGCCGTGGCAGGCCCTGAGGAGTGGGCAGTGAACTGGACAGTGGGTCTTGCCCCGCCTGGCAGGGGCGTGCCTGTGAGGGCACATGTGTGGCGGAGTCCTTTGTGTGAGGGCCTCACACAGCAGGGTGCGGTCAGCCAGGAGGGCGCTGGTGATTGCCAGCCCTGGAGGGCAGCCCCAGGCTGGAGGCAATGAGGGGAGGGACCGAGAGCATTTCTTCCCCCCAGCCTGCATGCATCAGCTGTTAACCTGCACTTGAGGCCTAGGTTAGCCTTGTCAAATAGAAATGTAACAGGACGTGTCAGTTTAAATTTTGTAGTAATGTTAAAAAGTTAAGAAATAAGTGAAATTTACTTTTAAATGTCTCTTATTTAACCCAATATATCATTTCAATCTGAAATCAGTATTAAATATAAATAATGAAATATTTTACATATTTTTCTAGACTGAGTCTGAAAGTCTGGTATGCCTGTCACACGTCTAGGATACCTCAATCCAGACCAGCCATGCTTCAAGTGTTCAGCGGCTCCATGTGGCCAGCATCTATGGGATGGGCCAGCATACGGCTGGCAGCTCCTGATGCCAGCCAGTGGTTAGGAGCCTAAGCTCTGGAATGACTGTGGCTTTGGTTCCGTTCCTGACTCTCTCTCTTCTTGGTCAGGTGACCTTGGACAAAAAGCTCCATATTTTCTTGAGAAAATTAATGTATTGAGTGTTCAGCAAACAGTGGCTGCTGGTATAATTTATTATCTTTGTTACTCTGTCACCTCACAGCACCTTAACTCACCCCTGTAACTGTGTGTCTCCCCCTTGTAGGCCCTTGGCACCTTCCTCTGCCAGCAGATCTGCTGGACAGCAGCCACCCCAGAGCGTGGATCCCTCTGCATGGCTGGGGCTCACCGAAGCACAGAGTACAGAGCCCCACCTGGGCTGAGCAGACGAGCCTCTAGGGCAGCAGCACGTGGTGTGAGTCTGGGCTGCTCCAGGCCTCTGCTTCTTGGCCTGCAAATAAGAGGTTAGGACTAGGGGACCCTGGAAAGTCACTGCCAAGTGTAAGAATTTGATGAGCATGACAGCATTTATATAGGACATGGGCAACATTTACAGAGAAGCCTGTGGGGGTAATGAGCTGCAATGTGCTTGAGTGTTGGCTTGCCTTGGGCGACCTGGCTACCAGCTAGGAAGGAGCCTTGTTGCCTCCTGTGAAGAAGGCCTGCCTCCCGGGGTGTGAACCTGTGATGACGTGAGTAAATGAGCATAATGCCCCACTAGGGCTCAGAGCCCAGCCAACATTGCTTTTGCTTAAGTGGTAAAGAGGGCTGCCTGGGGAGTGGCTCCAGTGGCTCCACTGTCCTGCTCTGGGAGCTCCTGGGAGATCTGGAGACTCCAAGCCCAGGCCCATAAGACTTGCCAGGCCTGAAACCAGCTGTGGGTTTGGAGAGAGATGCGGGGTGGGGGGCGGTGGAGGTGGTGCCACACTGCAGCCTCCTGAGGACCTCACCTCATCATGGCACTCTCCAGTCCTGTACAGGGGTGACCCCAGGGGCCTGTGCAAGTGGGTCAGGTGGAGAGGAAATGGTCTGTTTTGTTGCTCCAGGCCAATTGTAACTGGCAAGTTAACAGCTCACAGCCTGGTTCCGGCACAGCTTCGCCAGTCTTGCGTGGAGCAGTGAACACAGCAGTGCCCGCAGTGCTGCCCACTAAGGTCCTGCAGGGCTTGGGGAGTGGGTGGCCACACCAGGCCACTGACAGAGGACAGAGCCTGGAATCATCTGGCCAAGGAGAGACTCCTTGCCTGGGGGTCAATGTGGGGCTGGACAGGCCATTGTGCTGAGGGACAGAAGCCAGGGGTTGAGGGGAAGAAGTGAGCTCTAGGTGAGAACAGTCAGGGGCAGGATGAAGGGGGGTATCTGCCCACCTGGCCCTTAGCAGAGTAGCTTGTCCTCCCAGGCCACTCAGCCTGGAACATGGGCAAGACACATCATGGCCCTGAATAAATTCTTCCTTTCCATGCTTTAGCAAGTATAATAAGTATACTTATTAAGTATACCTCAAGTGCTTTGAGAAGTATCATTGAATACGTTTTTCTTCAACACTCCAGTCCTCCCTTTTCTTCTCTCCCTTCCTCTCTCTCTGCTTTCTTTTTTTCTCTCTTCCTTCCATGGGGCAGGAAGGTAGCAAGACAGAACCCCAGGCACATGTGTCCACAGGCACACGTATAAGGCTCCACACCTGTGTGCTCACCAGCCGCATGATGGGCCGTGTCCGCCCAGCACCAGCCCCACAGAGCTCAGAGCAGCCCAGGCCTCTTCTCTGTTTTGTTGCTCCCAGAAAATTGGAAAATAAATAAATGTTAAAATAGAATCACAAATACTGGGATATTACCTAAATATTTACATTGTACAAATGAACACTTTTGTCAACAAATATGTGATGTGTGATTTATCAGGTAATCACAAGGTTTATTTTTAAAAAGCTAATTCTTTCCACAGGTGAGGCAGAGTGGATGGGAACCAGGACACACAGAGGAGGCTGTTAGATGAAAGTCTTGCCTTCTTTCCCTGTGCCCCTGAGTCCATGGGAAGAACCTCTTAGTAACAGCACCACAAGGTCACATTTGAGGGCTTGAATGTGGGCCCTGCACACATATGTGCACACATAAACACAGACACATAGGTACACACCTGCATACACACAACCCCCTTGGCAGATAGGCAAGAGGTTACCTGACTTGAATGTCGCTGTGGCAATAACTGCAAT
This sequence comes from Homo sapiens, assembly GCF_000001405.40. NCBI lineage: Eukaryota > Metazoa > Chordata > Mammalia > Primates > Hominidae > Homo > Homo sapiens. The sequence goes on along the minus strand of NC_000001.11, from coordinate 30,262,647 downwards.
GTGATTCTTTTTAGAGATGAAGCTGTCACATGCATTTTATCCTTTCTGAAAATAGGCAAGGTCTGACGGTATCTGGGGGGAAGCTGACACTGGGGAACATCCCAGAGGCATTTCTGCAAATCCTGAATCATGGTGGGTCCCAGGTCCTTCCCCAGGGGCCTATGCAGTGGGTCAGGTGTCAGGGAAATGGCTGCTTCTAGAGGTGCTACTGTGTCCCAGGCACATGGGCTATCCTGTTCACCCCTCACAATGCCCCCAGAGTGGGTCGAATTCTCCCTGTTACTGCAGAGGCATGAAGCCTCGGAGAGGCAGGGGAACTTGCCCTGGGTTACCCAGCAGGGAGTGGAATGGCTGGTCTCTGCTGGCTCTCCCTGATGCTGGTGACAGAGCTTATTACAACTGAGCTTGGGTTGTGAGGCCCCCCATTCTGCTGGCCGCATTACGGGATGTGAGCACAGGATGCAGTCTGCTAAGGGCCGCAGACAGACAGTGGAGAAATGGCTGGGGGAGTGCAGGTATAGGAGATGATGGGCACTGGGGAGGGGGAACAAGGAGGGGATAATGATAAAACTGGGCCTTCGTGGGCTTGAGACAAAGCACAGTCAGTGCCTGATCAATGGCAGGCATTATCAGTGTGGTTATGACTGCCATCATCATCATTTCTGGGGGAAGAATCTTCATCATCATTGATATGGTTTGGATCTGTGTCCCTGCCCAAATCTCATGTTGAAATGTAATCTCCAAGGCTGGAGGTGGGGCCTGGTGGGAGGTGATTGTATCATGGGGGTGGATTTCTCACAAATGGTGAGAGCACCTCTTGGTGCTGTCCTCCCAAAGTGAGTGAGTTCTCACAAGATCTGGTCCCTTAAAAGTGTGATCTGGTCCTTCTCTCTCTCTTGCTCCTGTTCTGGCCATGTGATGTGCCTGCTCCCCCTTCACTATCTGCCATGACTGTAAGTTCCCTGAGGCCTCCCCAGAAGCTGAGCAGATGCCAGCACTATGCTTCCTGTAGAGCCTGCAGAAGCATGAGCCAATTCAATCTCTTTTCCTTCTAAATTACCCAGTCTCAGGTATTGATTTATAGCAATTCAAGAACAGCCTAACACAATTATCATCATTGCTGTCTTCAGCATCATTGTCATCCTCATCTTCATAGTCACCATTGTCTTGGTTTTCATTATTATACTCATGGTGTCATCATCGTCATCATCCTGACTGTTGTCAGTCATCATCTTTGCCATCCTCATAGTCATTACCATCTTAATTACCCCTTAGTGAGTATCACCTGTGTCTTGCCTGTAAGGCTGTTATAATTATCATCCTTGGATTACGGATGGGGAAGCTGAAGCACAGGGAGAGAACAGGACCTGCCCAATGGCCCAGAGCAAGTCAGCGATGGTGTCACCAGCTCAAGTTCAGCTGCTCCCTATTCAGAGGTTGAAAACATGAGAAACAAGGCGCAGCGAAAGGAAAACAGTTTTATTAATTGGAAGCTAGCAATTGGGGAATGGCCAGACTCATGCTTTTAAAAGACCAGTCCAACTTTCTGGGCTGAGTGAGATGGTTTCAGAAGGGAGACATGGTACAGGAAACAGGTGGGAGGGGTGCAGGAAGGTGCAGGTCTGCAGGTCTTGCTCCAAAGGCTTTCTTGAGTAGTCAAGCACCTGGAGGTCCAGTTGGCATCATCTTGACTTCTGCCTATTGGTGGTGGTCTCCTTGTTTGTAAGCCCACTAAGCAAGCTGATTTCATAGCTGGATCTGCAAGCCTGGTTTGTTTCAAAATTAGCCCCTGGAATTTCTAAGCCAGCACATAATGAGATAAGGAGCACTGTTCATGGGAGTACCTGGTGGGTAGGGAAGAAACAAATGTTCTAAAGCACAAGGCTACATTCTGAGATGAAGAAGGACAGGAAAAAATAAGTTCAAAATGCATTTCAAGGCTGAGACACTCAGTTACAATGGATCCAGGATTTGAACCTGTGGTGTCTGTCTCAGGGGTGGCGTTTTCACCCTGTACAATGACAGTACGAGCATGACTGTTCATTGGATGCCTCTGTTTGCCATGAACACCTCCTCCCGGATTGTCTCCAAAGCCCCTGCTGTCCTCCCAGCCCATCTGGCATCCTGGGGACCACTGCCACAGCTGAAGGCCTACTGTGTGTGCTGCATCTGTGTCCTCATACCCTTGTGCTTTTCTGCCTGTGGCTCTCACCTGTGGGTTCCTAGAACCTACAGCCCCTCCAGGAGGTACATCTCATCAGGTCTGTTGTTTTTACAGGGGAGGACTCTGAGGGTCAGAGTGGGAGGGTGACTAAGGCCAACCCCAGATTCTTTATTTTTTATTTTTTGAGACAAAGTTTCTCTGTCACTCAGGTTGGAGTGCAATGGTACAATCTTGGCTCACTGCAACCTCTGCCCTCTGGATTCAAGTGATTCTCCTGCCTCAGCCTCCCCAGTAGCTGGGACTACAGGTGCTCACCACCACCCCCATCTAATTTTTGAATTTTTAGTAGAGATGGGGTTTCACCATTTTGGCTAGGCTGGTCTCGAACCCCTGACCTCAAGTGATCCACCTGCCTTGGTTTCCCAAAGTTCTGGGATTACAGGCGTGAGCCACTGCACCCGGCTCAACCCTAGAATCTTTCTGGTGCTTGAGGGTGGTTGCAGGGATACAATGTGATGACACAGGAAATCTGGATCTGGCGAAATTGCAACTTCTACGGGAAAGGGCACCATCCCCCGTGATAGAGGAGAAACCAAGGCCGGGAGGGAAGGAGCAGGTAGAGGCTGGACTGTCAGGACTCTCCATTGCCGGCTTCCCCAGGGCGACCTGGAGGGCAGGAGGGCAGACCCAGGAGGTCTCAAGCAGGAACTCTTCCACCTACACCTCTGCCCCTGACTACCTGCCAACTCCCCGACCACAAGCAATTTTCCTGGGGGAAGAAAATGACTTCGCAGTTTTGGCAAGATCTCACTTCCATTAAGTTAAGCATGTAACAGAGTTCTTAGGGTGGAATATGTTTTGTTTAATACCTTGATCTCTCTTGTCTGCTGGAGAAATAAAATCTGTCAAGCCCCTTGAAGCCAACTGTCAAAGTAGAGCATTTTGGGAGGACAGATCTCTCACTCTGATGGCAAAATTCATTTGAAATGATCCTTTAATCCAGTCTCCCTGTGAGACCTGGAGCTGAAATTTTAAAGCCATTTGCCCTAAAGAGTTTCTTTCCATTTCTCCCTGCTGCTTTCTCTCCTGGTACCGACCCCTCCTCCACCTTTAAAAAATAATGCAACAGATTGCAGCCGGCATAATGATAACCATTTGGTTTCTCATACAATTTTTTAGGGGGAAAATGACAGAGCACAAAGCTTTGCCTTTCACTGTCTGTTTAGGGAAGGAAGGGAGGTGATTTGCTGTCAAAGTCAACAAGTAAAGGAGAAGAGGCATGAGGGAGTGGGTGGGATTTTCCAGACCTGAAGTCTGTGTGAGCAGGAGGAGCATCTGGGAGGATAACTGCGCCCTCACCCCTGCTGAAGTGGGGGTGGGAGGAGCTGCCGCTTTTTCTCTGATCTCTGCTCCTTACGCCTGTACCTCCTTCTATCCCGTGTCTGTGTCCCCCTGCCAGAGTCTCAGCCTGCCTTTGGGCTCAGTACTTTACAGGGTACAAAGCATTTCCACATTCACCATGATCATTTATTTGTTAATTGCTCTTTCCTTCCTTCCTTCCTTCCTTCCTTCCTTCCTTCCTTCCTTCCTTCCTTCCTTCCTTCCTTCATATTGTCAAAGTCATGGTGATTGGGTTTCACTATGGGACACTGTCCCATCCCCATGTGATGACTGGGATGTGACCCAGACATAATCTCCACCTTTAGGATTCCAGAGTCTAAAAGGGAAGATGAAGTATGGACAAATGGCTATGATCCTATGAGGCAGATGTGTGCTTGGCACATAGCAGGCACTTCCCTCAGTTAGGACGCGTTGGGCAACATGTAACAGACAACCTAACAACAGTGCTCAAGCGATGAGAAAGTAGAATGCTCTGGCATCGCCACACGTCTGGAGAGAAGTGGTTGCAGCTTAGTCAGATGCGCAGGGATGTTGACAAAGACCCAAGCACTTTCCCTCTTCCATCTTTACCATCCTTGGCTATGTGGGCTTTTTGTCCTTAGCTTGTTGCCTCATGGTTGCAAGATGACTGCTGCAGCTCCAAACATCATGTCTCACGCTACAGCCTTCAAGTCAAGAAGAAGTTTGCAGGGTGAGGCAGAAAAAAATATTTTCCAGAAGCACTCCCTCCACCAACAGATTTCCCCTCATATCTTGGTGGCCAAGTCTGGGCCACACGCTCACCCATAAAATGATCTCTGGAGAAGGGGGATGGGGTGCCTGGCTTGGCTTTACCCCAGGGCTGGAGGGGCCCCCAGGCCTGAGCCTGTGACTGCAGAACAAACACAGGGTTCTGTGAGTGAAGGAGGAGGGGCAGGTCTACTGGGGGGCAGCCCCATGTGTCCACCACCTTCTTGTTGGTGTTTGCTGACAGTTTCCCCCGGCAGTGTGGCGTCTGGGGTAGGGAAAGAAAATCCAGCTCTGAGCCTCCGCCCCTGTGGGCTGTGTGATCTGGGAAGCACTCAACCTCCTCCCCTGTGGAGTGGGGACCATGACAGCACCTGCTGCATAGGGAGGTCATGCAGGTGACGTGGGTCGTGTGTGCAGGTGCCCGGGCTCGTGGGGGTGTTAACACCTGTCAGCTATTGCGGGGATGAGGCCCATCTGTAAAGTGGCCCGTGGTGCCCTCTCTGTCACAGTCCTGGGGGTGACAATAGCAGGAATATCAGTTCATAGGTGCGAGCACTTCCTACGCGTGCTGGGCACCCTGTACTTGCACTCGCTCACCTAATCCTCACAGCTACCTGAGGAAAGAGCCCTTTTCATCCTCATTTTACATCAGAGGAAACTGAGGCTCAGGAAGGGGAACCCAGGTGGAGTGAGGGCAGGTGGGGCTCCAGGGTGCTCAGATTCCAGCTGCTGTGCTCTGACCCACTGCAGGGCCCTGGGTGGAGCTGGCACAGGCAGGTGCCCAGATGACCCCTTCCCACCCTGGGTCCAGGCCAGTGGCTGGGCCAGTCACTGTCCCAACCCTGTTGTCTGTTGCTCCTGGAGCTCCAGGGCCGCAGACCTGCCTGTGATGTGGGGATATTGGTCACCATCCTGGCTGCCCTCCTCCAAGTTGATGAATAAACATATTCTGTGTAATCAATAGTGTCACTGTGTCTTGGTCATGAATTGGCAACTTTCATTCTTTGGGGAAATACACATTAGATACATTTAACATGGAACATAAGCATATGCTAGTGATGGACAACACATTTCACATTTGTATATTTATCAAAATATGCAAAACCCATGTCCACAATTATACACTGGTAGGCACACCAGAGTTTAATAACTGCTTGAGACTCCTCACCAGCACCGTAATGTGAGCTTGGGCACCAAGGGGGACACACGACCCACAACCCAGACCTGCTGCGGGGGAGGGGCTCAGCTGTCACTGCTGTGGGTCCCATGAAGACCTGACCCATCGCTGGCCTGCCCAGTCTTCCTGGGAATTAAAACAATCATGCTAGATGACAGATTCCTACCGGATTTAGGACAAACACTTGCTAGAGAGACTGCCACCAGTCACCCTGGTGACTTGGTTCCGGTTAATGGTCTCCAAGCCCTGGGCACAGGGGAGGAAGGCAGTATAGCCTCCTGGTTAAACCACAGGCTTTGGCCTACACAGGTTTCCAGCCCTGGCTCTTCCACTTACCTGCTGTTAGAGGTCGGGAAGCTCACTTAAGCCCTCTGAGCTCAGTCCCCTCATATGTTAGCTGAGGATAGTAGTAGCATCTACCTTATTGCGTAGGGGCTAGAAGTAAATGTGGCAACACAAGTAGCAAGCTCAGTGAGGATTCTTAGTCTTGCGGTTCAGTTGTGTCAGGACCGTGGTTCTCTGGCCCCATGGCTGTCCAGGTGGGCAGCTCCTCCAGCAACTGGAGGGCCCTGGCCCCTCTGGGTCCCTCACCATTGGAATAGTTAGAAGAAAATGAGCCCCAGGCCCCACTAACTTGGGTTCACATTCAGCCTCCAGCCCTCACTCAACATGTGACTTGGGAAGTGGCTGAACCTCTGTGAGCCCCATCGGTTTTTCCCTCTATAAATGGACACACACTATTGACCACCTAGAGCTATTGCGAGGATGTGACGAGGGTACATCAGCTGGAGGCAGATTCCTGGGCTCAAGTGACATTTTAGTGCATACTTGTGGGTGGGACTCTGAGCAAAACACAGTGTCTCTGTTCCTTGGATCCTCATCCTTCACATAGAGATTGGGAGTCTCTACTGCGTAGGATGCTGCGGGGACTCCAGGAAAGAGAGCTCTCAATGTATGCTAACTGGCATTGCTATACTTATTATTATTATTATTCTACTTGTAGGCAAACACCCTATCTTGTCTTTATGTATCAAGCCCCTGGCACAGGGTCCGGGCATAGTAAAGACTTGAGGCTCACCGGAGCAGGAAGAGCAGGGACCCGGAAGCAGTTTGCCTGGGTTTAAAGTCTGGCTCCGTCACTTCTGAGCTGTGAGATCTTGGAAAATTCCTAATCATCTCTGAACTTTGGTATCTTCATCTTTAAAATAGAGGAGAGGGGTGAATGACAACAGGGTCTCCTTCATGGAGTTGTTGAAATAATTAAGTAAACTAATGCATGAAAAGTGCTTAGCACTGTGCCTGCCACACAGTAAGTGCCAAGACAGTGCTAGCTTCAATTCTTCCAGGATTTGAAGGAGCGTTGGTGTTGAGCAGCCTCTAAAGTTCTCCCTTTTTGCCACTACTGCACTTTGAGATGAAGAAATTGAGGCCAAGAGACATTAAATTAAACGTTTGGCAACAAGGCAGTATATAACTGTGCTAAATTATGCAGGGCAGACAGAGAACAAAATGATCAGTAATAAAAGGATAATTGCGGGGGACAGGTGCTAATGGACCAGGAGCCTGAGAAGAAGGAGAGAAAAATGCAGCCTGGGATGAGGATGGCCTCGGCCAGGGCCCAGGTGTTAATGACATTGATCTTTCCCCTTAACATAACCATGCATCCTCACTGTGAAGCATTTGGCAAGTGCAGGCGTTTATACAAGAGAGTATATAATTCATCTGGTATCTTGCCTTCCGGAGATAGTAGTTTTTACATATTAATACCTTTCTTCATTTCTTTTTCTATTCATATACAAGTACATATTTTCATAACTGCTTTCAAATGGGTGTGACTGTCTAGATAGGTTAGAACATGATGCAATAACAAACAAATCTCTTGGAAACAACAAAGTTTAAAATAGCCTGCTATAAGGAGATGATGAGTGGAATATTACAAAGTTTTAAAAACTAATGATGCCTAATATTTATGGAGCGAATAACCCTTATGTCCCATTAGCTTGATCTTAATGTAAATCCAGGTCCAATCTTCTCTCCCTCTCCAGGCTCCCACCCAGATCCCAAGGTCATCATGCTTGGACTGGTGCAGTAGCCTCCTGATGGGTCCCTGGCTCTACTCACTCCCCGCACAGCAGCCCCTGTGACCCTGTGAGACTCAAGGTGGAGCCCTCTCTGCTCTGCTCTGGACACCCCAGGCTCCTGCCTCACTGGGTACATCCAAGCTGACAGTGGCCCCGGCCCAACAGTCCCCAGCTTCACCCCCACTTGGCCCATCTCACCCCCTCCTTCTGCTCCCCTATAGCCCCCTCTGCTCCTTCCTGGACCCGTGGTCCTCACAGTTCCTGCCTCCAGCCTCCGTCCCTGTGCTTTCCTCAGCTGGAACCTCTCCCATGTCTACCCACTCCCTCACTTTCCTCCTCAGGTTCTTGTCCCAGTGTCACCTGCTCTGAGAGCCCTCCCTAACCTTCTCCCCACACCATTGACAGTGCTAGGAATCTTGCTACTTTGGTGGGGAGCTGGCATCTCCGTAACCAACTATTTACAAGTGTGACCCATCACCTGCCCCTCTCCTGCTTCCTTTCCCTCCGAAGCTCTTATGCACCCTGCAGCCCCCGTCTGATGCTCCGTGTCTGTCTCCTTCTAGACCTGAGCTCCCCACACAGGGGCTTTGTTTGGTTCTGAGCTTTCTCCCACTGCCTAGGACAGCGAATGCCCACAGTAAATGCCCAATGCCTATTTGCTGAGAAAGCAAGTGACTTCAGCCCTGACGATGTCCTACGGGTAAGATGCTGTCCTAAACAAGGGACTGTCTCATTATTTCTCAAGGCAGCCCAAGGAAGCTGGTTCTAGGGACACCCTTGTGTTTCACCTGAGCTCACAGGCTTGGCCTGGCCTGGCTCGTTGCCGTGCCCAGCTGCCCCCAGCTAATGAGGGTTGGCTTGGGATTCCCACCTGGCCCTGCCCTTGTGGAGGTGTGCGGCTGCTCCAGAGTGTTCCAGGAAGGGCAAGATGAGGCCGGGGAGCCTCATCTCCCCCCCACACCATTGCCAGTGCTGGGAATCTTGCAATTTGATGGGGAGCTGGCATCTCCAGGAGGCTTTACTTAGCATGCCGCCCTCCTCTGCTTGCTGAGCTCCAAGCTGGGTTCATGCTGGGCTGACACAGGCCCCAGGAATGCAGGGAATGCCCTGACAGCCCAGCGCCCCCTGAGCCTCCCCTCCCCTGGTGGCTCCTCATCACCATCCACTGCCTCCACTGCCTCCTCCTCATCATCAGGGACTCCCTGACCTTTGTCTCCATAGCCTGGGATGCAGCCACTGCCACCAGGGTACAACCAAGAAAGCCTCCCTGCAGGTGCACAGGGAGATTAGGACGCTGTGGCTTTCCCTTTGCGCAAGCCAGAAATGGCACCCCCATGTTCATTTGATTGGAGGAGTGAGGCCTGGGCTTGATTGGTCAACATTTTGTCTTTGCAAGGGACTCTTGTCCAGCTCCACACTGAGCCACCCAGCTGCCTCCCAAGACCTCCTCCTGCATGACTCTCAGGCCCCCCAAGTGAAGGCACCCAACTCTGCCCAGGCCACCTCCCCTCTCCCAGGTTTCCCCTCTCACAAGTCACTGCCCTCCACCTGGTGGCTCTGACCACCTGGCAGGGGAGTGGCATGGATGGATGCCTTCTTCTCCTTGACCACACTCACTTTGAGAAACTTACTTTCCCAGGCCAGGCGTGGTGGCTCACGCCTGTAATCCTAGCCCTTTGGGAGGCTGAGGCAGGAGGATTGCTTGAGCTCAGAAGTTCGAGACCAGCCTGGTCAACATGGTGAAATCCTGTATCTACAAAAAAGAAAAAAAATAAAAATACAAAAAATTAGCCAGGCGCAGCGGCATGTGCCTGTAGTCCCAGCTACTTGGGAGGCTAAGGCAGGAGAATCGCTTGAGCCATGGAGATGGAGTTTGCAGTAAGCAGAGATGGCACCGTTGCACTCTAACCTGGCTGACGGGAGTGAAACCCTGCCTCAAATAATAATAATAAAACTTTCTACTTTCCCAGTTTCAGTCCCTGATCAGGCCCAGGGTTCCACCAAACATCCCTGAACCTATGACAACCTCCACACACTTCTTTCTTTTTCCTTAAACTACTCTTAGTGTTTTTCTGTTGCTTGCAAAGAGCCCTGACTCAGACACCGAGGAAACCTGTTTATTTAAAAAACTGGTTTTTAAAAAAAATACTCTTTCCAGCAATGAATGTGTGTGTCTCTCTCAGACACATTCCTAGAGGCCTCATCAAATGAGGGGAACGAGGCTTTTGCAAAGCTAGGTGGAAATTAAACCCATAATCCGGGCACACTCTTGTTTGACAAGTGATAATTAACTGCTGACAATATAATTTCAGCTTGGACGCAGCATGGTTTCATTAAAAAGTAATCGAGGAGACCTTTGCGTTGGGAGGTCTGGTCTCCTCTGCAGACAGAGGTTCTGTGTTGGCATTGAGTGTCCGCTGCTCCCTGCCAGGTGGAGCATGGGCCCCAGAAGTGACACTGGGACTGGTCCCTGGTCTCGCTGTGCCCCAGAGACTCCCAGAGGCGGCCCAGCCAAGCCCTCTCTCACTAGGAAGCCCTCCTCCTTCTCCAGGCGACCCCATCCCAGGATGTGCCCGGCACCATCACAGGGACATGGCACTGACTCCAGCTCCAGGGATGGAGATGGGCGTCCTGCCTCTTCAGCCACACCCAGGTCCTGTTGGGATCAGATCCCATCCCTCTCTCCCTCAATTTACAGAGGAGGAAACTGAGGCTCAGAAAGTTGGAGTCACTCGTTTATGGCCACACAGACGATGAGGGACCAAACACACATCTGAACTCTGACCTGCCCAACTCCTTAGTCCGTGCTACCTCCACCCCATCGGCAGTTCCCTTCCTCTAGGGAACTCTCTGTTCTGTGCTTCAGTTTTGTCACCTGTAAAATGGTGAAAACACTAGTACTCTCCATATGAGGCAGTTTAAGGATAAAATAAGATTGGACACGGTGGCTTATGCCTTTAATCCCAGCACTTTGGGAAGCTGAGGCAGGTGGATCACCTGAGGTCAGGAGTTCAAGACCAGCCTGGCCAACATGGCGAAACTCCATCTCTACTAGTTGGGCGTGGTGGCATGTGCTGTAATCCTAGCTACTGAGGAGGCTGAGGCAGGAGAATCGCTTGAACCTGGGAGGTGAAGATTGCAGTGAGCCAAGATTGTGCCGCTGCACTCCAGCCTGGGTGACAGAACAAGACTCTGTCTCAAAAAAAAAAAAAAAAAAAAAACGGGGTGGGGGGGAGCGGATAAAATAAGTTGATATATCCAAATCACTTATAATAGTGCTTGACACATAGTAAACCCTTCAAGTCACTTCTGTTAGCTGTAATGCTCATTAATTGGTATTAATATCAACAGCATGCTGATATTTTTTTGGCAAACGTCCTTCCTCCAGCCCATGGACCAGTGACTCTTCCCTTTTAATCATCTCTATGAATCCCCAGCAGGATGCACCCAATTAAAACTACGATGGAGCAAGCACTGTAGTGAAAATGTAGAACACCAAGAAAAGAGGAGGTTTCTTAAAAGCTGCCAGAGAGAAGACAGATTACTTACCAAGGAAGGAGGAGCAGGCAGCAGGTTCTCAGAGCAACATGAGACAGAAAGCCAGGGAATCATATTTTTAGTGTCACATGAAATAAGCAAAGTAGAATTCTAGACCCAGATAAATTATCATGCCAAGCTGAGTGAGGAGGAAAGACATTTTCAGGCTAAGACACACTCAGAGGCCCTTGTTAAGAGAACTAATAAAAAAAAATCACTCAGGTGGAAAGATGTTGCCTGAAGAAACAAGGAAGGAATCAAACCAGCAGTAGTGAAGGAAAGAATGGGTCAATTTGGGGCTGACCATAGGACATAAACACAGCAGCAACAGCAATAATAATCCCAACGATTGTGGGTATATAGTGGAAGATGGAAGCACGGGTCGGGGTTGCATAGCTTTGAGGTGGAGAGAGAGATCAGAGTTAATGCATTCTAAAGACTGCGTGGTTCTGAGGGAGGAGAGAGATATTGATTTACTTTAGACTGTGTTAGTCAAGTGTGCTTATTATGATTTTTAAGCTGATCAATTAAAGAAGAGAATAGAATGTAATTTCCAAGCCAGTAGAGGGAAAAGAGAATAAACAAAACCTGATCAATATGCATGGGCGTCAGGAAGTGAGCCAAGCAGAAACACACACACACACAAAGAATAAAAGCAAAAGTCAACACAAAAATCCTTGCCATTGACAGCACAAAATAAGAAGGTAGCATCCTGAACTCTGCCTTTCACATCTGTGTGTCACTGGGCAAACGACTTAATTAATGACATCACCTCTCTGACCCTGATTTCCTCATCGGTAAACTGGAGAGAATAGCACGTTTTGTTAAAGGGTTATAATAGCACGTTCCATTTAAGAGCTATCATGAGGATCGAATTCAGCAGGCACCACACAAGGGCGGGTTGCTAGCACTATTACTATGTGAGTCTGCACCAGCTACAGCCCTAAGTGCATCCCATATGCCATCTCACATAACCCTCCCAACAGCCCCATGAGGCAGGGCCACTGTCATCTTCACTTTGCTGAAGATTTTGCTGATTAGGAAACCGAGGCTTCTAGGTGAGAGGCTTGCCGAGGTCACGCAGCTGGGGAATGGCTGAGCCTGGACACAGCTGGAGTCTTCTGATCCTGAAGCCACCTGTTGACCCTATGACCTTGACCAGTTGAAGTCACCTCTCTGGGCCTCAGTTTCCTCATCTGTGTCTTATGGTGCACAGGGCAGTCACGAGGCTGGGCAGAGATGAGGTGTGCGAGCCGTCGGCAGTGTTCCCAGCACAGGGCGTCCAGTCAATGAGCGGTGGCTCCTGCTATTATCATGACCCATGCTGGCTGGTGTTCACTGCTCTCACCTCTGTTGCACAGGCAAGGAGCCCGAGGCTTAGGGAAGCGACGAGCTGGTGTCACCTTGCTGATCTGCACTGACTTGTAGGCTTCATGCCCCGGCTGGGGTGTGAGCTGTGGGAAGGGGCTTGTCTGTCTGGTTTCACTGATTTATACCCAGGGCTGGGCCCTGGGAATGAATGAATGAATGAATGAATGAATGAATGAATGAATAAATGAAGGGTCCTTGGGTCCTACTTCATGCATCCATTATTCCCACACAATGTTCTTCATGCCGGGAGCCTCCCCAGCAGAAAGCAGCTCTGAGAAGGACCGGATGTGCTGGCTTCATAGTGTCAGGACAGGAGCAAGCTTTTCATCAGGACAAACGAGGCCCCTGACTTCCAGCTTTGTGTCCTTAGCACTTACTGCTGTCTGACATATTTTATGTCCTCATCTCTTATGATCTGCATCTCCCTACCACAACACCAGCTCCATGAGGGCAGGGACTTTGTCTTAGTCACTGCTGGGTCCCAGGCAGTAAGTGCTCAGTAAAAATCTGTCATTGAAGTGACATCACCACTCTGGGTCTCAGTTTCCTCATGTGTACAGTGGGAGGATGACGCCCCTTTGCAGCTGTTGTGGGGACACAGTGAGACACTGCCTGTCCAGTCCTTGGTGCAGAGGCCACAGGCATGGTAAGCAGCTGCCTTCACCCCCTTGCTCCCAGGGTCTTGGATAGGAAATGAATTTTATGGACGTCACGGTGTGAGTGTCTTTTTTCTTTCCCTCTTTTGACGGCAATGCTTTCTGCAGCCAAGCTTCAGTTTATCAGAATAAGAGATTATCTAGGTGGCTCAAGCAGTCCATCAGGAAATTTCCAAAGGGACAAAAAGGCGAGAAGCATCTCTCCCAGCAGCCTCTGCTGTACCTTTCACTTAGTCTCAGTAACAACCACCACTGTTTGAATGTTTGAAATATCCCAGAAACTGCACCTTTTAACTCACATTTCTGCATTTAAAGTGGTAGTTCTCAACCGGAGTTGATTTTCCCCTTAGGGAAAATTTAGCAATGTCTGAAGACATTTTTGGCTGCGGCAACTGGGGAAGGGGTTGGGGGGACGGTGCTGCTGGCATCTAGTGGGCAGAGGACGTGTATCCTGCCACATGTGGGGCAGCCTGCCCAAAAGGAATGACCTGGCCCCAAATGTCAAAAATGCTGAGGCTGGGAAACCCTGACTTAAACACACCCTACAAGCCTCTGAGAGCAATGTCATCTATCATGTCAGAAATGAGGAAGGGAGGTTTGGGAGGTGAAGTGAACCTGCCCAAGGATGTGGCTTGACTGAGACTCAAATCCAGGTCTGTGTAGCTCTGAAGCCCCTGGTTCTTCTGCTCTTTACATTTCCAGAAACCTCCAGTCCCTTCATTATCAAATAATCCTCTCTAACAGGGGCCAGTGCTTTGTGGGAAAGAGCATTTTAAATGCCTGTGTTTAATTGTGTAGAAGGAAACTTGATCTGATTTTATAGGAGCTACCTCTGCCTATTTCTGTCTCTTTCTTTTTTTAAACAAATAACTTCTTCCTATATCTTTAGGGGCAATTTGTGATGATCAAGGATAATTTGAAGAACATGGCAAACAGAGGAGGAGTCGGGTCACCTGTGGCTCCCCCACTCACAGGTGGCCTGGGGTGTCCTTGGCTGTTCATGAAGGTGAGCGGAGTTCCCTTGATCTAGTTCCTGGGGGACATGCTGGGGTGGCCCCTGAGGCTGGACTTTGCTACGGGAGAGCAGAGGGTTTTGGGGAATCCAAGTCAGAATGGCCCTGCTGGACAGAACCTGTGCAGATGACTGGCTGGGGCAGTCACTGCATCTCTGCGCCCAATGCCATCAGCCAAGGTGGGGAGACATGTTGGCCCTGGAACCACTGGGGGTGCTACAGGTGATAGACCCCAAGGTAACTCATGATCACATGATTCCCTGGGCCCACCAGGGCTACCTCCAGGTTCCTGGGTCCTGGACATGGAATCTGCTAAGTTTAGCCACAGAGCTGTCTGTTGTGCTCTCTCTGCCTGTCCTCGCTGCTCACGGGATGAAGTCCATGCTCCTCGCCATGGAAATCCGGGCCCCTTGCAGTGGGCGCCTGCCTCCCTCTCAGACTGGCCTCCTCCCTCTCTTGCACCCCTGCCTGGGCCAATCCCATCAGGCCTGACTGGGGAGGTGTGACTGTCACCCAAGCTGGAAGAAGTGGGTGCAGGGCAGAGAAGCAAAGCATCAGCAGGGTCAGACACAGGTGAGTGACGAGGGGCTGTTCATCCTCTGCAGGTGGGACCCAGGTAGGCGCGGTTTCCACTACCTTAGAGCAAGAAGATAGTTGAATGGGATGGGTTATTTAGGAAAACAGACATCTAGGAGCAGGAAGAAATCCCAGAATCACAGATGCAGACCCGAATCACAGCGTTCAGTCCACACGAGGGACAGCAGGGCAGCATCGAGTCCTTGTCAACGGACCTGGATCCTCCCCAGCCCCTCCAGGCAAGACTCCACCCATCAGCCCTGCAGGGTGAGATCCACCGGCTGACCTCTTGTCAATGTCGGTGGCATCAGGGTCGATGTGGAGACCCGGAGACGCGTTGTCTCTTCCTGGGCTTTCACTCAGCGCAGACCCCATGGCCCCATTCAGAGCCATCGATTCTCACTTTCTTCCCAAGCCCCCTGCTTGTTTCCATGCTTCCCAGGCCCACCCGGTGTTACAGGCAGCACACGGCAGGAGGGGTCGAGATAGGTGGACACCGGGAGAGTCAAGGGAGCAAGGGATGGCTGGAGAAGTGACAAGTGACATGAAGACATGCGGTGAGAGGCACCTGTTTATCAAACTACAGTTGTTCTGAAAGGGACTCGGGGCAGCTCCTAAAACATGCACTATACACTAAGATCATTCATTCATTCCCTGGGCCAGTGCTTACGGAGCACCTACTATGTGCCAGGCCCGGTGCTGCTGCCGAGATGCACTGAGGAGCGGGAATCAGTCCCCACACTCAGTCTGGGGAAACACATCAAGAGAAGACCCCTCTCACAGTGAGACATGTGCCCTTGTGGTGAGGACATGATGGGGAGTGTGTGTGTGTGTGTGTGTGTGTGTGTGTGTGTGTGTGTGTGTGTCTAATGCTGACCCTGTTTCAGGCCTAGAGTGAGGTCTCCTAATGTCCTAGTGAGTTTGGGAATTTAGGAACCATCCTAGTTTTACAGAGAAGGTGACCAAGGCCCAGATGGGGAGAGACTTGTCTGATGTCCTGGACCCAGGTTTTCTGAGTCCCCAAACCTGAGCTCCGGCCTCAGCATCACCTGGCCTCCGGATACCACAGGGCGATCACAGCCACAGCTTCAACCCATCCTCATTCCCAGGCCACATGGCCAAGCTTCCCACACGGACATTAATTATACCTCCCGGAGGGTAATTTGCAAGGAGACAGTAAAAATGTGCTATTTAAATAGTGATTATTAAAATCATGCCAGGGGGTTGCCACATAATAGGTAATTATCTTTGGCCTAATTGGGAAAACAATGCAGTCAATTCTCTTTAGCTGTTTCCGCAGAACTGGAGTTAATCCTGTTGAGTAGCATCCTCCGAAGCTTCCACCGGTGTTTGTTAAATAGTGTTCCTTTACAGCCGACATGAGGGCTCCTTGGGAACTTCTGCACCGAGTCGCCAGGGTCTTGGCCTGCATGTCTGGGCAGAGACACTTTCTTTGGACTTTGGGGGCTTTGCTGCCCTTTGACTTGCCTTCCCCTCCTGTCTGTCGGGGCACCCGCATGCTTTTCCATCTGTGTCCAAACATCCACTCACTTGTTCACTTACGGGCTCTTATGATTCACCTCTTCAAATAGCTTTTGTTTATTTCTTTATGATTATTTCCTGCATCCATTGACCACATGTATTCATGTTAATTTCTTCTTTCCTTCGCTCTGTTTCCTCCACTCCTCCTTCCATCATTTGTCCTTTCATTCATTCATTCTTCCTTCTGTTGTCATTGTGCACTCAGTACTCACCAGCAATGCATTTTGTCATCTCTGATTTCATGAGTTCATTCATTCACTCACTACCAGATGTACTCATTCATTCACTATCTCTTTCATGCATTCATTCATCATTTATGTTTCTTGTTTATGAGTTTACACACTTGTTCATTCATTCATACAACGTTCAGTTGTATGTAGATTGCTGGTAATAGCGTGGATTGGGTGTGTCTGTTCCAATGTGATTCCATACGTGTCCATCCTGCACATTCTGGGCCTTTGGTAACAAAAGCCCTAGGACCTTTTAAGTAAGGTTTTATAGTAGTGTAACATACTGTATAAGAAGAAAAGCACACAGGTCACAATTCTGCAAACAGCCATTCCAGTACCTCAGAACCCCCCCGGGCCTTCTCCCTTGGTCACTGCCCTCTATGGGTAACCACTGCTGACTTCTAACAGTATAGACTTCCTGTGCCTGTTCTAGAACGTTGTTGTTGTTGTTTGAGATGGAGTCTGGCTCTATTGCCCAGGCTGGAGTGCAGTGGTGCGATTTCAGCTCACTGTGACCTCTGCCTCATGGGTCCAAGCGATTCTCCTGCTTCAGCCTCCCGACTAGCTGGGATTACAGGTGAGTGCCACCACGCCCGGCTAATTTTTTTGTATTTTTAGTGGAGATGGGGTTTCACCACATTGGCCAGGCTGTTCTTGAACTCCTGACCTCAAGTGATCCGCCGTCCCAGCCTTCCAAATTGCTGGGATTACAGGCGTGAGCCACCGTGCCCGGTCTTGTTCTAGAACTTTGAACAAGTGGACTCACACCGTCTGTGTTCCTACATATGCAGTCCCTTTGAGCAGCTCTATGATCCTGAGACTCATCCATGCTGTTGCATTAAGTTGTACATTATTTATTCTTATTGGTTGGTAGTGCTCTCCGCTATGAAAATACAATTATTTATTTATCCTAGATGGAAACATGGACAATCTCATGATGAACATTCTTTCGATGAGCAGGTGAAGGCATTCTTGTGGGGCATTTACCTAGGGGCAGAGCTGCCGGGTAAAGGCCATGCAGAAATTCAGCTTTAGTAGATACTGACGGCTTTCCAGAATGATTATTCCACTGTGTGGGATTCACCTTTGCCCACGGACTTGCCCCTGAGCTACCCACACTCCCCATGACCTTGCGTCGAACGTGATCTGTCTCCGGTCCCTCTGGCCCAGCTCCTCAGTCCTCCTTCCAAGATGTTGCCCCTCTCCAGGGCTTTGGTGCAGGTCTCCCTTCCCCCGGGTCCTGCCGTTAGTGCCTTCCAGCCTTGATCTTGTCTTTTTGTCCTGGTGACACATCCTCAGGCCACTCTGGATGATGTCTTCTGGGCCTGGTCTGGCCTGGCTGTCTTCCCATCCTGTGGGTATTCAGGGCTTAATTCTGCTGAGAAAAGTCTGGGACACAGAACACATGTCTCAGAGTGATCCTGCCTGAAGATCAAGGGAACACGGGCATTAACACCCCAGTTCCTGCTGGTCCCTGATTGAAGGCTATTGCCAGGAGTGTTAATTCCCTGGCCCTTCTGACCTGCCCCATAGGAGGTCAGAGTGAGCTTAGAAAGCCTTCAGGTAATGAATTTCAGGAGCTGATCCTTAGAAGTCAGGCCTGGACTAATAGGGTGGGGCCAGGGCTGTGGCTGGGACATCAATAGCGTCTGCCATAACTGTAAAATGTGGGCAAGAAGGCACATCTTAGAGGACATTTGGGAGATTAGCAATGGCTATGGCACCTAGTAAGTGACTTGTAAATGGAACTGAATTTTATGGGGATGCTGAACTTCCAAGCCCAGGTGACTGAGAAGGCTGTGGTGTCAATCTTGGTGGCTGGGGATTCAGGCAAGGGGTGGGCTGGAATGGAAGGATGATGAGCTGTTTTGAACAGGTAGAGTTTTGGACATGTTGAGTTTGAGTTGAGAAGACATATGGCAGTTAGAAATAGAGATTGGCTGGAAAGGGCCTGGGGTGGGGGCAGAAGACCCAGGGTGATTCTCGCCTCCACGAATCTCGCCTGGGGCCACAGCAGGCTGACACCCTTTTCCCATGGCTTCCATCTCACTGCACCTCCCAACCCGGCACAGGGTGTAAGCAAGAAATGGTGATGTGTCAAAGGAAGGGTTTGGTCATCAATTGTTGATGAAATATTTTATTTTGAGATTGGTTTTGGGCTCCAAAAACAGACAAGATGATCTTCGCTGCCTTGCCGATCTGCCTCAGCTCCCGTGTGCACCCACTGTGTGGAAGACACTCAGCTCAGGACACTGGGATCAGGCTACAGTGGGTCAATGTGAGTGGGTCTGGAAGAGGCAAACTCCAAAGGTGACCCTGAGGTGGTGCATGTCCGTGTTCCTCCCCAGCATGTGGGCTGGGGTCCACCTTCTACAGGCAAACGTGCCCCTCTTTTGGGGTCCCTGATCCCAGGGTTAGAGGGGTTGTGGATGGTGATTCTCCCAGCAGCCAACCGCACAGGTGTTGGCCTTGAAGACCTCATCTCCCAGAGAGTCCCTGCCTAGACCCAGAAAAAAGAGTGAGGTGTCTCATTGTGGTCTCAGGCCCAAGCAGCTTTCTGTGACGGCCCTGGGAGAGCAATGCCAGCTCTCTGCAAGCCCACATTGCAGTTCCTCTCAGCCTCAGCTTTGGGGGCCTCTTCAGAAAGGGGCAGAGCAGCCTCACGTCCCTCATTTTGTATTTCAAGGACTCAGCACTTAGGCATCTGGAGTAGGGAGAGAACATGTCTTCTGGAGCCCGGAGACCTGCAGTTCCCATCCTGGGTGACCTCGGACAGGTCCCTCACCTCTCTGAGTCTCAGGTTCCACAGTGATGAATTGAGTGAAAAGATCCACCTCCTAGAATTATGGGGAGGATTAAAGGAGACAATGGGTGGGAAGATGTTTAGCAAACTCTGATCTTTCCATTTATGTGGGAGTGAGTCATTGTCACCATGGGAAAGACAGGATGGTGTATTTCCTCACTTTTTTTCCTTAAATTACATAATCCTCAACTCACCAGGATTCCATTTCCCTGCACTGCCCCTCATTATTGTCCTTGAACTTTGACTAATTTAAAAATGTAAACCTGGAAGGAATTTCAGAGAATGATGAGTCCAACCCCATTGTTCTAAACACTGGAGAAACTGAGGCACAGAGCGAGACAATGGGCTCAAGGTGCCCCGCTGGTTGTGGCACAGCCACCCAGGAGTCCCAGCCCAGCACCCCTGGGGTCTCTGCAGCCTCTGTCTGGCAGCTCCCTGGGGTCTCCTTCAACTTTGCTTGCTTTGCTTGCCAGATACTCTCTCCAAGATCAAAAGCTAACAGGCAGCAACCTGGATTTCCACAGCTGGAGGCTAATTTGCCCTGAGGCTGCTTTTTGTTTGTTTGTTTTCTTTTTAGAATTACTTCCACGGCTTAAAAGCTGTATTTTTGAAAACCTAAAGTGGCTGTCAGTTTCTCTCCAAAAGAAAACACGTGATGTGATCTGTCTTCTGTATGGATGTGGCATTACATCTAGTTCAAAGTCCCATCAAATGAATATACTACAGGAAGAAAGGGTTTCATTTGAGAAAATTCAAGCTACCACATACTTAGTTTGCTGCTTAACCTTTTTTATGTATCTTTTTTTTTTTTTACCATGAAAAAGAAAATAGCTTTTAAAGATTACCTTTCCCTCAGAAACGATCTGAATGCGTGTAATTTAAGCTTGTGTTGAACATGTGAAATGTTAACATTTCATCACTGTTATAATCCTGCCCTCCTGTCTTTCTCCAGTGCAGGAGACTTCCTCCTTGCTCAGCTTCATGGGTCATTTCTTTTTACAGCCCAAGGGCTTGACTTTCCACCCCCTCGAGAGAAATGAACTCAGGTGAGGTCAGGCAGCCGGGAGATTCCAATTCATGGCTCCTAGGACTTTCCATATGCGGATCATCATAGCTACCATCGCCTGAGGTCCTACTGTGCACCAGCACTGTGTCAGGTGCCTTTTAATTCATCGTCTCTAACCCTCCCGCTTCCACGCTGATTCTGTGCGCTGTCACCCACTGTCGGGATGATTGCCAGAGATGCCGGATCATCTCCCAGATTCGATGCCACTCTTACCCACTGTGGTCTCCTCTCCACCTAGCAGCAGGAAGGAGCCTTTAAAAATGCCCCTGCCACCACTTCCTTCCTTGCTCACACCCTCCATGGGTGCCCAGCTTCTGCAGGTTAAAGCCCAAGTCCTTCCCTGGTCCCAGACCCTGTGACCTCTCTGACCTCACCCCCTACCCCTCTTTGCTGTCCTCCAGCCACCTGGGCCTCCCTGCTGACCCTGGAGCATGCCAGGCTCACTCTCACCTCTGGGAATCTGCACGTGTGGCTTCCACTGCCTGGGCTGCCCACCCCAGATGTCCTCATGGCTCCCAGCCTTTGGGGCTGTCTCCAAGTGAGTCCTCAGTGAGACCTTTCCTGATCACCCGTATAAAACTGCACCCCAACCTCCCGACACTCTTTAGCCCTCCTCTCTGCCTGATGTCTCCTCATCAGTTACCACTGTCACTATCTGGCATATTCTGAATATTTTATTTACATTATTTATTGGCTGCCATCCCAAGAATGTAAGCTCTAGAAGGATAGTGATGATGATTGTTTTGTTCACTGCTAAATACCCAGTTCCTAGAACATTGACTGAGACATAAATACTTATTATATGAATGAACTGAAGATTCACATTTGGTGTGGATAGGATTAATAGCATTCAGATAAAAAAAACAAGTAAACAGATAAATAGTATAATATCAAAGAGCGAGAGGTGCTATGAAGAAAGGAAGGCAGGACTACGTGGCTACTTAGATTGGGGGCCTAGGAAAGCCTCTTCCAGCTTTTGAATGGAGATCTGGATTTTACAGACCAGGCAACAGCCCCAGGGAGTGGACAGCTTGCCCAAGGCCTGGCAGAAGGGGCCTTATGGGATGGGTCTTGAGGCCACAGAGCAAATGTGCCCAGGCTCCTGGGGAGCTCTCCAGAACACCTGAAATGGACATCCTTGGAGCTGATCTTGCTCTGGCCTTCTGCCCACCATGTTGAAGTCATTATTCCATGCATCTCCCTTCCCCATGGGATGGAAAGTGTGACTTGATGGGGTTCCCATCCATCCATCTCAGGGCCCGGTGCATAATAGAGCCTCTGCAGAGTTCTCTTAATGAATCAAGTGTGTTATTTCCAGGCAGGTGAGGGCATGTTGCAGCTATAAACATACAAGAATGTCCAGCTGTAAGAAGTCCTGGAAATAACTGAATCCATTTTTTTTTTAAAGAGAAAACTGAAGCCCAGGGTGGGCCAGGGTGTTGCCCAAAGTCACTTGGTGAGTCAGGGCCAGAGTTGGGACTTGAACCCAGGCCTTCTGCTGTTGGTCCTTCCCATGGGACCACTCTACAGAGAAAGCCGGGGAACCCCGTCTCCTCTGAGAAGAATCCAGGTGACCCACACAGATAGGAATTCTGCAAACCCTGGTTGAAAATGATATAAAAATGAGGCTGTGCACCTGAAGTTACAAATTCCCTCAACCTGAAAAAATATGCGCTCACCATTAAATAAAAAAGAGCTAAACTAACTTCCAATTCATGACTTCATTTTTTTTTCAAACGCATCAAAGAAGTAAAGTCAAAGGGCAAACAACTGGCCCCAAATCTGAGGAGAGATAGAAGGCTGCAGGGAGAAAGGAGACGGAAATACTCCCTCCCCTGGAATATAAAAACCAAAGCATATCTGAGACAAGTCTCAATCCATTTAGGAAGTTCATTTTGTCAAGATTAAGGACACGCCCCTGACACAGCCTCAGGAGTTCCTGACTACATGTGCCCAAGGTGGCCAGGCACAGCTTGGTTTTATACATTTTAGAGAGACATGAGGCATCAATCAATATATGTAAGATGTACATTGGTTCAGTCCGGAAAGGCGGGACAACTCGAAGCGGGGAGAGGGCTTCCAGGTCATAGGTAGATAAGAGACAAATAGTTGCCTTCTTTTGAGTTTCTGATGAGCCTTTCCAAAGGAAGCAATCAGATACGCATTTATCTCAGTGAGCAGAGGGAGGACTGAGTTCTGTCTTTCCTTTTTCCACAAATTGCAAGGCAGGCATATAGTTTTTGTTGTTGTTGTTGTTGTTTTTATCTTAATAGCTATCTTCTTTTGGAATAGAATGGAGGCAGGTTGGCCCTAAGCAGTTCCCAGCTTGACTTTCCCCTTTGGCTTAGTGATTTGGCGGTCTGAGATTTATTTTCCTTTCACAGGTAGATGCATCAGAAAGTAGTCAGAAGAGTTCAGCTAGAATAATTAAAAAGTTAGTGAAGGCCAGGTGCAGGCTGGCTGGACAGTGTGAAGCCCCCAAATCGAGGAGTCTGCGCCAACTTTCAGGCTCTTTCTAGAACCCAGGGCATGCTCACAGGAAAGGTCAGAAAGAGGTATAAGAAAGTGTCTGTTACAGTTCAGACAAGGAGAAGCTACAAAAAATTATACTCAGGCAGCCTTTCTCTCCAATGAAACAAAAGCCTTCACCTAGGTAGAAAACGGGAATAAGAACTACTGTCCCTCAGGCACTGGTGAAAGCTTATTTCAGTTGAGGGGAAGAGAAGAAGGGGATCTTTCTTCCTGAGAAAGGGGAAAGGAGCACTCAGTGGGCCCAAAACTACAGTGAGGGATAGGAGAGTTCAGAGGGCCACACCCTGAGACGCAGGGAAACTTGGTTGAACTAAGACAGGCTTAATCAGAGCAACAGAAAATACACCCCAGTGGCCCCACACCCCCAACCAAGCTAACAAGCTTCAAGCAAGGAGCAAGTGCAGAATGCTGCAGGGAGGGGAATGTCTGAGGTCCAGTTAAAGGGATGGCCCCATGCACAGCTTCAGACAGACATGGTGCTGGCAACCCAATCTCCACCCTGAACACAGGCCTCACCACAGGAATTGGAAGCTTGTGGTGCAATGAGGATAAACAGAACAAGAACAAATCTCACATCCAGCCCAACTCCTGACTGCAGTAACTCAAACCCGTCACTAAAGCATCAGGAAGGGTGTCCGATTCCAGGCATAAAAACCATGTTCCTCAGTCTCTACTGTCTGAGCCAAAAGGTCCAGCTTTCAACAAAAACATCACGAGGCCTGTAAGGCACACAGGAATCAGCAGAACCAGATGCAGACATCACAGTGATGCTGGAACTATATGACAGGGACTTTAAAATAACTATGATTAACACCTTAAAGGATAACATGCATGCTCAGATGAAAAATGGCTTCCAGAGTACCTCAGCAGAACTGAAACAGCTAAGGAAAGGATCAGGGAACATGAAGATATATTGATAGGAGTTACCCACACTGAACCACAAACAGAAAAAAGAGTGAAGAAAAAGAAGAAAAAAATATAGGAAGAGAACACCCAAGAGCAATGGGACAATATCCAACAATCTAACATATGTGTAATTGAGAGTTGGAGAAGGAGATGAGAGAGAAAATGTGGCGGAAACAGCATGTGAAAAAATAATTGCCAAGAATTTCCCAAAATCAATGAGACAAAAAAGCCACATACCCATGAATCTCAAAGACTATCAGGCAGAAGAAATAGCTCCCACCACCCCCCCACCCATATACACACATATATACTAGGCAAATCATATTCATGCTGGAGAAAAAAAAATGGCAAAGAAAACATCTCGAAGACAGACAGAGAAAAGAAGGAACACTATACAGAGATAAACAAAGAGGAGAATCACAGTAGACTCCTCATCAGAGCCCACACAGGCTAGAAGACCATGGAGTGGCATCTTTGAAGTGCTGAAAGAAAAACAAAAAAACTGTCAACCCAGAATTCTATACCAGAAGAAACAGCTTTCAAAAATGCAGTAGAACTGAAAACTTTCTCAGGGAAACAACAAATGAAGAAATACGTTGTCAACAGAGACATGAGAAATGTTAAAAGGAGTTCTTCAAGCAAGGGGAATATGGTATTAAACAAAATCTTGGATCTACAAGAGGAAATAAAAAGGGCCCTAAACATAGAAAGTACATTTTTCCTTATTTTTAATTGCCCTAAAAAGTAATTGTTTAAAGCATAATTGTGTTTATAGAATGTTTAAAAAT
Organism: Homo sapiens; assembly: GCF_000001405.40. NCBI lineage: Eukaryota > Metazoa > Chordata > Mammalia > Primates > Hominidae > Homo > Homo sapiens. Next base: position 30,238,075 of record NC_000001.11, on the reverse strand, counting down.
GTTATATATGACAACAATAACACAAATAATGGGAGGGACAAATTGGGACTATAATGTAAGCTCCTAATATGACACATAAAGAAGCATAATATTATTTGAAGGTAGACTCTAATTAGGAATGTGCATTGCAAACCCCAGGGAAAACACTAAAAATATAATAAGAGGTATAAATAAGCTAGTAGACTAAATAAAAAGGAATAGTGAGTGATATGGTTTAGATCTGTGTCCCTGCCCAGATCTCATGTTGAATTGTAATCCCCAGTGTTGGAGGTGGGGCCTGGTGAGAGGTGACTGGATTGTGGGGCAGAACTTTCCCCTTGGTGCTGTGCTTGGGATAGTGAGTGAGTTCTTGTGAGATCTGCTCATTTCAAAGTATGTGGCACTTCCCCTCCCTCTCTCTTGGTCCCGTTCCTGCCACTTAAAAAAAGATGTCTGCTTCTGCTTTGCCTTCCACTGTGAATAAAAGCTCCCTGAGGCCTCCCCAGAAGCTGAGCAGAAGCCGCTATGCTTCCTGTACAGCCTGCAGAACCGTGAGTCAATTACACCTCTTTTTTTTTATAAATTACCCAGTCTCAGGTATTTCTTCATAGCAATGCAAGAATGGACTAATACAATGGATGATCAATTTACTTAGGAGAAAGCAGACAAAGGAATAAAAAGAAAGAACAGGTTAAACAAATATAACTCTCATCTGTAGAATGAAAAAAGATGGATGGAAAACTGTGAAGGCCTTTCCTGCTAAAACATTCTCTAAATCGGGGAGCTACTTCCTTGACTTGGAAGACTTCTCAATACTTCATGAGGCCCTCAGTGAGGAAACTCTTAATAATATCTCTTTAATTAGTTTGATGAATCAACACAGCCACAACTGGGGGAATCTTTTATCAAATTGCTGCTGCACAGGAGAACAGAAGGCTACAATGCTTAGAAGCACAAATATAATTGGAGGTCATCAGACTCACAGCCTGTTGGGCCCTCCCCTTATAGAGGGTCACACTTGGGGCTGTGTAACTCACAGATATTGCATCTTTCCTCTCAAACCAGGAGTCCTAGAATCATAGGATTTAGAGTTGTGGCCCAGAGAAGGGAAGTGATTCGAGGTCACACAGCAGATTCACTTCTAGTCACTTCTCACTTTAACTCTCCTGGAATTTCTCCACCTAAGCCCTAAGAAAAGGCGCAGGACTACTCAATGAGGTAATCCCTGAATGAGTCTACCAGTCTTTGAGTCATAAAAGCCAGGACACACAAGTTGGGTGCGGGACCAAAGGCTCTGTGGCCACTGTCAATGGTGCTGAAGAAGAGCAAGGGACTGGCCCTACCCAGTGCATTTAAGGCCAAGGGGAAGAGGACACAGTTGCCTTCAGAAAATCCCTCCCTCCCTACTAGAATCAATCTTCCCCCCCCTTCCAATTCCCCATCCTGCTCTTTTCCCCAGAGTCTTGGAACCCACAGATGACAGGCACCTTTGGAGTCAGGACAACAGCACAAAGATCTACAGGATTCTCCAAGAGTCAGGTGGGTGGCCTGACGGACCTGGTCCTTCCTGATGAGGGCCTGAGGCCATGTCCATCCTAGCTGTGCAGCATAAAAGACACCAAAGCCTCCCTTGACCATGCCATCTCCATTGGAGGAGGAGGAGGATAATCAGGCTAGCTTCCCAGGGTGCTGAAGAGAACCAACAGAGGCCTTCACCCAAAAGGCATTGGGTAAATTAGGGAAGAGGAACATTCAGGAGCCATGGTGAGGTTGTTATGCATGACCCCAGAGGGGCTGGCTGTCAGGCCTGACAGAGCAGATGCAGCAAGTTGGCTGAACCAATAGGAATGTGTGGGAGCTGGGAGAGGAAGCGCAATGGTTTGAATGTGTTTCCTCCAGAATTCATGTTGGAACCTTAATCTCCATTTTGGTGTTATCAAGAGGTGGTACTCTTTGAGAATGGATAAGTGACCCATAAAAGGGCTGGAGGGAAGTAGCTGGGGCCATCTTTGCCCTCTGCTTTTCTGTGTGAGGACACAGCAGCAAAGAGCCATGTTGGGAACAAAGAGTGGGCCCTCACAGACACTGAACCTACCGGCACATTGATCATGGACTTCCAGCCTCCAAAACTATGAGGAATAAATTTCTATTGCTTATAAATCACCTAGTCTCAGGCTTTTAAAAATAGCTGCACAAATGGACCAAGACAGGAAACCAGGACTAAGACTCAGGAAACAGAATTCCAGAGTCAAGATCCATTTGGAAACCACATAGAATCAGAGAACACATCCATAGCAATGAGAGAAGACAGATTTGAGGAAGGTGGAAGGTAAAATTTTACCTGTTCCTAGTGACAGCACCTCCTTTATCTTTCAACTCAGTTTAACACACTCTGTGAGTGCCCTCTGGATTGTCCTATCTGTTTATATATATGATTTCATTTAATTATTTTACAAATCCTGAATAAGGCAACATTATCATTATTTACAACTAAGGATAGGTAGCCTCATAGACAGAGACTTTCCCATATTCTCTCAGTTGATGTGGTGGGCAGAATCCTAAGATAACCCCTAATAATTCATACCCTTATATAATTCCTTTTCCTTGAGTGTTGACAGGATGTATAACTTCCTTTACTGATTGAATGTGGTCAAGGTGAAGGGATTTTGCAGACGTAATCAAAGCTCTTAATGAGTGGACTTTAAATCAATCAAAGGGGAGGTTATACTGGGTGGGTCAGAGCTAATCAGGTGAGTCCTTTTAAAGAAGGTCAGACACGGAGCGCTATAGAGACTTTCTTCAACACTGGCTTTGAAGCAAGCTGCCATGCATTTTACAATCACAAGGAAATGAATTCTGTCAACAACCTGAATGAAATTGGAAGCAGATCTTTCCCTATTTGAGCCTACAAATGAGAACAGGGCTTCGAAGGCACCTCGATTTCAGCCTCGTGAGACCCTGAGCAGAGAGCCCAGCTAAGCTGTGTCCACATTTCTCACCTACAGAAGCCGTGAGATGATAAACAGGTGTTGTTTGAAGCTGTTAAATTTGGAACAATTTGTTAGGCAGCAATAAACAACTAATACAGCTGGCAGGTGGCAGAGCTGAGATGCAGGAACTTCCCTGTTTCCTGTAAGGCCCACACTTTTTCCACTGCAGACACCCCCACCCCCACTCCCCAACACACATATTCCATTGTTTCCATTTTGGGCTGGACTTGCCCTCAGAGGGAATTCTGATTATTAAACAGGCAGGATGGAAATGGAAAGAGTGACAACCCCATCCATTTTCTCTGACTTCTGGGCAGAGGCAGGTGCTGAATTGGTGTGGCCCCAAAACTCCCAGGAGGAAGGAAAATGCGCACCAGCTGGTGTCACTCAGGGCTGGCAGTGACTCCAGGTGCCCATGGGGAGAATGAGGTGAGAGGAGCTCCTGGTCAAGTTATCAAAGAAGACTGGCCTTTGGGTCATCTTTGGCCTTTGGGTCATCTTTGGCCTTTGGGTCAGGGGTCACTGAACCTTGGCTCATCCACTAGATGTGCCTGGGACATTAGGCATCTTCTCTTGATCTCATGTGATTCCATGAATAACAATAGAGCTACCATTTGGTGAGTTTCTACCTCACTCTTCGACAAATACCTATTTTGTGCGCAATATGTGCTGAGCACTGGGGCTGCAATAGTGAACCCCACAGAGCTTTTAAATGCCAGAGAGGGACCGGCCAGACTCCCAGCTATGTGAACACATTGCTGTGGCCTCTGAGGCCACACAAAGGCCCCTTCTGTTCTCGACTCTCTGGCTGCTTAATTGTAGACTTTTTTCCCCAACTCATCACATGCTGGCCCTTGGCATTTCCCTATCCTCCGATACTGGGGTGTCGGTGGGGAAGGGAAGGAAAAACAAATGGGCAAACGGAAGACAACTCACAGAGCCAAGGAAGGATTTTCTTCCTGTTTCTTCCCCTAAGCAGTTTAACACAAATTAATTTAAGTACAGCCTATATCTGATGAAGATGTCACTTAGATTCATTTTCTTAACCAACTATTTCAAGCCCAGCATTAATCTATTCATCAGCTGCACTCATCAGGAGAAAACATGCTTCTTCAGGACTTTTCCAGCTGAAAATAAATGCCTCATTAAGTTAAACATATTAACCTGAGAACAGTATTGAAGTCAGACAGACTAATGAACATCATTATAGGGAAGATGCAACAGTCCTCAGAGGGGCCCCACCCAGCATCGGGGACTCCCACAAATTCTCTCAGCTAATGCAGGATGTAGGATCATCAAAGGAGGGAGGGAGAGGAGAAAAGGACTCAGAGGGACCAGGGCTGATCCAGTCATGGCTGTCGCCGTGGATATACTCCTGATTCACGCTGGATACTTGTCTGAGAAGGGCATGTAGCCACCCTTATGTGATGTGATGAGTTGCGAATTCCAAGAGAGAAGCTGGTTTTGCCTCTAAAATGAGAGAAGTCAGGCTTAAGTATCAGGAAACTCTGATTCTAGTTCCTGCTCTGTCCTTCAGTGGGGTTGGGAATAATTCCCTGGTTTTCTCCAAATATCAGTGGACTAGATCTAGATTCTTCCAATCTTTATTGAGTCAACCACTATGCTAGGCACTTTCTCATATGTAACTGTGTGGACTGTTACCGAAACCCAGTTAGACATATTTATCTTTTGCCCTAGAATTAGAGAATAGGAAAACCCAGGCCCAGAGAGAAATTATCTGACTTGGTTTGCTAGATCGTTGGGACAAGCAGAGGCAGGAAATGGGGCTCTGCCCTGGGAAGGTCATCCCGAGGGAACTGCATCCACCTTTGCAAGAAAATAAATGTAAAAGAAAGACTGAAAACTTGAGCTTGGTCAGAAGAGTATGACCAACTTGATGAAGGGGCAGTGTGATGCAGAATGCTGAGGAAGCAGGGCTGTTGCGCCTGCAGAAGGAAGAACCTTGGAGAGACAAAAGAAATATTCTCAAATACAGAAAGGACTGTCCTGTGGAAGAGGGAGTACATGCCCTCAGTGTGGGCCAAAGGAAGGTATTTCAACAGCCAAAGCTGTCCAGAGGTGGAATGAGCTACCTCCAGAGGCGATAAGCTCCCCCGCTATGGATATGCAAGTAGTAATTAGGTAACTACTTAGTGGGGGTCATAATATCAGGACAAACTGGACTGGAATGACAGTTGTTGTGCTTTTTTCAGGACAATTTCACCTCTCTCTGACCCAGTCTCTCATTTGAAAAAATGGGGATTATAAAGTTACCCACCTCTTTGGGTTACTGTGAGAATTAAATGAGATAGTATATGTAATACACTACATGCATGCTCGGCTGGGAGCTGATGATTTTACCATCAATGCTTGATTTTTATGGAGAGGATTCTGGCATCAGATGAGGTCTTGTAGCTTTGCCCACTTCCAGCACTTGGTGTCTTTAGAAAAGATCTCTCTATGAATGCTCTGAGAATTAGGGGACTGTGCCCACTATCAATTTATTGCCTCTTAGCTCAAATTTCTTCTTTATCTTGTTTTTTTGATACTGAAGCTGGACACCGAAAATTTCTTCTATGCCAGGTGATGTAATGTTACACCTGGTCTGTAGGGGGTGCTGGGGAGACACTGCAAGGCTATAGAAGAGGATGGGACTTCTTGTCCGGGTTCTGGGTTTTCTTTGCTTCTTGTTCCTGTGGCAAGACTGCTGGTGGCATTAGAGTGACCCGGTGGCTCTCACCTTCCAGTGAGCTTTGTTATCACCCAGAGGGTGGCTTCCTACTCACTAGCATTGGGCCACTGACTAAGGACCATTTCTAGTTTGTGGCATCCCCGGGAACTTCTCCTGTATCTGCTGGGCCACAGTCATACCATTTCCAACAATGCTGAATCTTGGCCTTGAACAATGTGACTCTCTTCCAACATCATTCCTTCCTTGGGGACTCTTCTTTGGCCCTAGAGGTAGTAGGCTCTCCCTGCATTTTCTATTTCTACATTTATTAGCATCCTATTTTATTCTATTTAGTAATTAATCATCTTTTACTAGTTAATAATTCTTTAAATTTTCCCTGTTCAAATTACTTTTGTGATTTCTGTCTCCTGATTGGACCCTGATATGTGGTATCCACCACTCTCTGTGGTATAAATACTCCCGCCATGGCCAATTTCAGATGAGCAATGCTATGTCACTAAATGTGAAGTTTGGGAGAGACACGGAATAACACATCATTATTTAATATTCCTACCATACACATGCAATGTGAGTAAATCATCTCACTAGCATACACAGTGGTAAAATATTATGACGTAATTAGGAATTGATGACTTTTGAGTGTTTATTGCCTTTGGGTTTTTTTTGTTTGTTTGTTTGCATTCAGGACAACTATTGCCTTTGTTTTTAATGTAATTTATTACATTGTAAGTTAATATCATTTAATTGTTAACATTGTCTGTGTTTAACAACTGGCTGGCAGAGCTCCTGAGCATTCATTCATCATCAGCTCTAGCACACTGCTGTCCCCATGCTTGTGGCCCCATCACCTTGGTTCTTGATTGTATAATTATGGAAAAAGAAACTTGCCTAAATCCTCGGGTTTGTGAAACTACCCAATGCGAAGGCCAGGCGGTCGGCCCCCGCCTCACTCGATCACCCCTCCTAATGCAGTATTTGACACTTTCAATTTATTTTTTACTTCCTTTATTATGAGAAATGATTAAATTTCCAGCATAAATACTCCTTTGCCAAACTGAATTCATCACAGTGTGGGAAGGCAGGGAGAGGCCTCTGGGACTTTGAGCTTCACAGTTAACCCTTCGGCCCTCATGGAGGCCATTACAGGGAGGGCACTGGGTTTTGGAGGCCTCTCTGGACGACCCTACTTGGAACCTCACTGGCGGTCACCTAACCGCTTTGCCCTTCTGTAGCCTCACTCTGGTGGTGGGATATAGGGAGTCACTCTGCCTCTCCTTCCCATCCTCCCTCAGTCCTCTGATCTGCCTCCTGAAAGGTCTCCCCTGGATCAGATTCTCCTGCCCTACCTGGTCCGTGGAAGAGAACAGTGCCGATATGGTATTTTGGTTTCTTCCTTCCCTACTGCCCAAGCAGGTGTGCAATGACTGATGTTCACATTGAAAGGGGACATGGGAACAAATAGGCTGTTCACTAACGTGCTCACAGCCTTCAGGGAGCTATGCAGCTTCAGGGCTGAGTCAGGGGGGTCTCCTCCCATCACTGCATGGGGCTGATTTGTGGCTCTGCTGAATTTAGTCACCTTCTTTAGACTCCAAAATGCACTTTAATGTCAGTTTTGAAGACTTCCAAACCTTGGGTGTGAATTCTGCTCCAGGACTCCTCCTGGAACAGCCTGGTCAGAGTTTCCTTTCTGTCCTCTCCTGGTCTAAAGCCCTTTCCTCCAACAGTTGGCTGGTTAGCACTTGTTAATGGATCTAATAATTTCTTGGAATTGATTTTCTCATATAGAATATACCTGGGAGAAATAAAATAACCATCAAAGAACCTTAAATGAACTACACTCTTGTCAAGAGAAAAAAAGCAATCCACTTGGAGCATGAACTATGAGGGAATAAGGATTTGCTGTGCACCAAGACGGAGGGTGAGGAGGGGGCCCTTCGCGCGGCTGAGCTCATTACACCTTGGGTCATTTTCTCTGCCCTGTGATGCGGCCTGTCTCTGCTCTGCTCCCCACTCAGCCCTGTCCCCACAGGGAGAGGGGATGTCTGACTCACTCTCCTACCTTCTCTGAGGGTTGATGGTTTTGCCTTGGAGAACAGAGGTGGGAGGGGTTCTGCTCTCCCGTCAACACCCCTGCCTCTGTTACCAGCGGGTCTTTGTTCTTAGAGCTCCCAAGATGGTGGCAGGCGCTCCCAAGATGGTGGTGGGCCGCTCCCAAGATGGTGGTGGGCCGCTCCCAAGATGGTGGCGGGCCACTCCCAAGATGGCAGCAAGATGGTGGCGGGCTGCTCCCAAGATGGCCGCAAGCCTTTTGTTCTCTGACCTGGGGTTCTTGGCCTCATGGATTCCAAGGAATGGAAACTTGGGCCATGTGGTGAGTGTTATACCTCTATTAGAAGCCAAGGGTCACTGAAGAGAATTGTGGAACCCAGCGACTAGTGTTCAGTTTGATTAGGATGAACCTGGGCACTTAGCTGTGCAGGAACAATGGCGAGCCTCTAGCCCTATGGGGAGCGGCAATCGGCGCCTCACTGGATCAGAAGCACAGTGGACACCCTGCCGGATCCGGAGGGGTGGAAGTCAGCAGTGGGTCTGCAACAGCATTGATCAGCAGTGGTGGACAGGGAGCAAAAGCTCAGCTCGAGCCGGAACAAACATGGACCAGAAGAGTGTGCTGTTGCAAGATTTAATAGAGTGTAAACAGAGCTCCCATCCAACAGGAGGGGACCCAAAGGGGGTTGCCCAATCCAGCTCAAATGCCTGGGTTTATATCCCAATCATTTTCCCTCTCCCTGTGCTCTCTGGCGATAGATGATTTGATTATTTCTTTACCTCCTGCTTTTAGCCTAATTGGTATTTTAGTGAGCTCTTTTTACTACCTGATTGGTCAGGTGTGAGCTGAGTTATAAGCCCCGTGTTTAAAGGTGAGTGCGGTCACCTTCCCCAGCTAGGCTTAGGAATTCTTAGTTGGCATAGGAAGTCCAGCTAGTCTTGTCTCTCACCTCTGCCACCCATGCCTCTGCCTTCTCTCTCATAGGCCCCATCAGCTGAGGAATGAGCTCCCAGACCTTCCCACAAGAGAGGAGATGGAAAGAGTGAGGCAGACAGGGCATGGGATGGCAGGCTGTTCTGAAAGAGTGCCAGGATAGAAATGCAGGCTGTACAGTGAGGAGTAGGTCCAGAGAGGGATGGGTTCAGTTGGTTGCCAGGGCCCAGGGCTCCCCTCTGACAGGTGTGGTCCCAGCCCTGGCTACACAGTGAGTTCCAGAATGCATTCCAGTGGCAGGACATGAGCTGCTCATACACTTTCTGGCCTGGGTGGAGTTAACAGCCTGAGCCTGGATCAGAGAAGGACGGAGATGGAGCCCTGTTTACGGAGCAAGACTTGGCACATCGGATCCATGATCCCACTCAAACTTAGTCTCACTTCCTGGATGGATTGCCGAGGATGGGCTTAGGCAGGTGACCTGTGAGCATCCAAGAAGAGGAGTCGGGAGGGGAGGCTGGACTCCAGGGCCTCTGGGATTTTTATGTGCAAGTACATGCCTTGGCGTTTTGTGCTGGTGCCCTTCATTTCCAGCAGGGCTGAGAGCTGAGGCTAGCAGAGATGTCTTGACCATGCGCTTACTTAACATACATTTGACTGAGGTCCTACTATGAGCTGAGCACTGGGGAGCAGTGGCAAAATATAGACGCGACCCCTGACTTCTCCAGGCTTAGAGGTAGATGAATGTATAAGTGCTTTTTGTAGTTTATCAAGGGGAAAACTAGGTTCCAAAAAAGGTATTATTTAGAGGTGAGGAACCTGGGATTCAGGGAGGATTGAGTAACCTGACTTAAGCCTCACATTTAGTAAGTGGCAGAACAGGAAGCAGGGCTCACCTCCCAAGCCTGCACGCCTCCCAGTGGGCACTGCTGCCACGTGGGCACCCACACACTCCACTGTCCACGCAGCCACTGCTCTAGGGGAAGCGTGCGGGTGAAAAGAGGTTCTTCCTGTCCTTATTCTCTGTCTTTCTTCCCTAGGGGTGGAGTGGAGCAGGCTAGGCTGGGCCCAGTTTTGGGGCTGGCTTTAGGGCTGGACAACTGTTCACCAGCACAGTCCAGGAGGAACCTGGGGCCTAAGCACCTGAGCACTGGGGAGGCCAAATTCCATGATCAAAGCAGAGGGGCTGGGGATGGACCAGCCAAGGGAAAGAGCACCCAGGTCCGGCCTGGCAGCTCCAGGTATCCAGATAGCATCAGAGAAGGGCCTCCCAAGAGGTGCCCCAATCCCCAGCAGTGTCCCCTGCTGCCCACCTTTGTGGGCCTGGTGGCGTCTAGACTGGGCTGGGCCCAGGTGCAGTGCAAGGGCTAAAGGGGGTCCCATGCCTGTGTCTCCCGGCATCCTAGTGCTGTTGATGCTCTAGCCACCTCTGTGGCACCAGCCCATACCAGGCCATTTGGCCCCAGAGACATGGACCTGCCTGTTTACTCTAAACAATGTGGCACCCCTGCTTGGCCCTGGCACCTGCAGGACAGCAAGGTGCACCCTGCATGGGGAGCTGTTCAGCCCTGATGGAGGCCATCACAGGCTATTGCAGCGGCTGCAGAGTGGGGCCTCCATTTGCATGTAAGGGAGGTGGGATGCTTTTAATTATTAGCAGCAGGTCTTTGTGTTTACCTCCTGATTCTTTCCTTGAAGGTAATAATTAAAGAAGGCGTATTAAGGAAGTAACAGCCCTGGGGCTCAGAGGGGGAGAAGATGGGGTGTGCTGTAGACCTAGGAGGGGCTTGGCCACCAGGCAGGAGCTGCTGAGGGATGGAGGCTCTCCCATTGCCCAGGCTGTTACCTGTGGGGAAGAGAGGCCCCCAGTCTTGTCTCTGCACTTTCCTTGGAAAGGCTGGGAGGGGGAGCAGGGGATGGTGCCCTGGAGGAGGAGTCAGGCCCACAGGGCTTCCCATTCCGACTCCACCACTTCCTTTCTGTGTGACTTTGGGAAAGCCGCCTCCCCTCTCTGGGCCCTTTCCTCATCTGTAGTTGGGGACGGTGCTTCCATCAGCCCCTTCCTCCCAGGGTGGTTGTGGAGATGAGCCCTCCAATAGGCACAAATGGACACCAGGAGTGCGTGGCAGTGAGTGCAGTGGTTGGGGCAGGGGCTGGAGGCAGTCACAGGTCTGGGATTTAGATCCAAGCTGTGAGCTCAGGCAAGTTCCTCAACTTCTCAAGGTCTCAGCTCCCTCAGCTGAAAAATGGGTTCATAATAGCCCTTTCCTTCAAGGGTAGTGATGAGAATTAATGAGGAGGTGCACACAGCCTGACACAGCTAAGCCCCAAACCAGCAGCAACTGCTACCCTTGCTGTAGCAATGGCTGTGGTTGAAGAGTCAGAGGAACACTGGCACTCCTGGTCTCCATCAACCCTGACCCCCCAGGTCTGAATAGCCTGGTCCTGCTCTGCTCTGCCCTCTCTGCTTCGGGTACTCCCTCAAATACAGTGTCTTTATTGAGAGTGGCCTAGGGAAGGGAGGATGTGTTGCTTACGCCTGGAGTTTGAACTACTTATTCCCAAACATTGTTATCTGTGGTTATCAGTAGAAGCCATTCGTTGCTTCTTTTTTTTTTTTTTTATGTTTTACAAGGGCAGTCCTACTTGAATCAAGTTCCAGAATGAGAGTACACAGCTTCGAAAAGCAGTGTGTAGCAGAAGACGAGAGGGTGTGTGTAAAGCTATGTTTCTAGAATATACCAAAGGAAATAGACATAACCCCAACGTGGCCTTGCAGACCCTCAATGCTGCTGCATACCCGGGGCAGGCGGCTACTTCCTCCAGCTGACTTTGGGAATGTCATAATGCTCCGTGAGTGTGTCCAGGTGTCCGTGGAAGTCCTCCTCTGCTTGTGGGTTTTGGATCATTAGGTGCTTCTTGACTAACTAGTCTAAAGCAGAGTTGTATGAGACGTTCTATTCTGACTTCTAAACATTTTTTGGAATATGGCATTTCTGAATGATTGGCAGCTGGAAAGTAATATCCACCATGCACTCACTATGGGCCAGACCTTGGCTAAGTATGAGATACTTGTTACATAATTTTTCCAATAACACAGTGAGGTGGATGGTGTTGGCACCAATTTAGACATGAGGAAACTCAGCTTCAGAAGGGCAAGTAGCCTTGTGGGCTAGCAAGTGGAGCTGTGCAGGGGAAAATGATCAGCATTTCTCAGCAGCCATGAATTACAGTCCCTAGTTTCCAGATACAGAAATTGATGTCCAGAGAAGTACAGTGACTTGCCCAAATCACGCGGCTAGGGAGTTACAGAATCAGATTCCTGCTGGACTCCAGGCTCCACGGTCTCTGCACACTTCCAGCCTCACAAGTTTTTCTTTGGCTTGCCTTTCCTCCTCCCATTTGTCCACATACTGCCAGCAGACTAGGGAGGGAAAAAGGAAGCTGACTTCCCTGAAAGGAGAAGTAATGGTCCCAGGGCTGGAGGAAGGCCGGGTTGATGCCCTCAGTGCCTGCGCGTTTGCAGCTTTCCCCTGGAAGCAGGCACGCTTCCCCTCTAGAGACAGGCCTGGGAAGTCAGCAGGCTCCAATTCCATACTCAATTATTCAACACAAATAAGAATTGAATTAAAATTTCATGACTCCATTGCTTTTTACCCAAGCATCTATCTGAAAGTGAAGACATTTGTTTGAGTCCAACAGTCTAATTGCTGAAATCTTCATCCGAATCCTTTCAACTTCCATAAATCATTTTGGATAACAAGCTACCTTGTAATTTCCACAGAGTTCAAAGTGGAGCAGGCCTCTCTGCAGACACAATGCCCCAGGGGCTGTTGGTTGAACGAGTCCCTCTTGAGAACAGGGCTGGGGTTTCACCCAGTGTCTGACGGCCAGATGGTCACAACCTCCGGTTTTAAGAGACAATCTCTGACATTTGCTCAGCGGGATCAATAGGATGATTCCAGGTGAACAGCAGCCGGGGAGGATTTAGGAGGTGGACTGCAGCACGAGGTTGTCCCTGGAGGTTACTGGAAACCACATCTCCCTAGACAGGGCCAGTGGGAGGGAGGGACAGATGTGCGTTCCCTTCTCTGACCCTTCAGTTTCCTTAGGGGCAGGTGGGTGACCTTGGGGCAATGGTGGACTGCAGCTCAAGGTTGTCCCCAGAGGTTACTGGAAACCACATCTCTGTAGACAGGGCCAGTGCGAAGGAGGAACAGATGTGTGTTCCCTTCTCCTCTGACCCTTCAGGTTCCTTAGGGGCAGGTGAGTGACCTTGGGGCAATGACTCATTCTCTCAGTGCCTCAGTTTCCCCACATGGAAGGCAGAATGAGTGAATCCTCCTGTCAGGGTGGTTGTGAGGGCCACGGGGGTGGGGCTATGGGCAGCTCTCAGCATGGTTCCTGGCAGCAGGTGCTCAAATCTGTTAGTGCCAGTGACTCGAGTTGGGTGCACAGATGACCGTTGACGGGGGTGAGGTGTGATGTGGTACCCTGACTTCCAGCCCTCACCTGTCCCACTACTGACCATCTGAGGAGGCCCCGGGCACCCCTGGGCAGCAGGAGAGTGGGTCGACATTGAGATAGCCCAGAGGTGAGACTCAGAGATGTGGGCAAGGGACCTTTCTGCCCAAACAGAAAAGACGGCTATGGGGCAGCCTCGACCACCGCTGATGGGAAGGAAGACTCAGCATTTAGAGAGGCAGGGGCAAGTGAGTGATGACCAGAAGGTCAGGTCAGGCATTCCAGCAACAAAGCGGACAGAGTGCAGTGTGTCTTCAGGCAGGCCAAGCTCCACCCACCACGGGGGCTGAGGGCAGGCGAGGAGGGTGGATCCTGACTGGGGGTGAAGCAGGGCATCCCTGAGATGGGAGAAAAGGCACAGAGCCTGAGTTCAGAGCCCAGCTCAGAAGGAGGCCCCCAAGTCCTAGCAGGTCCCCATGGCACTCACCCTGGAGGGCTTGCTGTGATGGAAGAAGGGATGGCACTTGGAGAAGAGCTAGGGAGCCCAGTGGGGCAAGGTCTCAGAGACTTCAGGACATGCTGTGGGGCTGTGGCCACAGGACTAACTCTGGAGAATCTCAGGGAAGTGGAAAAGTGAGGGGTGGGAGGGTCTGGACAGGATGCAGAGCTGACCTTTGGGGAATATTATGGCCAAGGAGAAGTACGGGGATTGGGTTCTGGGCCTCACCCTGCTTCTGAGTCACTGTGTGACACAGGACAAGCCACTTGGCTTCTCTGAGTTTGGTCTGCACATCTTAGAATAAGAGATATTAACTAAGGGATCTCTGAGACCCTCTCAGCTCCCTCAGAGGGTCAGGCCTTGTCTCGGTATAGTTCTGTGTGATGCCCCCCTCCCTCCCCCTACACCCCACCCTCTACCTTATCTGGTAAGTGGCTTTCTAGCTCAAATTGCCTTCTACCAAAGGAAGGCAAATCAGCACCATGAACCCACAGTGCTGACTCGGCAGCCCTCCAGATCACTGTGTGATGCCGGGCGCAGCAGTAACAGCGATGCTCGGTTCATTAGAGACCAGGGCTAATATGTCCTCACCCTTGGAGATGCCATTACAGGGTGGTTTCTGCAGCTTCCTCTGCAGGAGGGATGAAAACAAGGAGAATGGGGAACAGGAGATGAATCTGACTCATACCGCCAGAGGAGAGCTTGAGGGTAAAGTTTTGTGCTGGTCCCAGCTTGGAGACCTAGGTGCTGGTGAGGGACAGTCATTGGGCTCTTCCATTTCCTGTGACAGGAACCTCAGAGGAACCCTACTTGAGTTCAGAAGGGATTTTTTGGATTATATAAACAGAGGAGCTCTGAGACAGGGGAGCTGTCAGGAGCACCTTGACTCAGGCGCTCAAATGATGCCAGCAGGACCTGCTCCTTTTTTTCACCATCTTTTAGCATTTCTCTACCATGCAAAGCCATCTCAAGTCCCCCTTCCTAGTGGTGAGATGGTTTCCATCTGGACTGGCACTCAGCAGAAAAGAGAACTTCTTTTCCTCATGGTTGATCAAAAGTTCTAGGCCACTGGCTCTAAGAACCACAGCCCCATCCCTGAATCACCAGAAAAGATAGAGGCCTGGAATATGTCAATCAGGGTCTATCCCATGAGTGAGCTTAACCCCATGTAGACTGAGAGTTGGGGAGAGGGCAGTTTTATCAGTAAAAGAATAAAAGTGTACTAGGCCACCAAAACCCATAGATGCCTGGAGTGAGTTTGGGGCAGGGAGCAAGAAAAGAAAACGTATTAACAGAAACAAAAGGGTGGATAGGAAAAATACAAATATTTATGCATCCTGGATTGATTTCATTTCACTTTCCCAATAATACAATGATATTGGAGCTGTTATAATCCTAGGTATAGAATTCTCGGTGTTTAGAGTTAGAAATACCTTCAATACTCTCAGACCAACTCTATATCCTTATTTATGTATTTTAATTGACAACTAAAAAAATTATATATCTCTATGGTGTACAACATGATGTTTTAAAATATGGATACATTGTGGAATAGCTACACTAAGCTAATTAATATATGCATTACCTCACATACTCATTTATTTGTGGTGAGAATACTTGAAATCTATTCAATGTCACTTTTATAGGCAGGGTGTCAAAGACCCAGAAAGGTTAAGTGACTGTCTCCAGGTCACATGCCTCAGGGTAAGATGGTGGAGTAGGGAATCCATCTTCCCATCTAAATAGCAGTTGCACTAGCAAAATCTTCTGATATAACTATTTTGGAACTCGAAAGTCTATGCAAAGGCTTGAAAATTAGAGGGAAGGCTTATGTAGTACATCACAGCTGATTTCCCTCAACTTCAGCTCTTAGTTGGGTAGCAGCTTCCAACCCTCCATCCCACAGCCATGTGGCAGGTAGTTGTGCATGTGCTCCAGGAGCAGCTTGCATGCAGCCTGTGGGAGCCTGGGTGGACAATAAGGACCTTGCCCTTCAAATATTGGGGATCTAGCCAGTCTCAGTGGCTCATGCCTGTAATCCCAGCACTTTGGGAGGCCAAGGCGGACGGGTCACCTGAAGTCAGGAGTTCGAGACCAGCCTGGCCAACATGGTGGAACCCCGTTTCTACTAAAAATTCCAAGAAAAAAATCTAGCCAGGCATGGTGGTCCATGCCTGTAATTCCAGCTACTTGGGAGGCTGAGGCAGAAGAATCGCTTGAACCAAGGAGGCAGAGCTTGCAGTGAGCTGAGACTGTGCCATTGCACTCCAGCCTGAGCAACAAGAACAAAACTCCGTCTCAAAATATATATGTATATACTGGGGATCTATGCTCTGATTGCTGATTTCTTCTGATTGTTGAGATGCAGTAACAGGGATGCTCGATGCAGACAGTGGTGAGCAGCCATCGTTGCAATCTTTAGCACCATTGTTGCAAGCCCCTACCCTTCTGGCTGAAGAGACTTTCAGAGAATTTAAAGGACTGGCACACTTTTCTCTTCATTATCACTTCTCCCTCTTTTATGGAGCCAGACGTTTAAGGATGTGGACATTTTGATGCGATTGCATATACAAAGGAATTTAGAAAGTCACCACACATATCCAGGAAACTTCACGTGCCCTGTGAAGTTTTTTGTTGAAAATTAAACATTTGAATCTTATAGTGTAGTAACTCTGGAAATCAGATTCTCTCCTTCAGGGTTTGCTTTTTAAAAATTTGTCATAGGCTGTCTTTGTGCAGGGATCAGGCTGAGGCAAATACTTAAGGTCTTCTCAGATCTTGCTTCCTGCCTTTGAACATCAGACTCCAAGTTCTTCAGCTTTTGGACTCTTGGACTTACACCAGTGGTTTGCCAGGGCTCTCAGGCCTTTGGCCACAGACTGAAGGCTGCACTATTAGCTTCCCTACTTTTGAGGTTTGGAGACTCAAACTGGCTTCCTTGCCCCCCAGATTGCAGACGGCCTGCCATGAGACTTCACTTTGTGATCGTGTGAGTCAATTCTCCTTAATAAACTCCCTTTCATATACACATCTATCCTATTAGGTCTATCCTTTTAGGTAACCCTGACTAACGACTTGCCATTTCATATTTATATTTGTTAGCTCGCTGGATCCATACATGGGTTCCTTGGCTGTTGTGAACTGGCAGTAAGAGGCTAAGTGCCTGCCCCAGGCCCCACAGCGAGGTGTTGGCTTAGCCAAGCTATCCCCAGAGCATCCAATGGCTCCCTGAAATTTGTTCTTCTGACCTCTTTGTCTGCCTCTCTTTTTCTCTCTGTCCCAATTCTCTGCCTCTCCAGATTCCCAGACCAGCCCGGATCAGCACATTCCTGCAGCCTGGAAAGGAGGTGGCAGTGGTTTATCAGTTATGTTGCTGACACCACTTTCAGCTTGAACTACTTTAAACAACTCTGGTATTCAAGTCCAAACTCAACAAACCCCCGGCCACACCCCTGTGTCACAGCCCCTCACTCACATTCTGCTGGTAGATGTTCACTGGGAATAACCTTAGTGGAGGATATTTGCACAACATTCATTAAAATCCAGATGCATGTGGATTTGACTCAGCAATTTAAATTCTACTAGTAAGTCATTTCAACTCATAGGAATATTTATATATTCAAGGATGTTCACATCATGTGTAAAAATGTAATATCAAAAATTTGAGGTAATCTAATGTCTATTCATAAGAGATTAATTACATAAATAATGGCACATTTCTGGCAGTCATTAAAAGATAATAAGCGTGAGTCCTATGCACTGGCTCAGGAGACTGTTCATCATATTTTTTAGTAAAAAAGTTTGATGAAAAATATGAACTGTCTGCTGCTGCTTTGCATAAAATTTCTGATCATTTTGTACGTGCACAGATAAATATCTTGAAGGATGAACACTTGTACTAGGAGACCCTTGAGGAAATCCTTAATGTGTCTGACACTCTCTGATAACAAGAACTATCTGAGGCCATTTGTGCTCAAGATTACCTTCCCCCTCTCACTGTTCAAGGTCATTGCCCCAGAATTCCTCTGCTCTCTTTCCTGCATCGTCCATAGGGTCATTACCCTCATGTGCCAATACCACATTATCTCTCCAAACTCAAAAAATAAAACAACCCCAAATCAAAACCAAAATGAACCCTCCTCTGCTACCTTTGCTTTCCTTTACATGAAAGCACCATACCTGCTCTCTCTAATTTTCCTCCTCCCATTTTCTTTTCATTTCACTCTACTGGGATTTCAGCCCTCACACTCCACCAAAACCACTCTCATTAAGGTCACCAATCATCTCCTCATTGATAAATCCTATAGTCAGCTTTCAATGACTCTTGACCTGTGGTCATTTGGTAAGTGGCTTACTCCTCTCTGAAACCTTCTCTCCCCTTGGCTCCTGGGATCCCCTCTTCTCCTGGGTCTCCTCCTATCTCCCTGGCTGCTCCTCCTTTATTTGCTTTGCTAGTTCCTTCTTGGCACCTTGACCAGTAACCCTTGAGCTGTCCCCAGGCTCTGTCTTTGGTCCTCTTCTTGTCCTTTCTCACTCCCTTGGACCTTTACATGCCATTCCTATGCAGATGGCTCCCCAATTTACATGTCAGCCCGACACCTCCCTGAACTCCAGGCTTATACATCCAGCTGCCTACTCACCATCTCCCTCATCTCGGTTAAAGCAACTCAGGCCAAAAACCTGGAGCTGTGGTGGACCCGTCTTGCTCTCATACCGCATGTCACATCTATCAGCAAAACTACTGGTCCTTTTTCAAAACATCTCCAGAACTGACTGCTTCTCTTCACCTCCACAGCCACCTCCTGGTCCTCCATACCAGTCTCGGCCCCCTCTCTCCTGGATGATTGCAGTGGCCTCCTAACTGCTCTCCTCACTGCCTCCCTCCCCACTAAGAATCTCTTCCTCACAGAGCAGCAGAGTGATCTCATGTCATCCTATTTCATTTGTCAGATTCTATCTCTCCTCTGCTGATTCTCATTAGGTCAGAGAAAAATCCAGAGTCCTTACAATGGACCATCTGCCCCTACAGGGACTGAGCCCCGAACCACAACCACCTTGCTGACCTTGGTCCTGCTGCTCTCCCCCTGCTCCCTTTGCTCCGGCCACACTGACCTCATGCTTTTCCTTGAACATCCCAGGTCTGTCCTGCCCAAGGGCCTTTGCACTTGCTGCTCCTCTGTCTGGGGCCCTACTCCCCAGACACCTTCAAGGTTTGCCTCCTAAGTCTTTAGTCTTTGTTCAAAAGTCCTCAAGGAAGTCCACCTGCCAACAATTTTTATTTATTTATTTATTTAGAGACAGAGTCTCGCTCTATCACCAAGGCCAGAGTGCAGTGGCACAATCTCGGCTCACTGCAACCTCCGCCTCCCAGGTTCAAGCAATTCTCCTGCCTCAGCCTCCAGAGTAGCTGGGATTATAGGTGCATGCCACCACGCCTGGCTAATTTTTTTTGTGTGTGTGTATTTTAGTAGAGATGGGGTCTTACGATGTTGCCCGGGCTGGTCTCTATCTCCTGAGCTCAGGCAATCCGCCCGACTCAGCCTCCCAAAGTGCTAGGATTACAGGCGTGTGCCACTGCACCCAGCCAATTTTATTTAAAGTAGTACCTTCCCTAGCCTCTCCAGCTACTCCCTATCTCCCTCCCTACCTAGCACCTTCCAACATACTATGTCATTCACTTATTTTTCTTTATTGTAAATTTAATGACTTACAGATAATTCAGTAATTTGATCTGTTTTATTCTCTGATTTACCCAGAACACCCATCTCAGTTCCTGGAACCGAGCAGATGCCCAATTAATATTGGTTGAATGTTTAAAGGAACAAAGGCAACTATTTTCCCTTCTCAGACAGGATGACAGGATGACAAAGCTATGAATAACATAGGTTGTTCTTGTACGAAGTTCTGCAGAACCCTGAGTCCCTGTAGGAAAGATCACATATCTGCAGAGAGAGAAGAGTAGATGACTGGTGTCTGGGTACTTTCTAGAATGTACTTGCTTTAGAAATTGTGTCTGCCTCTTTTCAGTGTTTTCATTGAAAATCTCAACCTAAATAAACACAGAGAGATTCTGCAAATATAATGAGTTTAATTGGGAGTGAGCACTGCAGTGTGGAATATGTGTGGCATTATAAACTATGGGCCTATTCAGAGAGGCAAAGGGTAAAAAGGGCTTTTAAAAGAAAAATGGGGAGGGTTACATAAGCTGTTTTGAAACAATTATCCTTGGTTATGAGGATTAATAACGAGAGTGGCCCAGGCAGTTGCTAAGCAGATGTCCCGGCAGAAGTATTGTTTGGGTAAGGTTGCAGTGACCTTTGTGCAAGGTTCTGATTTTTACAGTCTTTTGTGATACATCTTTGTTATCAGACAATCGTGCATAAGGACCCTCCCTTTATAGATTTTCCCAGTTCTGTTTTGTTACGGTTTGACCAAACGACTTCATTTTGATTCTGACAACTTTTGCAAATAGAAAATTTTTAATGGTGTCTTCAAGGAGATAAGATAGGTGTTACGAAATATTAACAATGGCCTGAAGCAGTCCGAGAAAGGAACAGAACCCGTCCCTCCCCATCTTGGTCTGCAAGATGGGGACTCAGAAGGATCCTCGTCTTGCAGACAAGGCTCAGCTGAAGGGGAGGCTGAAGGGGAGCTTAGCCTTGCCCAGTAACCACAAGATCCAGTGGTCTGTGTCAATTCCGGGGACGTAGACCAGTCAGAAAATCGATAGCCACCCCCCATCTTTCATGATGAGGGCCAGGGCAGCATTTCCCACAGGATCAGCAACAAAGAAACGCTTTGGGCAGACTGGCATTGTGTGCCCAGAAATTTCCTACTCATTGTGATTTTTAAAAAATGACCAGGCGCAGTGGCTCACGCCTGTAATCCCAACACTTTGGGATGCCAAGGTGGGTGGATCACCTGAGGTCAGGAGTTCAAGACCAGCCTGGCCAACGTGGTGAAACCCCGTCTCTAATAAAAATACAAAAATTAGCGGGGTGTGGTGGTGGGTGCCTATAATCCCAGCTACTGGGGGAGGCTGAGGCAGGAGAATTGCTTGAACCTGGGAGGCAGATGTTGCAGTGAGCTGATATCACACCATTGCACTCCAGCCTGGGTGACAAGAGCAAAACTCTGTCTCCAAAAAAAAACAAAAAAGCCCTGAGTCCTTTCTGGGGCTGAGCAGGGAGACAGCCCTAACCTAAGCAGTTCCTAAAACATCCCCACATTTTAATAGCCAGTGTCTTGAAGGAGTGGGAGTGGAGAGAGCATCAGGAGGTTTAAAATTTAACATTTTCTCTTCTGTGGCTGTTGGCATTGTTTTATCTTTGTACCGTATGTGTGCATGTATTATTTATATTTTGGCGTTGTTTTACCTTTGTACTGTATATGTGCGTGTACATTTGTACTGTATGTGTGCATATGTGTGTGCATACACATGTGCATGTGTGTGCATATACATGCATGTGCATATACATGTGTACGTACATGCATGTGCATATGTGCATATATGTGGATGTGTGCATGTGTGTGCATATTTGTGTGCATATGTGTGCATAAATGTGTGCATGCATGTGTGCACGTGTGCGTATATTGTGTGTGCATATACATGTGTGCATGTATGTGTATGCATATGCTAATGTGTGCATGTGTGTGACTATGTGCGCATGCATGTGCATGTGTGTGCATATACGTGTGTGCATGCATGTGCATATATGTGTGCACGTGTGTGTGCATGTGTGTGTATGTGTATATATTAACCTGTGTGCATTGTGTGCATATATTAGCATGTGTGCATGTATGTGCATGTGTGTGTGCATGCATGTGCATGCATGTGTGCACATACGTGTGTGCATGCATGTGTATATATGTATCTGTGCATGCATATACATATGTGCGTGTATGTGTACATGTGCATGAATGTATGTGCGTGTGTGTGAATATTAACGTGTGTGCATATATGTGGGTGTGTGCATATATATTAGCATGTGTGTGCATATCTGTGTGTATATTAAGGTGTGTATGTCCCAGCTTCCGAAGTGAGGTTTATTTACAGTAGAAAGGGATTCTACAGTTTACAAAAGGATTTGCCAAAGGCTTCTTTGAAGTGCTGTGCTCTCCAGGGACTAGCAGAAAAGCTTTTCATTTATAAACCCTTCCCTTGCATGCTCTGAAGCAACCCTTAAACACATGGTCAATTTCCATTTCAAGTTCTGTTCAGTTTAAGCCACAGTCTCCCAAGTTGCAGTGTGCAGCATTGTGCTTGGCATAGTGGGGGAACAAAGATGAAGACTTGTGTTCAAAGAGTAACTGGCACTGTCAACTCTCTCACAGAGGAGACCTCTAACGACCTTTTCAGAAACTATTGCCAGGTACAATTTAGCGAGAACTCTCGGTATCATTCATAAATCCCACGAAGAGGGCAGATGTGCTCTGGTCTCTGGTGCCTCTGGTCTTCCAGGTTGTTGGGGCCTCTGGGAGTCTCTGCTGTAGTCAGAAGGGAGGTGAGAGAGTGATGGTGAAGGAGGAACAGCGAGTCCGCATTCCTTATCAACACCATCATGGTGCAGAACCCACAGAAAGAGCCCTGCAGTACAATGAGGGAGAATTTTTGAAATTATGACAAAAGATGTTACAGGCAACTTGAAAAAACAAGTCCCAGTGATGTCTGGGGAAGGCAAGGAGGGAGCAAGAGGCCTTTTTGAGTTATCCGTGTCCTCAGCCAACCTGGTAGTTTACTTCCCTTGCAAGCTCCTTCATACCCTGGCCATCAGCAGCCTGCCTGTGCTGCCGATGTTGTCACAGGGGGAGGCAATGTGGGACAAATTGCAGTTATCCCTGAAATTTCTTTCTTTCTTTTTTTTTTTTGACACGGAGTTTTGCTCTTGTTGCCCAGGCTAGAGTGCAGTGACACAATCTTAGCTCACTGCAACCTCTGCCTCCCGGGTTCAAGTGATTCTCCTGTCTCAGCCTCCCGAGTAGCTGGGATTACAGGCACGCACCATCAAGCCCAGCTACTTTTTTGTAATTTTAGTAAAGATGGGGTTTCACCATGTTGGCCAGGCTGTCTTGCACTCTTGACCTCAGGTGATCTGCCTGCTTCAGCCTCCCAAAGTGCTGGGATTACAGGCGTGAGCCACCGCGCCCAGCCCTAAATTTTTATTTTATTGTTCCTACTTGAAATGAGTTTCTCTATTGATAAAATCTTTTAAAACAAGGATATATTTCTTTTTAAAGTAGAAAAGATACAATAAAAGCTTTAAAAAAACAATGAGAAAGTGCGGAACCCACCCTATTGGGTCTTTGTGAGGATTAAATGAGATGATACCACGCCCAGGGCACAGTGTCTGCAAGTGAGGAGAGTGAGGTCAGGGAGCCGCCAAAGCCTCGTTGCTGCTGTGGCTGTGTGGCTGTGGTTGTTGCTGTTGGACATTGAGGGGTTTAGTAATATTGTTGCGGTGGGACTTTGACAGGTAGTTTTACTTATCCACGCCGCGTGGCTAAGTCCTCAGTAAAATCAGAACACGCTCTTCCCAGCCTGAAAGTAGGATGATGGATTGGAAGACCTTATAATACCATTTCAAATGTCCAAAATCTCTGTTTTTATGGCTATACTGGGTTTGGTGACCTTTGATCTTAATGCAATGGAAGGGCAGGGGGATGATATGAAGTATCCCATCTATTTCTGCATAATTCACTACCTACATTCACTCAGGCATTCGAGAAACAGGTATGCAGCTTCTGCCTTATTCCCATTGTATCAATGAGGAAACTGAGGCTTATCATCCTCATCATATTATGCAGCCTTAATCCCTCTCTGTGCAGGCAGTGGGCTCTCTGCTTGCATTGACTTCGATATCACGAGCTCAAGGAGTTGCACGGGAAATCGGGATTTTGGTAGCTTGAAATAAATGGCTCCCTTGAATGGGCTGTGTCCTCCTGGGTCATTGCCAGCAAATCAATATTTGACTGTGCCACCCAGGGTGGTGCTCACCTCACCCACACTTGCCACCTAAGAAGTTACAGAGAAGATCAATAATCTGACAAAATCTAAATAAAAGTGTCTCAAGTAAACCAGAGGGGAGGAGATGTGCAGGCAGCTCTTGGGGAGTCCATAAATCTGGGCGGATAAATTACCTGGGCAGGTGCCTCTGCCACCAGCATCCTGGCTTAGGACAGGAGCGGCATAATTACCTCTCTGGTGGTAGTTATCTGGAGTGAGCCAATCCATTTTTCTTTTTTATTACCACTGAATTTCAGGAAAGTGTCCTCTGCAGGCCCCTTTTATCTAAATGTTGGATTTATTTGATGACTATACTAGGTCTGATGACAAGGGCCAGAGCGTGCCCTGCAGTAAGGAGGACTCGGTCCCTGAGCCTGCCGCGTGAAGGGTGCTCTCAGAGGGCATGATGGGTGGGTTGCTAGACAGCCAGCCATTCATAACCGTCATTCCCATCAGTGGTGCCGTTAATTTTCCTTCCTTCCCTGTTTCCCTGCTCAGTGGACTGGCTGGGCCCAACTCAAAGCAGCGGGAAGAGGGTGATAATAATTCAGGATTTTAAGGAGGATTTCTCTGCTGAGATGGGTAGGAAAAGGGGCAACTGGCCAGCAGGGCTATTTCCCTGCATCCAACTCTAACCTCCTCCTCACCTCTGCACGTTCCGTTGCAGTCAGAGCACCAACAGGAACTGGCTCCCATTGGCAAAATCACAGATTCCAGGATGTCCTTTTCTAAGCAAATTGCCCCAGCTCCCATGACACTCTAGGGCCCAAGTTGCCTGCCAAAGTTAGATGTCTTTTCTTCCAGGCCCCTTGCCTAGGCATTTCTGAGCAATGTCAGCTTCCTTGTAAAGCAGCCAAGTTAATTTTATAAAATATAGATCAATTCCATGTCCTCATTCCATCCAGGAGGAAGGAAGAACAAGAAAACATGAAAAGTAGAAGCCTTCCCTTTAAGGACAACCTGTATAGTGCACACAATTATTTGTATGCCATTGGTAGGAAATGGTCACATGCATGCACCTTGCTGCAGGGCACACTGGGAAAGTGTAGTTTTTATTTTATGCAGTTTAAATCTCAGGATCCGTAATGAAAGGAAGAAGTGGAGAATATATGGGGGTGGGGTGGGTGGGTGGGAAAGGGCTGGCTGGCCACAGTAAGGGGAACACGTAACAAGTGTTTTGGAGATTTGAGGTGAGTCTGGCAGTGGAGTGGGAAAAGAGATATGTCTATTCTGTCTTTTTTTTTTTAACCTTCCTGACTTCCTGGAGACTCCATTCTTTTCCTTTGACCTTTCTCAACCTTGACACGGGTATGTGGCTTTTTTCTTTTTTCTTCTTCTTCTTTTTTTTTTTTTTTTTTTTTTTGAGATGGAGTTTTTTGCTCTTGTTGCCCAGGCTGGAGTGCAATGGCGTGATCTCAGCTCACCACAACATCTGCCTCCCAAGTTCAAGCAATTCTCCTGCCTCAGCCTCCTGAGTAGCTGGGATTCAGGCATATGCCACCACACCCACCTAATTTTAGTATTTTTAGTAGAGATGGGGTTTCTCCATGTTGGTCAGGCTGGTCTCGAACTCCCGACCTCAGGTGATCCACCCACCTTGGCCTCCCAAAGCGCTGGGACTACAGGCGTGAGCCACGGTGGCTTTTTTCTTATCTTAATTTATATTTTCCAAAGTGCCTCCTAGGCCACCTAAAGCTCTGGGATTCACCAGACTAAGTGAGACCATATGGAAGTTTAAAGAAGCTAGTTGTTGGGATCCACTCTGTGCCAGACACTATGCTGGGTGTTGGGAATACAGCAGAGATTAAGACACAGATACACCTTTCCCCTCCTAGAACGGGGACTATAGCATGAGAAAATCACACAAATACACATCAAATGATAACTGTGACTTCTGCTTCTGGCTAAGATGGAATAACAGGGACTGGATTTCCCATGCTGCGGAAAACAACTAAAAAAACTGGAAAAAATATATAGAACAATGTTTTTTAAACATTAGGCACCAAGCAAAGAGGGCACAATGATCCCTGAAAGGCAGGAAAGAAAAAGGCAAGCCCTGTGAGTATTTCAGCTTTGTAGATCAAAAAACGTTTTTATTTCTCCTTTGTTTCTGAAAGGCATTCTTTTAGCGTTTAGAATTTTAGAGCATTTTAAAATATTTATCCACCATGTTCGCACTTGAATAATTTCTGAGGAGAATCTGCTGTCATCCATATATTTGCTCCTCTGTGCATAATGTGCCTTTTTTCCCTTTGGCTGCTTTTAAGATTTTTTTAAAAAACACTGCCTTTGAGCCCTTTGATTAGGATACAATGTATTAGGGTTCTCTAGAGGGACAGAACAAATAGGATAGATGTATATATGAAGGGGAGTTTATTAAGGAGTATTACTCACATGATCACAAGGTGAGGTCCCACAGCAGGCCGTCTGCAAGCTGAGGAGCAAGGAAGCCAGTCTGAGTCCCAAAACCTCAAAAGTAAAGAAGCCGACAGTGCGGCCTTTAGTCTGTGGCCGAAGGTCAAGAGTCCCAAAGCTGAAGAACTTGGAGACTAATGTTCGAGGTCAGGAAGCATCCAGCACGGGACAAAGATGGAGGCCAGGAGACTCGGCCAATCTAGTCTTTTCACGTTTTTCTGCCTGCTCTTATTCTGGCTACACTGGCAGCTGGTTAGATTGTGCCTGCCTAGATTGAAGGTGCGTCTACCTTTCCCAGTCCACTGACTCAAATGTTAATTTCCTTTGGCAACACCCTCACAGACACACCCAGGAACAATACTTTGCATCCTTCAATCCAATCAAGTTGACACTCAATATTAACCATCACATGTGACTTGGTGTTTTTGTCTTTCTTGGGTTTTTTGTTTGTTTGTTTGTTTTTGCTTGGGATTTATTGTATTTCTTCGACCTGTGGGTTCATACTTTTTATCAAAATTGGAAAATTTGTAGCCATTGTCTTTTCAAAGTTTTTTTTTTCCTGTTTTGAAGACATTAATTACCAGCAGATAGCCACCACAAGAAATGTTAAATAAAATCTTTCAGGCAGAAGAAAAATGATACCAGGTGAAAATATGGATCTCACAAGGGAATAAAGTGCACTGGAAATAGTAATTACACAGGTTAATATAACATTTTCTCTTACTATTTAAATCTCTTGAAAAGGTCATTGATTATTTGAAGACTAATAACAACAATGTAGTGTTGGGTTTACAACATATGTAGAAGTAAAATGAATGACATCAATAACATAAAGGCATAGAGAAAAGAAATGGAAGTATACTAGTCCAGGGTTCTAATATGTGAAATGGTATAATACTTGAAGATACACAATGATAAGTGAAGTGTGCATAATATAAACCCTAAAGTAACCACTAAAATACCAAAACAAAGAATTATAGGTAATAAGCTAACAAAGGAGATAAAATGGAATCAGAAAAATACTCAATTATTTAAAAAGAAGGCAGAAATAAAGAAAAAGTGAACAAAGAACAGTTGTGACAAACAGAAAACAAAACATAAAACACAGTAGTTATGTGTGAAAACTAAGTGTATTAATAGTCACATTAAGTGAAAATGGTATAAACACCATCAATCTTAAGTGTGGAAATTCTCAGATTAAAGAGCAAGACTCGACTATATGATATCAAAAGAAATACACTTTAAATATTAAGGTACAAACAGATTAAAAGTAAAAGGATAGGCTGGGCACGGTGGCTCACACCTGTAATGCCAGCACTTTGGGAGGCCAAAATGGGAGGATGGCTTGAAGCCAAGAGTTCAAGACCAGCCAGGGCAACATAGTGAGACCCTATCTCTGTAAAAGATACAAAAGTAAGCCAGGCGTGGTGGCATACCTGTAGTCCCAGTTTCTTTAAAGGCAGAGGCGGGAGGATCACTTCAGCCTGGGAGGTCAAGGCTGCAGTGAGCTGTGATTGCACCACTGCACTTCAGCCTGGGTGACAGAGCAAGATCCACTCTCTAAAAGAAAAAATAAAAGATAGAAAATGATATTTCATGCTAGCAATAATCAATAAAAAGCAAGAGTGGCTATATTAATATCAGAATAGATTTCAGGGCAAAGAATGCTATTACCAGGAATAAAATGGGTCATTTGATAATGATAAAGATTTCAATTCATCAAGAGAATATGAGTCCTACACTCAGATACATGAACAAGCAGAGCTTAAAAATAATGAAACAAAAATAGAACTGCAAAGAGAAATCGACAAATCTATATAGTGAAAAACTTTCATATCCCTCTTGTCGATGAAAGGAGTTGAACTCTGTAAAATATTAGAGGAGATTTATTCTGAGCCAAATATGAGTGACCATGGCCCCTGACTCAGCCCTCAGGAGGTCCTGAGAACATGTGCCCAAGGTGGTCAGGGTACAGCTTGGTTTCATATATTTTAGGGAAGCCTGAGGCATCCATCAAATACATTTAAGAAATAGATTGCTTTGGTTCAGAAAGACGGGACAACCCAAAGCGGGGAATGGGGGGCTTCTAGGCTATAGGCGAATTTAAACATTTTCTGGTTGACAATTGGTTGAGTTTGTCTAAAGACCTGGGATAGATAGCTAGGCGCCGTGGCTCATGCCTATAATCCCAGCACTTTGGGAGACCCAGGTGGGTGGATCATGAGGTCAGGAGATCAAGACCATCCTGGCCAACATGGTGAAACCCAGTCTCTACTAAAAATACAAAAATTAGCTGGGCATGGTGGTGTGCGCCTGTAGTTCCAGCTACTCAGGAGGCTGAGGCAGGAGAATCATTTTGAACCCGGGAGGCAGAGGTTGCAGTGAGCCGAGATTGCACCACTGCCCTCCAGCCTGGGTGACAGAGTGAGACTCTGTCTCAAAAAAAAAAAAAAGACCTGGGATAGACAGAAAGGGAATTTTCAGGTTAAGATAAAAGATTGTGTAGAACAAAGTTCTTTTGAAGTCTTATAGTGGCTGCCCTTAGAGACAATAGATGACAAATGTGTCCTATTCAGATGTTATTTAATCTCTTTAGGATTGGGAGGGTCTGAGAGAAAAAGATGTAGCTATGTTAATAGAGATTCTTATAGATGCAAATTCTCCCCCACAAAGAACGGCTTTGCAGGACCATTTTAAAATATGGCAAATAAATATGTTTGGGGATGAAATATTTTGGTTTTTGATTTTCTTCTTTGTCTCATAATGTTATGCCAGAGTGAGGTTGGAAAGTAAATCATGATATATAGGGTTAAATAAAATCCATCTGAGAATTTATGATTTGTTGGGTATGACTCCCCAGACCGCTTAGATAGGAGTTTGGGCAAGATAAAAATATCAGAGTTTAGTCCTCACTCTCGTAATAACTGGTAGAACTGTCACGCACGTCCATGTGAAGAGACCACCAACAGGCTTTGTGTGAGCAACAAGGCTGTTTACTTCACCCGGGTGCAGGCGGGCTGAGTCCGAAAAAGGAGTCAGCAAAGGGTGGTGGGATTATCATTAGTTCTTTTGGTTTGGGATAGGCGTACAAACTACCTTCTTAAGGGCAGGGGGAGAATATTACAAAGTACCTTCTCAAGGGCAGGGGAGACTGTATCGTATCAGTTAGGGCGGGGCAGGAACAAATCACAATGGTGGAATGTCATCAGTTAAGGCTATTTTCACTTTTGTGGATCTTCAGTTGCTTCAGGCCATCTGGATGTATACTTGCAGGTTACAGGGGATATGATGGCTTAGCTTGGGCTCAGAGGTCTGACATTCCTGTCTTCTTATATTAATAAGAAAAACAAAACAAAATAGTGGTGAAGTGTTGGGGCGGTAAAAATTTTTGGGGGTGGTATGGAGAGATAATGGGAGATGTTTCTCAGGGCTGCTTCAAGCAGGATTAGGGGCAGCGTGGGAACCTACAGTGGGAGAGATTAAACTGAAGAAAGATTTTGGGGTAAGGGGTGATATTGTGGGGTTAGAAGGAGCATTTGTCATATAGAATTATTGGTGATGGCCTGGATGCGGTTTTGTATGAACTGAGAAACTAAACGGAAGACACAAGGTCTGAATAAAAGAAGGAGAAAAATAGGTATTACAGGACTAAGAATTGGGAGTACCCAAGACATCCAATTACAGAATCTCCAAGGGGGTTCAGCATAATTATTTGCTTGGCTGGAGAGTTGTTGGGCTCTATCCTTGAGTTTTTTGATGTTGTCATATACCAGGCCAGATTTAGATAAAAGCAACACTCTTCATTTAAAAATATACAGAATCCCCTTTTTTTAGCAGTGAGTAAGTTGGGGCCTCAGCAATTTTGGAGGAAAGAGAAATGCAAAGTCAGCAATTGTTTGTTAAAGAAGGATTAGAAATGGCTAGGAGAGAGTGAGTGAGATTGACAGTGTGGTGGTGATAGCTGGGGAGAGGTAGAGGGTGGCATAAGAATGGGAATGAGAATAAGAGCGAGTATAAAAGTAAAGAATAGGATTTCATCAGGGTGAAAGTATTGGAGTGTGTCCTGTCAGCAAAGATCATCTATCCACTCCAAGAGGGAGTCAAGAGTGGAGGATTGGGGATAGATTTTCATGATGTAAAGGAAATGAGAGGTTTTAAGAGGCAGGATAACGGCTTGTAACCTACATGGAAGAGGGTATGAAATGATGACAGAATAGAATGGGCCTGTGAGGCTGGAAGGAGTTTTTTTTTTTTTTTTTTTTTTTTTTTTTTTTTTTTGGTCTAAGAACCATCTGCCTTGAGTGGAGAGGGATTGATAGCTGGAAACTTCAGTAGGAGAGTAAATAGGAGTGACCAATGAGGAGAAAAACTGGCCATGAGGGACAGAAGTTGGAATGCTAGCTGCTTCTTTAGCTACCTTATCAGCATAAGCATTGCCATGAGTGATAGAATCCAATGCTTTTTGATGGCCCTTGCAGTGAATGACTCCAGCTTCCTTTGGAAGTAAAGCGGCTTTAAGAAGAGTTTTTATTAAGCAGGCATTAATGATGGAGGACTGTTGTGTAGTGAAGAAATTTCTTTCTGCCCATATAACAGCATGGTGGTACAGGATATGGAAGGCATAAATTGACTCATATCTTGAGTCAGTATAAATATTGACACGTAGTCCCTTTGCAAGAGTGAGGGCCCAGGTTAAGGCAATGAGTTCAGCTTGCTGAGAGGTAGTGGAGAGGGGCAGAGCAGTAGCCTCAGTGATAGATGTGGAAGATACTATAGCATAGCCTGCCTTTGCTGGTGAGTGGTGGTTAGGCTTGGTGGAACTGCCATCAATAAACCAAATGTGATCAGGGCGAGGAACAGGAAAGAAGGAAATATGGGGAAATGGAGTGAATGTCAGGCGGATCAGAGAGATATAGTCATAGGGGTCAGGTGTGATATCTGGAATAATGTGGGAGGCCAGATTGAAGTCTGGGCCAGGAACAATGGTAATTGTGGGAGACTCAACAAACAGTGAGTATAGCTGAAGGAACTGGGGGGCAGAAAGTATATGCATCAAGTATGAGGAGGAAAATAGATTTTGAAAGTCATGGGAACTGTAGAGAGTAAGTGGACCATAGCTTGTGATTTTGAGGGCCTCTAAAAGTATTAAGGCAGCGGCAGCCACTGCACGCAGACATGAGGGCTAGGCTAAAACAGTAAGGTCAAGTTGTTTGGACAGAAAGGCTACAGGGCGCGGTAACGGCTCTTGTGTAAGAATTCTGACTGCACAGCCCTGTACTTTGGCTATGTGTAGTGAAAAGGGTTGGGATGAGTTAGGGAGAGCTAGTGTGGAAGCAGATTTTAGGACTGTTTTTTATGGAATGGAAATGGGAGTGGGGAAACAATTTAGGATTTATGGAGTCAGCTAGGTTTATCTAGAACAGAATACTGGGTTGTGAAGGGAGGTATTGAGGATAGGAGGGTATATGGGTTTGGCACCACGGGGGTGGATAGGCAAGACAATTTGGTTGATAAGGTGCAGATCCTGAACTAACCTGTAAGACTTGTCCAGTGTCTGAACAGGTAAAATTGGGGGAATTGTAAGGAGAGTTTATAGGCTTTAAAAGGCCACGCTGTAACAGGCAAGTTGTAACAGGCTTTAATCCTTTTAAAGTGTGCTGTGGGATGGGATATTGGCATTGAGCGGGGTAAGGGTGATTAGGTTTTAATGGGATGGTAAGCGGTACATGATCAGTCATCAAGGAGGGAGTAGAGGTGTCCTATACTTGTGGATAAGGTGGGGAGATAAAAAGGGAGGATGTGAAGGAAGCTTTGAACTGGGGAAAAAGGCAGCAATGAAGTGTGGCTGTAGCCCAGGAATGTCAGGGAAGCAGATAATTTAGTTAAAATGTCTCGACCTAATAAGGGAGCTGGGCATGTGGGGATAACTAAAAAGGGGTGCATTAAAGAACGTTGTCCAAGTTGGCACCAGAGTTGGGGAGTTTTAAGAGATTTAGAAGCCTGGCCGTCAGTACCCACACAGTTATGGAGGCAAGGGATACATGCCCTTGAAAAGAAGGTAATGTGGAGTGGGTAGCCTCCATATTGATTAAGAAGGGGACGGACTTGCCCTCCACTGTAAGAGTTACCCAAAGCATCTGTGATGGTCCAGGAGGCTTCCGAGGCAATCGGGCAGTGCCAGTCTTCAGCTGCTAAGCCGAGAAGATCTGGGAAGGAGTCAATCAGAGAACCCTGGGCCAGAGTTCCAGGGGCTCTGGGAGTGGCTGCCGGGTGAGTTGGACAGTCTGATTTCCAGTGGGGTCCCACACAGATGGGACATGACTTAGGAGGAATCCCAGGCTGCAGGCATTCCTTGGCACAGTGGCCAGATTTCTGGCACTTGAAGCAAAATCCTGGGGGAGGAGGTCCTGGAGGAATGCCTGGCCACTGCGGTTTAGGTGTTCTGAAGTTCTTGTGTGCTGGAGATGTGGCTGGGGTTTCTCTCACAGCAGAGGCAAGTAATTGCAACTCTTCTCTATTATTGTACACCTTGAAGGCGAGGTTAATTAAGTCGTGTTCTGGGGTTTGAGGGCCAGAATCTAATTTTTGGAGCTTTTTCTAATGTTGGGAGCAGAATGTGTAATAAAATGCATATTGAGAATAAGACGGCCTTCTGGCCCCTCTGGGTCTAGGGCGGTAAAGCATCTAAGGGTTGTTGCCAAATGAACCATGGACTGGGCTGGGTTTTTATATTTAATGAAAAAGAGCCTAAATGCTAACTGATTTGGGCAAGGTCTGATAGAGAAAAAGGAGCATTAACCTTGACTATGCCTTTAGCTCAGCCACTTCTTTAAAAGGAAATTGTTGGGCAGGTGGGGGAGGGCTAGTCGTGGAATGAAACCATAAGCTGGACCGGGTGTGAGGAGGGGAGGTGATAGAAGGATTATAGGGTGGGGGAGCAGAGGCTGAAGAAGAATTGGGACCTGGCTCGGCCTGGCGAGGAGCAGCCTGGGGAGGAGGGGAGAGGTCAGATGAGTCCATAGAAAAGAAGGATTCAAAGGACTCAGAACTTGGGGTGGAGACTGAAGGAACACAAAGGAGAGAAAGAAGAAAGATTTGGTATGAGTCGCATTGGGAGCAGAGACTAGTGAGGGACCGATGTGTAAAAGAATGCCTGGACATCAGGCACCTCAGAGCATTTGCCCATTTTTCGACAAAAATCATCCACATCTTGTAAAATGGAGAAATCAAAAGTGCCATTTTCTGGCTAGTTGGAACTATTGTCAAGTTTGTATTGGGGCCAAGTGGTATTGCAGAAGAAAATAAGACACTTAGGTTTTAGGTCAGGTATGAGTTGAAGAGGTTTTAAGTTTTTGAGAGCACAGGCTAAGGGAGAAGGAGGAATGCAGGGTGGAAGGTTGCCCATAGTGAAGGAAGCAAGCCCAGAGAAAAGAGAGGGTAGAAACATGGAGAAAGTGGGTGAGGGGGTGGTGAGCAGCCCTGGGCTGCAATGTGGGTGAGCAGCCAAAGCAGGCGTCTTTGCAATTGACTTGCCACCAAGGGAACGTGGGTGAATGACCAAGGCAGGCATCTCAGCGGTGATCAGACACCAATGAAATGTGGGTGAATAATCAGGCAGGCATCACCACAGTGATTAAACACCAAGGGAAGACTGTCTTCCCCGAGTCCGTGACCAGCACCGGAGTTTAGTTTTGGGTCCAGGGATAAAATGTGTCTCCTTTGTCTCTACTAGAGAGGAAAAGAACTGGAATTGGAAGGACAGGGAGATTGAAGGGTAGTGAGAGAGGGAGATTGAAGGGTAGCAAGAGAGGCTGGAGAAGAGAGTGAAAAGACTGCTTACCCGAATTGAAATTGGTGAGATGTTGCTTGGGCTGATTGGTCTGAGGACCCAAGGTCGTAGGTGGATCTCTTCACGGAGTGAGGGTGAGGACAGGGACTGGTCTCCTGAAAGAGTCCTCCTGTCCCAGGTCTTCGGCACCAAATGTCACATGAGTCCATGTGAAGAGAGTCCACCAACAAGCTTTGTGTGAGCAACAAGCCTGTTTACTTCACCTGGGTGCAGGCGGGCTGAGTCCGAAAAAGGAGTCAGCGAAGGGTGGTGGGATTATCATTAGTTCTTATAGGTTTGGGATAGGCGTACAAAGTACATTCTCCAGGGCGGGGAGACTATTACAAAGTACCTTATTAATGGTGGGGGAGACTATATCGTATCAGTTAGGGTGGGGCAGGAACAAATCACAATGGTGGAATGTCATCAGTTAAGGCTCTTTTCACTTCTTTTGTGGATCTTCAGTTGCTTCAGGCCATCTGGATGTATACGTGCAAGTCACAGGGGATATGATGGCTTAGCTTGGGCTCAGAGGCCTGACAAGAACAAGTAGACACAGAGTCAAAAAGGATATAAAAGACACATCAAACCACTTGTTCTAATAGGCATTTATAAAACTCTCTACCCAACAATAGCAGGATACACATTATAATCAAATGCATGTGAAACACTGATCAAGATTGATTATATAAACAAAGTCTCAAAGAGTAAATCAAAAGAAAAATTAAGAAGTATTTTGAATTGAATGAAAATTAAAGCCTGACATATCAAAATTTATGACATTCCATGAAAGCAGTACTTTAGGAGGAATTTGTGGCACAAAACACCTATATTAGACAATGAGAAAGGTCTCAAATTAATGGCTTCAGCTTCCATGTTAAGAAGCTAGAAGAGCAATTTAAACTCAAAACAGAGAAAAGACAATAAAGATCAGACCAAAAATTAATGAGATAGAAAACATAAATAACATAAATTATAATACAATCTAGTTGAGAAAATTAATAATATAATAACTATATATCCGAGGGATTGAGAGAAAAGAGAGAAATTATAAATCACTAATATCAGAAATGAGAGAGGGAAGATTGCTATCAATTCTACAGGTATTAAAACGAGTGTAAAGGAATAGTATAAACAACTTTATGCAAACAAACTTGACAACCTACGTAGATAAATTTGTTTAAATACATAAATTACCAAAGATCACTCAAGAAGAAATTGACTGCCAGGAGAATCCCATGCCTGTTAGAGAAATTGAATAATTGAACTTGCTGTTAAAAATCTCCCATGAACAGCTAGGTGCAGTGGCTCACACCTGTAATCCCAGCACTTTGGGAGGCCGAGGCGGGAGGACTGCTTGAATTCAGGAGTTCAAGCCCAGCCTGGGCAACAGCAACATAGTGACACCCGCATCTCTAGAAAAAGTAAAAAATTAGGCATGGTGGTGCATGACTATAGTCTCAGCTACTCAGGAGGCTGAGGTGGGAGGATCGCTTGAGCCCAGAAGTTTGAGGCTGCAGTGAGCTATGATCATACCACTGCATCTAGTCTATGTGACAGGGCAAGACTTTGCCTCAAAAACAAAAACAAAACAAAACAAAGCCTTCCCTCTAGAAAACTCAAGACCTAGATGGCTTCTCTGCAGAATTCTACAAAACATTTAAGGATGAAAGAATATCAAATCTACACAAAGTTTTCCATACAATTGAAGAGGAGGGACTACTTGCTAATTCATTCTGTGAGTCCAGCATTTCCCTGTGCTATGGTTTGAATGCTTTCATTCTTTCTTAATTTCGTATTGAAACCTAATCCCCAATGCAACAGTTTGGGAGGTGTGCGCTTTTGGGAGGTGTTTACATCATGAGAGCTCTGCCTTCATGGTTGGATTAATGCCATTATAAAAGGGCTCGAAGGAGAGAGTTCACATCTTTTGTACTTCTGCCTTCTGACATGTGAGGATACAGCATGTCTCCCCTCTGGAAGATGCAGTGTTCAAGGCACCATCATGGAACCAGAAAGACTGTGCCCTAACCTAGTGGTGACTTGACCTTGAACTTCCTAGTCTCTAGGACTGTGGGAAATAAATTTCTGTTTTATATAAATTATACAGTCTCAGGTATATTGCTATAGCAGCACAAAACAGACTAAGACATCCTGATATCAAAACCATGTGGACTTTACTAGAAAAGAAAACTACAGAACAGTATTCCTCATAAACATAGGTTTAAGGTTTTTAAACAAAATTCAGAAAATCAAATCCAACAATATATAAGATAGAAAATGCATCATGGTGGCTGGGCCTGGTGGCTCACACCTGTAATCCCAGCAGTTTGGGAGGCTGAGGCGGGTGGATCACTTGAGGTTGGGAGTTCAAGACCAGCCTGACCAACATGGAGAAAACCCGTCTCTACTAAAAGTACAAAATTAGCTGGGCATGGTGGCACATGCTTGTAATCCCAGGTACTTGGGAAGCTGAGGCAGGAAAATCACTGGAACCCAGAAGGCAGAGGTTGCAGTAAGCCAAGATTGCACCATTGCACTCTCCAGCCTGGGTGGGCAACAAGAGCAAAACTCTGTCTCAGAAAAAAAAAAAAAGAAAAAGAAAAAAGGAAAAGAAAATGCATCATGGCCAAGTGGAATTTTTCTTAGAATGCAAAGCTGATTTAATATTAAAAAATCAATCAATGTAATTCATAATATTGTAAAACCAGATGATCATTGCACTAGATGTAGTACAACTATTTCACAAAATTCAAGACCCATTTGTGATAAAAGCTCTCAGCACAGTAGGAATAGAAGTGAACTCTTTCATCTTGATAAAGGACACCTACATATATCAGCCACTAACATCATACTTACTGATGAAAGACTGAAGCCTTTTTGCCTTGAGATCAGGAACAAGGTAAAACCCAGAGTCACCACTCCTATTTGACAATGTAGTGGAGGTTGTAGCCAATGCAACAAAGCAAGAAAAAGAAATTAAGGGCATCCAGATTTAATTAAAGGATTAAAGAAAAAAGTAAACCTGTCATTATTCACAGATATAGAATCTATTTTTAAAAAACGATACCTTTAACTGAAAAATGAGTTTAGCAAGTTTTCAGGCCATATAATCAATACACAAAAATCAACTGCATCTCTACATATTGGGAATGGATAATTGGAAATTGCAATAGAAAGTCAATACCATTTGCAATAGCATAAGGAATATAAATTCATTAGTGATAAATCTGACAAAAGAAGTATAAGATATATACACTGAAAATTGTAAAAAAAAATTTTGAGAGAAATTTAAAATTACTTAAGTAGATAGAGAGACACAGTGTTCATGCGTTGGAAGACCCATTATTATTAAGATGTTAATTCTTCATAAATTGACTTATAGATTCAAAATAATCTCAATCTAATCCCAGAAGTGTTTTGCAGTAATTGGCAAGTTGATTCTAAAATTCATATCAAAATGTAAAGAATAGCCAACACAGCTGTTGAAAAGATCAAAGTTGGTGAATGAATATTACCGGACTTCAAGACATAGGATAATGCTACAATAATTCAGAGAATGTGGTACTGGCATCAAGATAGACAAAGTGATCAATGGAACAAAATGGAGAATGCAGAAATAAATCCACCCATTAAGGACAACTTATTTTTGACAAAAATGTAAAGGCAATTCAGTGGATAAAGAATCATCTTTTCAATAAATGGTGCTGAAACAAAAACTGGATATACATACTTCTAAAAATTGATCCATATCTTGTCCCATACACAAAAATGAATTGTCTGGCAAGTAATGAGCATTCCACAAAGGTTAGCTGTTACTGTTGGTGGTGCTGTTGTGGCTGCTGATGCCTGAGGCTGTTAGGTGGGTGATCCCACATGGTGTGTGAAGACTCCAGACGCAGAGCTGGGATCTCAGAGGAAACTCACAGGGGACAGATTTCAACTTTGGAGATGTGAGATCTGCCTGTCCTGGGAGCTGCCATTGGCCCACAGGTATGGGAGCCAAGACCAGGTGAGGTCTGGGTGGAGACACCAAGGCAGGGATTTCTAAGGGCTGTTGGACTAAGCCTGAGGCCATTTACCAGCTATGTGACCTTATTCAACCTGAGCCTCAGTTTCCTCATTTGCAAAATGGGGGTATACATGTTTTTGCTGTGAGAAGTAAGTATTCTGCCCATATAGCAGGCAGAGAGCCTGGTACGCAATAAGCCCTGCAATATGAGCCTCTTTCTCCCTCTAACATCCTTTAATTCACCAGGAAACAACCACCACAGAGCTGCTCAATTTGTCTGGTACGTGGACCCATGGCTCCTGAGAGGTGGGAAGGGGCTGCCTGCATCCGTGGGCCCTGAATCACGACATAGAGGAAGATGCCTCTGCTTCTCGATGTTGGAGGTGAGCACTGGGTCCCTAGGGCCTCCCACAGGGCAGCGTGCTTAACATGGTAACTGATGCCTGTGGAATGGGGTCCTCTGTCCGCCACCCAGGCGTTTGCAGTGTTGATAAATCCCCGTGTTGTCTTCTTCCCCTGCTCAGGGCTGTGGACTACCCTATGGCCTTTTACCTTTCAGATTCTGGGGGGCTGGGGAGAGGGGTTAGGTTATGGCTCCTGCAGGCAGGGAAGGAAATGGAGGTGTGCATTCATAAGTGACTTCCCCAGGGTCACTCAGCAAATCAGTGGTCAGTGGGGCTCCTGGTTCCTCCCAGGCTTCCAGGGCATGTTTTTCTGGGGTGGGGAGGGGACTTCCAGCTGAGCTATCCTCCTGCTGTGGCAGGAGGCCCTGATCCTAAGGACCTTCAGTCAACACTGGATGGGGCTCCTTTGTTCTGGTCGTCCCTTAGAAGCTGCCCTAAAGAACCCCCTGGATCCCATTTCACCTGTTCCAGGTACGGACCCCTAGGGTGGTCTACTCTAAAAGGGTCCCAACTCCACTTGCATCAGGGAGAGCCCTGGACCCTCCCCCTCCCAGAAATAGACTGGACTTGGGTCTGGAGTGGTTCTGCTTACAACCATCTAGTACAAACCTCCTCTCCCCACCCCTGCCCAACCTCAGGTCATTTCTCAGATGGGAAACTGGAGCTGGCCCAGCCACTCACTCTTTCCTAGTTTGTTCTGTCTCTGATTGACGAGCAATGGGATGAAGCATGAGGTTGAGGGCGAGAGGGCTGTGTTATCTCAAGAAGGCCTCTCCCAGGAGCTGATATTTGAGCTGAGAGTCATAAACTCTCAGGATGAGCAGGTGGGTCTTAGAGATAGATCCTCTGGTCCAGGCATCGCCGGGAATCTTTTAGAGGGCAGGAGGTGTTCCAGTGTAAATACAAAACAGAGCAAGCATGACATGAAAGAATCTGTTGCTCAGCCTCCAAGCTGAGGGGTGGTCAGGTGTGGCAGGACTGTGGCTACCTGGAGCATGCATGCCCTCCTGCAGTGGGCAAAAGCTGCCTCACTCAGCCAACTGCCCAGGCCAGAGTGCAAGCCCTAAGAGGCCAGCCTCCTGATGCTGCCAAGAGACAGAGGTCTGAATTTCTAGGCAAAATATCCCCATTTGTAAACTTTGGAAGTCCACCCAATTTTGAAAAAAAATACGCAGAAAAAAACAAACATATGCACAGGTGGATACATTCTGCAGCCATCAGTTTGCCACCTCTGACTTAGTCTAACATCTGCATTTTACAGGTGAGGCCACTTTTGTTGAGGGGGAGTGCGACTTAAGTGAAGACTGGTCCAGAATGAAAAGATCTCTGTGTCTCTCTCCCTGTCCCCTCTCCCCCTTTTCATCTCTGTGTCTCTCTGTCTCCATCTCTCTCTCCCTCCCTTCTCCCCTCTGTCTCTGGCTCTCTCCCTCCTCCCCTCTGTCTTTCTCTCCCTCCTCCCTTCTGTCTCTGGCTCTATTTCTCTCCCTCCTTCCCTCTGTCTCTGGCTATCTGTCTCTGTCTCTCTCCCTCCTCCCCCTGTCTCTCTCATCCCCTCTGTCTCTCTCTCTCCTCCCTTCTGTCTCTGTCTTTCGTCTCTCTGTCCCCCTCTCTCCCCCCCTCCCCTCTGTCTCTGTATCTCTGTCTCTCTTCCTCCTCCCCTCTGTCTCTGGCTCTCTCTCTCTCCCTCCTCCCCTCTGTCTCTCTCTTTCCTCCCCTCTGTCTCTCTCTCTCCTCCCCTCTGTCTCTCTCTCCTCCCCTGTCTCTCTCTCTCCTCCCCTCTGTCTCTGTCTCTCTCCCTCATCCCCTCTGTCTCTGGCTCTGTTTCTTTCCCTCCTTCTTTCTGTCTCTGGTTTTGTCTCTCTCCCTCCTCCCATCTGTCTCTGGCTCTGTCTCTCTCCCTCCCCTCTGTCTCCGTTTCTCTCCCTCATCCCTTCTGTCTCTGGCTCTCTCTGTCTCCCTCCTTCTGTCTGCCTTTCCCATACTTGGCATCTCCTCTCTGCCTCTCACTCCAGTCCTCCACCTCAGCCCCCTCCTTTCTCTCCCTCCCTCCTTTCAGTGACTGTGTTTATTTTCAGAACCTCTGACTCCTTCCCACGCCTCTGACATTTACTCTTTGGAATTAGAATATTTTCTATTTCTTTTTCCCAAAGCGAGGCTGCTGGGTAAGGTTTCCCTGGGGTTCCTACCTGCCCTTCTGGAGGTGAAGTGCTGGGGGCAAAGCTGGC
This sequence comes from Homo sapiens, assembly GCF_000001405.40. Lineage (NCBI taxonomy): Eukaryota > Metazoa > Chordata > Mammalia > Primates > Hominidae > Homo > Homo sapiens. Next base: position 30,197,578 of record NC_000001.11, on the reverse strand, counting down.
ATAAGTCACTCTAGCACTGACTGCGTCAGCCAGCAATTATTAGGCACCCACTGTGCACCAGGCCTTTGTTGTGAACTACTGCACTCAATCCACCCCGGACCCCTGTAGGACTGTTTTTATCGCCTGCACATGCTGGATGAGTAAACTGAGGTTTGGGAGGTTAAACAAGGAGTCTGTGCCCACTCAGTGGGTAAGGGGTGGAGCAGGGATGAAAGCCCGTCTCTTTCCTCTGTGCTCTGCTTTCAAGGTTCATGGATGCTGGTGCATTGAAGGACATGCAGCATTTTGGGAGAATAAGAGTTAAGGAGATGGAGATCGGTATTTAGGAAGAGGGAACCACAAGAGTGAAGACATAGGGGTGGGAACGTACTGGTGGTGTCTGGGAGGGGCCAGTCGGTAGGGCTGGAGCAGAGGGCTCAGGTCCAGGAGCAGGAAAGGATGAAGACGCGTAGGGAGCAGGAAAGGATGAAGATGCGCAGGGGGCAGGCTTGGCCTGTGTGGTTGCAGGTGATGGAAAACCCAGCTCTTCCGGCTGAGCTTGGAAGGAAATGCACTGGTTCCTCTGAGAGGTCAGTCCAAGAGGCGGGGTAGGCAGGGGTGGGAGGAAGGGCTGATCCCAGAAGGATAACATGCATAAACTACCTCCAAATACCAACCTAACAGATCACAAGAATGGGCACACATAGAGAGCTTACCAGGCGCTGGACATCCTAAGCATTTTACATGCTTTGACTCATTCATTTGCACACCAACTCTGTGAAGCAGACTCCATGAGGGAGAACAATCCTCATTGTATAGAAGAGAAAACTGAGGCTCAGAGAGGGTATGTGACTAACTCAGCAGGTGGCAGAGCCAGGAGGTGGACTGTGGTGTCCTGGCTCCAGAGTTTGGGTCTTAACCACTGGCCCCTCTCCCCACAGGCTGTGTTCAGGTTGGATCACAGGCAGCCTCACCTGTTAAGCATACTGGCTTCCTTCAGTGGGAAATGTGGAGCCCTTGACTGTTTCTAAGCAGGGGGATGGCAAGGTCAGAGTGTGCCTGAGAAGAGCAACTGGCAACAGCATGGGGCAGGCCTGGGGGTGGGAGGAGAGTGCCCATCTGGGCCAGGGCCAGGGCAGAAGGGTGGATGGGGCGCATCTCAGATGCTTGCTAATCTCCCCTTGGCCCTGGTGTTGTGCTGGTGAATAGGTTAAATAAGTGCCAGGTGTGGGGAAGGGGCTGGTTGATGACGATGGTGGTCCAGTTCTGCAGGTGTGCTGGGGCTGGCATTGTTTTTTTTTTTTTTATTTCCAGTGAACTCTGCCCTCCCTCAAGAAGGAGGCAGGCAGGGCTCTGCCCCATACACTCTCCTTATATTAGTCTTCTATGAGAAACAAGGCATCCAACACTTGGCAGCTTACAAGAACACCTATATTTTATCTGCTGCCGTGGGTCAGGAATCCAGTTCCCTGTGCAACTGGAGAACAGAGTCCTCCTCCCTCCCAGCCAGGTCCCCCCACTCCCACACATCTGAGGCTGACGTGTTCCCCCTCCCTGGCACCCGGGTCCTGAGTGGGTCAGGGACCCAGCCCTCCAGCCCAGGTCTTTTTCCTTCAGAGACCTCGGGAGACACGGGGTGCTGGGAGCCAGAGTACGGACAGCCTGGCCGTAAACCAGCGAGAGGCTCCCATCACACCCTGCACAGACAAGGCCCCAGTGGGAAGCAGGGTCTCATGCAACTGACTGCCCAGCATCATCCGCTCCATGTTTCAATTACATCTCGATGGTGCTGGAAAGATGCTCACAGCTAGAACTTCTTCCTTGACAGCAGCCTTGGAGGGGCAACGGGCGCAGAGGGGACAGCGACATGCCAGGCACCACACCAGGGGCTTTGCATTAAATGTTTATTTTTCACATTAACATTTGCTTAGTGGTTATTAAAATCCACCTCTAGTATTCTGGGAAACTGACATTCAGAGCAGTAAAGCCACCTGCCCAAGGTCACGGCCAGTGTGTGGCTGAGCTGGGATTCAGCCCCAGGCGAGTCTCACTCAGAAAGAAGCCCATACTCCAGTACTAGGGACACGGCTGCCCGGGAGACACCAGGACTCCGAGCTTCACCAACAGGCCTTTTTATCCACCCTGGGCCAGGTGCTGTCCCAGGATACAGCACACAGCTGAACAAAGCCCTTCAGGTCTAGGGTGATGTGAGAAGAGAAGGAGGAAGGGGGCAAAGCAAGGAATTCTCCAGGAGTGAACAGAAGCTCCCCTGGGTGGGTCAGGACGCTGTGTGGTTACTGTATTAAGTAAACCAAATGCAGCTGGAGGGCGTCTGAGCACAGGTGCCCAGGATCAGTCCCTGCAGCTGTTAATAATTGAGAAAATCCAAAACACATAAAGTGTCCATGGAGAGGAAGCGGTGAAAGAAAGAGGCCTTCATATGGTGTGGTGTGGGCTGCTGCTAGAAAGGATGGGGAGGAGTTTTGTGTGTTGACCTAGAGGATGTCCCTGAGGCATGGTCAGGTGGAAAAAGGAGGTTACAAAACAGGAGGCGCAGGATGAACCGAGGTCAGCCTCCACTCTTGCCTGGACTATGGTGTTGGCCTCTGGGCCCCCTACCCATTCCCTGCAAACCCCCGCTGTCACCCCTGCAAACTGCTCTCCACTCAGCAGCCAGTGACATCCTTGGAAAACCTGTCAGGATGTGTCCTTGCTCTGCTCAAAGCTCCCCAAAGGCTCCTCATGGCACTCAGAGTAAACGCCCTGGTCCTTCCAAGGCTTCCCCTCCTGCTGCATGGGCCTCCTGGCTGCCTAACAGGCACGTTCCTGCCTTGGGCCTCTGCATCTGCTGTTCCCTCTGCCTGGAATGTCCCACCCACCTGCATGGCCCATTTCTCATTTTGTTGCAGTGGGTAGCTAGGCAGGTATGAACAGGGCAGGAGAGGGTTCCCCCCTCCCCACCCCAGACACACACCAGGAGTGTTGGGCGACCATCAGGTGATGGTCAGGCAGTTGTTAACTGTCTCTCTAAAGTAATAATTGGTCACAGCCGGCACCAGGGAAAGGCTGACTTCTAATAGAAAACACCTGAAACTAGTGATCAGCTCAGCAGCTTCCCAATAAGATCTTAGGAGTTGGGAAAAGTGATGCAAGACCCCGGACGTATGCCAACACAGGAAACCCCAAGCCAAAAGGTCAAATGGTGCCTGTGTCTTTCAAGTCACCCCCTTGGCCTTCTTCCAAGTATACTTTCTCTCCTTCCCACTCTAAAGCTTTTTAGTAAACTTTCACTCCTGCTCTAAAACTTGCCTCAGTCTCTCCTTCTGCCTATGCCTCTGAATTGAATTCTTTTTGCTGAGGAGGCAAGAATTGAGGTTGCTGCAGACCTGTACAGTTACCCAAAGCCATGTCCCTAGCACTGGAGCACGGCTTTCTGAGTGAGACTCGCCTGGGGCTGAATCCCAGCTCAGCCACACACTGGCTGTGACCTTGGGCAGGTGGCTTTACTGCTCTGAATGTCAGTTTCCCAAGATACTAAAGGTGGATTCTAATAACCACTGAGCAAATGTTATTATGAAAAATAAATCAAACGTTTAATGCAAAGCCCCTGGTGTGGTGCCTGGCATGTCGCTGTCCCCTCTGCTCCCCTGGCCCCTCCAAGGCTGCTGTCATGGAAGAAGTTCCAGCTGTGAACTTCCAAGTGTACTTACTTTCCTTCCTTTCCTTTCTACTCTAAAGCTTTTTAGTAAACTTTCACTCCTGCTCTAAAACTTGCCTCGGTCTCTCCTGCCTTATGCCCCTGGGTCGAATTCTATCTTCTGAGGAGGCAAGGATTGAGATTGCTGCAGACCGATAGAGATATGGATTCGTACCGCTGCTGACATACTTTGCAGACCTGTGACTTGGATACTTTCGGCTGCTAACAATTTCTCATGTCATGCATGGCCTCTGCTTTGCCAGGGGACTTTCGTGACACCTGCATCTAACACAGCAACCCCCATAACTCTCTGTCCCTCTTACACTGTTTCATTTTCCTTCATGGTACACGTCACCTGACATAGTTCCTATTTAATGATTATATTCATGCATCACTGTCACCTCCACATACACCCAGAATGACTGGGCCCTGGGTCCTGGGGGCTCAGTTAGCCTTGATCCCTGCTGTGTCCCTTGGGGTTTCCAGGGCAAGACTGAACTTGAGGGCAGGCATTTTTGGGACTTGGGTAAATCAGTTCCCATGTGATCTATTGAGGTCTACCTGGCTAGAACTCTCCTGTGGCTGCTGATTACTCTAGAGATAAGCACCACAGTCCTCCATGAAGCCTGCACTCCTGCCCGTCTCTGCCCAGCCCCATCTGGCACTGCCCGCTCACTTCCTGTCTGGGCCCAGCCCCTCTGGCTGTTTTCCTGTTCTTTGTCCTTGCTTTGCTGCCTCTTGCCCCAGGGCCTTTGCACATGCTCCCTTGGGTTCAGCATGTTGTCTGGCACATAGCAGGTGCTCAATAAATGAGTGAATGGGAGTGAATGGATGAATGAATGAATAAATGAATGGCATTGCCTCAGGTGCAGCTGGGAGAAGGCTGACAGGTGTGTCCCTGTAACATCTGTGTGGCAAAGCTCAGGACCCAGGGGAAAGAGAGGAAGATGGTCATGGGGAAGAGGGGGGCCCAGCAGAGGACAGGGACAGGGAGTTGCCCCCCTCTTTCAGCCTCGCAGGCAAACCCAGTCTCTTCACCCAGGACAAAAGCACCAATGAGTTTATCACGTTTCCTTTCCCTCTCTTCACCCTCAATCTTGCTGCAGTGTTCCTTAGACCAGGTGCCCAGATTTCATGATACAGATGCTCCATCTGTTCCTTAACCACTGCCTGTCCATGGATACTCATTTGTTTCTGATTTTCTCAGTTATAAACAGGGCTGCAGTGACTCATTCTGGGCATCTGTGCTCAGGTGCCTTTTGAACTGGAGTTTGGTAACTTGTCACATAAAATGTCTTTATACATCCTGCACTACCACCATCACTATTTAAGAGGTGGCTGTGGAGAAGCAGAAAGGGCCCTGGGAAGGCAGACAGGGGATGTGACTTCCTTTCTGGCACTGTCTCATCCTTCCAGAAGCCGACCCTGGTGGTCCCAGACTGCATGGACTTCATTCCTGATTCCTTTGCATTGTGTCTGCACCTTCCACACACTTCCCTGCTTGTCCATTTCATGGTAAATGGCAAAACATAATTTATATTGGAACCCCCACCAATACCCTCCTCTCCAAGAACTGGGAAGTTCTTCAGGGTAAGAGCTCTGTCTGATTCATTTCTGTATCCTCAGCCCCTGATGATTGTTTGACCCTCAAGTGTAATGAACAGTTTACTATAGACAAGCCACCGCCCTGCCCCATGACTCAGTTTCCCCTTCTGTGAGATGGGAGTCTTCCTGGAGGGCATGTCCCTAAGGTCCTTCCCACTCTAGGATTCCATGGTCTAATTGATAAGCCAGTAACCTCTTGGAGCCTCAGTTTCTCCTTCTGTAACACAAGGTGGTAATAACACCCACCTCACTGAGTGCCGTGAGAGGGGCCAGCGCGGTGGCTCACGCATGGAATCCCAGCACTTTGGGAGGCCGAGGTGGGTGGATTACTTGAGGTCAGGAGATTGAGACCAGCATTGCCAACGTGGTGAAACACTGTCTCTACTAAAAACACAAAAATTAGCTGGGTGTGGTGGCGGGTGCCTGTAATCCCAGCTACTCGGGAGGCTGAGGCGGGAGAATTGCTTGAGCCCCAGGCTGTAGTAAGCTAAGATTGGGCCACTGCACTCCAGCCTAGGAGACAGAGCAAGACTCCATCTCAAAAAAAAAAAAAAAAAAAAAAAGGCAGTGAGGATACCTGTGTGAAGTGCTCAGCTCCTCACTCAGGAGGGCAAGAGGGGCTGCTGCTGTGATGGGCACTTATTCTGCTGGGTGTGGCCACTGCTATAATGGGAGGGGCTGCTCCTCTGGTGGGCATGGCCACTGCTATAATGGGAGGGGCTGCTGCTCTGATGGGTGTGGTCACTGCTATAATGGGAGGGGTGCTGCTCTGATGGGCGTGGTCACTGCTATAGTGGGAGGGGCTGCTGCTCTGATGGGTGTGGTCACTGCTATAGTGGGAGGGGCTGCTGCTCTGATGGGTGTGGTCACTGCTATAATGGGAGGGATTGCTGCTCTGATGAGCCTAGCTGCGGACATCTGTCTGGAGCCTCTGACCTACTTCTCACTCCACCCATCTCCACCCAAAACATTTGCTGTCAGTTCCTGGAAGCTGCTCTGAGTCATCACTGGTCTAAGCTTTTAAGCAGCATTTTACCATTTTGTCCCCACAACCCACAGAAGGGCTGAGATAAAGGTCTTAAGCAATTTGTTTGAAATGCAAAACACTCCTGTCCTCCCTCTGTTTAAAGCCCCTCAGAGGCTCCCACTTTTCCTAAAGCAAAGACCCAAACCTTGAGCTCTGCTGTCAAAGCCCTGTGAGGCCCAGCTCTCACCCGGGCCCCTCCAGCTTCATTCCCAGCAATTCAGGTGTGGAAACTGAGGCTCACCCAAGGCCATTCTGTCTGGAGATGGCAGAGTCCTATTCAAACCCAGGCCTGTCAGGGATCAGTCCTGGGGAATTACTGGCTGGCAGTCGGTTCTGAAACACCTGCCTCCTGGTGCCCATCCTGTGACCCTTTTAAAAGCAAACAAAGGCTGTTTCTACTCCTCTATCTGGGTTTGATGATCACACATGGCTCCGAGGGCAGCAAAAATACTGTCCAGTCCAGGGTGTTTATTGATCAGAATGAATGGATGGCCTCATCCATGTAGGCCTCCTGATGGATTGGTTTCCATGCACCCAGCCGTCCCCATAGCCCCAGCTCACCCTGATTTGTTTTCCTCCCGACAGCTGCACATCTATTGATTTAGAGGGAATCTGTCAAAAGGCACTGAGAGGCTCTGATCTGTCGTGGCTACGTATGGTAAGAACTCGAGAGCCTTTGAAGGAGATTAGTAATTCATAATCACTGTGATTTGGGTCCCAGGCCCACAGTCCAAGGAGATGCTCCCTCGGCTCCTCATTAAAGAGCTAACTGTGTAATTTGACAGCGTAGCTGTTGTGTCTCCACTGCCCTTTGCTGAGTCTTTAGAGCCATTTAGATGAAGGCATGTGGCAACTCTGCAGCAGTGTATTGGGAGTGGAGACCTCTGGGCAGCCTTGCTGGCATAGACAGCAGCCCAGAGCCCGGCTCACCTGGCGGGGGCTCCAGTCAGCCCACTAGAAACGTGGACACCGAGCCCGTGGGAGCTCTTTGCTTACACTTGCTTCCTCCTACAGACCTTCATGCAGCCAATATCCCTGGGCAGCCACTGAGCTGCACTGAGTATTAACAAACCAGGATTCGAGGCTGCACACAGCTTCCCTTTTCCTTTGTTCGTTATTGATCTGGTAGGGAGGGTGTCCTTAGGCCCTGGGTTTGGGGGATATAGGAATATGATTTAGGGTGTCCACCCTCAGGAGCTCATCATCTGATGGTGGAGGCAAGTGCCTGAGTGGAGAAGCGTGAGGCAGACTGACAGTGGGGGTAAGACAGGGGTTGTATTCTAGTGGCACTGGAGTGAGGTGGTAAGGCCCAGAGGTACATGGGTTTGAGATAGCTCTGCCACCAGCTGGCTGTGGGAGTCAGGGACAGTCACTTACCTCACTGAGCCTTGGTTTCTCATCCCTACAATGAGGATCAGTTTGGGATTTGAGGGAGTTGGATTAGTTGATTCAGTTAAGTGCTTGGCACAGGGGCTGGCACACAGTAGGTGCCTACTAAACAGTAGCTCGCCTTTATGCATCCAGTAAGCAGGTGTTTAGTGAGCACCTGCTGCATGCCAGGCCCTGCTCAGGGAACTGAGAATTCGATGGTGAAGAAAACTAGATGCAGACCTGGTCCTCAGGGACCTTAGAGTCTAGTGGAGGAGGGGGAGGCCATTGATTAAAGAATCCCAGAGCTGAATTCAAATCACAAACAGAGATCAACTCCGAAGAGGAAAGGTGGGACCTAGGGGTGCCTATTGCAAAGGATCTGGGCCTAGCCCTGGGGCAGGAGTCCTCCCCAGGAAGATGACAGGTCAACCAAAATCTGCAGTAATTAGACATTTACTATCTGCAGGGGTGAGAAAGAAAATTCTAGATCTGCAGTGCCCCTGTGGCAGAGGAACCCCTGACACCTTCTTGGCTGAGAAGTGGCTGCTATGGCTGGAAAGCAGAAGGCAGGCGTGAGTGGGGAGGGAGGGTGTGGGGAAGCAGGTGCCCCAGGGTGTCCAGGTCACACTAAGGCTTCTGGATTGTACTGGGAGCAGGGGCAGAGTGGCAGGGTGGTGTTTCCACACTGTCCCTCTGGCTGCTGTGGGAAATTGGCAGGGGTAGACAGCAGGTGGGGAGGGCAGGGCCAGGTGGGGGCCAAGGCAGTGGCCAGACCAGAGGTACCAGTAATGGAGAGGACAGGACAGATTCCGAGACATGAGGAGTGCATGGGCAGGACTGAATGTGAGGTTGGGTGAGACAGCAGAGGAGGTATCAAAGGGAGGAAAATGTTCCAGAAAGAAAGATCAGCTCAGAGATGGAAAGAAGTCTCCTGGCTGGGGTGACTGTATGGATGGTGGCACCAGACATGGGAAGAAGGGACCCAGAGAAGGCTCATTTCTGGGGAGCATGGAGCTCATGAGTCTGGACCTGTGCACGTCCAGTCTGTGATGCCTTTGAGATTCCACACCTGAAGTGGAGTTGGGGGTTGGGTCTTTCTCTGCGGACCCCTAGCTGGGAGGCTATGAGGGTATTCAGAAGAGAACGGTCCAGCTCTGCTCTCAGGGGCTTACACATGGGGACTCCATGGACCATCACAGGTAAAGGTTGTTGTTAAGAACAGTGGACACCCTATGCTATGGGGTTGTGGGATGGAGGTCAAGGTCAGCTCTGAGGGTCACCTCTGAGCTGAATCCTAGAGCATGAACAAAATTCACCAGGCAGAGATGGGGAAGGACACCAACGGCTGAAGGGCAGGTTCAAGGGAGACTGCGGTGTTGGTGTCTGGGAGGGGAAGCAGTACAGGAGGCCAGAAGCCACAGGGGTCAGAGCAGGAGGGGCCTTGAATGCCGGGTGCAGGGTTTGCTCGTTATCCTACAGGCCCATTCCAGTTTCAGCAGGACGACGTGCTCAGGGCTGCAAAAGTGTGGGAAGGTAAAATGTTGCAGGAGGAGGCTCTGGCAGCAAATCAATCAGTTAAGAGGCCTGTGATGGTACAGGTGACAGACTAGGGCAGGACAGACACTGTGGGAATGGTGTGACGCTGGTGGACAGGAGTGGCCTCAAGGGACAAGAGGACTTGGGCCAGTGAAAGGCATAGTGTGGAGTATGTTCAGAGGGCTCAGAAACTGGAAGAGCAATAATACTGGAGTGCTCCGTGGGCCACCAATGGGAATGACAGACACATTCCTGAAGGGCCACCTTGCAGGGTATCGAGTCATACAACATGGGTTTGAGACAGGACATTATTATATGAACACCTGTAATAAGCCTTCTAGCAATCCTGGAAAGTAGGTGCTGCTGTCACCACTATTTTCTAGATGAGCAGAGACACAGAGAGGTACAGAATCACTGGGAGGGCTAGAGAGCCAGGCTCAGGGGTTGTGGCATCAGCACAGATGCCCCAAATCAACCCACAGGCAACAGCATCTTGACCTCCTCTACCAAGTTCTGCCCCCAACAGCTTGCACCACCTTCACTACCACCACTGACCCTGCAGGCTACAGGTGAACCCCTGCCATCTTGTTTCCCATGGACTGTAGTTGGACATGTGCCAGCCTCAGCTGCCATCATCAGCTCCATTGCCAGAATAGGCTCAGCAAGGAAAACCACTTCCCACTGGACTTCTGGCCCAAAGTCTATACTGGGAGGTGGGGCGATCTGATTGGAGAAGCCTCGTCATGTGACTTCACCCAAGCTCTAAAGGAGGCTGGGAAAGAACATCTCTGGCAATTTCAAGCTTTGTCTCCTAAGTGGAGAATTAACTAATTATAGGGATTTCTGTGGCTGGGCTACTTATGTTTGTGTGCGTATATATGCATATGGGACTGGTGGTGGCTTATATTGTGCTGTGTCCTCTGTAAATTTGATCTCTGGGTTGAGTGACGGCAGCTGAGGATGCCATCACCATTCTGCTAACAGACATTTTCTGGGCAGTGTCGGAGACAGAGGTGGCAGCCTCCATTATCCCCTCTGCCCCAATCAGCTGCCTGACTGCCTAGGTGCTGGCTGCTGGCAGACTGCTCTTCTGCTCCTCTGCAGCTTCTGAGGTATAAAAATAGACACCCACCCCTCCCTGTCTCTCCGCAGGTGGGAAGAAAGCAAGGGCAGGACAATGCCCTCCAGGAGATGCCAATGTGGATGAATTTAGCCTGCAGTACAGGTACATCTATTTCTGGTGTGTAGAATGACCTAAGCTCCCCACTCATTCATGACTTCATGCAACTGACGTTTATTTTGTGCCTACTATACCCCAGACCCTCAAGATGTCTCTGTTCCTCAATCCACCCCATCCCTGCCTTTTGTCCTGATATCTGTCACCTGCAAAATAATTTCCACAAAACAACTACAACCACAAATTATAATTTCTTTGGGACCCCACATTGCCATGGAATGCTATGAAGCTTCCTCAGGGGCTTCAGTGCAGGGATAGGGGACAAAGAGGCTGCTGTGGTGTCCAGCAGGAGCTTGGCAAACTTGCAGCAACCAGTAGAAGCAGTGATCGCTGGCAGAGGGGGGTGTGTGCCTGTGTGTATGTTTCAGTACTGGTGGGTAGGAAAACCGGAAGTAAATGGTAGATTCTACTGGATAGCTCATTGGAAAGTTGACCAGTCCTGTCAGGAAGCATGTGAAATATTCTCCAGAGAAGCCGAGGATGCTTTGCTGGAGACTTCGATTTTTTCAGGCATACATAGATGGGACAAAAGCCAAGGAAACATGATGGATGGGTGGGTGGGTGAATGGATAGATGGATGGATGGATGGATGGATGTAACAGATGAATGAATGGATAGATGGGATGGGTGAGATGGATGGATGGTTGGGTAAATGGGTGAATAAATGGTTAGAGGGTTGGAGGAGAGAAAAATTGTGGAAATATGTGAGAAGAAAAATGGAAAAGGAATGGATGAATGGATGAATAAATAGGGGGTGGATGGATGGGGGGGTGAGTGGATATAGACTTAGATGAAGCAGGAGTGATAATTATCTTCAGATAATGGAAATATAGATATAAGGAGTTTGTAGCAATATTCTAATAGAGAGGGCAGCATCATGGAGAACAACCCTTGCTTTTTAATCATCATCACTCCTTTCCTGCAGTCATTCCACGCAGTGTTGACATCTGCTCTGTCCCAGCTTGTGGAACAAGCTGGAGCATTAAAGAGGAGCTCACTCTCTGGTGAGAAAAGCAGACAGACAGACAGTGAACCTGAGCCTCATGCTACATGCTGAGGCTGTGAAAGCAGCATGCTCAGAGCTCCCGGGGAAGTCTGGCGGGCGTGATGGAGCATGGGCCCGCCCCTTCTCTGAGCACTGCTCCTACACACCCTTTGTTGACGGTGTTGCCATTGCTTACTGGTTATGTGGTGCTCCCCCTTTGGCCACACTGGCTGGCCCAGGAGTGGACCTCTGGGCATCTCTACAGCTGCATTTCATTTTAGCCATACCAAAAGGGTATGTGTAGTGGGACTGTGGCCACCATTTTCAACCATATGCACAATGACATAGAAAATCTGTTGTGAGAAGCAGAGACAAGGCTCTATATGACCACAAGGGAGAGGGGAAGAAGGAGAGAGACACTGTCTCAATTCCTTTGGCTTCCCACGCTTGGTACCCATGAGGTCCACTTGTGTTCTGTTTCCATCAGAAGTAGCAGCAAACATTATTAAATACCTATGCATTGGAGCCGGCTCTTGACACCAAAGAACCTTGAGTAAGATGGCAGCAGTATGAAGGGGAGACTAATTCCACCAGAGAAGGGGAGGGTTTAAGTGGTCGGAGAAAGTCTTACGGGAGCTGTGACATTTGGGGATGGGTTTTGAAGCATGACTAAGAGTTCTGAGAAGAAAGATCAAGACATTTCAGCCAGAAAATACATGCATGGTGAGCACATTCCTTTGGTTTGAATATAGTTTGCATTGAAAGTTTAGATGATGGGGAGGAAGAATAAGAAAGTACCATTTGTTGAGCTCTTACCAGATGCCACAGATGGCACAAGGTGCTTTTCATATATCATCTCTTTTTATCCTCACAATTGCCCCCTAAGCCAGGTAATTTTTCCCCCATTTTACAGGCAAGGGAAGTGAGGCTCAAAGATGTTGGTCAAGGATGTAATAAAGGCATAATTTGAACCCAGATCTGCAGACCGAAGCCCGTGCCCACTCTACATAACCACAGCACTGTGTCCAGGCCAGGGCAGGCAGGCTGGGGCCAACTTCAAGAGGCTCAGCATTCCCCCTCTGTCAACTGCTCTGTAACTTGAGGACACATCCACCCTCTGCAGGAGAAGCCCAAGGCTGGTGGTCCTTCTCCAGGAAGCAGCAGATGCCAGGGTGCAGAGCTGAGTGTGCTGCTGAGATAGACTCTGCCTTGCTGGACTGATGGATGACCTTAAGTTGAGTTGTTCTGTTCAGAAACAAAGTGTGTTGCACAGGCCCCATCCAAACAGCCGAAGGCAGTAGCTAATTAGAAGGGAGAGATGGAGTGTCATTTTTTTCTGGCAGCAAGCCCAGTGGCAGAAGTTTTTAGCAAAGAGCCTCAGTGCAACTTGAGAGGTCTGCAGGCTGGAGATAAGGGTCATCTCTCCAGAGTGGCCAGAGGGACTCCCTGGAGGAAACAGAAAGAGGAAAGAGAGGAAAGATGGACTAAAGGAAAGAAGATGGAGGTGGGAGAAAGGGAAGAAGGAAAAGACAGGAGGAGAACTAGAGAAGAGAAAAGAGGGTGGGAGGAGGAGGAGAAGAAGTGATGGAAAAGAAGGAGTGAAGAAGGGGAAGAAGGTGGAAGGACAGGGAGAGGAGGAAGAGGGAAGAAGAGAGGAGAGAAGGAGATAGAGAAGGTGAAAATGAGGAAGGAGTGAAGAAGGGGAAGAAGGGGGAAGGACAGGGAGAGGAGGAAGAGGGAAGAAGAGAGGAGAGAAGGAGATAGAGAAGGTGAAAATGAGGAAGGAGAGAAAGGGGCCAGGAATAGCAGTGAGAGGACCAAGAGAAAATGATGGACATAGGAGGAGTAGGGGTGGGAGAAAAAGACTGTGGGAAAGAGGGAGGGGGAGGGGCTGCTACCACAGCCGGCATCCAAAGGTCCACCCCCACTGAACTCTCCCAATTGGGGATGCTCTCAGCATCTCTAAGATGAAATGCTGCACAGCCAGCAACCCAGGCAGCTGGGAGAGAAGGGGCCCCTGTGGTCTAACTGGCACCTGTTTAATGGCTCCCAGTGGCAACAGCATCAGCGCCCCCCACTCTGGTCATACTCAGGAAACAGCTCCGCCTGACTCAGGCAGGGTCAAGTCCACTGCAGCCCTCTCCTTCCACCCATGCCAGGACAGTCTGCGGGGGCAGAGCCAGAGTCCAAACCTACAGACACCAGTGGTGGAAAGGGTGCTTGGCTGGGCGTTAGAATATTTGAATTCTAAAACCGAGTCTGCCACAAATTTACTAAGGGTGACCTTAATCACTCTGGACCAGTTTTCTGTCCATTTACAGATGTTTCCTGACTTATAATGGTTCCATTTATGGTTTGTGATTTCATGATGTCACGATGATACACATTCAGTAAAACTCACACTTCAAGTACCCATATAACTATTTTGTCATTTATTTTTAGTACAGTATTCAATAAATTACATGAGATATTCAACACTTTATTATAATAAAATAGACTTTGTGTTAGTTGATTTTGTCCACCTGTAGGCTAACGAAAGCATTCTGGGCACGTTTAAGGCAGGTGAGGCTAAGCTATGACATTCGGTAGGTTAGGTGTATTAAATGCATTTTCAACTTAGAATATTTTCAATTTACAATGGGTTTTTGGGATGTAACCTCATTGTAATTTGAAGGGCATCTAGGTAGGCTTTTTTTCATTTAATTTCTCACAACTCTATTACTCTTATTGTTCACATTTTTCAGACGAGGACACTCAAACTCTCCAGAGATGAAGTGTCACCTCAAGGCCACACAGATAATCAACAGAGAAGCAGGCCCTACACTCAGCTGTACTGTGAGCTCCACAGCAGCAGGGATACTATTGTCCTGGTTCACCCCTGGGTCCCAAATCCCAGGACAGTGGGGGCACCAAGGAGATGCCCCCATAAACTGTGTGGACTGAATAAGTGGCCTCAGTCTGTCCAAGATCAAAATCTGTCCTGCCACTGTCATTCCCCCATTGCTTGCCTGAATCACCCTATGAATTAGCCAGGGTCGAGTCAGAAGACAGAAACCCCACCAGTAACCGGAACAGGGAAAATTTAGTGTAAAGAATGATTAACTTGCAAAAGATGGTTAACGACCAACAGGAGTCAAGGAGGACCCTCTGGAATACAGGAATAGCAAATGCACAAAACAGCTACTACCTCTATGCTGAGGGAGAGAGAACAAGGAAAGAAAGAACTAAGAACTCAGAGGAGGCCCCCATCACCACCACCAAGGCTGAGGTTTGTGTCCCATTGGAGAGGTTGTTGCTCCACAGGAACATGTAGCATGCCAGTGGCTTCAGAACGTGATGGAAGGTGCAGTTCAGAGGTGGTCAGTAGGACCAGCCAGCCAGTTGGATGAGACACTTACTAGAGGGTGTAGGACACCAGAGGTGGTTTATAGGAAGTGGTCCACTGGGGTGGCAGAAATATTGGGTGGACACCACTGATCATCTCACATACTGCTGACAGCCTTATAGAAGGTGGAGAGATAACAACATAACCAGGAAGAGGAGCCCCTTCCTTTGCTACAGCATAGCATTCCCCCTGCCCCAAGTGCCATATGTTGAGAAAGAATAATATTGTGCTGAAGGAGAAATGCTTACAGGGTCCAGCTCCAGTATCAATATACAAAGCAAAAAGGGAGAATTTGGAGCTGAGAGACAATATTTTGATCCCTGGCACAGCCCATCCCTTTGGCTACCTGACTTCCAAATGCGCCCTCTACATACTTCACCTTCCACACAAACACCTCAAGGCCACACAGATAACAACTCATGTTTCCAATTAAGACAATGCAGCTATCTTTTGTACAAGTGGAAAAATTCTCACTCTTTCACCAAAATGAAGAGACAGAGTCCTGGCCACTGTTGTTTCAATTGCTGACAATATTCATTACTCCTTAAATTCTGCACAGTACCTAAAGGCTAAATTGAGGTTCTCCTCCAACAGCTTGAATATAAAATAGTAAGAGAGAAAGGATATAGTTAATTGATACACATACATATGTACACATAACATGTGCAAAGAGAAAATATGCAAAGCTACAACCGTCCTCTTTGTAGAAACTGCTCGCAAGCACATAGATAGTATTTGTGACTTCCTTCTTCCACTACCCTTTCCATATTTTCTTTGCCCTCAACTAGAACCTCAGTTGGGCGGGTTCTTTATCTGACAGAGTAACCCAAGTGGTCATTCCTTAAGAGTTTGTGTCCTCACCAGGCTCAGTCACTTGCACCTGTAATCCCAGCACTTTGGGAGGCCGAAGCTGGCGGATCACTTGAAGCCAGGAGTTTGAGACCAGCCTTGCTAACATGGTCACACCTCGTCTCTACTAAAAGTACAAAAATTAGCCTGGTGTCATGGCATACAACTATAGTCCCAGCTACTCAGGAGGCTGAAGCAAAAGAATGGCTTGAACCCAGGAGGGGAAGGTTGCAGTGAGCCAAGATTGTACCACTGCACTTCAGCCTGGGTGACAGAGTGAGACTGTCTCAAAAAAAAAAAAAAAAAAAAAAAAAAAAAGAGTCTGTGTCCTTAATGGTCCTTTCTTGGATGCTGTAGTTTTCAGGAACCTTTATTCTGGGACACAGAGGAAATTAGAAGGGCCCCCAGAGAATCCCCTAAGTTCTAGGCAAAGCCTTCTTTCCCCCAAATTGTATAGCAACCAACAAATTTCCCTTTGGTAATTTGGCTCAATCACTGTAATCAGCACAGTAACCTCTTTTTCTTCTTGTTGATTTAAGGGCATCAGAAGCCCCAAATAGAGAAGCGGCAGTCTCGTTTCCAATGCAATGGAAAATGCGAGTGGGGAAGAGCAAGCCCTTAGGAGGCAGCCAGGTAGGCTGGGCCCACATATCTGGGGCTTTAGGCACATGTGGCTAATCTGTGCTAGACAGGCCCAACACTGCCTCAGACCAACCTGGGTTCAAATTATGGTTGTACCAAGGACTAACAATCTCCCCACTGAGACCCTTCTCTGTGTCAGGACAGTGTTGGGGGCTCTAACACAAGTCACTGCATTTAATCCTAAAACAATCCTGTAGGCAGATGCTATTGTTCTCGTGTGCAGATGGGAAAACTGATACTCAGCACAACAAGCCAACTCGCCCAGAACCACCCTCCATGAAGTGGCAGAGATGGGATTACGTTCTGGCTGTCTGACCTAGAAGTCAGAGGTGCTTTGACAATAGACCTGGGTGTAGCCATCTAACTGCTCTAAACTTTGCTTTCCCCATCTGTAAAATGGGAGTTCATTCAGCAGATATTTTTTGGAGCAGTCACAGAGCTATGAATAGGCACAGAGCTTTGGGCATTATAATCCCTGCTCCACATGGTTTGTGTGTGGATTAAATAAAATGAATTGATAACTTTACTATCCCTGTATCAGACACAAACTGTATTTACCTTCCCTTTTGCATTTTATAACATTTTTTCCTCTACGTCAGGATGTGCCATATTCTACATGAGAAGTTGCCAGTTTTTCCCCTTAGAGTAAAAGTAGTTTGAGATTTTCTGTGAAAGATGCTGGTTTGATGAGTGTATGAGACAATGTAGATTTTGTCTTCTGCTCTGATGGTTAGTAAGTTGGAATAGCGAGGGCATCTGAAACTCACTTTCTGGGGTCCATCTGCCCTCCCACACAGGATTTCCCACTTGGTTTAGCGGGGCCTGTTGAGCCTGCTCCGTCATGGATGCATTCGCAGAACAGTTCTGCAGTTGATGTGCTGATAATGTGGTTTTAACACATTTATAAACATTTGGCTATCTCCTACAGTCACTATCTTTTAGAGGAAAATAAATTGTCTTCCTGATCTGACAAGCTTGCTGCTGCCTGAGGCTGGAGTGTGTTGCGGCAGGGATGGACACTCCCAGGAGCTGGGAGAGGCTTGCCTTCACTTCCTAGGGCTGCGGTAACAAATTCACACAAACTGGGGGCTGCAAACAACAGGCATGCTTTGTCTCACAGTTCTGGAGGCTAACGTCTGAAATCGATGTGTGGGCAGGCTTGGTTCCCTCTGGTGGCTATGAGGTCTCGCTCACCTTCTGGGGGCTGCCTGCAATCCTTGGTGTCCCTTGGATTCAAGAGGCATCCTTCCCGTCTTTGCCCCACCCTCACAGCACCATCTTCTCTATGTGTGTCTTCTTTTCTGTCTCTTCTATGCACACTTATCATTTGATTTAGGGGCCCCTCTAAGCTCTAAGCCAGGAAAATCTCACCTTGAAATCTTCATTTTAATTATATCTGCAAAGACCCTTCTTCCAAATAAGATTGGATATTGAGGTTCTCTTTTGGGAAACCACTATTCAATCTAGGTACCCTGTGTTCCTGTTCGAGCTGGGTCAATACTTTGCTGCCTGGCCTTGAGCAAGTCACTTTGCCTTTCTGGGTCTCAGTTTCTCTTAGATCGTCTCCTACATTGCTTACAGGTAGAATGTGCCAATAGAGTGAGGGGTCCCAGGAAATGGTTCAGACCAAGCTTCCTTCATTCAACAGTGATGCTCCTGCTCTGTACTAGCCTCAGTGCTGTATCCCAGGGAGGCAGACGACCCCGAGCCTTGTACCTCCAGCCACTAAGAACAAAGTTTAGAGGGAAAGCAGACCTTGGAGTAGCTGATTACAACAGACTAGAATGGGTGCTTTGAAAGGTCAGCGCCTTGCTTCATTCACACCGTGAAAGTCCTGGCACCATTTGTAATTGATGAATCATTTTAAATGGACATATTTTGCAGCCAGGGAGAGCTGTGAGAGGACACAACCTGAGTGTTTGTTGGAGCACAGAGGAAAGGCAACTGGCCTTGTCTTGGAGGATCCAGATGGGTTCCTAGCAGAGATAGGGTCCAAACAGAGGCCTGAAGGACAAGTGAGTGTGAGATGAGGGAGGGGACAGGGTGCTGCTCCAGGTACAACCATAGCACGTGCATGGGGCAGAGGTGAGAGAGAGCCTGTTCCCCGCCAGGATGGATAAGTGGCTTATAATGACAGTATAACTGCCCAAGGTCACACACCTCTTAAGAGGTAGAGCTAAGACTTGACTCCAAGAAGTCAGATTCTAGAGCCAAAGTATGATAACATGTTGAGGAAATGTGGTGTCATCCATCGGAAACCATTTAATAAATTCTATTCAGATTGGCTTAAATGCTCATATCAACTATATACTAATTAACTGAAATTTATTTTAGTGCATTTAATTGAAGTAATTTTTGAGTTGATTTAAAAATTATTGGTAAAATAAAAATAGAAATGTCTTAAAAAGTATCAGCATATGGCCAGGTGCA